>NC_000015.10:43901874-44526874 GCF_000001405.40 Homo sapiens | reverse complement strand
ACTTTCGCTGTGTCTCATCAGGTATCCACCTCTCCTGCATTTACTAGTCAGTTTTTTAAGAGTTCATGTTTCCTGTGTGAGCTGAAGGGGCTGGGCACATTTCAATTTAAAAAATACACACCTCCGATTAACTAAATGGAAGTTTTTTACATCTACCAACAGATAAAGAAAAGAGAGGATAATGGGAAGACAAAACATTGTATTAAGGTAGAAGGAAGCTGGATAAATTGTCTCTGTAAATTATCTTAAATTTTGTATTAACAAATTTAAAATGACTCAAATAAAATAACAAAGAAAAATATATTAATTTGGCCTCAAGGAATTTTCTCAAGCCATAAAAAATTTTCTTAGTTTATTTCTTTACGGAAGTATCTTATGCTTGATCAGCTGACTTAAAGGAACTCTCCTAGTGTGGGACTGAAAACAACTTTATCATTGATAAAAGATGATTAGTTTAAAAAGTTGGTTTTTATTATTGAAGTGCCCACAGGCACAAGAGTATAGGTGCTTACATTTCCCTTTAGATTATGGGAAAGCCCTTTTGAGAATGCACTAAATCAGGAAATCTTTCAGCAATCAGAATGCATGCTGAAAGTTCAGATCTTTTAAGTTTTGGGTTTCGCTGTTTGAGCATAAAAAGGAAGGGAGCAGGGAGAAATGTAACTAGGTTCACAATTTTGAGCAAGAGCATATGTAAAGGTAACGTATGTACATTTTATTTCAAGAAAGACAGAAGACAAACAGCATAAAGATGCCCAGATGCCCTAAAGATAAATACATTTCAAAGATTCTCATTAAAATGAATCTGTAGTATTTTTTTCCTGCAAGCAAAATACCTTTCTTTAAATAAAATTAAAAAAATCAGTATTCTGAATTGCAAATGCTTTTGTTTTTTTTTTGCAGAAAATCTGCCATGATTATTTTTTTAATGAATAAGGATTTTCCACAAAACAGGCTTGCTCTACATGCTAGATTTTTAAACAGTTCAGTGACACAATATGCTAACTACATACACAACAGATAATATAGTAAGAAAACACTCAACCTGATGAAAAGTTAAAATCTTCATTAATACACTGAAAATTGACATAACTCATGCCTTTAAAATCAAAAATACAAAAATTAAATGTTTTCCTAAAAAGATTTCCTTATTTTAAGGATTCATTTGAAAATGAAGCTGCATGTAATTTGTACAGTAAGTTGTACAAGTAAACAGGTAATATACATAAAAAATTAATTGACATACTCCTCAATTATCAGTTGTCCACCTTTAATTTCCAATACTGTACTTTCTTAACAAGCATACAAAATATCAAACTTCTCTTTAGAAAAAGTGCCGTTCTTTGACATCCTTTACACAAAAACAGTCTGAGCCTGTGGCATGTTAATGCAGTTGAGAGGCAAAGCATACGAACTTTTACAAATTCTACCTTCCATAAAAAGCCTCCCGAAAAGGAGATTACACGCCACTATAAAAATATCAACCTCTTGTGGTAGCTGCATTAGAGAACCAAGGCTTGAAGACTATTTTCATATAGCATAGAAAAACCACTATGAGAGCATATTAACTGCATTGGTGGCTTGGGAGTGTACTGTGCCACAGGATTATGCATAGCTACTGTTAGGTACCAAGACTGTTATACAGTTTTAAATTGATTGTAACTGAGAGCATAACAGAGGTACTACCAGCCCATGCAAAATAACTAAAAATACTGAGTCACTGTGCTGAATACTTCATTCCTGGAGAAAACCAAAGGCAGCAGTAACTAAATCAAGCCAAACAGGTGACCAAACTTTCTCCTCAAAGATTTGTGAGCACAGTGAAGTCTGAGGTATACCTTTATCCATTAAATCTGTGTGCCATTGCAAGATATTACCATTTGAGAATATACGCCATCACAATGGTTTAAATCTTTTGTATATTAGTCATTCATATATTCTTATCTACCCAGTCTCTTGATTTTTGAAAAGATTTCACCTACAGTAGAATATTACAGAAACAAAATATAAATGCATGTCTTTCTAAATGAAACTTACATAGACTAAAAGTAGAGAATATTTTTAAACAAATATACAATGTGCAGGCAGACAAAGCAGGAAAACGGCCATTCAAATGTATAATAAAAAACTAAAAATTGACTATCTCCAGAAAACTATGAAGCGCCTCAACTAAAAGGAATGCATAATGAAATTCTAATCTAATACAGGTCAAAAATGTAAAAAGGTTATAAACCTTAACAGGAAAAATAAAACAACTTTTACTGGCCATTCCTGTTGAAATGAGAATCATAAAGTAACAGAAAAGTGGCTACAAACCCACTTAGAGCACCAAACAGAGAGAAAATAAAAGTCCATTTTCATCTCTGTTATTATCATAAAATCCTGTGTGACTACAGGTCAAACTGCTGGTGGCAGAAACAGAATTCTTTATAAACTGCAGATGTCCTGTACATAAAAAATTTCACTGGAGTTGCACTAGTTCTAAAGACTCTTCTGTTTTAGCCTACCTACTATATGTATTCGATCTGAGATAGATAAAGTCTCTTTCTGTAACCCTTAATTATTATTGGGCACCAAAGATAAGAAAAGCAAGACGGGGTACAAAAATGCAAAATTTCAACAGTAATGGCAATGTTTTTGTCTTAGTCCAAAAGGGTCCTGCATTCTCTCCCCCTTCAGTGATTTGACAAGTCTTTGTACTTAATCTGGGGGCAGCAAATCATGCAAGCGAAATCTGTCTCTGATGTGTGGTCGAACATCTTCATTCTGCGTGGAAAAAAGACAATTTTTAAAAAGGCATAAAATTTCAAAGATATGATCCTCATAACATACATTCTTACCTTGCAGAGAAAACATACCAGTTTTTATTTTATGACATATTTTATTTGCCAAATAGAGATACTACACAGATGCAGTTAAATTTAAGATTTTGAAAAGAATTTCGTTGAAGATTTCTTTTTTAAATTTTTGTTTTTTCAGACAGAGTCTTGCTCTGTTGCTCAGGCTGGAGTGCAATGGCACAATCTCAGCTCACTGCAACTTCTGCCTCCTGGGTTCAAGCGATTCTTGTGCCTCAGCCTCCAAAGTAGCTGGGACTACAGACGCCCACCACCATGCCTGGCTAATTTTTTGTAATTTTTGTAGAGGCAAGGTTTCACCATGTTGGCCAGGCTGGTCTTGAACTCCTGACCTCAGGTTATCTGCCCACCTTGGCCTCCCAAGAAGATTTGTTTGTTTGTTTATTTATAAATGAACGAATGAATGAATGAATGACAGGGTCTTGCTCTTTCACCCAGGCTGGAATGCAGTGGCACAATCCTGGTTCACTGGAGCCTCAAACTTCTGGGCTCAAGCAATCCTCCCACCTCAGCCTCCTGTGTAGCTGGAATTATAGGCACACACCACAATGCCCAGCAAGCTTGCTTGCTTATGTATGTATGTATGTATGTATGTATGTATGTATGTATGTATGTATGTATGTATGTAGAGATGAGGTCTCACTATGTTGCCCTGGCTAGTCTCAAACTCCTGGCCTCAAGCAATCCTCCCACCTTAGCCTTCCAAAATGGTGGGATTACTGCTGGGTGCAGTGGCTCATGCCTATAATCCCAGCACTTTGGGAAGCCAACGCAGGTAGATTACCTGAGGTCAGGAGTTCGAGATCAGCCTGGCCAATGTGGTGAAACCCAGTCTCTACTAAAAATACAAAAATTAGCCAGGCGTGGTGGCGGGCGCCTGTAATCCCAGCTACTTGGAAGACTGAGGCACGAGAATCCCTTGAACATGGGAGGCGGAGGCTGCAGTGAGCCGAGATTGCGCCACTGCACTCCAGCCTGGGCGAAAGCACAAGATCCTGTCTCAAACAAACAAACAAAAAACAGTGGGATTAAATAGGTGTGCACCACTACATCCTGCCAAAGTTTCATCAAGCAATAGAGGCCAAACCAAGACAGGTAAAAGGGAATTCTACTTTCTACATTGGTCTTTAAAGCTAAGTGTTCCATGTGATATAGAAATAGAATTCCCAGAATAAAGTTTCAGTAGCATAAGCATTAATTCTAGATGTGAATTATAAGACCAAAATGAAAAATTTAATTTTGTTTGTTTGTTTTGTTTTGTTTTGAGACAAAGTCTCACTCTGTTGCCCAGGCTGGAGTGCAGTGGTGCAATCTCGGCTCACTGCAACCTCCGCCTCCCGGGTTCAAGTGATTCTCCTACCTCAGCCTCTAGAGTAGCTGGGATTATAGGCGCCCACCACTACGCCCAGCTCATTTTTATATTTTTAGTAGAGATGGGGTTTCACCATGTTGGCCAGGCTGGTCTCGACCTCCTGACCTCAAGTGATCTGCCTGCCTCGGCCTCCCAAAGTACTGGGATTACAGGCATCAGCCACCACACCCGGCCAATTTAATGTTATTTCTAACACAACTGCTTAGCAATTTGTAAGAGAAAGACCACTGAAATAGTAAAGACATTCAATCTATAAATTCTTAAGTACTGATAAGCATAATGTTAATATAATATATAAAGTCTGAAAATGTGGTTGGGCATGATGGCTCACGTCTGTAATCCCAGCATTATGGGAGGCTGAGATGGGCAGATAGTTTGAGCCCATGAGTTCAAGACCAGCCTGGGAAACACAGTGAAATCCCATCTCTACAAAAAATACAAAAATTAGACAGGCATGGTCGCACATGCCTATAGTCCTAGCTACCCAAGAGGCTGAGGCAGGAGGATAGATTGAGCCCAGGAAGTCAAGGCTGCTGTGAATAGTGATTGTGCTACTACATTGCAGCCTGGGTGACAGAACAAGACCCTGCCTCAAAAAAGTTTGAAAATGCACATAATCTTTTTCAACCTTTGCCCTCATCTCCCATGACAGATGACTTTATCATCATCATCATCATCATGTTTTTTTTTTTTTTTTTTTTTTTTTTGAGACGGAGTCTCGCTCTGTCGCCCAGGCTGGAGTGCAGTGGCGCGATCTCGGCTCACTGCAAGCTCCGCCTCCCGGGTTCACGCCATTCCCCTGCCTCAGCCTCCCGAGTAGCTGGGACTACAGGCGCCCGCTACCACGCCCGGCTAATTTTTTGTATTTTTAGTAGAGACGGGGTTTCACCGTGTTAGCCAGGATGGTCTCGATCTCCTGACCTCGTGATCCGCCCGCCTCGGCCTCCCAAAGTGCTGGGATTACAGGCGTGAGCCACCGCGCCCGGCCCATCATTATGTTTTAAAGAGCTGGAGTCTCACTATGTTGCCTAGTATGACCTCAAATTCCTAGGCTCAATCAATCCTCCTGCCTCAGACTCTAAAGTAGCTGGCACTACAGGCGCCTATGATGGCACCTGTGACCTGGCTCACAGTTGACTTTATAAGTCAGTACACACAAAGCAAAGACATTTAAAAATATTTATTTCAATATAGTTGAGCTAACAAAAACACAACAGAAAAAGATAAGCTACACTTACCAGTTCTACAAGCTTCTCCAGGAATGGAATCAATTTTAGGAGTTCATTGTCATTTTTATCCATAAACCAACTTTCTATAGGGATTCCATTAGAAAGCTAAAACAATAAATAAGTAATTAAATCCTCTTTTACTTATATTTTACCTAGTTTGGAAAAAGTTAAAAAATAAACAAAGATTTATTAAGTAAACACTGATCTAAAAGTTCCTTTGAAAAGTAATGTCACCAGACTTTTCTTTGACAACTCAATAGTGCAAGAGACAGAGGATAAGGAAATAAATTGAAGCCTATTGGTTTTTCAGTGTCATTTCTTCTCAGAGTATATAAAACTAAACAAGAAAGTTCCATTAAAATACATTTTATAAGGATCATTAATATAAATAAAATATTCCATTATTCCTTCAAGAAATAGTTACAATTAGTACAATGCTAGGTAGGCACTGTGAATGATGGGACACTGCCAATCTAAAGAGAATATAGAAAAGCCTATACTTTTTTTTCCCCTTAAATACAGTGACCATATCTCCCATTCATTATTCTATTCCCATCGAGTAGGATGATAACTTGAAATATAGTAGAAACTTAACAAATTAATGGTATTTCATTGAAGAGGAGCCTAAAAACAAGAATGCAAGCCATATTTATTTTATGGTGAATAATCTCTGGGATAAAATGTTTTAAAATTTAGGCTAAATGTTGTATATGAGATGGAGGATAATTGATATAATTTTAACTAGGAACCAAGATGAAATTCTTAAAAGACATTTTTAAATGTAAACAAATAAAAGTAAGGACCTAAATATAACTTAGTATCATATACAGCTTTTCACTTGTTTTCTTTTTATTATAGACATTTTGAAACACAGGACAAATCTAGTTTATACTCCAATCCACTTTGCATCATCCCTATTCTGGACTGGCTTATTGTGAAGCAAATCTAAGAAATCCTATCACATGGGGCTGGGTGTGGTAGCTCACAACTGTAATCCCAGCACTTTGGGAGGCTGAGACAGGTGGGATCACCTGAGGTCAGAAGTTCGAGACCAGCCTGGCCAACACAGCAAAACCCCGTCTCTACTAATAATACAAAAAAATTAGCACGGCATAGTGGCGCGCACCTGTAGTGCCAGCTACTAAGGAGGTGGAGGCAGGAGAATCACGAACCCGGGAGGTGGAGGCTGCAGTGAGCTGAGATCGTGCCACTGCACTCCAGCCTGGGCGACGAGCAAAACTCCGTCTCAAAAAAAAAAAAAGGAAAACAAAAAAAAGAAAAAAGAAATCATATCACATGGACATATTCATAATCTAAAATATACCTTGAAAGGATGACTCATCAGGCAGGCGCAGTGGCTCACACCTGTAATCCCACCACTTTGGGAGGCTGAGGCAGGCGATCACCTGAGGTCGGGAGTTCGAGACCAGCCTGACCAACATGGAGAAACCCCGTCTCTACTAAAAATACAAAATTAGCCAGGCGTGGTGGCAGACACCTGTAATCCCAGCTACTCGGGAGGTTGAGGCAGGAGAATCGCTTGAACCCAGGAGGCGGAGGTTGCAGTGAGCCAAGATCACGCCATTGCACTCCACTCCAGTTTGGGCAACAAGAGTGAAACTGCTTCTCAAAAAACAAAAACAAAAAAAAACAAAAAAACAAAAGGAAGGAAGGATGACTCATCTACATTTGTAGTTATACGTCAAAGAAATATTAACAAAGGGTACAAATATATTGACAAAATAGTCTAAGAAAATATTTCAGAACATTAAACCAAATAACCAGACCAGAAGAACATAAACTAACTATAGTACTCAAATATGTTTATGATTAAATTACTAATTACTGATTTAATAACTGATAAGAATGCTATTCAATGATGCTTATCTTATAGTTTTCTTACTCAGGTTTTTCTTCATTTATGCTGCATGTCATTTAAGTAAAAATTTTCCAAAAGGAATATACCACTTTGTCATTTCTAATTCTAAAAAAATGACACATTAAAGGGAAATTCCACCAGTGAAAATTCTCTTCTTCTTCTCCCATCATATTCTGTTTGGCAGCATGTGTCTTCATTGTATTTTTTCCAATCTGAGTTTGTTTATCAACTTTCTTCCTACCTGATATGCAAAGGCTTGTGGTGAGTTGTCAATTATTATAGTTTTTGAAAGATCTCTTCCAAGAATATTTAAGTCCTTTATATAGTTTCCTTGTACACAAACACAATGTTCACGGAAAAGCCGGTGCCTAAACATAAAAATAAAAACAAATTAAAAAAAAAAAACTTTCTAAAAAGTAGAACATATACACATATATATACACCATAGGCTTTATAGTTTAAGCCATATGATTTTCTCTCTTGAAGGAAATTCAAACACAAATATGGGTCTAAGCGTTGGGCTGCCATTTTACTATAAAAATTCTAAGCAATTACTGAAAGCTTACAACCAAATATTACTATGCCTTAAAGAACTTGAGTTTATCCCAAAATGTTATTATTAAATTATAAAGGGGGATTAAAAACTCTAAATTGTTTTTGTAATTTATTTACCCAAGAAAGCTCAGCTCAGATGCAGCATCTGGTTGTCAGCGAGGTCCTGCTTTTTAACCAATTTTCCAGATGGTTGACTGAGGAACAAGGAGGTCAAGTGACTTGCCCAAGGTCACACAGTAAGTCAGTGGTTAGCCCCGCATTGGAACCCAGGATCCTCCTGGCTCCCAGTCCTTGGCTCTAACCAGTGGACCACACAGCCTCCCTATCCCTGTACATGCCAGAATAGAAAATATAAGAAGGAATGTTTTTGTGTTGGCATTTGAAAAAATGCTTTTTAGATTTCCTTATTTTTTTTGAGAAAAGGTCCTAAGACCAAAACATTCCATCATTTCAACTTTTCCTAAACACCCCTCTTTTAGTATATGTGTATGATCATTTGAAAAAAGATTAAGTGAAATGAGGAATTCAGATTTAAGTATCAAGTATTATAAATGTAAACTGATATTTCACTCACATAGAAAAATACTACATCATTTTAGAAAGCTATTAAAGGTTTTACAATACTAAAGTGATTATTATAATCTCAATTTATACTCAAAATACTAGTCTCTGAACATTACTAATAATTGTTTCATATAATTTTTTTCTACCTTGAAGTACTCTATTCTGTATATATTAATAATTGGTAAGTTGTCTTCCTTGTGTCTTAATCACACTAACAATTTTACAAAATCTAGGACCTATTTGGACCTGTATTTTAAATTATGCAATTTCAAGAAACTGGTATTTTCTACCCACAAAATCTGTCACAGTGCTACCAAGAATAAATAAAAATCTACATATACACACACAAATAAAAACTCAACCTTAAAATTATCAGTGCCAGTTGGTATGGCAAAAAGGAAGAATTTAACGAACAGACAAAATGTATAAGCAGTTCTTTCCCCCTTATTATAAGGAATAACTTTAATAATCACAGTCAAACGATCATCTGGCCCCGGGAAAGTTTAGTCAGTTCTACTTTGAAAAAACAACAACAAAAAAGACTAAGTAAATTAATTCAAGCCTTGGTTGGGCCTAAATAAGATTCACTGTTTTATTTCTATAAACATTTAGATATGAGGAAACTGGAAAGGCAGATACAGCATGTAAATTCAAGTCACTGTTGATGCCTCTTCACCGATAGTGGCAAACTCATTGAGACAGGAGACAACTGAATCTGTACGTGGATACTACAGTTATTTTAATTAAATTACAGTAAAAGCCTTCCAATTATTCATTCAGGAATCTGAGGGTGTATAGCATGTATTTGCATTTTTAGAAAAAAACTATTTGTACCAGTCATCAAAGAGCAGATCATCCATGTGAGTACAGACTTGTGTTAGAAACTCATGAGATTTAGAGATCACAGGAATTTCTTTTTTTCTTCTTTTTTTTTTTTTGAGACGGAGTCTCCCACTGTCGCCCAGGCTGGAGTGCAATGGCAGACTCTCGGCTCACTGCAACCTCTGCCTCCCGAGTAGCTGGGATTACAGGCGCCTGCCACCATGCCCAGCTAATTTTTTTTGTATTTTTAGTAGAGACGAGGTTTCATTATGTTGGCCAGGCTGGTCTTGAACTCCTGACCTCGTGATCCGCCTGCCTTGGCCTCCCAAAGTGCTGGGATTACAGGCGTGAGCCACGGCACTCAGCCTAGATCATAGGAATTTCTTAGAGTCTACCTTGTCACCAACACAGACAATTCCCTATAGCACTCACAATCTACTCTTTGAAACGCTTTTGTTGGCCAGGCGCGGTGGCTCACGCCTGTAATCCCAGCACTTTGGGAGGCCAACGTGGGCGGATCACGAGGTCAGGAGTTCCAGACCAGCCTGACCAACATGATGAAACCCCGTCTCTATTAAAAATACAAAAATTAGCTGGGCGTGGTGATGCGCGCCTGCAATCCCAGCTTATCAGGAGGCTGAGGCAGGAGAATCGCTTGAATCTGGGAGGCCGAGTTTACAGTGAGCCAAGATCGCACCACTGCACTCCAGGCTGGGTGACAGAGCAAGACTGTTTCAAACAACAAACAAACAAACAAAAAAACAAGCTTTTGTTTCAGATTTCTCAAAATACATCTAGATAGAACAAATGGAAACCCTCAAGTGTGTAGGTTTTATAAATCTAGTTTAAAAGAGGATTGTTAATTTATAACACATTGTCATAACATGACTATCATTTGTTCCTCATTAGTAAATGAAAGCTCCAAGAGGGAAGAGCTTGTGTTGCTCACCACTGTTCCCTGGAATACTGGAGATGCTGAACAGAAATCATTATAATGAATGAAGTCATCAAAACAAAATCACTGGGTATACTTTAGTAAAGTGAGGTAAAATTAGCATAAATTACAATATACTTTTGTGAACAGAAAATACCATTTCCCATTTGTGTGACTGCAGCTTACTTATTTTGACCCTTTAGATTAAAAAACAAAAGATACCACAGCTTTATTTAGAATAAAAAACCTTCCAAAATATGAACATTAGGAAAAGCCTTTCAGTATACTTGCAACCACTGAATAATAAAGGTACTGTTAACAGCAGAAAATACACTTTAGGATTTTCCAGTAAGACAACATGGGAAAAGTATTTAAGAAAATTTATACTCAGCTGGGCTGGGTGCAGTGGCTCACGCCTGTAATGCCAGCAGTTTGGGAGGCCAAAGTGGGTGGATCACTTGAGGTCAGGAGTTCAAGACCAGCCTGGCCAATATGATGAAACCCCATCTCTACTAAAAACACTAAAAATTAGCCAGGTGTGGTGGCACACACCTGTAGTCCCAGCTACTCGAGAGGCTGAGGCAGGAGAATCTTTTAAACTCAGAAGGCAGAGATTGCAAACTGCACTCCAGCCTGGGCAACAGAGTGAGAATCCGCCTCAAAAAAAAAAAAAAAGAAAAAGAAAGAAAGAAATAGAGAAAGAGAGAGGAGAGAAAGAAAGAAAGAAAGAGAGAGAGAAAGAACGAACGAACCAACCAACCAACCCAGCTATTAAAGTCTTTTTTTTTGAGATGGAGTTTTGCTCTTGTTGCCCAGGCTGGAGTGCAACGGCACGATCTCGGCTCACCATAACCTCCGCCTTCCGGGTTCAAGCGATTCTCCTGCCTCAGCCTCCCGAGTGGCTGGGATTACAGGCATGCGCCACCACGCCCACCTAAATTTTGTATTTTTAGTAGAGACACGGGGTTTCTCCATATTGGTGAGGCTGGCCTTGAACTCCTGACCTCAGGTGATTAGCCAGACTCAGCCTCCCAAAGTGCTGGGATTACAGGCGTGAGCCACCGCGCCTGGCCCTATTAAAGCTTTTATGAGCCGTTTGTGTCATCTCTCTCAGCTTTTGATCAAAAATTCAAAGATTAACCCCTCCTCTTAAAGGATACAGCAAGACTGCTGCAGTCTTACTATCTCACTTCAGCTGACAAAATAATGGAACTAATTATCATAATATTTTAAAATCACCACGGCACTCCCACTAACCAGGAAAACACTGCATCTGCTGGCTCAGGGCACACACAAGGAACTGAGTCCAGTCAGGATAACCTGAGTGACTAAACCCACTGTAATTTCCAATCAGATTCATGTAACATTTTCTTTCCATGGAAGATAAATTTGCTTTCAAAAAAAGCAAGGGCTTAATTTGATCCTTTCTGTTAAAAAATAATTTTTATTTCTCTATGCCATTAAAAAGTAAATTAACATGCATTACCTCAGAGACATATGGAGATGAAACATCATGCACAACGTGGAAAAATTCCACACAACCCCCCCAACCCCCGTCTTCCCCAATCCCAAAAGAAATGAGGATATAGATGTCACAGTGAATAAAGGCACTGGATCTTTGTATCCTTTAAAGAACGTCTGTCTGGAGTTCCATCATTAGGAACTCTTTTAAAGAGTTTAGGGGCTTAAAAAATTCATTTATATTCACCATTCAACACATATGCAGCCAACTGAAAATGGCCATTAAAATGAAATAGAATCAGTAATTTCATAGATCAGTGTGACAGACATTTCCACTATTTCTTAATTAAATTTACCTGACCAGTTGCTTTTTAGGGTCTAGTATGTTCAGTAACTTGTCTGCATACACCTTCTTAGAAGCAGTAAAAAGAATGATCTATAAATTCAGGGGAAAAGAAGTAATCATTATACATGGTCTAAATATGGGTACTATATTGAATAAAATAAAAATACATATGTAATTAGCTTAAGCATGTTTACCTCATACATCTGAGACATTCGTTCCAGGAATTCCCTGAAAAATGGTCTTAATCTCACATAAACCTAAGGAAATACAAAGATAAGTTTCAGCAAATAAACATACAATGGGAAACCACTTCTTTTTAAGATGTGCTGTATTCTAACTTTGATTATAATGAAAAAGTTCATGTTTTAAAGTATAGAAATATTAACTAAGTACCACTCAAACCAAGTATATTTCACATACAAGCGATCACTTAAACCAATCTCTTTGGTGGGATAATAATAATCACTGATGATCAAGTCATTTTTACTAATAGCAGCATACAGTACTTCACTGGTATGTAATTTTAATAAACATTTAAGCTAAAAATGGAAAGTTTCCCTCTGAGATTTTGATCCACCAGTAAGCTCCATCTTCCAGCCAGGTAGCATCCATCCAATTATTGTGTCCACCTCTAGCTGACCTGTCTCAATGACCTTCCTCAATAATTACTCAGAATTCCTTCAAACAACCACCTGCTAAAAATATCTCTATTTTAAATTTATATCAAGGTAAATTATATTCAAAAGGAGACGTCTGGATTGATGGGTTTAAATAACCTCAGTTTTTCAGAAATCAATCTTCCTATTCTACATTTAATGACTCAGATGTGGCATCTAAATTAGCACTATTGGCTACTTGAGATTAAAATTATAACAGTCAAACACAACAGTTCTCAAAACCTACTGGTCAGTATCAGAAAAGACTACAGTACCCACAGAACTGCTTTACATACATTATTTTCTTATTTCTGTGTCTCTCTTTGCCTACATTTAATATAGCTCCTATAATCTAATATTCAAAAAGCCATGAGCAACCATTAAAACTATTTACATTCTGACTCCTCTAAATTGTATTCATTTTGTTACAAAATTTTACAGAAAGAAAAATACTATACTTCATTCAAAGGTGACTACTATTATAATTTCAAATACCACGAATAACAAGTATTTATTGAACTAGATTCACGGATTCAGATTAAAAACAAACCAAACACCTTGTGGTAGCAACAAATTCAAACCCAGGCTTAGTGGAGTTTCAATTCTGGCATCCATATACATGCACACAAAAATGCCCCCATGACAAAAATCTAGTTCTAGGAATGTTTTAGGGCAAAATAGAGAATTTCCTTAAGAACTGACCACTTATAGGAGACAAATTCTGTTTGTTTGAGATGGAGTTTCACTCTTACGGCCCAGGCTGGAGTGCAATGGCATGATCTTGGCTCACTGCAACCTCCGCCTCCTGGGTTCAAGTGATTCTCCTGCCTCAGCCTCCGGAGTAGCTGGGATTACAGGTGCTCATCACCACGACCGGCTAACTTTTTGTACTTTTAGTAGAGACGGGGTTTCGCCATGTTGGGCAGGCTGGTCTCAAACTCCTGACCTCAGGTGATCCGCCCGTCTTGGCCTCCCAAAGTGCTGAGATTACAGGCGTGAGCCACCAAGCCAGGCCAGAAGACAAATTTTGAATGATCATTACTGTGCTAATAATATCACTCTGTCCCCATCTCTGGGCTAGATAAAGGTTTACTTGTTTTTAATCCTATTAGTTTTTTTTTTTTTTTGAGAAGGAGTCTTGCTCTTTCCCCCAGGCTGGAATGCAGTGGCGTCATCTTGGCTCACTGCAACCTCCACCTCCAGGGTTCAAGCAATTCTCCTACCCCAGCCTCCGGAGCAGCTGGGATTACAGGCATGGGCCACCATGGCTGGCTAATTTTTGTATTTTTAGTAGAGATGGGGTTTCACCACATTGTCCTCCTAACCTCAAGTGATCTGCCTGCCTCCCAAAGTGCTGGGATTACAGGCGTGAGCCACTCCGCCCGGCCTAATCCTATCAGTCTTGATGATCAAAAACAAAGTAAACCACATACCCCTCCTCAAAGCAGAAAAAAAGAACCAAATCCTCAGCATCCAATCACCATCGTTTAGGATGAGGTCTAAAAAATTTAACGATAGTTGTTCTTCTAATCAATTTTAACATTTTCATCCTGAAACATTTGGTGTAGTTTGTAGCCTTGATTGAAAACCACACACACCTTCTTTGGTAAGCCAAACAACAACAGATTTTTATGTATATTATTTTACTAACAAAATCATTTTAATCAACTGAGTCTTTTCAAAACAGATTTGTGATGGTTAAGAACAACCCATCTATTCTGCCAATACTTTTTCTGAATTCCATCTCAAGGTAGATGATAAACTATAAACTATCAGAACCTTTTACTTGTTGCCAGTGTTCATCACTCACATGCAGTTAGTAACCAAAAATATTTCATTTTTTCATGTATATAAATGTTTTATTTTCAATATCCCTATTATCACTTGCTCCATATACAGGTTGAGTGTCCCTTATCTGAAAATGCAAAATGATCCAATGAGCATTTCCTTTGAACGTCATGTCAGTGCTCAAAAAGTTTCAGGCTGTTTTTGTTTTTTTTTTTAAGACAAGGTTTCACTCTGTTGTCTAGGTTGGAGTGCAGTGGTGCAAACATGGCCACTGCAGCCTCGACCTCCCGGGCTGAAGTGATCCTCCTGTCTTAGCCTTCCACATAGCTGGGATGACAAGTGCATAACACCATGCCTGGCTTTAAACAATTTTTTTTTGGTAGAGATGGGCTCTCACTATCTCACTATGTTGCCCAAGCTGGTCTCAAACTCTTACGCTCAAGCAATATTGCCTTGGCCTCCCAAAGTGCTGGGATTATAGGCATGACCCATCACACCCGACTAAGTTTCAGATTTTCTTTTTTTTTTTTTTTTTTTTTTTTTGCGAGACCGTCTCATTCTGCTGCCCAGGCTGGAGTGCAGTAACATGATCTTGGCTTACTGCAACCTCTGCCTCCCAGGTTCAAGCAATTCTCATGCCTCAGCCTCCCCAGTAGCTGGGGTTATAGGCGTGTGCCACCACATCCGGCTCATTTTTGTATTTTTAATAGAGACGGTTTTCACCGTGTTGACCAGGCTGGTCTCAAACTCTCGAACTCAGGTGATCTCCCCGCCTCGGCCTCCCAGGGGAGGTATTACAGGCATCAGCCACCACACCTGGTGATAAATTACAGATTTTGAGGCATTTCAGATTTCGCATTTTTTGAATTAGGGATATTCAACCTGCAGTAAACTAAGATAAGCAGGGCCTCTTTGAGATTTATTGCCTCTGAACACGACACAATTCCACTGCACAAGAATATGTCTAGTTAACAATATTTTCCAGCCATAGTAAGTGGAACATTGTTCAAAGGTGACATTTTCCAACTTCTCATACAGTGACTTCCAGATTAGGTCAAAGCTATAACTTCATTGTGCATACTACTACTTTAACTATACTTAAATATAACATGCATCTTAAAATTTGACATTGCTTTCAAAATGTGTTTGTTTACTGGGGATAAGAGGTGGCACTGAAGATAAAGGAATATATTGCTAGAGTGTTTCTTTACTATGAGAATGGAAAGAGTAACTGTTGAAAATAATAGTTCCTATCCTCAGAACAGATTCACCATGTGAACAAGAAGGTGTTTCAGTATTAAAAGACACAGGCAGAGAATGAGGGAGGAAAGTGGGAAGAAACGTAGAAAGGTACTGGGCTGGGGTTAGGGCCACATGGGGTTGTGCCATGTGATGCAAAGGAAAATCTCAGAAACAGAAGTAGAGATGAGACATAAGGCCAGCAGCGTCTAAGTTATTTGGATATAGGTAAGCGTGAACAGAAATATATAAGTCAAGAAGCACTACGTACTGTCTGGTAAGAACAAATAAAGAACATCTGTCAGGTACATATAATACAATGAGTTTAACTCTTGAGACTACCATTACTTTATTGTGTTAGGTCAGAGATACAAAAACAGACAGATGCACACATAGACATGCCTCCAAATGCTTCAAAATCTATTCTACAAATAGCATTAGCTCCATTTTTCTTCTAATTTTACTCTCATACAAAGATTCCTTTCCTGAGCTGCCTACTTCCCATTTTCTACATTTCCTTAATCCACTCCTTTCTCTACTTAGTATTTTACCTTCTTGAAACTTGCAGCTCTTCAAAATTATGTAATCTCCCAAAGGCCAAAAGCTTCATTTCAGTCTAGTATACATGTTTCTTCAAATCGATAATATTTTATTTATAGTACAAATAATTTTAATATTTTCTCAGTAAACCAAATATATTGTGGAAAATGTCAAAAGTTTAAAAATAATGCCTAAAGCCATAATAAGAAATAATTATATTTAAAAAACTATTCAAGATTGACTACTACTTGAAGATACAGATTTATGAACATGTTCATTATGCAAAACTTTTAAAATGAAAATCTATCAGAATATCTGTAAAAGAGTGTTGTGGTGCCAGGCATGGTGGCTCACGCCTGTAATCCCAGCACTTTGGGAGGCCAAGACGAGTGGATCGCCTGAGGTCAGGAGTTTGAGACCAGCCAGACTAACATGTTGAAACCCTGTCTCTACTAAATATACTACTAAATATACAAAAATTAGCTGGACGTGGTGGCATGCACCTGTAGTCCCAGCTACTGGGGAGGCTGAGACCGGAGAATTGCTTGAACCCAGGAGACAGAGGTTGCAGTGAGCCAAGATGCGCTACTGCACTCCAGTCTGGGCAACAGAGTGAGACTCCGTCTCAAAAAAAAAAAGGTGTTGTGAACTGATTTTACCAAAATTTAAATTTTACACAGAAAATGAATATATATATATATATTTTTAAATGGAGTCTCGCCCTGTTGCCCAGGCTGGAGTGCAATGGTGTGGTCTCAGCTCACTGCAACCTCCGTCTCCCAGGTTTAAGCGATTCTCCTGCCTCAGCCTCCCAAGTAGCTGGGGCTATAGGCGCATGCCACCACAACCGGCTAATTTTTGTATTTTTAGTAGAGACGGGGTTTTGACATGTCAGCAAGGCAAGTGATCTGCCTGCCTTGGCCTCCCAAAGTCCTGGGATTATAGGCATGAGCCACCGCACCCAGCCATATATATAATTTCAAAAAACCCACTACACTACTACTACTTGATATGAATAATACTTGATGGTCTATTTTTTTGTGTGTTAAGATAAAAATTGTATATAGATAGTACTGAAAGGCTATTAATAGTTAACATAGCTGGATTTTTAAAAAAGTAGTCATTGGCTGGGCGTGGTAGGTCACGCCTGTAATCCCAGCACTTTGAGAGGCCAAGGCGGGCGGATCACCTGAAGTCAGGAGTTCAAGACCAGCCTGGCCAACATGGTGGAAACCCCGTCTCTACTAAAAATGCAAAAAATTAGCTGGGCATGGTGGTGGTGCACGCCTGTAGTCCCAGCTACTTGAAAGGCTGAAGCAGGAGAATCACTGGAACAGCGAAGGTGGAGGTTGCACTGAGCTGAGATCACACCACTGCACTCCAGCCTGGGTGATCAAGCAAGACTGTGTCTCAAAAAAATTAAAAAATAAAAAAAATAAAAATAAAAAAGGCAGTCATTAAAATGATAATCCACTTATAAACTGATTCTACATATTATGTGGTAAAGTCTAAATTAAAACTCACATCGAATTATATAATTTCAAGTTATATACTTAGTAATTTCTACTAGTTTATCAAACCTTAATCTAATATCATAGATAATTTTAACAGTATGACCCCCCCAAAAATTACATGTGAGTCTTTTTAGGAAAAACATTTCTAAATGATTTTTAGGCCCAGATAATATGACCATAACTTTCTTTTTTTATTTTTTGAGATGGAGTCTCACTCTGTCACCCAGGCTGGAGTGCAGTGGTGCGATTTCAGCTCACTACAACCTCCACCTCCCGGGTTCAAGCAATTCTCTGCCTCAGCCTCCCGAATAGCTCAGCTGACAGGGCTCCGCCACCATGCCTAAGTTTTTTGTATTTTTAGTAGACACAGGGTTTCACCATCTCGGCCAGGCTGGTCTTGAACTCCTGACCTCGTGATCCACCCGCCTCAGCCTCCCAAAGTGCTGGGATTACAGGGGCTAGCCACAGCGCCCGGCAGACCATAACTTTCAAAAAGAAACATCTTTGAAACTTTTTCCATGACATCCTTCCAACCTATTGCTACATTGTGGCAATAGGTTTTAAAAAATGATGAATCCAAGGAATCATCCACTTTAGAGTATGACATCTGTTTTCTTTTAATCAAAAAGATGACTGGTAGGTGCTATTTCTTATTTAATTAAGCAAGAAGAATTAAAACAGTAGAAAATAAACAAAGTTGGGGAACATAAAGAATGAGATGCAGCCAGGTGTGGTGGCTCAATGTCTATAATCCTAAAATGCTAGGGCATTTTGGGAGGCCGAGGTGAAAGGATCACTGGAGCCCAGGAGTTTTGAGACTAGCCTGGGCAACATGGCGAAACCCTGTCTCTACAAAAAAATACAAAAATTAGCCAGGCGTGGTGGCACTCGCCCGTAGTCCCGGCTACTCAGGGGGCTGAGGCAGGAGAATTGCTTGAACCCAGGAGGTTGAGGCTGCAGTGAGATGTGATCATGTCACTGTACTCTAGCCTGGGTGGCAGAATGAAACCCTGTCTCCAAAAAAAAAAAGAAAAAAAAAGAATGAGATGCTACAATTAACTGAAAAAATCTTATCTTACCATCAGTAGATACCACAAGTGTACAAGTGGCTGTACCAATTTTTTAACTCTTCTGTATACCTCAGTTTCCCTATCTATAAAATACAGGATATAACAACAATATCTACATCATAAGGTGGTTGTGAAGATTAAATAAGTTAATACACGTAAAGTACCTAGAACAGTGTCTGGTACATTCAAAGTGCCAATAGCTATTAGCTATTATTATCTATCTCATTGTTTAAAAGTAATCAGTCACAAGAAGAGCTGGAGTGAGTATGATTCTATTGGGCAGAACTGGGCAACCTCAATTCCAAAGAGAAAGCCCTACAGCCAAAATCTATACTTTTGGAAGAGGGAGATAACAAACTGTTTCAGTAAACTGTTTAATTTAGTTCACATGTTCTTAGCATCAATACCAGAACTTAAAGATAAAACCCAAACCTTCTCCAAAGAAAGAGGGTTATTCAGGTAGGCCCTAGAGTGGTCTCAATTTCATAACCCACTGAGTGATGTTACAGTAGTAATCTTTTGCTTCATGAAAATTCCAATAAGAGGTAGACAGATGCTGGGGGTAGTATTTGTAGGTGGATAAATTTGGGATGAATAGGTAAACACTAAAACCAATAAAAATAAAAACAAAACAACAAAAAATCCCTAAATTAAAAGCTCCTGCGGCTGGGTGCAGTGGCTCACGCCTACAATCCCAGCACTTTGGGAGGCCGAGGTGGGCAGATAGTTGAGGACAGGAGTTCATGACCAGCCTGGCCAACATGGTGAAACCCCATCTCTACTAAAAATACAAAAATTAGCTCGGCATGGTGGCCCATGCCTGTAATCCCAGCTACTCAGAAGGCTGAGGCAGGAGAATCGCTTGAACCCAGGAGGTGGAGGTTGCAGTGAGCTGAGATGGTGCCACCATACTCTAGCCTGGGCGACAGAGTAGCGAGACTCAGTCTTATTTAAAAAAAAAAACAAAAAACAAACAAAAAAAGCCAGGCGCGGTGGCTCACGCCTGTAATCTCAGCACTTTGGGAGGCCGAGGTGGGCGGATCACGAGGTCAGGAGATTGAGACCGTCCTGGCTTACACGGTGAAACCCTGTCTCTACTAAAAATACAAAAAAATTAGCCGGGTGTAGTGGCAGGCGCCTGTAGTCCCAGCTACTCGGGAGGCTGAGGCAGGAGAATGGCGTGAACCTGGGAGGCGGAGCTGGCAGTGAGCCAAGATTGTGCCACTGCATTCCAGCCTGGGCGACAGAGCGAGACTCTGTCTCAAAAAAAAAGTTCCTGCAAAACCTTACTCAAACAGAAATCAACCTGAAAAGAAATTTTTTAAAGAGTACAGGCAGGGCACGGTGGCTCACATCTGTAATCTCAGCACTTTGGGAGTCTGAACTGGGTGGATTGCTTGAGCCCAGGAGTTTGAGACCAGCCTGGGCAACACAGAGAAACCCCGTCTCTACAAAACATACAAAAAAGGGCATGGTGGCACATTCCTGTAGTCCCAGCTACTGTTTGGGAGGCTGAGGTGAGAAGACGGTTTGAGCCTGGAAGATAGAGGCTATAGTGAGCAGAGATTGTGTCAATGCACTCCAGTCTGGGTGACACAGCGACACCATGCCTCCAAAAAAAAAAAAAAAAAAAAAGTCAAAGTAGGATAAAATGAAGCTTAATGTATTCATATAGGTGATTTATATGATTTATATTAAAAGTTACCAATGGGGCTGGGCATGGTGGCTCATGCCTCATGCCGGTAATCCCAGCATTTTGGGAGGCCGAGGTGGGCAGATCACTTGAGGTGAGGAGTTCAAGACCAGCCTGGCCAACAGGGTAAAACCCCATCTCTACTAAAAATACAAAAATTAGCCGGCCTCAGTAGCACGTGCCTATAATCCTAGTTATTCGGGAGGCTGAGGCAGGAGAATTTCTTGAACCTGGGAGGCAGAGATTGTGGTGAGCCAAGATAGCGCCATTGCACTCCAGCCTGGGCAACAGATTGAGACTCTGTCTCAAAAAAAAAAAAAAAAAAAAAAGTTACCAATGAAGCATAATTTTCATCAGGGAAAAATTGGCCATTATATTGTATGTACATATATTTGCATATGTTAAAAAACTTGATGTATTTACATTAATAAAAGTTTAGTCAAAACAATGGCCATTTTAGTAAAACAAAAATGTTACCTTTAAACTCAAACTCTAAACTTCAAAGGAAATGAAGCCTCCAATTTAATGTAATCAACTGTCACACCTTCTAAATTTATAGCCATTAAATAAGAACTTTCCACATAGTATGTTTTCTTTTCTTTTCTTTTTTTTTTTTTTTGGGAGACAGAGTCTCGCTCTGTTGCCCAGCCTAGAGTGCAATGGTGCGATTTCGGCTCACTGCAACCTCTCCCTCCCGGGTTCAAGCAATTCTCCCGTCTCAGCCTCCCGAGTAGCTGAGATTACAGGCACCTGCCACCACGCCCAGCTAATTTCTTTTTTTTAGTAGAGACAGGGTTTCACCATGTTGTTTAGGCTGGTCTCGAACTCTCTGACCTCAGGTGATCCACCTGCCTCAGCCTCCCAAAGTGCTGGGATTAGAGGTGTGAGCCACCATGGCTGGCCCGTATGTTTTTTCTCCTTCTTTTTTTTCTTTTTGAGACTGGCTCTCTGTCACCCAGGGTGGAGTGCAGTGGCGTGATCACAGCTCACTAGGGCCTGAAGCTCTCGGGGTTCCGGTGATCTTCCCACCTCAGCTTCCCAAGTAGCTGGGACTAGAGGTGTGTGCCACCTATTTTTGCATTTTTTGTGGAGACAAGGTCTCACTACATTGCCCAGGCTGGTCTTGAACTCCTGAGCTCAAGCCATCCACCCACCTAGGGCTCCCAAAGTGCTATCATTACAGGCATGAGCCACCACACCTGGCCTCTATTTTATTTTAATGAATTGCTCCTAATTTTGAAAGATACATTTTAGACAAAGAATCCCCATAAAATATATTTTTCCATATTTTTGAGAAATAGAGAACTATTGGTTTCATTTGTATCTTTTCCTTTTTTTAGCCAATTAATAATGAATAATTATGATGAAAAAATTAGTACCAATAACTAAACATACTAATAAGGATGGGAAAGTGACTTTAAAATTATTCTAAAGTAGTATTTTTAATATTCATCTACAATTAATTATTGAATTATTGTTCCCTACAAGCTAAAATATTAGTTTTATCCTCTATACTATGCAACTATGACCCTGAAATGGTTGTCTGATTTCTCAGCCTCCTGGCTCAAGCAATCCTCCTGCCTCAGCCTATCGAGTAGCTGGGACTATAGGTGCTCCCCACCATGCCCGGCTAATTTTTTTTTTTTGGAAGGGACAGGATCTCACACTATCTTGCCCAGGCCGGTCTCAAACTCCCAGGCTCAAGCATTCCTCTCACCTCAGCCTCCCAGTGCAGGGATTACAAGCAAGCCACTGCCCCGGCCTCAAAAGTTTTTTTTAGGCTACTTTTGTAGATGAATCTCAAGAACAATGTGCATGTTGGTTAGTATCAATTTAAGCCAGAACTTGAGAAAAAAATTAGGTATTTACTACAAAATTATAAATTTAAATGATTGGTTTCTTTCCTTCATGAAGCAAAAATAAAGCTGACTTTTCTAGAAAAGACTGTAAAGAGGAGACAGAAGCAACTGACCCTCTACTTCTCTTGTTCTTTCTTTTCTTTTTTGAGATGGAGACTCGCTTTGTCGCCCAGGCTGGAGTGCAGTGGCGCAATCTTGGCTCACTGCAACCTCCGCCTCCTGGGTTCAAGTGATTTTCCTGCCTCAGCCTCCTGAGTAGCTGGGATTACAGGCACCTGCCACCACGCCCGGCTAATTTTTTTTATTTTTTTGTGGAGATAGGGTTTTGCCATGTTGGCCAGGGTGGTCCTGAACTCCTGGCCTCAGGTGATCTGCCCATCTCCGCCTCCCAAAGTGCTGGGATTACAGGCGTGAGCCACTGCACCTGGTTCTACTTCTCTTGTTCTGTGATATGAAAATTATCCTAAGCTGTAAGATTCCCAAGAAAACTGAAAGAATGGGGACGCGGGTAAGCTTTGCTAACCGTGGCCTTCCCCATCCACCTCTTCCCCCAACTTTTCCCATAAAAGCAACCTCTACTAATAAAACAAAGCATCTTTTACAAGTAGCTCCCTACAGGGATCCTATCTGTCCTTGAGTGCTTACCACAATCTGATTTCTGGACAGCTGACCCAAAGTTTGTTGATTTTACTGATCTTCAGAAAGCCACTGACTGGCTAAAGTCTTATTGGTGAACAGAGTCAAAAATCAGATGCCCCTGCCAAGCTTTACAGAATGAGGAGTTGGACAACACAGTTACGTTTGGCTGCACTGTGGTGAAACATATGAGGTATCTTCTTTTTGTCTTCAATCAGCCACATTTGGGCTGAGTAGTTCTATTACATCTTCAAAAAACTGAGCTCCAGTTCTTGATGGAGACAGAGGAAGGTCATTGAGGAGGTGGTTCAGCTCAAGAGCTAAGTGAAAAATGTCTTTTGATTCACTCCTGCTTGTGGATAGAAGTCATCTTCGGGATGGAAGAGGGAGTGAGATGACCTAGAGTCTTGAATTGGTGGATCTGCAGGAACAGAAACTAAATACAGTGGAGACCTCTTAACTGAGTAACACCACGAGATGGATTTCCTGACAAAGTGCCAATATAGGCTAAATATAAAGATTAAACATGTGCAATAAAAGTGATCATGCACTTGTTTTTCCAGATATCAAATGCATTTGTACCATTTTATGAATACATGTTTTCTTAATAACTGATTATAAAACAATGTAAAAAAAAAACCAATTTAAGAAAAATAGACCCATTCAAACAAAAAGCCTGTAATTTTGCCTATATGAGTGCCATTTCCTCACGTTTAACAAGTCGGTTCTTTCAAATGACTTTTTATCCATATACAAACTATACTCTGTCTAGTCCACATAGTGTCAGTAGTAACATACATCAAATTTTAATTTGAGATAGATCTTTCAGGTTTTTTTTTAATCCCCTAGAGAAATGAAATTCAAATTACACCTCAAGGTACTAATTTACAATAATCTACCTGCTTACAAATTCTAAGACTTGCATTAACCAAGTTTATTCCTACATATCAACCAAAAGAAGAGTACGTATCATTAAGTCAGGCAATCTTTAAATGTGAGTAGTGGCCACCTCAAAGTTCCCTCAAACTTTGATTTTAAAAAAACTTTAAAGGCCCACAACCAGATTACTGTGGATCTAATTTAAATTTTCTACATACATTTACAAGAATTTTGATGAACATTTGATTACTTACTTCTACTTACAATTTGAATATGTAAATTTACTGTATATACTCTCATAATTATTAGACCAGGAATCAGCAAACTATGGTGGCCAAATGCAGCCTGCCACTGATTTTTGTATATAACGTTGTACTGGGACACAGTCATGCTTTTTCATTTATGTATTGTCCATGGCTACTTTCATGCTGCAATAGCACAAAAAGCAGTCATGACAGGGACCACAAAACCTAAAATATTTACAACTGGCCCTTTATAGAAAAAGGTTGCCAACCCCTGATATAGACAATTATTAAAACATATATAATACAATTAAATTATTTTGAAATGAAACAGAAATAACATGTAGAGTTAAAATTAGTTATAGGTCAACCATAACAAATATACCACAGAAAGAAAAAAAACGTAAAATAAGTCCCAAGAGGACACTCCATCTGGCTTTCAGATGAAAAATTTGATCTTTACATATAAAATATATATACATATATATGTAAATGCTATAAAACTAACATTCAAGAATAATACAGATACACGCTATGGAACTGTTCATTTAAAAATGGTTAATTTTGTCATGTAAATTTCACCTCAATAAATTTTTTAAAAAATAAGAGTATATGCAGTACTTTACAGATTTCTACCTTTAAGTGGGCCACATCATAGTACAGTGGTTAAAGATTTAAGTTACATCTTACCTAATAATGTGGTTTCTCCAATATCTCTTAGATCATCTCAGACCCTTGTGTATATTTCTTCTTTGCCAGTAGATGGAGACAACACCACTGAAAGTTTAAAAGACATCATTCCCTGTTTAAAGGGAGCTTGCTGGTCTGAAAACTGGGGGAACCCTAACCCAAAGATTTCTTCATTTATTTTTTAAAAGACAGAATGGCTATGCCAAAATAAGAAATCCAAGGGAATGTACCCAATATTAACTACGGATATCCTCAAAAATTTACTAAAAAGTAACTAAACTCTGTCTGTGATATGGTAACTAAATCGTATTAAAGTGCAATCATCTCTATAGCTTATAAGGTTCAAACTACCTGCTCTGTGCTCTCATTTAGGCTAGATCATTTATTTTTCAGTTTCAGAAAGTGTAACTCAGAATACATAAGAAAAAGAGTTGTCTGAATTCCACAGAGGTAGATGCAGTACATACATACAGTATTTTAATTAGTCATATATGCTGCTAGAAGCTTTTTATTCAAAATAAGACAACTATCCAGATCCACATGAAATAATAAGAACTTTAAAAAGAGAGTTAAAGCAGAAATGGTAGAAGCAGTAAGAAAAAAATTCAATTTTATGATCATACTGAAGAGAAACGCTCATGAAAGGGAAGAATCAAATTTACCTACTTAAGTTTCTTATTCACTACTAAGAATTACATAAACAGAACAAAAACCATCTGTAAGAAATAAATTTCAATTTCAAACCTAGAAGCTTAAGAAGTCATCTCAAAATCATTGTTTATCTATATTTTTCAATTAATAGCTTTCCTTTCCAAATTCAAAGCCTTAAAGCCATTTTTTTCAAATGCAATCACGAAAAACACCCAAAAGCAAAAAACAAAGAAAAACCCCAACAAGGTTATCGAGCTTAAAAGAGAAAACTAAGATATCACTATACTATTTACATCTGCCACAAGGACTCCTGTCCTTAAAGTCCACTAAACAAGAACAACAAATTTGATAAAAAAGGTCTTAAGAAAAATACTTGCCTTAAACCAAATAATCATCAGTTTTGAAAGGGAACAGAAAAATCTTTAAATCTTTTAATTTTATGTACATTTTGCTTACCCCCGATTATACATCAGGACTAAAATCAGCTTACATAAAAAGTGAATTCAGTATTCAAATATTTATTGCCATAGCTACAATACCTACCCTAGGTTAAAACTAGAACTGACAACTAAAATAAATCCTCTTACAACTCATTACTAGACAAAGTAGGTTAAAGTAGCCATGAACCACAAACTTCTATTTAACTCTTAAATTTCACGGTTTCTGTGAGACATCAACTATTATCTGCCAAGAAAACTATAACCACATTCTAACTGCCTTTAAGAGCACATAAACAACCAAACACATTTTCATCATCCACATGGCAAGCACTCTGTGACTTTACTAAGTTAATCTTTAGGCTGGCTCCCTCTTGACAGACAACAAACTTTTCGATTCCCAATCTTTCAACTATTATATAATGCAAATAATGCTAGTTAAATAACAACCTCCAAAACAGAAACGTACTTTGCAATTTTCAAAGTGTATTCACTTATATTATTAACTCAATCTTATAATAATGGAAAAACCTTAAAGTAAAAACTATGGCCAGCACACATAATCCACAGTGAAATGTTAATGATATTTGTATTTTGCACTGTTACCTGTCCATCAGCACAGATGAGAGAGAAATGCTCAAACTAAAATGCCCTAAGTAAAACAATAACTAGAAGAGTGTCCTGGAATTCTAAGATTAATTATAAAAGAGATGTACTAAAGTGTAATTTTCACAGACCACATTACTACTATAGGAAATAAAATGATCAACAAGGAATGAGTTTTCTTTGTATTAATTGGATTTTTGGAAAACAAAAACAAAAACACCAGGAGTTAACCTGGCAAGTTCCTCTTGAGGATCTATGATGTCAGTGCTCCTGCCTCCACCTGCTGGCAAACAGATTATGAAACTAGCTGAGATCTCAAGGTAAGAAAGTTAGCATTTTTGGAGTAACAAATTAATGTTGTTTTATGTAATATCTAGCATGATGCTAATTTTGTTAATAAATCATTAAAATGTTGATGAAATCCATTATACTTCTACAGAAAAACACATTTAATGTCACATACACACAAAAAAAATACAAAAGTTTTTTTTATCAGAATGTTACCTATCAGGCCAAAAATCATCAAAAAAATTTTAATTACCTGATAAATGACATCTTGGAAAAGGACTGGAAAAGTAAGTGCTGCATCTTCTAGCTCATTTAGACTACAATGCACTAGTGTTTCATCCTTAAAATAAAAAACAGAAATTGAATGAAACAAGATAGTAAAAGAAACTTCAAAGGATACTTTTATCCTTAATCACCAAAACACTAAAGCACCCATTCATATGTTGAATTTTACATTTATAATATATTACTATATGTGGCACAGCAATTTGGGGTAGGAGTTTCTAAAGTCACTAGTTCTCAGGTATAGCTCCTGGACTAGCAAGCAGAATAAACATCATTTGAGAACTAGTTAGAAATGCAAATGTTAACCTCACTTCTGATGATCAGAAACTCAGGGGAGGGGATGGGTCTCAGCAATCTCTGTGTTTTTTTTATTTTTATTTTTTGAGACAGAGTCTCGCTCTCAGGCTGGAGTGCAGTGGTGCGATCTCAGCTCACCGCAACCTCCACCTCCTGGGTTCAAACGATTCTCCTGCCTCAGCCTCCTGAGTAGCTGGGATTACAGGCGCCAGCAATCACGTCTGGCTAATTTTTGTATTTTTAGTAGAGACAGGGTTTCACCATGTTGGTCAGGCTGGTCTCGAACTCCTGACCTCAGGAACATGCCTTGGCCTCCCAAAGTGCTGGGATTACAGAAGTGAGCCACCGTGCCTGGCAACAATGTCTGTTTTTAGAAGCCCTTCGGATTCTGACACATGCTCAAGTTTGAGAAGCAAGGCTTTGAGTTCTGCAGTTGCCAACTTTCAGTTAAACCCACATGCATGCTACTTTTTTACAATCAGCAAATGTAAGTGTAGAATCTAATTATTAAAAATATATACTCTGTTCATTTAACTCCTTATCCTCCAACTTTTTATAAAGCATCTTACTTTAAGTAGATGTTTTAGTATCTCACAAATTACGTTTCATGTAATTTTACTCAGCACCAGATGATCTAGGTTCACTGCAACCTCCACTTCCCGGGATCAAGTGATTCTCCTGCCTCAGCCTCCCAAGCAGCTGAAATTACAGGCGCCCACCACCACGCCCGGCTAATTTTTGTATTTTTAGTGGAGATGGGGTTTCACTATATTGGTCAGGCTGGTCTCAAACTCCTGGACTCAAGTATCTGCCCGCCTTGGCCTCCCAAAGTGCTGGGATTACAAGCGTGAGCCACTGTGCCTGACCTAGATAAATTTTCTTTCCTTCCTTTTAAAATTGAAATGAGATCTCACTTTGTTGCCCAGGCTGCAATGCAGTGGCACAATTGTAGCTCACTGCCGCCTCAAACTCCTGGCCTCAAGGGATCCTCCTCTCTCGGCCTCCCGAGTAGCTGGGACTACACGCTTGCAACACCAGGCTCATTCATTTTTTGTAGAGACGTGGGTCTCACTATGTTGTCTAGGCTGGTCTCAAATTCCTGGGCTGAATGGAGCCTCCCAAAGTGCTGGAATTACAGGCATGAGCCACTGTGCCTGGCTAAGATAAATTTTCTATGAGAGCTAAACCACATCTCCAAATATAGGGTACCAATTATAGGGTTCCAGTAACAAATGCTTAATAATAAAATATTTTCCAATATGACATGAGATACATTTTTACTAATATCAAGAAATTAGTTCCTTCCTCAATCCCAGGGCTTCACTTTACTAGCCTTAAAAAAAGTAAACAGATTTTAAAAATGCAAAATTAATAAGAAATCAAGAGGCAGAGGGGAAATGTGACTATATATTAAATTTGGTTAGCAAATGATAGGAGATCATTGTTTTCAAAGCTTTTCTGGTACCCTAAAATATCATTTTTTTTTCTGAGACAGAATCTTGCCCTGTTGCCCAGGCTGGAGCACAGTGATATGATCTCAGCTCACTGCAACCTCCGTCTCCTGGGTTCTAGTGATTCTTGTGCCTCAGCCTCCAGAGTAGCTGAGATTACAGGTGTGTATCACCATGCCCAGCTAATTTTTGAATTTCTAGTAGAGAATGGGTTTTGCCATGTTGGTCAGGCTGGTCTCAAACTCCTGGCTTCAAGTGATCGGCCAAAAGTTCGGCCTCCCAAAGTTCTAGGATTACAGGCATGAGCTACCACACCCAGTCCCTAAAATACAAATTTTTAAATCACATCAAGATATCATACTGGGGCCGGGCTCAGTGGCTCATGCCTGTAATTCCAACACTTTGGGAGGCCGAGGCGGGCGGATCATGAGGTCAGGAGGTCGAGACCATCTTGGCTAACAAGGTGAAACCCCGTCTCTACAAAAAATACACAACAAAAAATTAGCCGGGCATGGTGGCAGGCGCCTGTAGTCCCAGCTACTCGGGAGGCTGAGGCAGGAGAATTGTGTAAACCCGGGAGGCGGAGCTTGCAGTGAGCTGAGATCGCACCACTGCACTCCAGCCTGGGCGACAGAGCGAGACTCCATCTCAAAAAAATAAGAAATTGTGCTTTTGAGACTATTAATAAAAAGTGTATTGGTATAATATATATGTAAAAATAAGAATAAGAAAAGGGTTATGGTCTTGCATATGGTTAATTAAGTTGACCCAAATTATTTTTGGTCCTTCAGGAAAACATGATCCTGACAAAAAAAAGGGAAAGCTAACATAAGCATGATTCTAAAAAAGAATTTCACCCCTTTATTCTCTCTACCTCTACAGATAATATACTTACCAAGTCTAAAACTAGGGAGAATTCCGGTGTGCTTCTTGTTTTCAACGGAAGAGCAGGTTTCCTATTTAGTTGTTCTTCTGTCAGTGGCGGGACATGTTTGATGAAATAATAGCTATAAATCAGATTTTAAGAAAATTTCAACATTTTACTTTTTATACATATAGAACATTACTAAGCTCAGCCCATTTAAAAATCTATAAAGCAGTTAACCCAGAAAACAAAACTTATAAAACATATTAATAAAAGTGAAAACATACAAATTAGTATCTCTGTAAAATAGTAACAGCTGTTTTTGTTTGTTTGTTTTTGAGACAGTCTCACTCTATCACAGGTCACTGTAACCTCTGCCTCCTGGGCTCAAGTGATCCTCCCACCTCACCTTCCCTAATAGCTGGGACTACAGGCATGTGCCACCGTGTCCGGCCAATTTCTGTATTTTTTATAGGGACGAGGTTTTGCCACGTTGCCCAGGTTGGTCTTGAACTCCAGGCTCAAACAATCTGCCTGCCTGGGTCTCTCAAAGTGCTGGGATGAGCCACTGCACCCAGCCCCATTAAAAGTTTCAAATACCTACAGGTCACATATCTTGGCAATATACTATTTAGCCACCAATCCACATATATAACGTACTCTCATCATGCTCCAAAAAGGAAAGAAAAAAAGAGAAAAAAGCAACTCACGGGTCAAATACTTCCCAGTCTTCTTCATAGGTGGCCTCCGCGTGGGCTGATGAATAACCACTATCTGGAGTTACTGGTGCTATTTAACATAGTGAAAGAAAAAATGTTGCTTTTACTTAATGCTTCATGAAATATATATTTTTACTGCTTCTATCTAAGATCTTCCTAAAGCCTTGTGTATTTTAAAGACAGAAATAACTTGTAAACACCTAAAAGCCAATTTATTAACATACAGATCTAACTTTAGATCTAAAGGGAAAAATGACCACTATAGAAAAAATGGCAAACCAGATCATGGCTAGAATTAAGATGTTTATCAGCTAAGAAAAAATCTACTACTTATTACTAGAAAAATATACACCAAAAAATGTAATCTTCTAATTGTATGGTGTTTACATGTAATCACCAAAAAATTTCATGGTGCTCTTATAGGGGTAATAGTTCATAAAATGCCTTGTACATACACGCAGTCAGTAAATGTATGCTGACAACAGACCCAAATGTAGGTTTTTTGTGTTTTTTTTTTGAGATGGAGTCTCGATCTGTCGCCCAGGCTAGAGTGCAAATGGCATGATCTCAACTCACTGCAACCTCCACCCCACAGGTTCAAGCGATTCTCCTGCCTCAGCCTTGTGAGCAGCTGGGATTAGACACGTGCCACCACACCTGGCTGATTTTTGTATTTTTGGTAGAGACTGGGTTTCTCCATGTTGGTCTGGCTGGTCTCAAACACCCAACCCCAGGTGATCCGTGCACCTCAACCTCCCAAAGTGTTGGGATTACAGGCGTGAGCCACTGCGCCCGGACCATGAACAGTCTTTAAAAAGTTCATGAGCCCTTTGAAGATTTATTTTAAAAAACTGTATGTTCCCAGGAATCTCAAGACTATGATCTCTTTTTTTTTTTTTTTGAGGCGGAGTCTCGCTCTGTCACCCAGGCTGGAGTGCAGTGGCGTGATCTTGGCTCACTGCAGGCTCTGCCTCCCAAGTAGCTGGGACTACAGGCATGTGCCACCACACCTGGCTAATTATTGTATTTTTAGTAGAGACGGGGTTTCACAGTGTTAGCTAGGATGCTCTCGATCTCCTGACCTCATGATCCACCGGCCTCGGCCTCCCAAAGTGCTAGAATTCCAGGCGTGAGCCACCGCACCCGGCCACGACTATAATCTTAAAAAATTAAGAAATGCAGCCAGGAGTGGTGGCGGGCGCCTGTAATCCCAGCACTTTGGGAGGCCAAGGCAGGCGGATCACCTGAGGTCAGGAGTTCGAGATCAGCCTGACAAACATGGAGAAACCCCATTTCTATAGAAATACAAAATTAGCTGGGCATGGTGGCACATGCCTGTAATCCCAGCTATTCAGGAGGCTAAGGCAGAAGAATCGCTTGAACCCGGGAAGCAGAGGTTGCAGTGAGCCGAGATTGTGTCATTGCACTCTAGCCTGGGCAACAAGAGCAAAACTCCATCTCAAAAAGAAAAACAAAAAATTAAGAAATGCTACTCTATGCAGACATTCTGTTTTTTTCTTTGTTTGTTTGTGTTGAGGCGGAGTCTCAATCTGTTGCCCAGGCTGGAGTGCAGTGGCGCGATCTGGGCTCACTGTAACCTCCGCCTCACCGGTTCAAGCAAATCTCCTGCCTCAGCCTCCCGAGTGGCTGGGATTATATGCACCTGCTACCACGCCCGGCTAATTTTTTGTATTTTTAGTAGAGATGGGGTTTCATCATGTTGGCTAGGCTGGTCTCGAACTCCTGACCTCAGGTGATCCACATCAGGTGACCCGGCCTCGCAAAGTGCAGGGACTACAGGCATGAGCCACTGCATCCAGCCAGAAATTATTCTTTTAACCTTTTTTTTTTTGAGACAGGGTCCTGCTCTGTTGCCCAGGCTGGAGCACAGTGGAGCAAACACTGTGGACTCGACCTGGGCTCCAGCAATCCTCCTCAGCCTCCCAAGTAGGTGGGACTACAGATGTACCACCACACCTGGATTATTTTTAAAAATTTTTTTGTGGAGACAAAAAAGTATCTTGTTATGCTGCCCAGGCTGGTCTTGAACTCCTGGGCTGAACAGATCCTCCTTCCTAGGCCTCCTCAAGTGCTGGTGAGCCACTGTACCTGATCAAAATCACTGCTTAGAAGACTTACTATTTTACTTCTAATTTATAAACACTTAAAAATGATCAAGAAGTAATTCTATATTGCATGCCATAGTTCATTCCCAGTTTGAGCTAAGAGCTTATCTTTTGATAGTGCTTTAGAAATTATGCTGGGAATTTTCCAAGACAATAATTATAACTTAAATGTAAGAAGACAAAGGTAACTTACAAGCCAAATAGGTAACGTCTCAGATATAAAAATTTAAAGTAGAACCCAATAAAAATTTCTATAGTCTTTCTATAGAAATGAAATGGTAGATAATAGTCTTTCAAGACAAAAATTAATCTTTTGTGCAATTATCATGTATTAACACCTTTTGAGACAGAGTCAACGTGGTGTGTATGTCCAATGGATGACATCAGATGTAAAGCAGAATTTTTTTTCATCTCTGACATTATGCTTCCAATAATCAGCACAAAAAAAAATCTCCAACAACTTTACCATTTCAAGTTCCTATTAATCTCAGATGAAAGAATATTTTTATTTTATTATTATTTTTTGAGACAGGTCTCACTTTGTTGCCTAGGCTAGAGTGCAGTGGCATGAACACAGCTCACTGCAGCCTTGACCTCACAGGCTCAAGCAATCCTCCCACCTCAGCCCTTCAAGTAGCTGGGACTATAGTATGCAAGCCACGATGCCCAGCTAATTTTTTTGTTGTTGTTTTTGTAGATACAGGGTTTCGCCATATTGCCCAGGCTAGTCTCAAACTCCTAAGCTCAAGTGATCTGCCCACCTTGGCCTCCCAAAGTGCTGTGATTATAGGCATGAGCCACGGCACCCAGCCAAGAATATTTGTTAAGTGCTTATATGCTAAGTATTTTGCCTATTTTATCTCCTTTAGCCTGCAAAACCTTGTATTACAAAAACTATGTTAAAGCTAAGAAAACTGTTTTTGAAACTGTCTCAAAAGCTTAAATAAGCTGTCCAAAGTAACACAGCTGCTAGCTTCCTACCTTCTTGTTCTCTTTGGCTATGTTCTCAAAGTTAAGGAAAAGAATACTTTTGTCACTCATACTAAATGCCTCTATCTATACTCTCATGATCATCCCAATCAGAGTAACTGCAATGTGACACACCATGTCATTTAGCTCACTTCTTTGTAGCAGCACTCACCATACTGTATAGTGATGTTTCTGTATATTTGGCTCTTCAATTAGATCACAAACTCCTCAGGAGTCAATTCATCAACAGTTCCAATCACAAAAAAAAAAGGTGCTCATAAATGCTGGGAGAATAAATGAATGACTGTGACAACTATAGTATATCTTAATTTTCCCTTCTAGAAACCGCTAAGTTACAGAAATCCTTTCTCCATCTTCACAGTTGTCAGAAAAAATAAATAAAAAGGCTTATACAAGAGCATGAAAATACAGAACAAACATCGAACAGGAAGCCAAAGCCCTGAACTTTAGTCTATACTTTATTAGTCTTATACCACTGGGCAAAGTAATAAGCATAAAATGATGGGTCAAAGGTGGGTTAAATTGCAAATATTACCCACAAAAGAATGAACGTAATTGTATTGATTTGACTGTTAGATTCTGTATTATTTTTAAATTCTGAATTTAACATTATACATATGAATCTTTCACTTGATGACTTTAAAATAAACCTATTTTGCTGCTTGTCTCTTCACGTTGGTATTACTGGATTGCATTATATAGAAGTTTCATAATTGTATCATATTTTCTTTAAATGTTTTCTGCTGTGTCAATTACTTTTTTAAAAGTTTCCTTTTTATAGCTGAGAGAAGTACAGATGCTCCTAGACTTATGATGGGGCTATATCCCAATAAACCCATCATAAGTCACAAATATCATAGGTCAAAATGCATTTAACACCCTGATAAACCCATTGTAAAGTAAAAGAATTGGAAGTTGAACCACTGTAACTCAGGAACCATCTGTATATTATATTTCCTTAAACCAAACTATGTTTCTTTTTTTCTTTTGTCTTTCCCAAGACTGGATCTTGCTCTGCTGCCTAGGCTGGATTGCAGTGGCTCAGTCATAGCTCACGGCAGTCTGGAATTCCTGGGCTCAAGCAATCCTCCCACTTCAGCCTCCTGAGTAATTAGGACTACAGGCACATGCCACCATCCCCGGCTAATTTAAAAAAATTTTTTTTGGCCGGGCGCAATGGCTCACAGTTGTAATCCCAGCACTTTCGGAGGCCGAGGTGGGCAGATCATTTGAAGTCAGAAGTTCGAGACCAGCCTGGTCAACATGATGAAACCTGGTCTCTACTAAAAGTTAAAAAAAAAAAATAGCTGGGAGTGGTGTCACATGCCTGTAATCCCAGCTACTCAGGAGGCTGAGACAGGCGAATCGCTTGAACCCAGGAGGTGGAGGTTGCAGTGAGCCAAGATCATGCCACTGCACTGTCCAGCGTGGGCGACAGAGTGAGACTCCACCCCAGACAGGGTCTGGCTCTTTTGCCCAGGCTGGTCTCAAACTCTTGACCTCAAGCAACCCTCCTGCCTTGGCCTCCTGAAGTGCTGGGTTATAGGCCCCAGCCATCATGCCTGGCCCCAAACTATGTTTCTTAACTAATATATATTTACTGCGCTCTCTCAAATACCTGGTACCACAATAAACAACAACAACAAACACAAACAAACAAAACAAATTTAAGATAAAATCTCCATGCCCTAATAAGAAGATGGCCTTCTTCAGTTTTATTTCTGCTTTTAAGAATGGTGGAACACAATTCCATCTTGTACCCTGTCTATCCACCACAGTACTCAGAGGTAATGAAATTCCTGATCCATATGTTTCCACATTTCAAGGACAAATGGCTCCGAAACCCAATAATTATGTTTGGCCTTTATAAGGTTCCAAGTCAGGCTGCAAACTTAGGTATATAGGGAGATCTAGGAACAGAAGCAGTTTTTGGGGGGATGTCATTGATGTAATCAAACAAATCTGAAGGTATGAGACTGCCTCTAGCTAGTGACCTCAGACATAAGGGTCTAAGACTTGTGCAATAATAATAAGGATATTCATAAACATGAGCATATATTTTGTTAGTTGTATTAAATTTCTCCAAGCAATAAGATTAGTAGTAATAATTAAACTGTAAAATGACTAATACTTAGTCAAAATCTTTTAAAAAATTTCAATTTCAAAATGACTTTGGATTTTTGGGACAAAGCTTTGTTTCCAATTTTAACTTTTTCTTAACTTCCAGGAAGAAAAACCTATGCATATAATGTGCTCATTTAAGAAAAAATATGAAATACTGTTATTTTTTATCAACTACTCATGAAGATGTATAAGAAAAGAAATTTTCTTCACCTGTAAGGGGTGGGATATCACGATTAACTGTTTCTTCTGCTTCTTCTAAACCATTGTTTAGTGATGGTCTCACTTGAACTGCTTGATTTGAGTAAGCTGCTCCATTAGTTGATGTAGTAGTACTGGTAGTGATCTCATCCACCTGTTCCATATCAAGTTGTTTTACTATTTCTTCAGCTTCCACAGCCTGTCCTGGAGAATCTGATCCTGACGTTCCTGAAATCATGATTCAGTGTACTATCATCATTTAAAAATGCACCTATTTAGAAAAACTAAATGCAGCATCACCGTACAATATATTTATTTAGACTGATCATTCCTGCAGGAACAAAGCTGAGTATATTGCTTTTAGAGAATCTTTGCTAGCTATTTCAAACAATGAAGAATAAAGACTTACAGGCTAGAGTAACATTTGTGAGCAAAGTTTCTGCATCCTAGTCATGTGTGCAATTGTAATTTTTCAACCAGAGGTATCAAAAAATTAGCTGTTCCCCTAATCATGAGAACCTTTTAATTAAAAGATATAAAAATAATTTCTCAGCAAAACTCCATCTCAATAACAAAGACTGGGCCAGGTGTGGTGACTCATGCCTGTAATCCCAGCACTTTGGGAGGCTGAGGCAAGCAGATTGCTTGAGCTCAGGAGTTCAAAACCAGCCTGGGCAACATGGCTGTCTCTACAAAGAATATAAAAACTAGCTGGGTGTGGTGGTGCACATCTGTGATCCCAGCTACTCATGAGGCTGAAGTGGGAGGATCGCTTGGGCCCAGAAGGAGGTCAAGGCTGCAGTGAACGGTGATCGTACTATTGCACTCCAGCCTGGGTGACAGAGCAAGACCCTGTCTCAATTAAAAAAGAAAAAATAATAATCCCAGGTCTTTCCATTTCCTTCTGGAATCTTCCAAATGTCATTTTAAACAAAAATAACAAAAAAAATTAACCTCCAATATTCTCAACTTCCTTACAGAACATTCCTTCTCCCTTGTTGCTTTAAGTTTAACCTCTTTCCTAAAAGGTTTTTCTGATACCCTTCCCTCAATGCTCTTTATTCTCCCATACCAATATACTAATTGAATCAGAATTCATTTATCTCCATTGCTACTATCCAATCGCTGGTTTTCCACTAATGTGCAAAAAAAGTCTGCTCTTTTGAGACTGATGTCACATGGCTATATAATTCTTCACTTATCCTCACTGCTGGCACCTACCATCTACTGCCAGAATCCTCTCAATCGCAAAGAAGTTTAATACATAGCTACTAGTTTACTGCTCTATTTAACACAGTATTTTTTCTAGTTGTTATTACAGATGATGTCAATGACTCATCCAATGACTAATCCTCAAAGTTCTTGCCCTCTTCAGCTCCAACCACCTTCACTCATACTGCTCTATATCAGTTACTACCATAGCTATAACCTGGACATTAACACTGAGAAACTTCACCTCTGAAGCCTAAAATTCTAATACTGTATTAACCACTTAGCACAACCTCCTAACCCTCAAATTATATATCTCATACTCCCATTATATGTGATCTTCAAACTTGATAAAGGCCAGTCTGTTTAATTCCAAACACGTCCCTCAAACACTTCTTCTCAACCCTCCTCATCTAGTTAGACTTCGTGGTGTATCACTTAAATACACTGTCAAACTGGCAGCCTCAGTATCCTTGATCCCTCATTCCTCCACTGTCATCCATCAAGAAATCCCTCTTGAATCAACGTAACCAACAGGCTTCTCAGACCCTAGTTGCAGGCTATGGAACAAAAAATACAATTACAAAGACTGGTCATAATCCAAATAAAACAGAGACACAGAGACAGGGAAAGGCAGGGGGAGGGGAGGAGGTAGGTGGGGGGGAGGGGGGAAGAGACAGATGTGGGAGTGGAGAGAGAGGTTGTGTGTGTATGGGGTGGGGAGAGAGAGACAGAGACACACACAAAGAAAATATCAATGTAAACCTTCACTATTCTTCCCAAGTCCCTTCCACTAGAACTATCATTAATGACACCATCTCTTCCTTCCAAGAAAACTCTATCAAACTTCAACTCCTTCTTCCCCAGACATCTATTTCTGTACACACCTTCAGAGATATACACACCTTCAGAGATTCTTTACTTCAGCATGAGGGGAAAATATTACTACTGGGGTTTGTTTTTTTTGTTTTGTTTTGTTTTTTGAGATGGAGTTTCACTCTTGTTGCCCAGGCTGGAGTGCAATGGTGCGATCTCAGCTCACTGCAACCTCGGCCTCCCAGGTTCAAGCAATTCTCCTGCCTCAGCCTCTTGAGTAGCTGGGATTACAGGTGGGTGTGCGCCACCATGCCCAGCTAAATTTTTTTGTATTTTTAGTAGAGATAGGTTTCTCCATGTTGGTCAGGCTGGTCTTGAACTCCTGACCTCAAGTGATCCGCCCATCTCGGCCTCCCAAAGTGCTCGGATTACAGGCGTTGAGCCACCGCGCCCAGCCTGAATATTTTTATTTAAATATTTCATGGCATCTCAAACTCAGCATGGTCCAAATTACACTCAATTATCTATCTCCCAGGAACTTTATTTTCCTTGAATCTTCTACTCTTGTGCCATCTTCATCTCTATTCTCTTTCACCTCCAATCTGCACCAAAAATGTGTCTATTTTCTATCCTCTGATCCTTCCTGTCTTCTCTAATACAATTAAGGTCTCATCAAGTCTCACACAAACGACTACAAGTCTACTAATTGTTCTACCTGCCTATGGCCTCTTCAGAATCTAGTCTACACACTACTGCCCAAGTGATCTTTATAAAACATAGATCTGATCGTATTATTCACCAGTTTAAAACCTTTCAGGCCGCTCTGCCTATGGAGGAGGAGCCATTCTTTATTCCTTTTTCTTTTTTTTTTTTTTTTGAGACGGAGTCTTGCTCTGTCACCCAGGCTGGAGTGCAGTGGCATGATCTCAGCTCACTGCAGCCTCCGCCTCCTGGGTTCAAGTGATTCTCCTGCCTTGAGTAGCTGGGATTACAGGCACATGCCACCACATCCAGCTAACTTTTGTATTTTTCTTTAGTAGAGACATGGTTTCACCATGTTAGTCAGGCTGGTCTTGAACTCCTGACCTCATGATCCACCTGCCTCGGCCTCCTAAAGTGCTGTGATTACAGGTATAAGCCACGGTGCCCGGCCTATTCCTTTACTTTCTTAATAAAATTGCTTTCACCTTGGGGAAAAAAACAAAACAAAACAAACTTTCAATTATCCCATACTTGAATAAAGTTCATCATCTTACTATGTTAGCTCTATTATATGACTTCTTCATAGCTCTCCTACCTTATCCCTTCTCAAATGCAATGTTCCATCAATTACAAACTACAAACAGCTCTCAAATACACTATGCTGTTTTCTGCTGCAAGGCCTCTACGCATGCTGCTCCTTCTACCTGGAATGGCTTTTGCCACTTTTCCAGATTCGGCTTTTCTTTCAAGCCTTTTGTGAGCCACTACCCCTGCCACCCAGAAGACAGGACCATTCCATTCTTTTTATTTTTTTTTACGTGGACCCCCTACTTGGCTGTCCAAGCTTGAGTGCAGTGGTACAATCACAGCACACTGCAGCCTCAAACTCCTGGGTTCAAACTGCTGGATTGAAGCATTCCTCCCACCTCAGCCTCTGGAGTAGCTAGGACTACAGGCGTGCACTACCACGCCCAAATAATTTTTACATTTTTTTGTAGAGACAGGGTCTCACTATGTTGCCCAGGCTAGTCTCAAACTCCTGCCCTTGAGCAATTCTCCTGTCTTGGCTTCCCGAAGAGTTCAGATTACCGGCATCAGCCACCACACCCAGCTCCCAAGGAGCTGTATATTATTAATGAGGTGGAAAACATACACGAGACATTGACAAAATATGCTAATAAAATAAAAAAGATCTTTTTAAAAACTATGTATTTTTTTGCTGGGCACAGTTGCTCACATCTGTAATTCCAGCACTTTGGGAATCCGAGGTGGGCGGATCACTTGAAGGTCAAGAGTTTGAGACCAGCCTGGTCAACATGGTGAAACCCCGTCTCAACCAAAAATACAAAAAATATTAGCCGGGCATGGTGGCAGGTACCTACAGTCCCACCTACTTGTAAGGCTGAGGCAGGAGTATTGCTTGAACCTGGGAGGCAGAGGCTGCAGTGAGCGGGGAGATCGCGTCACTGCACTCCAGCCTGGGCAACAAAGAGAGACTTCGTCTCAAGAAAAAAAAAAAAAAAAAACCCAAACTATGCATTTTTTTAAAAAAAATCCAAATCACAGTTAACAGTTTATACTTACCATTTTTATTTGCTGGTGAAAAAAAGTTGAAGACAGGTGAAAATATGGTCCCCAACAAAGTAGTCCTTGGAGGACTGCCAGAGGAAGGATTATCTTCTAATTTTCCATTTTGTTTTACATGTTGATTTGTCATTTCATAACTACCAGCTTCTAAAAAAGAAACAAGAAAAAAGTCATGATCTAGAAAACACTGAATTTCAGAAGTGTGTTATAAATCATTCATTATAGAAGTAACTCTTTTTCCCTCAAAATACTTCACGAAAGCTAATTAATGTTAATGTTCAGGAAAGCTTATTAAAGAAACATTGAGGTAAATTACTCGTAAGTCAAATGCTCTTTATGTATCAATGTGTTTATAATGCTAATATTTACTGAGTTTTTTCAAAGTAGATTTACACCTATAGACTGAAAGGCTTCAAATCAACACAGTATAACACAAAATGAAGAAAATTCTTTGTAAACAAGCAAACTAGTTCCCACCAACTAAAACACAAATAATTTTATTTTTGTTTACATTCTAGGACGGTTCTAATTCATAAAACCTTCCCTCACATCTGCTTCTATCTAATGAATGACAGCGAAATGAATAGAGGCAACATAACTCTACTGAAGCAAAAGGCTATATATAGCAGTGTCAAAAATTACTTATGGACACTGAGACGCCATCTCAGAGTGGCTAGGGAAAATAATTTTAAGTTTCCTGTAAATCAAAATGTTCCACAGATCTTTTAAGAATATAAAAGTAAAATCAATCAACTGTTCTAATTAATCATCCTTTGATTCTCCTCAACTTTTGATGTCTACAACACTTATTTCCTTCTTTGCTATGGTTCTTTTAACTTGTTTCTTTCTCTATTTTGTCCCCCTTGTCTTGTCTCAGTCTTTTTCTCCCTCCTGGTTTGTTTTTTCTAACAATAAAGATATATTGCTGCACTGGGCAGAGACAAGGGGAGAAATTGCTGCTGTGTTTAAGATAGCATTCGTTAAAACAGTACTCCATACTCTAAAGCAGGGGTCCCTAACCCCATACCCACTGGTACCAGTCCGCAGCCTATTAGGAACTGGGCCGCAGAGCAGGAGGTGAACAAGCATTAACGCCTGAGCTCTGCCTCTACTACCTTATCTGCAGATAAGCTGCTGCATTAGATTCTTTTAGGAACACGAACCCTACTGTGAACTTTACATGCAAGGGATCTAGGTTGTGCGATCCTTATGAGAATCTAACTAATGTCTGATGATCTGAGATGGAACAGTTTCATCCTGAAACCATTCCCATCACTGTCAGTGGAAAAACTGTCTTCCACAAAACTGGTCCTTGCTGCCAAGAGGTTGGGGACTGTTGCTCTAAAGTGTTATTCTTTATAGCTGTCTCTGCTTTTCCTTAATGCTATTCTCCTTCTTTTTGACTTTGAGGAGTTTCTCTGCTATGCAACAAGGTATTGACAGAGTTTATCAACAGCGGCAGTATTGACATTTCAGTCTAATTCTTTGTTTTGAAGAGCTGTCCTGTGTATTGTAGGATGTTTAACATCTCTGACATCCACCTAGTAGACACTAGTAGCCACCCCTCCACAAGTTGTGACAACCAAAAAGGTCTCTAGATATTGACAAATGTCCCTTGGAGGAAAAAATCACCCCTAGTTGAAACCTACTGGACTAAGTGATGCAAGTCCCCTCTGAGCTCTTAAGTAGAATAATCTAGGAAGAAATTTGGTATATATTTCAATTAAATTAAGTCACAATTATTATTGCTTTAAGAAATGAGTTTATTTAGATGTTCAAAATGTTGATCCACATACATTTTTATGCTAAATAGCATAAAGGTATATACTCTATCTTTACTTACTTTAATTCAAAGTAAGATTCAAATTAGCACATTTTTATTTCACTTCATGTTACTAATAATACAAAGATTACAAAATTAAGGCAAAAATTACTCAAAGTAGTTTTGTTTTGTTTTTGAGACAGAGTCTCACTCTGTCACCCAGGCTGGAGTGTAGTGGCACAATCTCAGCTTACTGCAACCTCTGCCTCCCGGGTTCCAGCGATTCTCAACCTTCAGCCACCTGAGTAGCTGAGATTACAGGCATGCGCCACCACGCCTGGCTAATTTTTTGTGTGTGATTTTAATAGAGACGGGGTTTTGCCACGTTGGCCAGGCTGGTCTCAAATTCCTGGCCTCAAATGATCCGCCGACCTCGGCCTCCCAAAATGTGAGGATTACAGGCATGAGCCACTGCACCCGGCCTCAAAGTAGAGTTTTAAAAATAGATAAGAAATGTGTCAGGTGAGATCTCTGCTTACACCTAAATAAAACAGTATCTAAATATTAACAAACCTCCATTTACTTGACTTTTCCGTCTTACTCGAGATATCTGTTTGTTAGGTTTTTCTCCTGCTCTTGGTGTTGACGTGATCAAATTGTTATCTATATCACGTTCAATTCTACTCCGTTTTGAAGGATTTTCTCTCTCTTCCTTAAGATATAAGAGAAAAAAAAACACACTAAGCACAATCATTCTGCCTTACAGGTTACAATATTAAAATGAAAAAATACGGTATAATATACTTTCCTCTGCTTTTCATATCCAGGAAAAACAAAATGCAATTATAGGTAATATCAACACAGAAAAAATTTGACAGGGCTGTAAGAACATGAATGCAATTACAATATACAAATACAATTACAGCATCCCTACAATTCAGATCCCTTCCCCAAGGTCCATTAAGTTTTCCATGCTATCAAAATATTGAATTATAGAATGTGCTCTGAATCTTCAAAAGCTTTCCCTCATTTTTAGAAGTGTCCTTAAGAACAGAGATAATTTCCTTAAGCAACTCAGGGTAGGAGAGGGAGCCCCACTGAATGTGCTGGCAAGTCACATATAGCCCAAAAATAGAGGGTGGGGATAAAGGTGGGGCCTGGCACTGCCACACCCGCACTGCCTACCTCAATTATTCAATTACCAGAATAAATAATATAGAGTCTACCCCTTAACAAAGCTCTCTATTTGCTACCTTATATGGGGCAAGTCCCCATGACCAGTTTATACTATTCTTGCAGTACTAATGGACTAAAATAGTATACTTTCAGCCATTAGGATGATTTATGTTTTACTATTTATATATATAGTTTTCTAATTTGTAAATTTTTTTTTTTTTGAGACAGAGTTTTTCCTCTGTTGCCCAGGTTGGGGTGCAGTGGTGTGATCTTGGCTCACTGCAACCTCAACCTCCTGAGTTCAGGCGATTTTCCTGCCTCAGCCTCCCGAGTAGCTGGGATTACAGGCGCCCACCACCATGCCCAGCTAATTTTTGTATTTTTAGTAGAGACGAGGTTGGAATTACAGGCGTAAGCCACTGTGACCAGCCTCATTTGTAAATTTTTTCTAGAGTCATGCACATGAGTGATTTTTTCTTTTTCTTTTTTTTTTTTTTGAGACAGAGTCTGACTCTGTCACCCAGGCTAGAGTGCAGTGGCACGATCATGCCTCACAGCAACCTCCGCCCGCCTCCTGGGTTCAAGCGATTCTCCTGCCTGAGCCTCCCGAGTAGCTGGGATTACAGGCACGCACCACCACGCCCCGCTAATCTTTGTATTCTTAGTAGAGACAGGGCATCACCATATTGGTCAGGCTGGTCTCGAACTCCTGACCTCGTGATTCGCCTGCCTCGGCCTCCCAAAGTGCTGGGATTACAGGCATGAGCCACAGCACCTAGCCACATGAGTGATTTTCTAGTATTACTATAATACTGCCCTACATAATTCCTTACTGTTTTAATGAGACTACCTGAAATCTTTTGGTAAGGATTAGATCTTCAAATTTACATATTATATATAATTGATACATATAATCAACATTCTCATCTCTACTTTTTTGTATTTAATGTTTTTACCCTACAGCAACTAATAAAATGCACTAACATACATTTTCTACAAGTTGGATATTGCTGCATTATTTCTGAAACAAAACTTGGCATTGTAAATGGTGAAAATTACAATAGCATACAATAATGCCTCAGTGATCCACAATAAAATCCTTCCAATTCTGACCATGTACTATTCTCCTGTATTTTAAAATGAGGATCAGGGAGCCTCCTATCACAAACATGGAATCTTCATTATCAAAAAATACAGGAGCTCTCTTTATAAAGTCTTTGAAGAACAGAAATAATACAGCAGTTTCAACTACATTAAGTCCTAGCCTCCCCCTGAAATGTCCTAGTACAGCTGCTATAACATACATACATACATTCATGAAAACCTTGCATTCTGCAACAATAAAAGTAACAAAACTTATGGAAAAAATGGGTCCAGAAGGGGAGAGAGGTATGTTGGGGCAGATTAGTTCATGCCCCTGTAACTTTGTAACCATAGCACTAACAAAAACAATGATTGGAGCTGGGCTTGGTGACACATGCCTGTAATCTCAGCTACTTGGGAGACTCAGGTGGGAGCCCAGGAGTTCAAGGCTGCAGGGAGCTATGATTGCACCACTGCACCCCAGCCTGGGCAACAAAGTGAGACCCTGTCTCTAAAACAACAACGACTGGGACCACCAGAGATAACTTGGACATCCCTACGCAGGTAAGGCAGCTAAGAGGGCTGGAATGCTACCTCAGGGGATAATAAAGGGTACTAAAAACAATGAAGTAGAAACGGGCTTATGGGAAAAGTGAAGCTTTAAGCCAGCAGGGCTGCTGTTAAGTTGGGTACAAAAGGAAATGCAAACTGCCACATGTGAAGAGTCCCTGCTAGACCAGGGTGCACCTCTCTGGAGAGAGAATATCTGCTGCAGATTATCAGTTTTAATTAAAAATAAAAATAGGCCGGGCGCTGTGGCTGAAGCCTGTAATCCCAGCACTTTGGGAGGCCGAGGCAGGCGGATCACCTGAGGTTGGGAGTTCGGGACCAGCCTGACCAACATAGAGAAATTCTGTCTCTACTAAAAATACAAAATTAGCCAGGCATGGTGGTACATATCTGTAATCCCAGCTACTTGGGAGGCTGAGGCAGAAGAATCGCTTGAACCCGGGAGGTGGAGGTTGTGGTGAGCTGAGATCATGCTATTGCACTTCAGCCTAGGCAACAAGAGTGAAACTCCATCTCAAAAAATAAAAATAAAAATACAGGTGAAAGGACTTGTGCCTATGTAGCAGCTGAACTGGAGGCTTTTTACTTTCCTGATGAAGAGAATATCAAATTCAACTCTAATTATTCAGTTTGTTGTCTGGTTTAGAAGAAAATCATCTACAAACCCCTCCCCCCTACTATGTTATTGATACTACTCCCCTGTTTACCAATAGTGAGTAAGCTAAATAATATTATTGTAGGGGCACCACATATTGTTGCAGAACAGACTATAAGGCGGTCACTTTAGAACACATTCAAATACTTCAGGTTACAAAAACGGAAGAGGAAGCTATTAAGGTCAAGACTAAAATTCTGCAGTCATTGACAGTAAAATCATACTCTTCAGAATAATTCATTGAAATGCCTAATGATCCAATCCTTTTATTTCCCCCCAGTAGAGACAGGGTCTTGCTATGTTGTCCAGACTGGTCTTGAACTCCCAGCCCCAAGCAATCCTCCTGCCTCAGCCTCCCAAAGTGCTGGGATTACAGGCATGAGCCATGGTGCCCAGCCTGATGATCCAATTCTGAATGACAATTTGTCACCCAATCCTAGTCTTCTGTGAACATTCAACTGTAAAATTTGGGTATACTTTGAACATGGTAGGATTTTTTAGAAGAGGAAGACGAACTAGGAAAGACACAGTTTCTACATTACTATATAAGCTGTTTCACTAAATACAGTAATCCTACAATGTCTTCTCTAAAATCTGTATTTTTCTTTTTTCTTTTTTTCATGGAGGCAGGGTCTCTGTCGCCCATACTGGAGTGTAGTAGCACAGTCATGGCTCACTACAGCCTCAAACTCGTAAGCTCAAGCATTCTTCCTGCCTCAGCCTCCCAAGCAGCTAGGAATACAGACACATAACATCACGCCCTGTTAATGTTTTTATTTTTTGTAGAGACAGGGTCTCGCTATGTTGCCCAGGCTGGTCTCAAACTCCTAGCCTCAAGCTATCCTTCCACCTCAGTGCAAAATTTGTATTTTTCAAAGTTGTCTCTAAGATAGGTAATTAAGGGGAAAATGATGGGAAGGTGTTCTTAAATATATGAATCCCCATGTAAATACAGAGAACTGAAAAGGCAAGAAAAACCCATGGGCAACATTTACAACGAAACCAGAAGACAAGGTATCCCCCACACTCAAAAATGCAAGCAGATGAGAACAAACCAACAGGCACAATAACTAAATGTCCATATATACCAGTGCAAAGGAAAACAGAAATAAGCAACAAGTGAGGTGGCACACCTGAGAAAAGAAGCCCCAAATACCTAACAGGTAGGTAGTCACTGGAAACCACGGCAGGCCAATTTGAGAACAGCAAATGAAATAAGGGGGAGGGGAGTTGGGGAGTTGCTGTCCAATCCAATAGCATAGGGGGTCTATGGCTAGAATTGAAATGACAGGAACAGTCTGCTCCTATGAACTCTTGAAACTGACCAACTATGGCGCCCTTCTAGAACAAGTTTCCATACTTAGGAGGAAGTATTGGGAGTGGAATCAAATGTGAGTAGGGCAGGCACAGAGAGAAAAGACAGAGAAATTCCAAATAAACACATGGTAGAAATAAAAGACAAAACTCAAAAAGCATCACCAATATTTAAAAACACTACATAAAAACAAAATTTGTTCAAAGAGATACCCTGAACTACATAACTTTCTGAAAATTCAGAAAAACTAATTTCACATAAAAATGAGCAAGAAAGTATAGATATCAAATCCCACACAAAACTACTATAATGAAACACACGTGGAGCAGAACAATACCTCTATAGATAAAGAACACGTGTCAGAAAAAGATGCATAGGGAAAAGATAAAAATTATAATCTTCTATTTCAAAATCAGGCAAAATAAGAAAATATGAGGCTGGTGTGGAGGCCTGTAATTCTAGCACGTTGGGAGGTCGAGGCAGGAGCCTCACTTGAGGCCAGGAGTTTGAGATCAGCTTGGGCAACACAGCAAGATCCCATTTCTACACAAAAATTTAAAAATTAGCCAATCATGGTGGCATGTGCCTATAGTCCCTGCAACTCAAAGAGGCTGAGGCAAGAGGATCACCTGAGCACAGGAGTTTGAGACTGCAGTGAGCCATGACCATGCCACTGCAACCTGGGCAACAGAGCAAGATCCTGTCTCAAAAAAAAAAAAAAAAAAAAAAGGAAAGAAAATATGAGACATACAGCAGAGGAAGAAAAACTCAGAAACTAAGAAACAGAACAAAAAAATTCAAAAATTTTTACAAATCATTTCAGAAATAAAGACTATACTACAAGGGGCCCAAGAGAGTAAACAAAAGATTATACCTTATAAGAAAGAGGGTAAAATGAACAATTTTGTTCTTTTGAGAGCCAGGGTTTCACTAAGTTGCCCAAACTGGTCTCAAATTCCCAGGTTCAAGCAATCCTCCTGCTTCAACCTCCTGAATAGCCAGGACTATAGCTGATGGCCAGCACACCTGGCAAGGGAGAAAACTTGTTTTTTTTTTTTTGTTTGTTTGTTTTTTTTTAAAGAAATGAAGACAGACATAAAAACAAATGAAGAAAATGTAAAAGCCAGGAGTGGCATGTCAATTCAAGACACGTTTTATTATTTTTTATTTGTTTTTGAGACAGGCTAGACAGCCGTCACCCAGGCTAAAGTGCAGTCAGTGGCTCCGCCTCCTGGGTTCAAGCAATTCTGCCTCAGCCTCCCAAGTAGCTGGGATTACAGGTGCCTGCCACCACGCCCAGCTAATTTTTGTATTATTAGTAGAGACAGGGTTTCACCATGTTGGTCAGGCTGGTCTTGAACTCCTGACCTGAAGTGATCTGCCTGCCTTGGCCTCCCAAAGTGCTGGGATTACAGGCCTGAGCCACCAAGCCCCAGGTCAATCCAAGACATGTTCTAATTTAGCAACTTAAAAAAAATTATATTATCAAACGTTTGACAGAAACGCTTTTCATGTTGGAAGAAAATAGAATAACATTTAAAATAACCAAGAAAAAATGTGAGTTAAGGATTTTATATCCAGCAAAACTGATTTTCAAGCATAGAGGGCACTGTTATCAACATGCAAAAGCTCAGAATATGCTTCTCATGAGTCTTTTTTTTTTTTTTTTTTTTTTTTTTTTTTTGAGACAGAGTCTTGCTCTTCTTGCCCAGGCTGAAGTGCAGTGGTGCAATCTCAGCTCACTGCAACCTCCACCTCCCGGGTTCAAGCGATTTTCCTGCCTCAGCCTCCCGAGAAGCTGGGATTACAGGTGCCTGCCACCACGCTGAGGAAATTTTTGTATTTTCTTTTTTAGTAGAGACGGTTTCACCATATTGGCCAGGCTGGTCTCAAGCTCCTGACCTCAGGTGATATGCCTGCCTCAGCCTCCCAAAAGTGCTGGGATAACAGGCATCAGCCACCATGCTCAGCCCCACCAATCTTTTCCAAGGAATTCACTACAAAAATGAGCTTCAGACAATGATGCTAAGACTAATCATAAACATCAAGCACATCAAACAGATGGAGAACCTGTAGAACTAAGCCAAATTTGAATAAAGGATAGCATGTAATGAGTATGTGCTCAAAAAATGTAGACATAAAACTAAGAAAATTGGTGAGAAACACATACTAAATAAAGTTCTGCAGGCATCAGATAAATAGTACCAGATAAAATCCTAAATGCGTTGGGTGAATAACATAATGGAAAATATGTGAATACATATAAAATATCTTTGTGTTAAGTATTTTTTTTTTTTTGAGACTACGTTTCGCTCTTGCTGCCCAGGATGGAGTGCAATGGCACGATCTTGGCTCACCACAACCTCTGCCTCCCAGGTTCAAGTGATTCTCCTGCCTCAGCCTCCCAAGTAGCTGGGATTACAGGCATGCGCCACCATGCCCAGCTAATTTTTTGTATTTTTAGTAGAGACAGGGTTTCTCCATGTTGGTCAGGCTGGTCTTGAACTCCCGACCTCAGGTGATCTGCCCACCTTGGCCTCCCAAAGTGGTGGGATTACAGGCATGAGCCACCGTGCCTGGCAAGTACTTTTTTTTTTTTAAAAAGACAGGGTCTTGCCCTGTCACCAAGGCTGGAGTGCAATGGCACGATCTTAGCTAACTGCAGCCCTGACCTCCCAGGCTCAAGTCATCCTTCCACCTCAGCCTCCCAAGTAGCTGGGACTACAGGCACACACCAAGTCCAGCAAATTGAAAACAAAATTTTTTTGTAGAGACGGGGTTTTGCTATGTTGCCCAGGCTGGTCTGGAACTCCTGAGATCAAGGGATCCACCCACCTTGGCCTCCCAAAGTGCTGGGATCACAGGTATAAGCCACTGAGCCTGGCCCCCTTTTCTCCCCTTTTTATTAAAGACAGGGTCTTGCTCTGTCACTCAGGCTAGAGTGCAGTGGCACAATCTCACCTCACTGCAGCCTTTGTCTCCTGGGATCAAGTGATCCTCCCACCTCAGCCTCTGAAGTAGCTGGGACTACAGGTGTGCAGCACCACGCTTGACTAATTCGTTTTTAAAAGTTTTTGAAAAGACGAGGTCTTACTATGTTGCACAGGTTGGTCTCGAAATCCTGGGCTCAAGCGATCCTTTCACCACAGCCTTCCAAAGTCCTAGGATTAAAGGCATAAGCCATGGTGCCCAACCTTGTGTTGTGCACTTCTACTGTGCTCTTACTAATTATCTAGTTGTACCTGCTATAATCTCTGTAACTTCATTATGATTTAGTAAATTATTATTTTGCAATTTCAAAATTTTTCTATATAAAGTAATGCATCACATAACAACTGGGATATGTTTTGAGAAAAGCATCTTTAGCAATTCCATCACTGTACAATCATACAGCGTATTTACACAAACCAAGATGATATTATCTACCACACACCTATCGCTCTAGGCAACCCACCTGTTCGGCAAACTACTATACTGAATACTGTAGGCAATTATAACAAAATGTTAAGTACTCATGTACCTAAACACAGAAAAAAGTACAGTAAAAATATGGTATTATAACCTTATTGGACCATAAGGTGGTCCATGCTGACCTAAACATCATTACCTGGCACCTGACTGTATATATATATTTATGTGAAAACACAGCAAGAGTACTCTTCTGCTTTTGCTTTGCAATAATATATTCATTTAAAATACATTTACTTCTAAATTTTAAGTTTTACATAAAAGTTATTTCAGAATTTAGTAATATTTTAAAATAAAATTTGTGGCCGGGTGCAGTGGCTCGCGACTGTAATCCCAGCACTTTGGGAGGCCAGGGCGGGCGGATCATGAGGTCAGGAGATCGAGACCATCCTGGCTAACAGTGAAACCCCATCTCTACTAAAAAATACAAAAAATTAGCCAGCGTGGTGGTGGGCGCCTGTAGTCCCAGCTATTCAGGAGGATGAGGCAGGAGAATGGCATGAACCCGGGAGGTGGAGCTGGCAGTGAGCCGAGATCGTGCCACTGCACTCCAGCCTGGGCGACAGAGCGAAGACTCCATCTCAAAATAAAAAAAAATGTAACTTTTTAATACTTAATAATGAATCATTAGGTTACAACAGGGAGGTAAGAAGAGCTGTGATTTCAATCCATTGGTGCACTGCTGAAAAATAAGAAACTGACATATCAGGATTCTCTGACTCACAAAGCAGTAAATCTATTCCAGAGACTCTTGATGCAATTGTCAATAGCAAATGAAAGCATGATAAAGATATCTTCCCTTTGGCTGCATAAGGTTGTCTTACTACATCTTATGTAATAGAACATACTTAAATAGATGAGACATATTTAAATGGTGACAATTTAGTATACTGTCATTTGAGAATGAGTTTTTTAAAAAGGAATTTAATACTTTAAATATATACATAATGAGTTCTTTAAAAGCAAAAAGTGGTTAGTTTTTCAAACTAAAAATGAAAAAGCGTCTGAAGAATCTTTTTTTTTTTTTTTTGAGACGAAGTCTTGTTCTGTTGCCCAGGCTGGAGTGCAGTGGCATGATCTCAGCTCACTGCAAACTCCACCTCCCACGTTCAAGCGATTCTCCTGCCTCAGCCTCCCGAGTAGCTGGGATTACAGGTGCCCACCACCACACCCAGCTAATTTTTGTATTTTTAGTAGAGATGGGGTTTCACCATATTGGCCAGACTGGTTTCGAACTCCTGACCTCAGGTGATCCACCTGCCTCGGCCTCCCAGAGTGCTGGGATTATAGGCGTGAGCCACCACGCCCGGCCTGAAGAATCTTAAAGTTATCACACTGCATTGGTTGAAAAGGGGTAAACAATATCAGAGAGATAAATCTTTGCATAGTAGATAGTGCTGAAAGTCTGCTAGATAAAAAGTCAGTAAAAGAAGCATGCCCTCCCACTTTCCAATGCTAAGTTAAATCACTGAATGAAAGATTTATCTGCAAACATAAAAAAAGAAGTAATATCTAGTATGTAGAGAATTGTACTTCTGTGCCTTATTAATGTGGCCGGACTTGGTATTTTGCCTACATGTATTTATTTGATACCAGCACCAACTAATTAGCAAAGAGTTTTGTTACTGTGAATGCATGGTAACAAACAAAAGTGGTGAATCCATTTATTTATTTATTATTTATTTATTGTCTTTCAGTCCATTCTAGAACAACTTGTGTTAACATTTGTGCTAGCTATGCAAGAGCAACGGTGTATATAGTAACTGGTACCTTAAGACAAATCAACGCACTGAAACCCAACAGTCATTGTATTCTTTTCTTTTGAGATGGAGTCACCCAGGCTAGAGTGCAATGGAGTGATTTTGGCTCACTGCAACCTCTGCCTCCCGGGTTCAAGCAATTCTCCTGCCTCAGCCTCCCGAGTAGCTGGGATGACAGGCATGTGTCACCATGCCCGGTTAATTTTTATATTTTTAGTAGAGATGGAGTTTCACTATGTTGGCCAGGCTGGTCTCGAACTCTTGACCTCAGGTGATCCGCCTGCCTCAGCCTCCCAAAGTGCTGGAATTACAGGCGTGAGCCACCAAGCCTGGCCCATTGCATTCTTTATAGCCACGTTTAGCAAGTTGGGAGAGCCAGTTCCTCTCAAGAAAGTTCTTTCTTCTTTTTTAAAACAAAGACGACAGAGTCTCACTTTGTTACCCAAGCTGGAGTGCAGTGGTGCGATCTCCACTCACTGCAACCTCCGCCTCCTGGGTTCAAGCGATCTCCCGCCTCAGCCTCCTGAGTAGCAGGGACTACAGGCGTGTACCACCATGCCCAGCTAATTTCTTGTACTTTATTAGAGATAGGGTTTCACCATGTTGCCCAAGCTGGTCTTGAACTCCTGAGCTCAGGCAATCCACCCTCTGCCCTTCTCGGCCTCCTAAAGTGCTAGGATTACAGGCGTTACAGGCGTGAGCTACCGCACCTGGCCCCAAGAAAGTTCTTGATGAAGCTGTAAAACTGTTAAATCTCGGCCTTTATATATGAGTCTTAACATTCTGTGGGTGGTGGCTCACTCCTGTAATCCTTGCACTTTGGGAAGGCGAGGCAGGTAGACTGCCTGAGCCCAGAAGTTGGAGACCAGCCTGGGCAACACGGCGAAACCCCATCTCTTATAAAATATAAAAATTAGCCCGGTGTGGTGATGCAAACCTGTAGTCCCAGCTAGCTGAGGCGTGAGGATCACCTGAGCCTCGGAAATGGAAGTTAAAACAATGCAGGTTAAAAACAATAAGATACTCTACCCCTGTAGAAAGACTAAAGTTAAAAAGACTTACAATATCAAATACTGGTAAGAATGTGAGCAAGGGAAACTGCTTGAAATTGTTAAATGGAATGTTAGACGGTGAAATAGCTGGGCAGTTTCTCAAAAGTTAAAAAGTGTCTTCAACAAATGGTGCTGGGACTTAATGAAAATGAACATGCAAAATAATGAAGATGACTTCTTACCTCACACCATCTATAAAAATTAACTCAAATGTATCAAAGAGCTAAAAGTATAAAACTCATATAAGAAAATCTAGGGATACGGCTGGGCGCAGTGGTTCACGCCTGTAATCCCAGCACTTTGGGAGGCCGGGGCGGGTGGATCACAAGGTCAGGAGATCGAGACCATTCTGACTAACACGGTGAAACCCCGTCTCTACTAAAAATACAAAATATTAGCTGGGCGTGGTGGCGGGCGCCTGTAGTCCCAGCTACTAGGGAGGCTGAGGCAGGAGAATGGCGTGAACCCGGGAGGTGGAGCTTGCAGTGAGCTGAGATCGTGCCACTGCACTCCAGCCTGGGCGATAGAGCGAGATTACATCTCAAAAAAAAAGAAAATCTAGGGATAAATCTTTGTCACCCTGATTTTGCCAATAGTTTCTTGGATATACCAAAAGCACAAGCAACAAAATAAAAAATAAACAAAGTGGACTTCATCAAAATGTAAAAGTTCTGTGTTTCAGAAAGGGTCCACAGCATAGAAGAAAATATTTGCATATCTCTGAAAAGGGACTTGTATCTAGATTATATCAAGAACTCATGGCTGGGTGTGGTGGCTCACACCTGTAATCCCAGCACTTTGGGAGGCCAAGGTAGGATGATCTCTTAAGCCCAGGAGTTTGATATCAGCCTGGGCAACATAGTGAAACCCTGTCTCTACAAAAAATACAAAAATTAGGCCTGGCGCAGTGACTCAAGCCTGTAATCCCAGCACTTTGGAAGGCCAAGGCAGGCGGGTCACCTGAGGTCAGGAATTCAAAACCGGCCTGGGCCGGTGAAACCCTGTCTCCATTAAAAATAAAAAAAATTAGTTGGACTTGGTGGCATGTGCCTGTAATCCCAGGTACTCAGGGGGCTGAGGCAGGGGAATTGCTTGAACACAGGAGGTAGAAGTTGCAGTGAATGGAGACTGCGCCACTGCACTCCAGCGGGTGACAAAGTGAGACTCTGTCTCCAAAAAGTGGGGAAAGAAATTAGCTGGGCATAGTGGCACATGCCTGTAGTCTCAGCTCCTCAGGAGGCTGAGGTGAAGGATCACTTGAGCCCAGGAAGCAGAGGTTGCAATGAACCGAGATCATGCCAAAAAAAAAAAAACCACCTCTTACAATTCAATAATAAAAATAATACAATTAAAATACCAGACATTTCTCTAAAGAAAATGTAAATGGCCAAGAAGCACATAAAAAAGATGCTCCATACCATCAGTCATTAGGGAAATGCAAATCAAAACTACGACATACTGCTTCACACTCACTAGGATGGCTATAATAAAAAAGACAGACAATTACAAGTGTTGATTGTCCTCAAGACAACTGGAATCCTCATATTTTGCTAGTGGAACTGTAAAATGATGCAACCACTTTGGAAAACAGTCTGGCAGTTCCTTAAAAAGCTAAACACAAAGTTATCATATAACCCAGCAATTCAAGCTCTTACCCAAGACAACGGAAAACAGATGTCCATACAAAAATGTATACATGAATGTTCACAGCATTCTTCATATGGTCAAAATATGAAAACAATCCAAATGTTCATTAATTGATAAATGGATAATCAAAATGTGGTATATCCATACAACAGAATATTACTTGGCAATAAAAAGGAAATAGTGATATAATATATGCCACAACATGGATGTACTTTGTTTTTTCTCTTTTTTTTTTTTTAATTTTTATTCAATTCCCAGGACACAGCCCCAGGAGATCCTGAGAACAAATGCACCATGGATGCACTTTGAAAACATGCTAAGTGAAAGAAGCCAGACATAATAGACTATGGTTTCATTTACATGAAATGTCCAAAATATAGCAAAATCCATAGAGACAGGAAGCAGATTAGTGACTGCTTAGGGCTAGAGAGGAAGGGGAAATTTAGGAGCTAGAGGTTTCTTTTGAGGGTGATGAAAATATTCTAAAGTTGAGGCAATGGTTGCACAATTCTGTGCATGTACTAAAAGCTACTGAATTTATACTTTAAATGAATGAATGAACGATACTACTATACAACATAGTGCTGTGCCTATACTTAACTATACTATATTACATATTTAAAGTTTTCTAAGATAGTAGATCATAATAAAGGGGCAGGGTAAACTCTGGGAGGTGACAGATACGTTGATGGCCTTGATGATGGTGATGGTTTCACAGGAATATATTTATCCCCAAACTCATAGAGCTGTATACATTAAGTACAGCTTTTTATATCAAAAAATAATAAGTAAATAAAAGCTTCTACACTTCAAAAAAATGGGTGAATTTTCTGGTATATAAATTATATCTCAATAAAGCTGCTACAAAGAAGTTAAGCATACATCTTATGATCCAGCAATATCAATCTTATTTATCCAAATATTCCTAACAACTTTATTTATAATAGCCAAAAAACAGAAACAACTTAAATAGACAAATTGTGGTAGACTCACACACAGGAATACTACTCGGGGAGGGGAGGGGAAGGAATCAACTACAGATACATGTGGTAACGCGGAAGAAACCAAAAAATGTATGTTGTGTGTGTGAAGGAAGCAAGATAAACTGATTATAATCCTATGAAACTCTATAATGACAGAAAGATCAGTGGTTGTCTCAGGTGATGTTGGGTATAAAATAAGGATACTTTTTGGTCATGTGCATAAATCTGTCAGAATTCAAGAAAACAAACACTTTGAACAGGTGTATTTTATTGTGTTTAAGGTTTTTTTTTGAGAAGTCAATATAGGATATAGGAGGATAAATAAAATTCTAAAAAATAGCTAGTTCACTCAAATGACAGGAAAGGAAAAGAGAAACAAAAGATGGGACAAATCCAGAATACATAGTAAGATAGAAGACTTTAAACTCAAACATATTAATAATTACATTAAATATAAATAGACAAAATATGCCAATGTAGGCCAGGCGTGGTGGCTCACACCTGTAATCCCAGCACTTTAGGAGGCCAAGGTTGGTGTATCATCTGTGGTCAGGAGTTCAAGACCAGGCTGGCCAACATGGTAAAACACTGTCTCTACTAAAAATATAAAAATTAGCTGGGAGTGGTGGCAGGTGCCTGTAATCCCACTTACTCGGGAGGCTGAGGTAGGAGAACTGCTCGAATCCAGGAGGTGGAGGTTGCAGTGAGCCAAGATTGCGCAGCTGCACTCCAGCCAGGGTGACAGAGCGAGACTCTGTCTTTAAAATAAAAAAAAAAAGCCAATGTAAATATATACACACAGGTTTTATAAAGGCTGGAAAAACATATATCATGCAAATAGTAAGTAAGAAAACTGTATGGCTATATCAATATTAAAATAAACTTCAAAATAAATAATATCACTTGAGATAATGAGATACATCATAATATTAACAAGAACAAGTCATACGCTTATAAATACATGAAGCTTCAACATACATGAAGCAAATATTGACAGATAATGAAGTAGACAAATGCACAAAAATAAGTGATTTTAACATCCCTCTCTTAATAACCAATAAAACAAGTACATGAAAAAATAAGATAGCTGACTATGCAGTCGCCATTTTTTTTTTTTTTTTTTTTTTTTGAGACAGAGTCTCGCTCTGTCGCCCAGGCTGGAGTGCAGTGGCGTGATCTCGGCTCACTGCAAGCTCCGCCTCCCAGGTTCACGCCATTCTCCTGCCTCAGCCTCCCAAGTAGCTGGGACCACAGGTGCCTGCCACCACACCCGGCTAATTTTTTTGTATTTTCAGTAGAGACAGGGTTTCACTGTGTTAGCCAGGAAGGTCTCGATCTCCTGACCTTGTGATCCACCCACCTCGGCCTCCCAAAGTGCTGGGATTACAGGCGTGAGCCACCGCGCCCGGCCACCATTCTTTTGTTTCTTTACTTCTTTAATAAACTTGCTTTCACTTTAAAAGAAGATATAGAAAATTAGAATATTATCAACCATTTGGATATAATTGATATTTATAGAATACTGCACTGAACAACTCCGAAATATCACATATATTCCCAAATACATATAGAACATTCAACAAGATAGAATATGTGCTAGTAAGTACCAAAAAATACCAAAGAAATCAAATTATACAGAGTATATTAATATTCTTGAATCGAAATGAATAATCCATGGGTCAAAATAAATCACAAGAAAAATGAAGTAATAAAAAATAAGGTATCAAAATATATGGCATATAGAGAAAGGAATACTTTAAAATTCATACCTTTAAATACCTACATTAGAAAAAAAAATAGTGTAAAATTAATGTTCTAATCAAGGAAGTAGCAAGCTACAGCCATAGGCAAAATTCAGCACACTAATTGTTTCATATGGGCAAGAAAGTAAAAATATTTTTTGTACTTATAAATGGTTGGAGGTAAATACATCAAAAGAACAATAATATTTCATGGCACATGAAAACTATATGAAATTCAAATACAGTAGTTCCCCCTTATGCTCACGTGACACCTTTCAAAACCCTCCAGTGGTTGTCTGAAACCACAGACAGTGCCAAACACTACATATACTGTTTTTTCCTCCATATATATACACCTATGATAAACCTTGAATTATAAATTAGACACAGTAAGAGATTACCAATAAAATAGAACAATTATCAGCATCACTAGTCTTGTACTCTGGGGCCATTATTAAGTAAAATAAGGATTAATTGAATACAAACAGAGTGGTATCTACACAGCTGATATGATAAACAAGAAAGCTACTAAGTGACTAACAGGAGTACAGCATATACATATGGATACTCGGGCAAAGGGATGATTAATGTCCCAGTTGTGATGGAGCAGGATGATGTAAGATTTTATCATGCTACTCAGAAAGGTGACTAATTTAAAACTTACCAATTATTTCTGAAATTTCCCATTTAATATTTTCAGACCCTGGCAACCACAGGTAACTAAAACTATGGAACACAAAACCAAAGATAGGGGGGAACTACTGTACCCGTGTCCAAAGCCATGTTCATTCATTTATGTAGCCGTCTACAGTGGCAGTTGAATAGTAGCTGCAACAGAGACAATATTGTCCACAAAGCCTAAAATATTTCTTACCTGAAATATTTATAGAAAATGTTTACTGATATCTGATTTAAGCTCTCACTTCAAGAAGCTACAAAAGTAAAAGTAAATCAAACTGAAAACAGAAAATACTGAAAATAGTGGAAATCAATTAAACAGAATGAACAGTTAATATTAAAAATCCCTTTGAACGAATAATGAAATTGATAAACCCAAGCAAGACTCATCAAAATAAAGATCAATAAATTATCTAGATCAGGAATGAAAAGAGGAGCACCATTACAAATTCTATAGACAGTATTAAATTAATAAATACCAACAAAATATGATGTCAAATAAATCAACTTAAATTCCTTAAAAACATGTATGACTAAAACAAGAAAGAGAAAAGCTAAATAATCTCATCTATATTAGAGAAACTAAATTACAGTAAAAGATACCCCACAAAGAAAATTCCAGTTACATTTTAGAAATCCCACTCCAGAATTCAACAGTGAATTCTGCCAAATATTTAAGAATGAAATAACACCAATCGAACACAAGCTCTTTCAGAAGAGGAGGAACAGTCCTCAACTTGTTTTATGGCACCAGCTTAATCTTAATCCCAAAATTTAAAAACATTACAAATCAAGACAAAACTACAGAAGAAATCCTCCATGAATACAGATACAAAAATTCTTAAAAAAAAATCCCCAGCAAATCAACTCCAAGTTACGATTTCCATTCAAAAAAAAATTTATGTACTACTCTACATTAAAAGAATAAGAGGGGCCTGCCACAGTGGCTCATGCCTGTAATCCCAGCACTTCGGGAGGCCGAGGCGAGTAGATCACTTGAGGTCAGGAGTTCAAGACCAGCCTGGCCAACATGGTGAAACCCCATCTCTACTAAAAATACAAAGAATTAGCCAGGCATGGTGTCACGTGCCTGTAATCCCAGTTACTTGGGAGACTAAGGCAGGAGAATTGCTTGAACCCAGGAGGCAGAGGTTGTGGTGAGCTGAGATCGCACCACTGTACTCCAGCCTGGGCGAGAGAGTGAGACTCCGTCTCAAAAAAAATAAAATAAATAAATAAATAAGAAAAGAATAAGAGAAATCTGAAGCCAAAAAGCCTTTGAGAAAACTCAACAACAAAATAAAAACATTTTACAAACAGGAATAGAAAAGAACTTCCACCAACTAATAAAAGATAACTAAGAAAAACATCTAGCTAACATCATACCTAATGGTAAAACAAATTCTCTTCCCCTAAGGACAAGGCAAGGGTGTTGTTCTCACCACTGCTACTGAACATGGTAATACAGATCCTAACCAATGTAATAAGTGAAGAAAAAAATAAGTCCCAGTGATGACAAAGGGTAAGCAAAACTCTCATTATTTGGCATATGACATAATTATATATGCATAAAACAAGACAGAACCCTAGTTCCTTTAGTGGAGAACAGTATTTAGAAACCAAGATCTGGGTGCTATGTGCACACAGTTCAGCAGACAGAGCAAGGCAATAGAATCATGTGCCATACAATGTTTCAGTCAACAGCAGACCACATATAGAACAGTGGTCTCGTAAGATTATAATACTCTATTTTTACTGTTTCTTTTCTATGTTTAGCTATGCTGAGAAACATAAATACTTAACATTGTGTTACAACTGCCCATGATAATCAGTACAGTAACATTATGTTTTGTTTTGTTTTGTTTTTTGAGACGGAGTCGCGCTGTGTCACCCAGGCTGGAGTGCAGTGGTGCAATCTCAGCTCACTGCAAGCTCCATCTCCCAGGTTCACGCCATTCTCCTGCCTCAGCCTCCTGAGTAGCTGGGACTACAGGCGCCCGCCACCATGCCCAGCTAATTTTTTTTTTTTTGTATTTTTAGTAGAGACGGGGTTTCACTGTGGTCTCGATCTCCTGACCTCATGATCCGCCCGCCTCGGCCTCCCAAAGTGCTGGGATTATAGGCATGAGCCACCGCGCCCGGCCAATCAGTACAGTAACATTCTGTACAGGTTTGTAGCCTAGGAGCAAAAAGCTATACCACATAGCCTAGATAAGTAGTAGAATACACCATCTAGATTCACATAAGTACTATGATGTTCACATGATGACAAAATTGCCAATTAGTGCATTTCAGATTGTCAAGTGACACATGACTAAATATAAATACATGCTTGTGTGTGTGGTGGTGGGAAGAGAATGAATGAATATGAATGAATCTTAAACTGTCGTTTCCTCCATAAATTCCACCAGTTAGTCTGAGCTGATTTTTTTTCATTCCATAGTAAGTGGCAAATTACTTCAATTAATCAAGTAGTTAAAGAAACTTAATAAGGCCAGGTGTGGTGGCTCATGCCTGTAATCCCATTACGGGAGGCCAAGGCGGGTGAATCACTTGAGGTCAAGAGTTCTGGCCAGGCGCGGTGGCTCACGCCTGTAATCCCAGCACTTTGGGAGGCTGAGGCGGGTGGATCATCTGAGGTCAGGAGTTCGAGACCAGCGTGGCCAACATGGTGAAACCCCGTCTCTACTAAAAATATAAAAAAATTAGCCAGGCACGGTAGTGGGTGCCTGTAATCCCATCTACTCAGGAAGCTGAGGCAGGAGAATTGCTTGGACCAAGGAGATGGAGGTTGCAGTGAGCCAACATGGTCCCACTGCACTCCAGCCTGGGTGAGAGTGAGACTCCGTCTTTAAAAAAAAAAAAAGAGTTCAAGACCAGCCTGGCCAATATGGTGAAACCCTGTCTCTACTAAAAATACAAAAAATTAGCCAGGCATGGTGGCACATGCCTGTAATCCCAGTTACTCAGGAAGCTGAGGCAGGAGAATCGCTTAAAACCAGCAGATGGAGGTTGCAGTGAGCCCAGATTGTACCACTGCACTCCAGCCTGGGCGACAGAGCAAGACTCCATCCAAAAAAAAAAAAAAAAAAAAGAGGAGGAGGAAAATTCCCAAATAAAACTACAAAGTTTGGCAAATCAGAGTTAAAGATTTTGAACAAAAATGTTCATCTAATCATGTTTTTCAAACTAAGAAATTTAACCCATTAATGTATTATCAAATCAATTTAAATTAATACAATCACCTTTAGAAGAAGAAACAAAACAGAAAAATCAGAGCACATCACATAAATTAAGGGTGATTTTTGTTTCACATGAAAGTATTAGCCATGTGTTTCTTTTTGTAGACCACAGTTAAAAGGTCTAAAAACAGGTATTTCATTAAAACTGCATTCATATGGAAATTTATGATCCTTAACTGTAACATCATTTAGTTAAGAATAGAGGAAAAGGTCATTTTGTTATGAAGAAAACTCTGGAAATGCCATATTTGGAAAAATACAGAGATTCATGGTAGAAAACAAATATATTTTAGTTGTGAGGCCTTCAATTACATATTAGAAATCTCATTGTGCTAAAAAGCAGAAAGGCTGCACACGAACAATTCCTGAATAATCTTGCTGATAATTTCATAAATCTGAAGTCTTTGAATCACAAAATCTGTATTTGAGAGACCAAAGATTTCATTCACACTGAATAGTGTTACCCCAAAGTTTATGTTGAAGCCCTAACCTGAATACTTCAGAACGTGACCGTATTTGAAGATAGGGCCTTTAAAAAAGTAATTAAAAGGGTTTTCTTGGCCAGGTGTGGTGGCTCACGCCTGTAATCCCAGCACTTTGGGAGGCCGAGGCAGGCAGATCACTTAAGGTCAGGAGTTCAAGACCAGCCTGGGCAACATGGAGAAACCCCATCTCTATTAAAAATACAAAAAGTAGCCAGGTGTGGTGGCACACACCTGTAATTCCAGCTATCCAGGAGGCTGAGGCACGAGAAATCGCTTGAATCCAGGAGACAGGTTGCAATGAGCTGAGACAGCGCCACTGCATTCCAGCCTGGGCGACAGAGAGAGACTCTGTCTCACATACACGCACAAAAAAAGGAGGATTTCTTCAGGTGGCCCCTAAAGAAGTATGACCAGTGTCTGTAAAGATGCAGACACAGACCATACACAGACCGAAGACTGACCATGTGAGGGGTGTGAGGGGCAGCCATCTATAAGTCAAGAACAGAGATCTAAGAAGGAAGCATGTTGGCCAGCATCTTGTTCTTGGACTTCTAGACAGCGTCCAGCCACTTTGACAGACAATAATAAAGGAGAAATAATACAGGTATCAGTTAAATACATATGAGTTTAAATCCTAGCAGCACCACTTATTGGAGATGCAGTAGTATACAGTGGTTAGGAGTGTAGGCTCTGGAGCCAGGTAAACTAGGCTCCAGCTTTGCCACTTAAAACTAAGTAACTTTGCGCAAGTTATTATTTAACCTCCCTGTGCCTCAGCTTCCTCATTTGTAATATAAAAGTAACACCTATCTCATATGGTTTGTAAGGCTTAAATTATTACACTTTAAACACTGAGGACAGTGCTTGGCAAATAGTAACTGCTTACTAACCATAAGTAAGAGCTGTTGCGGGCGTAGTGGTACATGCCTGTAGTCCCAGCTACTCGGGAAGCTGAGACAGGAGAATCGCTTGAACCCAGGAGGTGGAGGTTGCAGTGAGCAGAGATCATGCCATTGCACTCCAGCCTGGGCAACAAGAGTGAAACTGCATCTCAAAAGAAAAAAAGTAAAAGCTGTCGTATTGGTCTTCACTGTTATTTTTTAACCTGGGTAGGTTATTATTATAATTATTGTTGTTATTGTTACTATTGACACTGCAAGTTACCTAAATTCATTAAGTCTGTTGTTCTCACCTATAAAACATCAAAAGATGGTTAATATTCAATAGGTTTTAGCTGTGAACTCCTACCCAAATTTTGAAAAAGACAATGACACTGTATTTAAGATACATACGTAAGCAAGCATTGTCTAGACACTCAACGCAATTTTAGAATATGTGATTAAGAATATGGTTTATGACATTGTAGATAAGAAAGCAACAATAATTAAAAGCCATATAAGCTCATTAAGACTAATATGTGACAAATTAACCACATTATTTACTCCTAACACAGGATTAGTTGTCTGGGAAAATACAATTGTGATTTCACTCCGATTTTAGTAAAGCATTCAAATATTAATTTCAATAATAATCTTATAGAATATGATTTTTAAAATCTGAGTTCAGTTACAGCACAATAAAGTGAATTTGTAGCTGTATGAAAAACCTTACCCAAAAATGTTAATTAATAAATAAGACAGCCCGGCACAGTGGCTCATGTCTGTAATCCCAGCACTCTGGGAGGCTGAGGTGGGCAGATCACTTGAGGTCAGGAGTTCAAGACCTGCCTGGCCAACATGGCAAAACCCCGTCTCTACTAAAAATACAAAAATCAGCCAGGTATGGTGGCAGGCGCCTGTAGTCCCAGCTACTCGGGAGGCTGAGGCAGGAGAATCACTTGAACCCAAGAGGCGGAGGTTGCAGTGAGCTGACATCGTGCCACTGCATTCCAACCTGGGCGACAGAGCAAGATTTCGTCTCAATCAATCAATCAATCAACATTAGCTTACAAACAGATTTTTGCCCGATCTTATGTAACATCTTTGAGTAATGAGGCATTAATGAAAGATCTTAGATTTAGCTAAAACAAAAAAAGAAACTTGGACAAAAATTTCTACAGAAAAATCCTCCTGAGTGGCTGGGCACGATGGCTCACGCCTGTAATCCCAACACTTTGGGAGGCTGAGGTGGGCAGATTACTTGAGGCCAGGAGTTCAAGACCAGCCTGGGCAACATGGTGAAACCCCATCTCTACAAAAACACAAAAATTAGCTGGGCATGGTGGCACACACCTATAGTTCCAGCTACTTGGGATGCTGAGGAAAAGGATCGCTTGAACCCAAGAGGCAGAGGTTGCAGTGAGCTGAGATTGTGCCACTGCACTCCACCCTGGGCAACAGACCAAGACTCCGTCTCAAAAAAAAAAAAAAAAAAAAAAAAGTCCTGAGTGTTCTAGTTCAAGAGTCCCCAGCCTCTGGGCCATGGAACGGTACCAGTCCATGGCCTGTTAGGAATGAGGCCACAGAGAAGGAGGTGAGCGGTGAGCCAGCAAGCATTACTGCCTAAGCCCTATCTCCTGTCAGATCAATAGTAGCAAATTCTCATAGGAGCACGAACTCTAGTGTGAATTGTGCATATAAAGGGATCTACACTGTGTGCTCCTTATGAGAATCTGATGCCTGATGATCTGAGGTGGATCAATTTCATCCCCAAACCATTAACTAAACCCCACCCTGGCTGACCTGGTCCCTGGAAAAATTGTCTTCCCTGAAATCAGCTGCTAGTGCCAAAACGGTTGGGGACTGCTGTTCCAGTTGACATGAGCCAAAATTTGCTGACCAACAGAGATTAAGCTACTAAAGAAGGACAAAAAGTATAATTTAACACAAAACCACATTAACAGAAACAATTCAGCCAGGCTCAGTGGCTCACACTTTGAGAGGTCCAGGCAGGCAAACAGCTTGAGACCAGGAGTTTGTGACCAGCCTGAGCAACACGGTGAAGCCTTGCCTCTATTAAAAAATTCAAGTAATTAGCCAGACATAGTGGCAAAAGCCTGTAGTCCCAGCTACTTGGGACGCTGAAGTGGGAGCATCACCTGAGCTGGGAAGTCAAGGCTGCAGTGAGCTGTGACTGCACAACTGCACTCTAGCCTGGGCAATGGGAATGAAAGAAACAATTCACTGTCAAAAGAAGTACGCTGATCCTTGAACAACCTGGGTTTGAACTGTATTGGTCCATTAATACACAAATTTTCTGCTACCTCTGTGACAGAAAGACCAACCCCTCCTCTTCCTCAGCCTAGAAGATAATGAGGATAAGACCTTTATGATGCTCTACTTCCATTTAAATAGTAAACATATTTTCTCTTCCTTATGATTTTCTTAATAACATTTTCTTTTTTTCTAGCTTACTTTATTGTAAGAATACAATATAAAGCCAGGTGTGTAATACCAACACTTTGACAGGCCAAGGTGGGATGACTGCTTGTGGTCAGGAGTTCAAGACCAGCCTGGGCGATATAAATGAGACCTCATCTCTTTAAAAAAAAAAAAAAAAAAAAAAAAGGGAGAGAAACTTTAAAAATAGCTGGGCATGGTGGTACATGCCTGTAGTCCTAGCTATTCAGGAAGCTGAGATGGGAGGATCAACTCAGCTCAGGAGTTCAAGGCTGCAGTGAGCTATGATAGTATCACTGCACTCCAGCCTGGGCAATAGAGTAAGATCCTGTCTAAAAAAAAATTAGAATACAGTATAGAATACACATAACATACAAAATATGTGTTGAATGATTGTTTATGTTATTGGTAAAGCTCTGGTCAACAGGAGGTTATTAGTGTTAAGTTTTTGGAGAGTCAAAAGTTGTATGTGGATTTTCAACCACATGGGAGAGTCAGCATCCCTAAACTCCACATTGTTCAAGGGTCAACTATAAATATGAATAGAATTCTGAAGACATAACAAAAACCTATCTTCACTTCTGGTTTTTATCTTTCATGAATAACAGATAAAGGTGACCAAGATAATGATAAATATCATATGTCATATAAGGAAAACTAGAAATAGCTGCCCTGTATAATGACTGAAGGTTTGTACTTGCACATGTAAGGAAACACAGATCTGTTTTCAAGTGGAAAAAACTACAAAAAAGTAACATGAGAAAGCAAAAGATGAGGACGCACTTTATGACAACTAAAGCTGCTCAGAAGAATGAAGTAATAATACGTAGCAAGGTTCCCATCAACAGAGGCTGATGACAACCCATTAGGAATTTATAGAGATGGAAATTCAGGTTTCTGGAAGATATTTCATCTTTGTTATATGATAACATTAGAATATTTTCTCAGTTTACATAAATTCAGAAACTTTTTAAAATTTCTAATTACTGAAAATTAACAAAGAAATTATAGTATTAGAAACAAACAAAAACAAAAAATAAAACCACCAAAACAAAAATTAAAACCCTATGCAAACCAAGAATACTTCCAAATCTTGCCCAGTGACTTACAGTAATTAGGCTTTGTTAATTCTATTACAACAAAATCTATCCCTATGAACAAGTCAGCCAGTAATTTATTTTTCTGCTTAAGAAAGTAATACACTTCCATTATAATGAAAAATTTACCATATAAATAATTATTCTAAGAACACAAAAATAGTAAAGTCATAAAAAAACTACACACAATCAATAATACTATACATTGATAGAGTGCATTAAAGGTGATCAAACTGAGGCCGGGCGCGGTGGCTCATGCCTATAATCCCAGCACTTTGGGAGGCCGAGGCGGACGAATCACAAGGTCAGGAGATCAAGACCATCCAGGCCAACATAGTGAAAACCCGTCTCTACTAAAAATACAAAAATTAGCTGGTGTGGTGGCGGGCGCCTGTAGTCCCAGCTACTCGGGAGGCTGAGGCAGGAGAATCACTTGAACTCGGGAGGCAGAGGTTGCAGTGAGCGGAGAATGCGCCACTGCACTCCAGCCTGGAGACAGAGCAAGACTCTGTTTCAAAAATAAATAAATAAAATAAAATAAAATTCATCCAACTGCTTTTCTACCTGTTGTACCATCTAATCTGAAAACAACTCTGAGATAGACGAAGCAGTTGGTATCAGTGCCATTTACTATCTTCCTGAGGCTTGGGGGGTAAATGACTCTCTCCTTAGGTCACTCAAGTTGGTCCAGAATATGAATCTGGAGTACAAGACTCCTGGTCCGTGTCCATTCTTTCTTTATGTTCTTTTCTCTTTAACGAAGCAATACATCTTCATCATACAAATGTTAGAACTTGAATAGATGAGAGACATCACCTCCCTAGACAGTGAATATTAACAAGAAACTTTTTCTTTGAAAGAAAATGAAAGTAAAAGAAACAACTCAAGTAAAAGAACAAGGAAAAATTTATTTTGCTTCCCATAATACTATGTTGAAAAAGCAGAAGGCTACGTGGATTAGTTCAGTGGAATAATGTTCTTCTTAAACTGCCATTAAATATTCTGCATGTAAAACTCTTAGAAGTAAAATTAACACCAAAACGTAGTTTTTGGTGCGCTATCAGATTTCTCATCTACACATGCTTAGAGAAAATATCATAATTGTCACTATTTTTTTTTGAGACGGAGTCCCGCTGTCGCCCAGGTTGGAGTGCAGTGGTGCGATCTCGGCTCACTACAGGCTCCGCCCCCTAGGGTTCAAGCCATTCTCCTGCCTCAGCCTCCCGAGTAGCTGGGACTACAGGCGCCCGCCACCTCGCCCGGCTAATTTTTTGTATTTTTAGTAGAGACGGGGTTTCACCGTGTTAGCCAGGATGGTCTCGATCTCCTGACCTCGTGATCCACCTGCCTGGGGCTCTCAAAGTGCTGGGATTACAGGCGTGAGCCACCGTGCCCGGCCAATTTTCACTTTTAATGATATGAAAGTATATGGTAAAATCATTACCTTAGGTGTGCTTCCTTTAATAAATTTTTTAATTGAAGACAACAAGCCGGTTTCATTCTTCGATGGTTTTTCTCCTCCTGAAGGCAGGCTATCATCAACCTCTGAATATTTCCTCTTTGCTCTGGCAGTGCGTTGTGTTTGGATTTGATTTGACTGCTGAGAAGCTTTCCGTGTTCTCAGCCTCATCTTTTATGGGTGCCACATGTAAAACTAAAAGAGAAAAATAATAAATGTAATAAAAAATTAAAAGTTATTAAATTCAACCTTCTCTACCCAAATGTGCCCAGCTTATATAATAAAAATATCTTGGCTAAAAAAACAAAAGTCCTAGACTCTAGGAGACTGCAGTAAGAAACCAACATTTTAAGTAAAAGGCATTATGCTTTATACATTATTTATATTATCCCAAGTAACCTTCCCAACAACCTCTGAAATATTATAATATATCCTATGATCTAAAGTAAGGGTAACACCAAGGAGTGTGCATGCTCTTTACATAATACTATACTGCCTGCCAACACTACTATTCGTTTAATCGTTCGTTCGACAAATATTTATTGCATACATAGCCACATTCAAGGCACTGGGCCAAGTAAGAATTGAGTAAATAGTAAACAAGATAAGGAAAGGTTTTGCTTTTCTGTAACTCACTGGGTAGTGGAAAAGTAATGTCAGCCAATGAATGAATGAATTCCATGAGCACAATTCTAATAATCAACAACCATATAAGTGTAACAACAGAATGTGGATCATTTTGAGAAAGTCCTATCTTACCACATTTAATGATACTTTTAAAACGATTCACATCAGAAAGAAAATATGAGGCTATTTATTTGAGCTCTCTCATTTTATAGGTAAGACAATTAATTGCTGGCAAAACTGTCCCAACACTTAGAATTAAAGACATAACTGAATTAGAATCTGTGAAACACAATACAAAGAATACTAAACGAAGAATTAAGAGATGTGAATTTTAATCCTACTCCAATCATGGCTAATCTGTAGTCACTTAGTTATGTTTTATCACATGTATAAAAAAACATATTTACCTTACCATTCTGAGGCTCAAAATGAAAAAAGGACTAGTAAAGGCTATAATGTGCAAAGGACAATAAAGCTATTCACCATAGTGGATACACTCACAGAACAAACTAACTCCAATTAAGCACTTTAAACTCTAAATGTACAGAAATTCCTGGCAAAGATTAGAGTCTCAGAAATTGTTTTTAGTAACTCAACAAAACAATCATAGAAAAAAAAGAAACTTTTTAAAAAATAGAAACTACAGGCTGGGCACGCAGTGGCTCACACCTGTAATCCCAGCACTTTGGAAGGCCAAGGCAGGTGGCTCACCTGAAGTCAGGAGTTCCAGACTAGCCTGGCCAACATGGAGAAACCCTGTCTCTACTAAAAATACAAAAATTAGGTGGGCGTGGTGGCAGGGGCCTGTAATCCCAGCTACTCTGAAGGCTGAGGCAGGAGAACTGCTTGAACCCGGGAGGCGGAGGTTGCATTGAGGAGAGATCACACTATAGCACTCCAGCTTGGGCAACAGAGCGAGATTCCATCACTACCCTCTCCCACCCCGCACCACCCCCCCCAACCAAAAAAGTGCCACACCAATAAACACACAAAGGCTAACAAAGCAAAGCAGCCTTCTTGCTGACATGGAGAGTTTTGGTAGTCTGGATATAAAATCAAACCAGCCACAGCATTCCCTTAAACCAAAGCTAATCCAGAGGTGAAGAAGCTGCATAAGAAAAGTTTGAAGCTAGCACTATTTGGTTCATGAGGTTTAAGGAAAGAAGCTGTCTCCATAATATAGATGTGCAAGGTGAGGTGAAGCAGCAGGTGCTGATATAAAAGTGGAGGCAAGTTATCCAGAAGATCTCACTATGTCCACTGATGAAGGTGGCTATACTAAAACAACAGATTTTCTAAGTAGACGAAACAGCTTTCTGCTGGAAACAGATGCCATCTAGGACTTTCACAGCTATGAGAAGTCAGTGCCTGGCTTCAAAGCAGGCTGGGCACAGTGGCTCACGCCTGTAATCCCAGCATTTTGGGAGGCCAAGGCAGGTAGATGGCTTGAGCCCAGGAGTTCAAGACCAGCCTGGGCAACATGGTGAAACCCCATCTCTATAAAAAATACAAAAATTAGCTGGCCATGGTGGTGCATGTCTGTAGTCCCAGCTACCTGGGAGGCTGAAGTGGAAGGATCACTGAAGCCCAGGAGGTTGAGGCTGCAGTAAGCCAATACCGCGCCACTGCACTCCAGCCTGGGCGACAGTGAGAGCCTGTTTCAAAAAAAAGAAAAAAAAACAAAAAAAAAAAGAAAAAAAAAAAAGATCTAAAACTGACACCCTAACATCACAATTAAAATAACTAGAGAAGCAAGAGCAAACAAATTCAAAAGCTAGCAGAAGAAAAGAAGTAACTAAGATCAGAGCAGAACTGAGGGAGATAGAGACACAAAAAAACCCTTAAAAAAAATCAATGAATCCAGGAGCTGGTTTTTTGAAAAGATTAACAAAATTGACAGGACGCTAGCAAGACTAATAAGAAAAGAGAGAAGAATCAAATAGACGCAGTAAAAAATGACAAAGGGGATATCATCACTGATTCCACAGAAATACAAACTACTACCATCAGAGAATACTATAAACACCTCTATGCAAATAAACTAGAAAATCTAGAAGAAATGGATAAATTCCTGGACACACACACCCTCCCAAGACTAAACCAGGAAGAAGTTGAATCTCTGAATAGAACAATAACAGGAGCTGAAATTGAGGCAATAATTAATAGCCTACCAACTAAAACAAGTCCAGGACCAGATGGATTCACAGCGGAATTCTACCAGAGGTACAAGTAGGAGCTGGTACCATTCCTTCTGAAACTATTACAATCAATAGAAAAAGAGGGAATCCTCCCGAACTCATTTTATGAGGCCAGCATCATCCTGATACAAAGCCTGGCGGAGACACAACAAAAAAAGAGAATTTTAGACCAATATCCTTGATGAACATTGATGCAAAAATCCTCAATAAAGGCCGGGCGCGGTGGCTCACGCCTGTAATCCCAGCACTTTGGGAGGCCGAGGCGGGTGGATCACGAGGTCAGGAGATCGAGACCATCCTGGCTAACACGGTGAAACCCCGTCTCTACTAAAAATACAAAAAATTAGCCGGGCGAGGTGGCGGGCGCCTGTAGTCCCAGCTACTCGGGAGGCTGAGGCAGGAGAATGGCGTGAACCCCAGGGGGCGGAGCCTGCAGTGAGCCGAGATTGTGCCACTGCACTCCAGCCTGGGCGACAGCGAGACTCCGTCTCAAAAAAAAAAAAAAAAAAAAAAAAAAAAAATCCTCAATAAAATACTGGCAAACCGAATGCAGCAGCACATCAAAAAGCTTATCCACCATGATCAACTGAGCTTCATCCCTGGGATGCAAGGCTGGTTCAACATACGCAAATCAATAAATGTAATCCAGCATATAAACAGAACCAAAGACAAAAACCACATGATTATCTCAATAGATGTAGAAAAGGCCTTTGACAAAATTCAACAGCCCTTCATGCCAAAAACTCTCAATAAATTAGGTATTGATGGGATGTATCTCAAAATAATAAGAGCTATTTATGACAAACCCACAGCCAATATCATACTGAATGGGCAAAAACTGGGAGCATTCCCTTTGAAAACTGGCACAAGACAGGGATGCCCTCTCTCACCACTCCTATTCAACATAGTGTTGGAAGTTCTGGACAGGGCAATAAGGCAGGAGAAAGAAATAAAGGGTATTCAATTAGGAAAAGAGGAAGTCAAACTGTCCCTGTTTGCAGATGACATGATTGTATATTTAGGAAACCCCATCATCTCAGCCCAAAATCTCCTTAAGCTGATAAGCAACTTCAGCAAAGTCTCAGGATACAAAATCAATGTGCAAAAATCACAAGCTTTCTTATACACCAATAACAGACAGAGAGCCAAATCATGAGTGAATTCCCATTCACAATTGCTTCAAAGAGAATAAAATACCTAGGAATCCAACTTACAAGGGATGTGAAGGACCTCTTCAAGAAGAACTACAAACCACTGCTCAATGAAATAAAAGACACAAACAAATGGAAGAACACTCCATGCTCATGGGTAGGAAGAATCAATATCGTGAAAATGGCCATACTGCCCAAGGTAATTTATAGATTCAATGCCATCCCTATCAAGCTACCAATGACTTTCTTCACAGAATTGGAAAAAACTATTTTAAAGTTCATATGGAACCAAAAAAGAGCCCACACTGCCAAGACAATCCTAAGCCAAAAGAACAAAGCTGGAGGCATTACGCTACCTGACTTCAAACTATACTACAAGGCTACAGTAACCAAAACAGCATGGTACTGGTACCAAAACAGAGATATAGACCAATGGGACTGAACAGAGCCCTCAGAAATAACACCACACATCTACAACCATCTGATCTTTGAGAAATCTGACAAAAACAAGAAATGGGGAAAGGATTCCCTATTTAATAAACGGTCCTGGGAAAACTGGCTAGCCATATGTAGAAAGCTGAAACTGGATCCCTTGCTTACACCTTACACTAAAATTAATTCAAAATGGATTCAAGACTTAAATGTTAAACCTAAAACCATAAAAACCCTAGAAGAAAACCTAGGCAATACCATTCAGGACATAGGCATGGGCAAGGACTTCATGTCTAAAACACCAAAAGCAATGGCAACAAAAGCCAAAATTGACAAATGGGATCTAGTTAAACTAAAGAGCTTCTGCACAGCAAAAGAAACTACCATCAGAGTAAACAGGCAACCTACAGAATGGGAGAAAAATTTTGCAATCTACTCATCTGACAAAGGGCTAATATCTGGAATCTACAAAGAACTCAAACAAACTTACAAGAAAAAAACAACTCCATCAAAAAGTGGGTGAAGGATATTAACAGACACTCCTCTAAAGAAGACATTTATGAAGCCAACAGACACATGAAAAAATGCTCATCATCACTGGCCATCAGAGAAATGCAAATCAAAACCACAATGGGATACCACCATCTCAACACCAGTTAGAATGGCGATCATTAAAAAGTCAGGAAACAACAGGTGCTGGAGAGGATGTGGAGAAATAGGAACACTTTTACACTGTTGCTGGGACTGTAAACTAGTTCGACCATTGTGGAAGACAGTGTGGCAATTCCTCAAGGATCTAGAACTAGAAATACCATTTGACCCAGCTATCCCATTACTGGGTAAATACCCAAAGGATTATAAATCATGCTGCTATAAAGACACATGCACACGTATGTTTACTGCGGCACTATTCACAATAGCAAAGACTTGGAACCAACCCAAATGTCCATCAATGATAGACTGGATTAAGAAAATGTGGCATATATACACTATGGAATACTATGCAGCCATAAAAAAGGATGAGTTCATGTCCTTTGTAGGGACATGGATGAAATTGGAAACCATCATTCTCAGCAAACTATCACAAGGACAAAAAACCAAATACCGCATGTTCTCACTCATAGGTGGGAACTGAACAATGAGAACACATGGACACAGGAAGGGGAATATCACACACTGGGGCCTGTCGTGGGGTGGGGGGGATGGGGGAGGGATAGCATTGGGAGATATACCTAGTGTAAATAACGAGTTAATGGGTACAGCACACCAACATGGCACATGTATACATATGTAGCAAGCCTGCACGTTGTGCACATGTACCCTAGAACTTAAAGTATAATAAAAAGAATTTAAGTAAAAAACAAAAAAAAAATCCACATGATCATCTCAATTAATGCAGAAAAAGCATTTGATCAAATCCAACACCCTTTCATATTAAAAATAATCAATAAATGAAGAACAAACAGGAACTTCCTCAACATAATAAAAAGGTATTTATGAAAAACCCACATGACCTATCATACATGATAAAAGGCTGAATGCTGTCCCTCTAACATCAGGAACAAGACAAGGACGGCCCCTCTCACCACTTCTATTCAACATTTTACTGGAAGTTCTAAGCAGGCAATTAGGCTAGAAAAATAAAAGAAATCCATATTAAAAAGAAAAAAAGGTGAAACTTATCTCTTTGCAAATGACATAGTCTTGTTTAAAGAATAATCATAAAGAAAAAACTGGATAAACTGACTTCATAAAAATTAAAAACTTGCCGTCTACCAAAAGACATTATTGGAAAAATAAGAAGGCAAGGAGCAAACTGGTCGAATATTCACAAAACGCACATATCACAAAGACCTTGTATGTAGAATATATAAAGTCCTACAACACAATAAGAAAACAAGCCAATAGAAAAAACAGGCAAAAATATGAGAAAATATTTCATAAAAATTAGATAACTGGTGATAGCATAAAAAATGATACTCAATATTATTCATAAGAATTTTAAGTTAAAACCCCAAAGGTATGCCAATTCACACCTCCTAAAATGGCAAAAATTAAAAAGAATGACAAATTTAAATAGTAACAATGATGGAGAATAAAGAGAAGTCTCTTTATTCTCATGTTACTATATGCTGCTGTTAAGGATGTATGTTTTTTGATAAAATTGGGCAATTTCTAATAAATATACACCAAACTCTTTGACTCACTGATTTCACTTCTACATTTTTATCCAAGAGAAATGTAAACACGTTCACAATATATTTTTACAAAAATATTCCTGACAGCCTTATTCACAATAAGGCTGTTTCTAGTCCCAAACTGGAAACAACAAAAATGCCCCAAAACAGAAAGATGAATACTGTGGTGTTTTCATGTAAGTGAATACTAATCAGCATCACAAAGGAACTTCTATCATAAACAAACATGAAATAATCTCATAGACATGCTAAACAATGGCAGACACAAAATAATACATATTTAATAACATCATTAAAAAGAATTTTTATCGGGGACACAAATAATCTATAGAGAAAAAAAGCAAAACAGATTTTGCCTTGGAGAAATGAAACGCCCTCTAATGTTATAGGAGTATCTTTTTGTCAAAATTTTACAGAATATAATTTGTAATGGTCATGTAATATTTCAATATTTCAATATAAATGTCTCATAATTTATTTGATCACTGATTTGTTGGAAAATAAACTGTTTCATGATTACTAACATCACCTCAAATGAAATAACCACATAAATTTCAGTCTACATTTCTGATTCTTTCCTTAAGACAGTTTCTTAGAAGTGAATTTACTAGTTTAAAAATTTTACAGCTGAGATCTGTGTTCAAGGTGTTTGGGCTCATGATTGGTCCGATCATTAGTTGACCACTAGGCTATGCAAATATATAGGGAGGTATGCTTTAGTAAGCCAAGCTTAAAAGTAAAAGCAAAAATATTTAAAAAGAAAAAATAATAATTAAGCAGAGACATCAGTGTTTGCATACTGCAGGGAGATAAATTTCATAGATTTTTTTCTGCCCATGGAAGTTACTGCTAAACAACCAACAACTTTTGACGGGAGAAAAATCAAGAATCAGAGTGGCTACAATATTATCTAAAATGGCCAGTTTTCAACAAAAAATTATAAGACATGATAGAAACAGTAAAGTATGACCCAAACTCAGGGGGAAAAACTGCAGTGAAAACATATTAATCATGTGCCAGGCTTACAACAATCCAGTGAGAGATATATGTAATTATTTACATAAAACAAAATTCACTCTTGATCCCTTAAGAGTTGGAAAAATTCTTATTTTTGGTGGACATATTGACCCTTTTCTCTGATTATAAAATACACATCATTTTAGAACTTTAGGCTGAGCGTGGTGGCTCACACCTGTAATCCCAGGGCTTTGGGAGGCTGAGGCGGGAGGATTGCTTGAGCCCAGGAATTCTAGACCAGCTTGGGCAACACAGGGAGACTCCCCAGTCTCTACAAAAAATAAAAACAAAAAAATTATATGGGCATGGTGGTGCACACCTCTAGTCTCAGCTACTTGGAAGGCTGAGAGAGAGAAGATCACTTGAGCCTGAGAAGCTGAGGCTGCAGTGAGCCATAGCACACCACTGCACTCCAGCCTGGGAAACAGACTGAGACTCTGTCTCCAAAACAAAAAACAAGAAACAGAAAGACAGTAAAACATGAAATAAAATCTCCCATAATTCCTTAACTCAGAAATGACTGATAATGTGGGTATATTAGTCTGCTTGTTTTAACATGTATAAGTATTTTAATCAATATTTATAATTATACTACACGTATTACCTGTTTTTTTCCCCTTTTATACTATATTTTACCAATGTTGTTTTAAAAATTTGAGAATATTGGCCAGATGCAGTGGCTCACGCCTGTAATCCCAGCACTTTGGGAGGCCAAGGCAGGCAGATCATCTCAGGTCAGGAGTTCGAGACCAGCCTGGCCAACATGGTGAAACGCCCCTTCTCTACAAAAAATACAAAAATTAGCCGGACATGGTGGCAGGCGCCTGTAATCTCAGCTACTTGGAGGCTGAGGCAGGAGAATCACCTGAACCCCAGAGGCGGAGGTTGCAGTGAGCCAAGGTTGCACCGCTATACTCCAATCTGCGTGACAAAGTGAGACTCAGTCTCAAAAAAAAAAAAAAAAAAAAAAAAATTAAGAATATAACTTTTAATGGTCATGTCATATTCCAATATACAGATAAACGTTTCATTATTTGATCACTGACTTGTTGGAAAATAAACTGTTTCATAATTACTAACATCACCTCAAATGAAATAACCACATAAATTTCAGTCTACATTTCTGATTCTTTCCTTAAGACAGTTTCTTAGAAGTGAACTTACAAGTTCAAAGATTGTTAACATTTGGTAGTATCTCTAGAAATACTAACAAACTGCTTTCTGGAAAAGTGGTTTGAACTAGCAGTGTATAAGGAGTGTCTATATGACTAAATCTTCCAAATTAGAATTTATTTTTAATATTTAAATGTTTCCTAATTTTAAGTTAAAAAAACAGTAAAACTAAGTAATTTAAATTATATTTATAGGTTACCTCCAATTCCCTCTTTTTTCTAAAAATCTAAAACACTAAAATTGAAAAATGCTCTTAATTCAACCTCTCCAACCACAGCAAAAACACCTCAGGTAGCATTCCTGAAGAAAAGTAATGTAGAATCTAACGGAATGCTTAAGGAGACATAAGGATCATTATTTCATAATGCAAACGTAAAAAAATATTAATTTTTTTTTTTTTTGAGACAGACTCGCTCTGTCACCCAGGCAAGAGTGCAGCAACGTAATCTCAGCTCACTGCAACCTCCACCTCCTGGGTTCAAGCAATTCTCCTGCCTCACCCTCCCAAGTAGCTGGGATTAGAGGCATGTACCACCATGCCTGGCAAATTTTCGTATTTTTAGTAGAGACGAGGTTTTGCCATGTTGGCCAGGCTGGTCTTGAACTCCTGACCTCAAAGTGATTCATCCTTCTCAGCCTCCCAAAGTGCTGGGATTACAGGCTAGTGCCACCACGCCTGGCTACTTTTTGTACTTTTAGTAGAAATGGTGTTTCGCCTTAAACGAGTTCTAATCAAAAAACTTCCTTATACTGAACTGAGGCCAGGCGTGGTGGCTCACACCTCTAATCACAACACTTTGGGAAGCCGAGGTGGGCGGACTGCCTGAGCTCAGGATTTCAAGACCAGCCTGGCCAACATGGTGAAACCCTGTCTCTACTAACAATACAAAAAAATTAGCCAGGCATGGTGGTGCCCACCTGTAATCCCAGCTACCTGGGAGGCTGAGGCTCAAGAATCACTTGAACCCGGGAGGCAGGGAGGCAAAAGTTGCAGTGAGCCGAGATCATGCCACTGCAATACAGCCTGGGCAACAGGCACTGAAGGAAAGTCAGGGGATGTGCTGTTATTGAATTCAAGATGGAAGAAAACATAAAAAAAGCTATTCAGGTGCTAGACAAGCATAGTCTGAGTGGAAGACCACTGAAAGTGAAAGATCCTGATAGTGAACATGCCAGGAGAGCAATGCAAAACGTGATGGCTACCACTGGTGGAACAGATATGAGACCAAGTGGCCCAGAAATGATTACTATCCCACCTAGTATCTTAAATAATCCTAACATCCCAAATGAAATTATCCATGTATTACAGACAGAAAGACTTGGAAGCACAATATTTGTAGCAAATCAGGATTACAAAGTTGGCTGGAAGAAACTCAAGGAAATATTTTAGTATGGCTGATGTGGTGTTCTGAGCACATTCTTGAGGATAAAGATGAAAAAAATCATGGATTGGGCACTGTTACTTTTGAACAGTCCACTGAAGCTGTGCAAGCTATATCTACATTCAATGGCCAACTGCTGTGTGATAGACCAACGCAGGTAAAGACGGATGAGACCGCCTTACCAAAGGATTTTTTTTTCCCTCCTAAGCGTCCGCAGCTTCCCTATGGCCTTGGTGGTATTGGAACAGGGTTAGGACCAGGAGGGCAGACTATCGATGCCAATCACCTGAATAAAGGCACTGGAATGGGAAACAGGGCCTGCAGAAATTAGAATGGAGGGCATGGATTTAGAATAAAATGGGAGAAATGGAGGAGGGACCCCCATGGTGGCGGTATGGAAAATGTGGGTCAATTTGGCTCTGGGATGAACATGGGCAGAATAAAGGAAATCTTAGTAATACACTTAGGATAGGGAAGATCACTACAAAGCAGAGAGGAAGTGAAGGTGGAGGCAGCATCCCCAAAATCGAGAGGATGAGGCCCAAGCGCTGACTACACTGGGGGTGCCAGCATGGAATGCATGAGTCCAGGCCTGGGCCATGGTGTGGATCGTGTGGGTTCCAAGATGCAGCACATGGGTCTGGTCATGGACCGCATGGGCTTTGTGGAGCACAAAGGCTCCCACAGGGAGCGCATGGGCCTGCTGGGCCTTGACCAAATGGCCTCTAGCATCCAGCACACAGGCAAGGTCACGGAGCGCAGTGGCTCCGGCCTGGAGCACATGGGTGCCGGCATGGGCTTCAGCCTCAAGTGCACAGCTGCTCCCATTGACCATGTGGACCAAACCATTGAGCACATGGGCTCTGGTGTGGAGTGCATGGTTCCTGCAGGTATGGGGGCTGGCCTGGAGCACATGAGCCCCATGATGGATCACATGGCCACTGGCCTGGAGCACATAGGTGCCAACAACCTGGAACATCCGGATGGAACTGGGGTGGACGGGTGCCAACAGTCTGGAGAGGATGGGCATTAACAGCCTTGAGTGCATGGGTCCCGTCATGGGCCAGACACTGGGTGCTGAGACTGGGTGTATGGGCCTAGCCATGGATGGTGGTGGCCATGTCAGCTTTGACTGCGCCCACTTAAACTCTGGAGGAAGTTTGGCAGGGTCCTTTGGTGAGGCTGGAGGCCATGCTCCTGGCGGTGGCCAGGAAAGCCTACCAGGTATTTGTGAGAAATCTCCCATTTGATTTTACATGATCAAATTGACAAATACGGCCATGTGCTATAACCCAACATCAAGATGAAGAATGTGAAGTCCAAGGGATGTGGTTTGGTTAAGCTTGAGTTGCCAGAGGTGGCTGAGAGCCTGTCAGATGATGACTGGCACGAAGCCGAGTGGCCAAGAGATTGATGGGCAAATCGATAGAAATATGCCTTTTTTAAACATCAATATTTTGTATTTTTTTCTTGTTAACTATTTTAACTTGTTGGCTGGATATATAAAGATGTTTTAAAAATTCTGTTGCTTTTTGATGAAATCTGAATTACTTTTTTACTTTTTAAGGACTGGGGTTCTATTTGAACGTTTGCATTGAGATTGTAATATGCAAATTTTTTTGTAGTTGTGGCAACTTGCTGACATCAAACATAACTTTGATAATAAATACCAGTTGCTGGAAAAATAAAAAAAGAAAACCAATTCTCAATCTATTCTTTTCCAAAAAAGTTCTAAAATACTATATTTACCTGAACATGAAAAGGTTCCTATGTGCAAGGCACTGTGATAAATGCTTTCTCATGTTATTTCACTTAACCTTCTCAACCACATAAAGTAGTGTCTGTTATTTCCATTTTATGAAAGAAAAAGTATAAGGGGAGAAGACAGCAGAAGTGTTTTAAGTAAAAATTTCCACATAATTTCAATATAAATAACTTGCAATGTGAAAATAATATATTTATAACCAACAAAACATTTTAACTGATTAAAAAGTTACCAGGCTGGGTGCAGTGGCTCACGAGGTCTGGAGTTCGAGACCAGCCTGGCCAACATGGTGAAACTCTGTCTCTACTAAAAATACAAAAATTAGCTGGGCATAGTGGCAGGCACCTGTAATTCCAGCAACTTGGGAGGCTGAGGCAGGAGAATCACTTGAATCCGAGAGCAGAGGTTGCAGTGAGCTGAGATCACACCACTGCACTCCAGCCTGGGCAACAGACTGAGACTCCGTCTCAAAAAAAAAAAAAAAAAAAGTTCCCCAAGATTCCAATTTCCCTTTCTCTTTCTCTCTTTTTTTTTTTTGCCTGTTCCCTCTTCTGAGCCAGCAATTTCCCATTTTTCTCTAAGGTTTTTTGTTTGTTTGTTTGTTTGATTGTTTGAGATAGAGCCTTGCTCTGTCACCCAGGCTGGAGTGCAGTGGTTCTATCTCAGCTCACTGCAACCTCTACCTCCCAGGTTTAAGCAGTTCTCCTGCCTTGGCCTCCCAAGTAGCTGGGATTACAGGCGCATGCCACCACACCCGGCTACTTGTTTTCTATTTTTAGTAGAGACGGGGTTTTGCCATGTTGGCCAGGGCGGTTTCGAACACCTGACCTCAAGTGATCTGCCTGTCTTGGCCTCCCAAAGTGCTGGGATTACAGGCGTGAGCCACCGCACCCAGCCAGGTTTGTTTTTTACTTCTGCCTTTTGTCTGAATGGTCCATTGGAATGGGTAATTTTTCAGCTGAACCCCTGGCTGAACAAAACCTTAAGATAAAATTAACCTGTAAAAGCTGTAAGTTTATGGCAGGGCATGGTGGTTCATACCTGTAATCCCAGCACTTTGGGAGGTCGAGGTGGGTGGATCACGAGGTCAGGAGTTCGAGAACTGCCTGGTCAATATGGTGAAACCCTGTCTCCACTAAAAATACAAAAATTAACCAGGCGTGGTGGTGGGCTCCTGTAGTCCCAGCTACTTGGGAGGCTGAGGCAGAAGAATCGCTTGCACCCGGGAGGTGGAGGCTGCAGTGAGCCTAGATCGCGCCACTGCACTCCAGTCTGGGTGACAAAGCGAGAAAAAAAAAAAAAAAAAGGCCAGGCACAGTGGCTCACGCCTGTAATCCCAGCAGTTTGACAGGCCGAGGCAGGTGGATCATGAAGTCAGGCATTCGAGACCAGCCTGGCCAACAAAGTGAAACCCTGTCTCTACTAAAAATACAAAAAATTAGCTGGGCATGGTGGTGGGCGCCTGTAATCCCAGCTACTCGGGAGGCTGAGGCAGGAGAACAGCTTGAACCTGGAAGACGGAAGCTGCAGTAAGCCAAGATCGTGCCACTGCACTCCAGCCCAGGCGACAGTGCGAGACTCCATCTCAAAAAAAAAAAAGCAAAAAAAAAGCTGTGTTTTCAAATTGGCTGGTATGAGCTCAAAATTAAACTTCTGATAGAAACAATGTTACAAATACAGAGTAGAGTTCCAGGGCAGCTCCTATGTACATAGTTAACCCATAATATAACTGAATTCAAAAATCTAGAACCTAGGCCAGGTACAGTGGCTCACACCTGTAATGCCAGCACTTTGGGAGGCCAAGTCAGGTAGACCACTTGAGCCCAGGAGTTCGAGACCAGCCTGGGCAACATGATGAAACCCTGTATCTACTAAAAATACAAAAAAATTTGCTAGGTGTGATGGTGCATGCCTATAGTCCCAACTACTTGGGAGGCTGAGGTGGGAGGATCACCTGAGCCTGGGAAGTCGAAGCTGCAGTAAGCTGTGACTGCGTCACTGCACTGCAGACAGGGCAACAGCCGGAGTGAGACTCTGTCTCAAAAAGAAAAAAAAAAATCTGGAACCTAACCTATTATACAAATAATATGAAAAACTACAGCCGGGCGGGGTGGCTCACACCTGTAATCCCAGCACTCTGGGAGGCCGAGGCGGGCGGATCACAAGGTCTGGAGATCGAGACCATCCTAGCTAACACGGTGAAACCCTGTCGTCTCTACTAAAAATATAAAAAAAATTAGCCAGGTGTGCGCCTGTAGTCCCAGCTACTCGGGAGGCTGAGGCAGGAGAATGGTGTGAACCCGGGAGGTGGAGCTTGCAGTGAGCTGAGATCGCGCCACTGCACTCCAGCCTGGGCAACAGAGGGAGACTCCGTCTAAAAAAAAAAAAAAAAAAAAAAAAAAAAAACTACATTCCATATCTCAACACCAGGCCTATCTGTACCCCTACTAAAGTTATAGATATCTGGTACTGGGAAAACTATATATCTAAACGCCAAAAAAAAAAAAAAAACTACTTACCTTATACTACATAGAAAATTAACTCAAAATTGATCAAATACCTAAACATTAGAGCTAAGACTCTTAGAAGAAAATATAGGCTGGGTGTGGTGGCTCACACCAGTAATCTCAGTACTTTGGGAGGCCAAGGAGGGTAGATCGCCTGAGCTCAGGAGTTCAAGACCAGCCTGGACAACATGGTGAAACTTCGTCTCTACCAAAAATACAAAAAATTAGCCAGGTGTAGTGATGTGTGCCTGTGGTCTCAGCTACTTGGGAGGCTGAGGTGGCAGGATCACTTGAGCCTGGGAGGCAGAGGTTGCAGTGAGCTGAGATTGCACCACTGCACTCCAACCTGGGTGACAGAGTAAGGTCCCTTCTCAAAAAAATGTGTCTCTGTGTCTGTGTGTGTGTGTGTGTGTGTGTGTGTGTGTGTGTGTGTATGGGAAAAGCTCATAACATTGGATTTGGCAATGGTTTCTTGGTCATGACAACAAAAACACACATAACAAAAAGAAAAACAGATAAATTGGGTGTCAAAACCCAAAATTTTTGAGCCAGGTGCCATGGCTCACACCTATAATCCCACCTACTTGGGAGGCTGAGGCAGAAGGACCGTTTTGACCAGTCTGAGCAACAAGGTGAGACCCCATCCCTAAAAAACTAAAAAAATTAGCCAGGCATGATGGTGCACACCTACAGTACTAGCTACTACTTGGGAAGCTGAGGTGGGAGGATCCCTTGAACTCAGGAGTTCAAGAGTGCAGCGAGCTACAAGTGCACCACTACACTCCAGCCTGGGTGACACAGTAAGATCCTACCTCTTAAAAAATTTTGTTTTTAATTTTTGTGTATCAAAGTACACTATCAACAGAGTGAAAAGACAAACCATGGAATGGCAGAAAATACTTGCAAATCATGTGTCTCTTAAGAAGTTCTTATCTAGAATACATAAAGCATTACAATCAGAAAGAAAAAAACAACCAGATTCAAAAATGTGCAAAGGACTTGAATAGGCTTTTCTCCAAAGAGGATATACAAATAGACAATAAGCACATGAAAACACACTTGACATCACTAATTATCTAATTATCACGGAAATGCTAATTAAAACCACAATAAAAAACAGCTTCACACTCATTTAGATGACTAGTATCAAAAAAATAAAAATAAAAAATAAAAATTGCCGGCAAGAATGTGGAGAAATTAGAATCCTTGCGCTTTACTGTAGAGAATGTAAAATAGTAAAGCTGCTGTGGAAAGTGGCATGGCAGTTCCTCAAAAAAATTAAATATAGAATTGCCATATGATCCAACAATTCTACTTCCAGGTATGCATCCAAAAGAACTGACAGTAGGGTCTCACACAGTACATCCATATTCATAGCAGCATTTTTCACAATAGCTAAAAGGTGGATGCAATCGAAGTGTCCACCAATGGAAGAATGGATAAACAAAATGTGGTACGTACACACAATTAAGTAGTATTCAGCCTTAAAAAGGAAGGAAATTCTGATATATATTATGAACGTTGAAGACTGTTTAATGAACACAGAGTTTCCGTTTGAGAAGATGAAAAAGTTCTGGAGACAGATGGTAGACAACAAGGTGAATGTACTTAATACCACTGAACTGTGTACTTACAAATGGTTAAAATGGTTTAACACAGTTTTTAACAAAACTATAGATCTTCATCTAATCCAAAGGTTTCCAAAAGAGTAAGAGATAAGGACTCTGGAATTGGAAAACAAAATCTCTTTTTTTTTTTTGAGACACGGTCTCACCCTGTCACCCAGGCTGGAGTGCAGCGGCAGGTTCACCACTTACTTGCAGCCTCAACGTCCCAGGCTCAAGCGATCTTCGCACCTCAGCCTACAGAGTAGCTGGGACTACAGGCATGCACTACTACGCCCAGCTAATTTTTTAATCTTTTGTAGAGCTGGGGTACCACTATATTGCCCAGGGTGGTCTCAAACTCCTGGGCTCAAGTGATCCGCCCATCTTGGCCTCTTGAAGTGCTGTGATTACAGGCGTGAGCTACCATGCCTGGCCCTATTTTTTTTTTGCTAACCAACTACTGTGAACAAGGGGTAGAAAATAATGGGGACAGAAGAAAAGGACAGAAAAAGGGACCAAGTAAAATTTGCCTCCTACCCCGCCTTTTTAATATTTACTTACTTTTAAAAATGACAAAATAACCTGTAGACAAAAAATGGCAAATTGTCAGGTACACCAAGTGCTAAAATACTTCATCTTAATTCCAGACTTTAAAATTATCTATCTTTTTTTTTTTTTTTTTGAGACAGAGTCTTGCTCTGTCACCCAGGCTGGAGTGCAGTGGCATGATCTCAGCTCACTGCAACCTCTGCCTCCCAGATTCAAGCAATTCTCCTGCCTCAGCATCCCGAGTAGCTGGGATTACAGGCGTGCACCACCACGCCTACTTTTTGTAATTTTAGTAGAGAAAGGGTTTCACCATGTTGGCCATGCTGGTCTCGAACTCGTGACCTCAGGTGATCTGCCCGCCTCGGCCTCCCAAAGTGCTGGGATTACAGGCATGAGCCACCGCACCTGGCCACAATATATGTTTTTTCCCCCTAGGAATTTCGTAACAGGAAATAGAAGAATAAGCAAGGTTGAGAGGAGACTGGGAAAAGATGACAAAAGTTACAGAGGAGGAGCTGACCACAAGACAGTTTTGAGGGAACCAGCACTTAGGGAAGAAGAAAAAGCAATCCAGCGCTAATTGGGGAGTCTCTCTTTCCACTATCAATCGATCTAACCAATTCAAACCCTTTCCTTTGGTCTAAACTAAAGAAAAGGCAACCTGAGGGCAAAGAAGTCGGGGAATTACAAGCTACAGCCCCAGAAAGAGAAGAGCACTTCTATGACCCACTGGAGTTTTTCCTAGAGATTCATTCTTCTAAATTAACTGGGTTCTGCCTAGGCTACAGAAAGCCAGAAAGAATGCCACCACCAGCCTAACAACAAAAAAACATGAATAAACTACAAAATTGAACCTTTTAAAAACCCATCCGAGAGCTGAGGACTCAGGCAACCAGGAAACCTCAAATCCAAGAAAATACAACCCCTTCCTAGGAGAGACAGAAAGCAAGCACGGGCTCACCTGAGGTAGACCACGGGAAGAAACAATGGTTCCATAAAACCAGGTAAAAAGAATTCATCTAAAATTGTTAACAAACTGCTGAAGGCAAAGTGTGGATTAGCATGAGAATGTATTATTCCTGAGAGACACAGATAACAAGGGCAATTGAAACCATTTGCAAGATCTTCCACAGACCTCCACCAAAGGCTCACAATATGCGAACATGGGACTGAAGAGAGCCCTCCTCTGTGGTGCAGTGCTGGAGGAAGGGAGCAGCTTCTACAATGGGAAAAATACGAAGCCCCAACCAGATCCTTCTCTTCTAGGGAACAAAAACTGGAAGGGACTAGTGGAGGAACAGCAAGCCCAGTTACCCGCAAGGCACAAGTGAATGCGGGGGAGTGAAAGAAAAAAAAACTCTACCACTGTAGGGGAAGGAAACAGTGTTGGACCCAGGGTCTTATACCAAAGACATTAGAGATCTTACTAATGTCTCTAATACCACTGAGGCAAGAGCAGAGAAACTCTTTTCCAGATAACACCGACAAAGATAAAAATTGCAGTCTGGCCTAGAGGAGCAAGATTACTGATAGAGTCCCACTCATGAGGCCAAGGCACATAAGCCAAACGCTGAGAACTGATCAGGAAAATTCAGAAACACCTTCCCACATGCCAACTACCAATCTAAGCACAAAGTAACACGAGAGAAATTTGAAGCCAATGGCGCACTTAAGGTACCCTCTGCAACAACAAAACAGAAACTCAGCTTAACTCCTGAGTACACTGACTCAACTCCCTACCCTAAAAGTCCACGAATGCAATGTTCCAGGTATAAATATTATTTACTCAGTCTTTACTACCCTATTCACAATATCCAGCATTCAGTAAAATATTGCAAGACACACAAAAAAGGAATAAATTACAACCTCAAGAGGCAAAGCATTCAACAGACCAGAAATCAAGATGAATTAAAAAAAAAATTTAAAAACCAGAAATTAAATTTTTTGCAAAGATGAGTAAATTGATAAACCTTCAGCAGTTTGAGGAAAAAAAGACGCAAATAACCATTATTAGGAAGGAAAAAGTGAACATCACTATAGATCCTATATACTTTTAAGGAGAATTTACAGAGTATTACCAACAGGACCAGGCGCAGTGGCTCATGCCTGTAATCCCAGCACTTTTGGAGGCCAAGGCAGGCAGATCACCTGAGGTCAGGAGTTCGAGACCAGCCTGGGCAACAGAGTGAAGCCCCATCTCTACTAAAATTACAAAAATTAGTCAGGCATGGTGGTGCGCACCTGTAATCCCAGCTACTCCGGAGGCTGAGGCAGGAAAATCGCTTAAACCTGGGAGGCAGAGGTTGTAGTGAGCAGAGATCACACCACTGCACTCCAGCCTGGGCAACAGAGCAAGACTCCATCTCAAAAAAAAAAAAAACACAAAAACAAACAAACAAAAAAACAACTTTATGCCTGTACACTCAATAATTTAGATGAAAATCAAATTCCTCAAAACATATGGACCACCAAAGCTCACACATTAGATAACCTAATTAGCCCCATATCCATTAATTTCTAAAATTGAAACTGTAGTAAAAAACCTCCAACACAGAAAACTCCAGGCCCAAATGGCTTCACTGGAGAATCCTACCAATCATCTAAAAAGAAACAATACCAAATCTACATAAACTCTTCCAGAAAATAGAAGGGAACACTTCCCAACTCATTTTATGAGACCAACATTACCTTGATAACAAAACCAAACAAACATAATACAATATTAATTTGGCCCAGTACAGGTTAGGAATTGCTTATATAACATCAGCAACAACCTGATTTTATTAAATTTAAAATATAAAGGAAACAGTTTTAAACAGACATATACAGCCTCACGTTGGTAATGCTACTACTTATGTCAGGATTTACCATACCCTTTCAGTTCTTTAGCGTTCCATTACTAGATAAATTACAGGTTGAGTATCCCTAATTTGAAAATACAAAACCTGAAATGCTCCATAATCCAGAAACCTGAGTGCTGACATGACACTCAAAGAAAATGCTCAACCAGTATAATGCAAATATTCCCCCCCCCCCAAAAAAAACATAAAAATACAGAGACTTTCGGTCTCAGGTATTTCAGATAAGGGATACTCAACCTGTATCAGTAAAAAATGGAACAAATAAGGCGCGGTGGCTCAAGCCTGTAATCCCAGCACTTGGGAGGCCGGCTGGGGATGGGGGGGCAGGCAGATCACAAGGTCAGGAGTTCGAGACCGGCCTGGTCAATATGGTGAAACCCCGTCTCTACTAAAAATACAAAAATTAGACGGGCATGGTGGTGGGTGCCTGTAGTCCCAGCTACTCGGGAGTCTGAGGCAGGAGAATGGTGTGAACCCAGGAGGCAGAGGTTGTAGTGAGACGAGATCACGCCACTGCACTCCAGCCTGGGCGACAGAGCGAGACTCTATCTTAAAAAAATAAATAAATAAATAACAATAATAATAATAATAATAATATAAAGCTTGGGAAAATGAGTATGCTTAGGAAAGAAATCTGTGAATGAAAATGATACAATTTAGGCATCATCACAAAACAAACATAGCAATAAGGGCAATATTTTAGCCTAAGAATTCATGACATTGGAAGAAAAAAGTATATAATGTAAAACAGCCCTACTTGTTCACAACACTGGTTGTGATCTGGTTCAAGATCTCCTTTCAGGAATACAAAAAGTTAATTGCCCAGCAATTCAAAACTGGGCAATAAAATTTCCTTTCTACTTGCCTGCAGCCCAGGTAAAAGGATTAAAGAGGTAGTGGGTTGGAGTTGGAGAATGAGCCTCTTTCAAATGTTCATTATAAACTGCATCATTAATTCTGCTTGAATCTCTACTGCCTCTAAATTTCAGACTCACACTCAACCACGTTCTCAACACTTTTACTTGGTACCTCAAATTCAACTCACCCAAAACTGAATTCACTTTTCCCATACCACCCCCATACCAAAACCAGCTCTTCCTACCGTATTTTTCCTAATATATTCTTCATCACAAGTAATGCTACTACCATCTACCTAACTAGCCAAGCCAGAAACTTAGAAGCCATCCTAAACATCACAGTTATTATTCCTCTCCCTTATCTTATATAGTCAATCATCAAATCCTGATGATTTTACCTCTGAAATATTTCTTCTTCTTGTCCCCTTTAAATCGATCCTGGGCACTGCACAAACTTGCCTGTTCCTCTCACCCAGGTTTCCCATCAACTGCCTTCAAAATAAAGACTAAACTCTAGCATTGCATATGAAACCCACAATAACTACTTCCCAGTCTGTTTTCATTGCTATTTGCTGCCACATTCTTTTTTTTTTTTTTTGAGACGGAGTCTCGCTCTGTCACCCAGGCTGGAGCGCAGTGGCGCGATCTCAGCTCACTGCAAGCTCCACCTCCCGGGTTCACGCCATTCTCCTGCCCCAGCCTTCCGAGTAGCTGGGACTACAGGCGCCCACCACCACGCCTGGCTAATTTTTTGTATTTTTAGTAGAGATGGGGTTTCACCATGTTAGCCAGGATGGTCTTAATCTCCTGACCTCGTGATCCACCTGCCTCGGCCTCCCAAAGTGCTGGGATTACAGGCGTGAGCCACTGCACCCAGCCAGCTGCCACATTCTTAGCACTGCAGTACTAATAGTTTCCTGCCCACACTGTGCTCTATACATGCTTCTGCTCTTTTTACCTCATTCTTTCAATTAACTATTATCTTCATTGTTTAAAACTCAGCCCAAGTATCATGTATAAGTAACCACCTCTATAGCCTCAAACCTGTGTAAACCCTGTGATTATCTCTAATTTAGCTCTTAAATTGTATTAAATAATCTGTTTCTTTCTCTTTAATTGCACTAGACTGTAAGAGTCTTGAAGGTAGATGCTGGATCCATAATTCTAGTAACCTGGCACACGAGTTAACTCAATCTTTGTTGAACTAAGCCACAATTTTTCTAATCTCTCTCAAAAAGGCCATATAATTGGGGTGAAGGAGACCGTATCACTGAAACATAAACAATCTTCACATCAATACTTAATTCTTGCCTACAAAAATGGGCTTATAAATAAAACTAAAAGTTTCTTCCTCATAAGATTTCCTTCCCCTTCACAAAATCCATGATACCAAGCAATTTTTGAGGCAGACAATTATGGTTTCAAATTGCCTTGTATTAACAATATGATTACAATAATGATAAAAGCATAAATTCAGTTGATAATCTGCTCCCAAGGTCTTGAATGCACACATTTCTACCTAAACAACATTAAGAGAAAATAGCACATTGTATATGAAGAATTCTCAACAAATTAGAACTTACTTATGTGCCCTCTTTACAAATGTATTTGCTAATTGAATGAGAAGTGGTATACAGCTTGAGCATCCCTACTAGGAAAATCTGAAATACAAAAATCTGAAAATCCGAAATGCCCCAAAATCCAAGTTTTTGAGCACCAACATACATAATGTCACAAGTGGAAAATTCCACCCCGACTTAATGTGACGAGTCAGTCAAAATGCAGTCAAAACTGTTTCATGCACAAAACTATTAAAAATATTGTTTAAAATTACCTTCAGACTATGTGTGTAAGGTACTTATGAAACATAAATGAATTTCATGTTTAAACTTGGGTCCTTTCCAAGATACCTCATTATGTATATGCAAATATTCCAAAATCCAAAAAAATCTGAAATCCAAAACACTTCTGATACCAAGCATTTTGGATGAGGGATACTCAACCTGTTCTGATGTGTCATGCATTAAGAGAGAAACAAGAGTAGATAACACATATAAATAAAGAAAATTACAAAAAGATCACAAATCAAACATTAAAGGCAACAAAGTCAAGATTTGCTGTAAAACTTTATGTATATTTACAGTTGGCTATATAAAAAATAATACATGCATGCAAGGTTCTAGAGTAGACTCCTGAAGGAGTTACTAAAGGAATGACCTCCAGACTAAGAGGTGGACACACTCAGTTTCCAGTCCTTAATCTATCATTAGTTAGCTGTGAGACACTGCTTAAGTCATGCAATCATTCTAGCACTTTGTTTCCTCAACAGCAAAAGAAATTATTGGACATCAGATCTGGCATTTCACATGTAAATTTTACCTAAAAAATAAACAAACAAAGAGCTGTCAAAATGGGAGATGAGTCATTAATTAATCAGAGCTGTCTTCATCCTTCCATCATATACAACTCATCCTGCAGCAACCTCATTAAGACAAACATTCACTACATGTTAAGGAGTCTTCAGAATGATTCATCACAATAAAACACAAATGTTATTGGACTAGATGACCTCTTTGGTCTCCTCCAGCTCTAAAATTCTCTGGGTCTGTTAATTTATACTCTACCTTACAAATGGTATGATTACTAAATTTACATTAACTTACTATATTCATGAAAGAAAAAGCTAAAGTCATTGCCCTCTTTGACACCAAATGACATTTTCAAAAGTAGCAGCATGTTTCCACTTAGTCTACATTTCTAGCCTGACTAATCTGAAATCAAGTTTCAGGTATTACAACTGTCCACCTTTACTCTCCACTACTTCCATAAGCCTTCATTATAAAAGGAGGAGGAGGACTTGGGGAAAAAACAGATTTCTCCGTCACCTAAGAAAAAAAATCAAGACAACTAGGGAAGAAGGACTAAGTATAGGAGCATTATATAAAATATCAACTTGGCCAGGTGCGATGGCTCACACCTGTAATCCCAGCACTTTGGGAGGCCGAGGCGGGTGGACCACTTGAGGTCTGGAGTTCGAGACCAGCCTGGCCAACATGGCGAAACCCCGTCTCTACTAAAAGCACAAAAATTAGCCAGGCGTGGTGGTGCACACCTGTAATCCCAGCTACTCAAGAGGCTGAGGCAGGAGAATCGCTTGAACCCGGGAGGCAGAGGTTGCAGTGAGCTCAGATTGCGCCACTGCGCTCCAGATTGGGTGACAGAGCGAGACTCCGCCTCAAAAAAAAAAAAAAAACAACTCTACAACAGGAAGATTCTCTTTTTTTTTTTGGTTTTGAGACAGAGTTTCTCTCCTTGCCCAGGCTGGACTGCGATGGCGCGATCTCAGCTCACTGCAACCTCCGCCTCCAGGGTTCAAGCAATTCCCTGTCTCAGCCTCCCGAGTAGCTGGGATTACAGGCATGCGCTACCATGCCCGCCTAATTTTTGTATTTTTGGTAGAGACGGGGTTTCGCCATGTTGGCCAAGCTGGTCTTGAACTCCTGACCTAAGGTGATCCACCTGCCTTGGCCTCCCAGAGTGGTGGGATTACACGCGTGAGCCATTGCGCACAGTTAGAAGGATTCTTTTTTTTTTTTTTTTTTTTTGAGACGGAGTCTCACTCTGTCGCCCAGGCTAGGGCACAGTGGCGTGATCTCGGCTCACTGTAACCTCTGCCTCCCGGGTTCATGCAATTCTCCTGCCTCAGCCCCCGTGGCTGGGATTACAGGTGCACACCACCGCGCCCAGCTAATTTTTGTATTTTTAGTAGAGACAGGGTTTCACCATGTTGGTCAGGCTGGTCTCAAACTCCTGACCTTGTAATCCGCCTGCCTTGGCCTCCGAAAGTGCTGGGATTACAGGCGTGCGCCACTGTGTCTGGTCGAAGGTTATTTTAATCCTATTCACAACAAAGTGTGTGATAAAGACAGGTGGTCTTTCTGGATCATCAATATTTCTGATATATGGTCTTCTCTGCTTTTCCATTTAGCTAATATTATAAAATTATTTAAAAACTACTAAATATAATAAACTTATCAAAAACATTTGGCAAAATACAGAACTATACAAAAAATAAAACAACTGAGTTAGGCTGATAAAATTATAGGGTTTTCTCTGACTTAAAGTTTTCTTCAATAAATAAGAAAGAAAAGAATGTGTTTTTGGCCGGGCACAGTGACTCACTCACACCTGTAATCTCAGCACTTTGGAAGGCCCACCTAGGAAGAGGTCACTTGAGACTAAGAGTTCAAGACCAGCCTAGGCAACAGTGAGACCCTGCCTTTATTTAAAAATTTTAAAACTTGGCCAGGCGTGGTGGTGCACACCTGTAGTTCCAACTACTTGGGAGGCTGCGGCAGGAGGATCGCTTGAGCCCAGGAGGTGAAGGCTGCAGTAAACTGTGACTGTGCCATTGTACTCCAGCCTAGGTGAGAGAGTAAGACTCTGTCTTCTTTTTTTTTCTTGAGACTGAGTCTTGCTCTGCCGTCAGGCTGCAGTGCAGTGGCACGATCTCAGCTCACTGCAACCTCCTCCTCCCAGGTTCAAGCAATTCTCCTGCTTCAGCCTCCTGAGTAGCTGGGACTACAGGCATGCGCCACCATGCCCAGCTAATTTTTGTATTTTTAGTAGAGATGGGGTTTCGCCATGTTGGCCAGGATGATCTCGATCTCTGGACCTCATGATCTGCCCATCTTGGCCTCCCAAAGTGCTGGGATTACAAGCGTGAGCCACCACGCCCAGTCAAGACCCTATCTCTTAAGAAAAAAATAAATAAATAAATAAATAAATAACAATGATTTTTCTAAAACCATTATCAATCTGTTTTCTCTAGAGAAGCAATATATGGGTTGTTAGATTACTGATGACTAAAACACACTCTTAAAATATACACTGATTTTTTTTTTTTTTGAGACGAGAGTCTTGCTCTGTTGCCCAGGCTGGAGTGCAGTGGCGCAATCTCGATTCACTGCAACCTCCATCTCCTGGGTTCAAGCGATTCTCCTGCCTTAGCCTCCCAAGTAGATGGGATTACAGGCATACACCACCATGCCCAGCTAATTTTTTTTGTATTTTTAGTAGAGACGGGGTTTTACCATGTTGGTCAGGCTGGTCTCGAACTCCTCAACTCATGCCACTGCACTCCAGCCTGGGTGACAGAGCGAGACTCCGTCTCAAAAAACAAAAACAAAAACAAACAGAAAAAATACAAAAATTAGCCAGGCGTGGTGGCAAACACCTGTAGTCCTAGCTACTCAGGAGGCTGAGGCAGGACAATCACTTGAACCAGGGAGGCGGAGGTTGCAGTGAGCTGAGATCGTGCCACTGCACTCCAGCCCGGGCAACAGAGTGAGAGTCCATCTCAAGAGAAAAAAAAGTGTGTGTGTGTGTGTGTGTGTGTGTGTATATATATGTATATAAAACATTTAAATCCCTACTTAGGCTGAGCGCAGTGGCTCACACTTGTAATCCCAAGTATGTTCTACTAGTACACTGTTTCGGCTGTTTTTTGTCCTTTTTTTTTTTTTTTTTTTCTTTGAGACAGGGTCTTGCTCTGTTACCCAGGCTGGAAGACTGGAGTGCAATGGATGGCACCCTCACGGCTCACTGCAGCCTCAACCTCCTGGGCTCAAGCAATTCCCCCTACTCAGCCCCGCTAGTGGCTGGGACTATAGATGTGAGTCACCATGCCCAGCTAATTTTTGTATTTTAGGTAGAGACAGGGTTTCGCCATGTTGCCCAGGCTGGTCTCGAACTCCTAAGCTCAGGGGATCCGCCTGCCTCAGCCTCCCAAGTGCTGGGATTACAATCATGAGCCACCAAGCCCAGCCTGTTGTGTTGTTTTAATCAAATCCACAAACACATTTCCATGCTAGAATCCCATGTTGATCATTCATGTTCAATATAGACTTTCTCTTTTTTCTTCAATCTAACACAGGAATCGGCCAGGTGCGGTGGCTCACACCTGTAATCCCAGCACTTTGGGAGACCGAGGCAGGTGGATCATCCTGAGGTCAGCAGTTCGAGACCAGCCTGGCCAACATGGTGAAACCCTATCTCTACTAAAAATATAAAAAATTAGCCAGGCGTGATAGCGGGCACCTGTAATGCCAGCTATTCGGGGGACTGAGACAGGAGAATCACTTGAATCTGGGAGGCAGAGGTTGCACTGAGCTGAGATGGCGCCACTGCACTGCAGCCTGGGAGACAGAGCGAGACTCTGTTTCAAAAAAATAATAATAATAGGCCGGGCACAGTGGCTCACGCCTCTAATCCCAGCACTTTGGGACGCCAAAGTGGGCGGATCACAAGGTCAGGAGTTCGAGAACAGCCTGGCCAACATGGTGAAACCCCATGTCTACTAAAAAAATACAAAAATTAGCCGAGCATGGTGGCGTGTGCCTATAATCCTAGCTACCTGGGAGGCTGAAGCGGGAGAATTGCTTGAACCCGGGAGGCGGAGGTTGCATTGAGCCAAGATTGCCCCACTGCACTCCAGCCTGGGCGACAGAGCAAGACTTCATCTCAAATAATAATAATAATAATAATAATAAAATAATAATATAGGAACATATGGATATCACAAAATACATAGTCCCTAGTACAGTCAACTGGCCTATTGTGACCTTCATTAAAATATTTGTCTTTAAGGTCTTACAATTCTTCTTGGGGCCACACTCAGTCTCACTATTCCTTACTGTCAGGATCCCAAAGGACTCCAAGCAGCCAAAGCTTCCCACCACAATTCTATCCCCACCATGCCTGTCATCTTTCCGAGACAATGCTCCTATATTCTACACCCCTTCTAATCACAGCCAGTGCATAAAAACTTAACTCTCCTGGCCAGGCGCGGTGGCTCACACCTGTAATCCCAGCACTTTGGGAGGCTGAGGCGGGTGGATCACTTCAGGTCAGGAGCTCGTGACCAGCCTGACCAACATGGTGAAACCTCATCTCTACTAAAGAAAAAAAATACAAAGTTAGCCGGCCGTCGTGGTGGGCGCCTGTAATCCCAGCTGCTTGGGAGGCTGAGGCAGGAGAATGGCTTGACCCAGGAGGCAGAGGTTCCAGTAAGCTGAGATCGCACCACTGCACTCCAGGCTGGGGAACAAGAGCGAAACTCTGTCTCAAAAAAAAAAAAAAAAAAACAAACAAACAAACAAACAAACAAAAAACTTAACTCTCCTATGTTTCCTTATCTCTGAACCCTCAACCTGTGTGTGGTACCAATAAGCTTATTTGATAGTCAATCTGTGCTAATATTGTCAACAAAAGACAATTTTTAAAGTTTCCTCTTTCAGAGAATTTGTGATTTTTAAACAGGACATTTAGAAAAACACTGGAGAGATATAAATAAAGTTAGGCATTGGCAATTCTCAAATTATACCACACAGTCAACTACCTAGTCTACCTATTTGTAATGCACGTCCAATTACAATTTAATATAGTTCAAATTAAAAAATTAATGTAGTCATACAAACACTAGTGAATATATGTCTGGCTTAGATATATGCCTCCTGGCAAATGCCAAGTAAGTGAAAACTAAAGCTGCAATTAAACGGTTTTAACATGGGTTCCATATCTGTCAAGGCTCCTCATCATGAGCCGGGTGCAGTGGCTCATGCCGGTAAGCCCAGCACTTTGGGAGGCTTAAGGAGGGAGAATCACTTGAGCCTAGGAGTTTGAGACCAGTCTGGGTGACACAGCGAGACCCCGTCTCCATTAAAAAAAAAAAAAAAAGTGGGCCAGATGCGGTGGCTCACATCTGTAATCCCAGCACTTTGGGAGGCCGAGGTGGGTGGATCAACTGAGGTCAGGAGTTCAAGACCAGCCTGGCCAACATAGAGAAACCCCATCTCTACTAAAAATGCAAAAATTAGCCAGGTGTGGTGGCGCGTGCCTGTAGTCCCAGCTACTCAGGAGGCTGAGGCAGGATAATTACTTGAACCCAGGAGGTGGAGTCTGCACTGAGCCAAGATCACACCATTCCACTCCAGCCTGGGCAATAAGAGCGAAACTCCGTCTCAAAAAAACAAAAAAAAAAGTAGCAAATGACCCCCTGTAGCCAATTTACTTAAAACAATCAGGTACTTTTTAGCTTACTTTTAACCAGAAAAATTACTTAGAGCACAACACAAATAAACTCTCAGCACACTTGATATTTGTGACTTAAAGTGTCTTTTCTACTTTATGCTTTCACAACCTGGTAAGTTACAATTAGATATTGCTTTTTCCAAATTCTGGCAAACCATTTTATTCATTATCTCATCAATCTAAAGCACAGTCTCCTATGACTAGGATAAATTAATACTATTTTGGACTCGGCTTGGTGGCAAATACCCGTCTTCCCAGCACTTTGGGAGGCTGAGGCAGGACGATTGCTTGTAGCCAGGAGTTGCAAAGCAGCCTGGGCAACATAGGGAGACCCCATCTCTACAAAAAACTAAAAAAATTAGCCAGGTGTGGTAGCATGTGCCTGCAGTCCCAGCTACTTGGGAGGCTGAAGCAGGAGGACTGCATAGGCCCAGGGGTTCACTACTGCACTCCAACCTGGGCCACAAAGAGAGACCCCCATCTCTAAAAAATAAAAATAAAAATAAATGCCATTTTACTCAACTGACAATAAAATCTATAGCTACAAATCCAGAATCTAGTACATCCTTGGTGAACAACAGGTCCAAGTTTCTTTAACCAGAATTAGATGGACTCTGTTATATAATAATCTCATGAAAAACCACTTAAGCAGAAATCACAAACTTGAGATCAGCTAGATGAATCTGAAAAGAAAAGACTTCCCCAATTCTTAATTTCTTAACAGTGGGAAAACAGTAACATTACCAGCTCAAGTTAAATGCACAAGAGACACTATGTAGAATGGAATCTTGTGAAACATACAAACCCTGACATTCCTATGCAATCCTATTTAGATTTTCTATATAGCTACAAGTCCACAAAGGTTAAGGACTACATCATTTATAGCTTTTACATTCTTTTTTTTTGAGACGGAGTCTCGCTCTGTCACCAGGCTGGAGTACAGTGGGGTGGTCTTCAGCTCACTGCAGCCTCCGCCTCCTGGGTTCAAGCGATTCTCCTGTCTCAGCCTCCCGAGTAGCTGGGACTACAGGTGTGCACCACCATGCCCGGCTAATTTTTGTATTTTTAGTAGAGATGGAGTTTCACTATGTTGGCCAGGCTGTTCTCGAACTCCTGATCTTGTGATCCGCCTGCCTTGGCCTCCCAAAGTGCTGGGATTACAGGCGTGAGCCACCCCACCCAGCCAGCTTATACGTTCTTTCAACTCTGAGAAAGCATTAAAAGAGTGCAAGTACTGAATGCACGTAGTACTAAACAATTTAGGAGAACTCTTGAAAACAAGGTCTACAATGCTCACTCAGCTAGCTGCAAACTAATTTTTATTAAAAACATTAACGCTATTAACTACCCAAAAAGGTCATTAAAATACAGACAAAACCTACACACTAGACCAATGATTTAAGATCCCTTTAAGTTGCATATTTGGCTCCATTTTTTAAATAAACTGACTCGGCAAGTAGTTAACGTGCCTGTACCTCCACTATTCTATTCGCCTTAGGAAAGTATGAAGCTCAACTTAATCCTAAAAAACTCCTTCACATAAGAGCTACCTTTTGCCTTGACTTTCTTTATGACCTTGGGCAAAGTCTACCAAATGAGGATTATAATAATGTTTGTGTGTTCCTGTTTATTATTGAAAATTAACCATAACATCGTGCAAACAATAGTGAAATTCTCTAAACTGGACCTATCCAGAACTGAAAACCTGAGTTATAAATATCAACTGATATTCAATGTGAACAGTTTTTAAAATTTTAATTTGATTAGTGAAAACAAAAAAACCTACAAAGATCCCAAATTCAACATGATTAATAAATTCCGAAAACACCAACAGCCTCCTTATTACTTCTCTTTATGAACAATTGGTCTGCAATGTAATTTAAAAAAAAGGAAAGAAAAAGTAAAGAAATATAGTAAAACTAGCTTTAACACGCCATTTCCCTTTTCTAAGAATAAAAAATGGACCAGGAACGAAAATTTAAAACTGGGCGAAGAATGGGGAGACAAAGCAATCTACAATTTGAAAATTACACAGATAAATCCATCATTTCAAGTCACTAATTTGTATACCCACTGAAGAAATTCATCTTGGTACTGCGTTACCAGCATTAGGAAGATAAATCCCTGCCTCGGAGGAACATCTACTGAGTACGTTTCATTTCAGGATCTCAGGTAAGTTTACGAGCTCTTAGATCTCTTTAGGTTTCCCTAAGGTACGCTGAAGTGTTTAACATCATTCACACATCCAGCCACCACTAGGGTGAGAAGTAAATAAACAAGATTTACTTATGCAATTATTTACCACAGAACTCTGGTCAAGAATGCAAAAGTAAACACCCATACAGACATTTAAAATCCAAAGAAAGCAGAGAATATTAAGGATAATAAGGTTCACTCTTTAACTGACCACTGTGGAAACCAGACGCCTTCCACATGGACTGTTCTTTACTACCACTCCCGATTTGAAAAAGTAACAATGTCAACTCGAGATTTTAACAGTACAAAAGATAAACAGAACTTAGTCAAATCCCTTCTTCCAGATTCTGAAAAGGTGTTTATAAGAACTGAGATAAGAGCAACGCCCCCCTAAAAGCACCCTACTCCAAAGAATGAAATGCTGAAAACATGAGGTGGGCCAAAAAGGTTAAAAAAAGCTAAACTTCTAACTTAATTACCCAGAGGTTGGGGACTAGGAACTTGAGATCGGAGTGGGGGTGGGTAGCAAAGTGAAATCTAACCCCAGAAATCACAACGCAGGCCGCAACCTAAGAGGTGAAGCTGGCGGGAAGTGAGCTCCCTTTCTGTTCCCAGGGGAAAGTCCAGACAGGAGCGGCTCCGCACAGTGGACGTACGAGGCGCCAAAGAGTGCATGCCTACCAAGGCGCCAGAGCCGCTGGAGGACCAGGTTTAGAAGGGGAGGAGATCCCGGCAGACGGCCCTGGAAGAGGAGGAGGACTGAGATTGGAAGCAGCGGCGGCGTCTGGACGAAGGGGATTACCTAACTGTGACGACAGAGAAGTGTCCTCAGGCTCCGGCGATGGTCCCGACTGCGCAATGTGTGGTGTCTTTCCCGCTTACCCCGCAGCAGCAACAGAACCAGCTCCTTCAGCCAGTCGCCATTTCCCGCCTACCGACCTGCTGCACCGCACGGACAGGGACCCGGATGGAAAGCGGCCTCTCCGCGCAGGCGCCCTGACTTCCTCCTCCCCCTCCCGCCACAATTCCGCGAGGTGGGAGGGAAGGAATGCGGGCAGCCACAACGGCAACAACAACCAAAAAAACACTTTTACTTCCGTGAAGAGCGTTGAAGTTCCTTACGCCGGAAGAAACTCTCTAGTCTGAATCCTGGAGAAAAACTGAACACAAGGCCTTAGTACTGGGTCGATTAAGAAAGGACAAAACCTATCAGGATGAGCAAGGGCCTGGGGGATATTTGTACATTAGGGGCCTCCGTAGCCGGCTGTGTAGTGGTCGCAGGGGGAGTAGGGAGTAAAGCGTTAGGAGTGGAGAGGCGGGGACCCGAAGGACGGTTTTTCCTCCCGCTCCTAACGGAACTGCTTGGGCAGAGCTGGGAGGGGGAGCGCGCCCTTGCCCCGGAGGCGGGGCTTAGGAACGCGTAGTGCACCCTGGCGGCTAGGGTTTAGTAACTGTGGGCGCGCTGGGTAGGTGGAGCTGAGGGGATAAGGCGGGACTAACGGCTTGGCGCGCTGGAGGAGGTAGTTCGTAGGGAGAGCTGCCTGAGGCCGGGAGAAAGCGAATCTGGCGCCTTTCCTGGGATTTCGGTGGCCCTTGAAGGTTCCCTTTCCAGCTCATTGCCTAGAGGGCGTAGCAGTCGCTTTTGGATCATAAATATTCATGCCCTTCGACTCAACCCTATGTTGGCGGTGATTCTGCAGGTTGAAAACTCGGATCTTTCAGGCCAGTGGGCTCCCACCTGCGACCCTAGGTCAAAGGACGGTCAGCTCCACAGAGTGAAAATGTATCAGTCCAGAGAATCCAGTTCTAGTGGGGTATCGGAAAACCAAGCCTAGTGTTTGGAAGAACATTTTTCACTGAAACTCCAAGCCACTCTCCTTATTCAATCAAGAAATATTTATTGAAAAAATAACTAGGTGCGACGGGTAAAACAGTGAGCCAGGCAGACACGGATACTGCCTTCCCCAAAGGTAATGATTTTTTTTTTTTTTCGAGACGGAGTCTTCACTCTGTCGCCCAGGATGGAGTGCAGTGGCGCGATCTCGGCTCAAACCTCCACCTCCCGGGTTCAAGCGATTCTTCTGCCTCAGCCCCCCGAGAAGCTGGGATTACAGGCGCGCGCCACCACGACCGGCTAATTTTTGTATTTTTAGTAGAGACGGGGTTTCACCACGTTGGTCAGGCTGGTCTCGTACTCCTGACCTCGTGATCCGCCCGCTTCGGCCTCCCAAAGTGCTGGTATTACAGGCGTGAGCCACCGCGCCCGGCCAAAGATCATAATCTATTGAAGAAGACACCCAAGTAAACAGAATTTAAAAACTGATAAAGCGAATACAAGGATGGCATGATAGGCGTTGTAAAACACATGAGAGTGCCGGCGAGGGGGTCTGGGAAGGTTTCGTAAGATAACATCTGAGACAAAAAGGAGGAGTGTGTGTTGCAGGGGAAGAGTGTCTGGGTAAAGGAAACAACAGACGGAAAAGTCCAAAGATGAGACTGTGTTGAGCCATTGGAGAAGTAGTTCTGTGCGCTAAGAAAAGAGGATGGGAGGGCAGGGGGAAGATGGCAAGAGAGGCTGAGAAGTAAGCAGAAATAACATACCGTTGTGAATCTCATTATTTCGAAGTATGGAGCAGGTGGGTTGTCTTCTGAAAACCTTGTATACTACAGATTCTTCTGTCAGAGTTCATTTGCACCCTAAATCTTCCTAGTGCAAAAATGCTCTGAATGCGACATTTATTGGGAGCTGGTGGTATACACAGCACAGAACTATTAATAGTAACAGTCCACACACACAAAAATAGATTCCTGAAAAGTTCAATGGAATCCAACAAATAATTAGTTTATCCAGAGTGTATCATGGAAAGCAGTAAAATACCAACTAAACAGTTACCCCATTATTACTAAAGTTTATTTTATTTATTTATTTATTTTTAGAGACAGGGTCTCACTCCATTCCCCAGGCTGAAGTAATTAAAGCTCATTGCAACCTCAAAATCCATGGTTCAAGCCATCTTCCTGCCTTGGCCTCCCAAAGTGCTGGGATTACGGGCCTGAGCTACTGCACACAGCCCCTAAAGTTTTGTTTTGCTTTTTGTTTAGAGACAAGGACTTCCTCTGTACCCCTGGCTTGAGTGCAGTGGCATGATCATAACTCACTGCATCCTTAAACACCTGGGCTCAAGTGATCCTCCCACCTCAGCCTCCCAGTACCGAGGACTGGCTAATAAAGTTATTTTTAAATCAGGTAAAAATTAGAAATATTTCTGGGGGAAAAAATTTCCAAGAAATCGTTATTTCAAACCTTCACGTTCCTAAAACTTAAGTAAAATACGCTATTTCCAAAGAGCACTTTTATATGCATTTTGATTCTCTAACAACCCTATGAGGTAGGTAAAATAGGTGGTATTTGTTCCCTGCCTTTCAGTTGAAGACACTGAAATTTGAAAAAAGAAGAAAAACATGCCATATCCAAAGACAGTCACAATCATCTAGTAAGAAATATAATAGAGACTCAAGCCCCTATTCTGCTCATTATACCACCTCTTATGGCAATATTATTACCATTGTTACATTTGGTAAGTTTAGGGCCAGGCCATAATCACAGCACTTTGGTAGGGTGAGGTGGGAGGATCATTGTATCTCAGGTTCAAGACCAGCCTTGGCAACATAGTGAGACCTTATCTCTATTAAAAAAAAAATAAGTTTAGAAAGGTTGCTGATAGTAAGCCTAAGTCCATTTGCAATTTTTAACATTTTAACACCATTTTTTCACAAGGGATAATTGTTATGTTCTGCTTTTTACCTTAATTTATATCCCATGGTCTCTCTCCTAGCCTCCTTTTCTGCAATATCTAAGTGAATTGTTGTGAAGATCAAATTAGATTATTTACGAAAGCACTTAGCAAGATGCTTTCCTTGCTCCTTAAATGGTAGTAGTTAATTACTACTTAAAGTAGTAATTAACTACTTAGTAGGTAGTAGTTAACTACTACCTTAAATGGTAGTAGTTAATGTCTTGAAGCTTCCGTAACAATCTAGTCCAAAATTTTAGAATAAAATAATGGTCTAAAAATATGAACTTAAAAAAGTATGAAGTATTTTTAAATGTAAAGCAGTGGCCACAGGAAAAAAGTGTAATTAATGCAAAAAGCTAGTAGCAGGTATTTTTGCTTTCTGTTTTTTTTTTTTTTTTTTTTTTAAGAGGTGGAGTCTTGCTATATTGCCCAGGCGGCCCAGGCTGGACTCAAACTCTTGGGCTCAAGTGATCCTCTCACCTCAGCCTCCTGAGTAGCTGGAACTACAGGCACATGCCACCATACCCAGCTTGAATGCTTTTTAAACTATTCAAAACTACTGCTATATGAAGACACTAATGAAGTAGAGTGTTCATTAAGTAATGTAATAGGGTCAGGCGCGGTGGCTCACGCCTGTAATCCCAACACTTTGGGAGGCCAAGGTGGGCAGATCACATGAGGTCAGGAGTTGAGACCAGCCTGGCCAACATGGCGAAACCCCATATGTACTAAAAATACAAAAATTAGCTGGTTATGGTGGCACGTGCCTGTAATCTCAGCTACTCAGGAGTCTGAGTCAGGAGAATTGCTTGAACCCGGGAGGTAGATGTTGCAGCGGGCCAAGATAATGCTACTGCACTCCAGCCTGGGGGACAGAATGAGATTCCATCTCAAAAAAAAAAAAAAAAAAAAATGTAGGCTGGGCACGGTGGCTCACGCCTGTAATCCCAGCACTTTGGGAGGCAGAGGTGGGTGGATCACGAAGTCAGGAGTTCGAGAACAGCCTGGCCAACATGGTGAAACCTCGTCTCTACTAAGGATGCAAAAAATTAGCTGGGTGTGGTGGCACGCGCCTGTAATCCCAGCTACTTGGGAGGCTGAGGCAGGAGAATCCCTTGAACTTGGGAGGCGGAGGTTGCAGTGAGCCGAGATCAGGCCATTGCACTCCAGCCTGGGAAACCGGGCAAGACTCTGTCTCAGAAAAAAAAAAAAAAAAAAAAGTAATGTAATACAAATACCTCAAATCCTCAGCAGTCTTTCAGTAGGTCCTTATTCCAGAGTATATGGAATATATTTACCTTTTACCTGAAATATAAGGCATTTGTTCTTCACAGTTCATTCTTATGTTAATTCTATGATGTATATGTTTTTGTCACTTATTGCAACTCAGTAAGGCAGTAATATATTAAATATTGAAATACCAGAACTGTTATTTTGCTCCACTGTTGCAATTACTTGATGGCAATGGTCATCTGAAACTTAATGTGGTCAAAACTAAATTTTTAATTTTCTCTCAAACCTGCACCTCCTTAAGTATTCTCTGCCTTACTGAATGCAGTTTTTCTTTCTCATACCCAATGTCCAATTTTAAAGTACAATAAACTTTCAAAATCAATTCTGAATCGAAACCCTTCTCATCACCTCAACTGCTTCTCTAGTTCAATAACCATCATCTTTAACTTGGAATGCTATAACAGCCTTTAAAGTCTTTCTGTTTCACTCTTGAACCCCTTCAATCTTTTCAACACAGCAGCCAGTTTTTTGTTTTGTTTTTTTTTTGAGACAGAGTCTTGCTCTATTGCCCAGGCTGGAGTGCAGTGGCACAATCTCGGCTCATTGCAACCTCCACCTCCTGGGTTCAAGTGATTCACCTGCCTCAGCCTCCCAGGTAGCTGGGATTACAGGCGTGCACTACCACCCCTGGCTAATTTTTGTTTTTGTTTTTATTTTTAAATACAGAGTCTTGCTCTTGTCGCCCAGGCTGGAATGGCTCAATCTTGGCTCACTGCAACCTCTGCCTCATGGCCGGGCGCAGTGGCTCATGCCTGTAATCCCAGCACTTTGGGAGGCCGAGGCAGGCAGTTCGTGAGGTCATGAGATCGAGACCAGCCTGGCCAACATGATGAAACCCCAAAAATACAAAAATGAGCTGGGCATGGTGGCGGGCGCCTGTAATCCCAGCTACTGGGGAGGCTGAGGCAAGAGAATCACTTGAAATCAGAAGGTGGAGGTTGCAGTGAGCCGAGATCGCTCCACGACACTCCAGCCTGGGTGGAAGAGCGAAACTCCATCTCAAAAAAAAAAAAATCTCATTAATAGTATTCTGTATTTAATACATGTTGCGTATATTGGTTAAGTAAAATATCAAAATCTCACCCTTTTTTTAAAAAATGTGGGCCGGGCACCGTGGCTCACGCCTGTAATCCCAGCACTTTGGGAGGCCGAGGTGGGTGGATCACAAGGTCAGGAGATCGAGACCATCCTGGCTAACATGGTGAAACCCCATCTCTACTAAAAAATGCAAAAAATTAGCCGGGCATGGTGGCGGGCGCCTGTAGTCCCAGCTACTTGGGAGGCTGAGGCAGGAGAATGGCGTGAACTCGGGAGGCAGAGCTTGCAGTGAGCCGAGATCGTGCCACTGCCCTCCAGCCTGGGCGACAGAGCGGGACTCTGTCTCAAAAAAAAAAAAAAATGTGGCTACTAGAAAATTTAAAAATATATAGGTGGTTTCAATATTTCAATTGAATAGTGCTATACAGGATATTTACATTGCATGTTTTACCACCACCTCTTCAGAAAGGCCTTCCCTGATCGTCCTATCTAAAATAGCACCCCTCCATCACTATTCATTTTATTTTTTGTTTGTTTTTGATTTTTGAGGCTGAGTCTTGCTCTGTTGCCCAGGCTGGAGTGCACTGGTGTGATCTCAGCTCACTGCAACCTCTGCCTCCAGGGTTCAAGTGATTCTCCTGCCTCAGCCTCCTGAGTAGCTGGGACTACAGGCACATGCCACCATGCCCTGCTATTTTTGTATTTTTAGCAGAGATGGGGTTTCACCATGTTGGCCAGGCTGGTCTCGCACTTCTGACCTCAGGTGATTTGCCTGACTCGGCCTCCCAAAGTGCTGGCATTACAGGCATGAGCCACCGGGCTGGCCTATTATTTATTTATTTATTTATTTTTGAGACAGAGTCTCACTCTGTCGCCGAGGCTGGAGTGCAATGGCGCGATCTGGGCTCACTGCAACCTCTGCCTCCCAGGTTCAAGCTATTCTCCTGCCTCAGCGAGTAGCTGAGATTATAGGCGCATGCCACCACGCTCGGCTAATTTTTTTGTATTTTTAGTAGAGATGGGGTTTCACCATGTTGGTCAGGCTGGTCTCGTACTCCTGACCTCATGATCCGCCCAACTCGGCCTCCCAAAGTGCTGGGATTACAGGCCTGAGCCACCGGGCCTGGCCTACCGGCCTATTACTCACTTTATTCTGGCTTCTTTTTCTCAGCATTTATCACTACTGGTCATATAATAAGCATATAAAATAATTTTGTCTCTCCCTCTAATATGTAGTTCCATGAAAGCGGGGATTTTGTCACGGCTGTATCCCCAGTACTCTGAACAGTTCTGTACACGTATTAGGTATTCAATACATAGTTGCAGAATGGTCATTGTTCTGCCATGATAAAATCCCGTGTTAGAGAGTTGGATGGATAGTGTCTTAAGGGCTGTACGTTAATTTTGACGAATAAATCAAAAATTCAAATTTCTGAGTCTCTCAACATGTCAACCCTGTGTTTCCAAATACTTGGACATGTTACTTTGTATGTCTTCAAGTTCATTTTTCTGCCATCTCCAATCTGCTATTAAACCCATCTGATGAATTTTTCATTTCAGTTATTGTTCTTTGCAGTTCTAGAATCTCATTAGGATTTTTATAATTTCCGTGTCTGTGCTGAGATTCCCTATCTGTTCTTTCATTAACATATTTTCATTTAATTCTTTAAACATATTTATAATAGCTCCATTAACAAATACAATAAAGGCTGGGTGCAGTGATTCATGCCTGTAGTCCTAGCACTTTGGGAAGCCGAGACGGGTGGATTGCCTGAGCTCAGGAATTCAAGACCAGCCTGGGCAACGTGGTGAAACCCTGTCTCCACTAAAATACACAAAAATTAGCTGGGTGTGGTGTTGCGTGCCTGTAGTCCTTCCCAGCTACTCAGGAGGATGAGGCACGAGAATTGCTTAAACCTGGGAGGTGGAGGTTGCAGTGAGCCAAGGTCGTGCCACTGCACTCCCTCCTGGGCGACAGAGCAAGACTGTCTCCAGGCCGGGTGCGATGGCTCACACCTGTAATCCCAGCACTTTGGGAGGCCGAGGCGGGCAGATCATGAGGTCAGGAGATCGAGACCATCCTGGCTAACACGGTGAAACCCCATCTCTACTAAAAATACAAAAAATTAGCCGGGCGTAGTGGTGGGCGCCTGTAGTTCCAGCTACTCGGGAGGCTGAGGCAGGAGAATGGTGTGAACCCGGGAGGCAGAGCTTGCAGTGAGCAGAGATCGAGCCACTGCACTCCAGCCTGGGTGACAGAGTGAGACTCCATCTCAAAAAAAAAAAAAAAGAAAAAAGAAAAGACTGTCTCCAAAACAAAACAAATAACAAAGTCCACCCCAATTTTAAAAAACTATGGACCACATTTTCTCGTCTCTTTGTAGGTCTAGTCATTTTTTCGGGAACACTGGACATTATGAATAATAATGTTTTAGAGACTCTAGATTCTGTTATCTTCCCTGAAAAGTGATGATTCTTGTTTTAGCAGGCACTTCAGTTACTGAGTGGTCACCTAAACTTGTTGATGCTTGGTTTTATTTATACTTTGTTAGTTCACATCTATGGAAAGCCTAAGGAGACTTGCAAGCCCTACGTTGGCAGGACACAAGCTCCATACTCTGTTTCCCCTGCTAATCTTGTCAAGGCTTGACTTTAGGCTTTGATAAGGCAGATCTAGAGTAGGTCTTACTGTAGGGGATGGAGTTTACTCCTAATGTGCAGCCTTTCTAATGTTTCAGCTGTTGCTGCAATTTTTTTTTTTTTTTTGAGACAGAGTTTCCCTCTGTTGCCCAGGCTGAAGTACAGGGCATGATCTTGGCTCACTGCAACCTCTGCCTCCTGGGTTCAAGCGATTCTCGTGCCTCAGCCTCCCGAGTAGCTGGAATTACAGGCATGTGCCACCACACCCAGCTAATTTTTGTGTTTTTTTTAGTAGAGATGGGGTTTCGCCATGTTGGCCAGGCTGGTCTCAAACTCCCGACCTCAGGTGATCCACCTGCCTTGGCCTCCCAGTGTTGGGATTACAGGCATGAGCCACCCGCTCAGCCTGTTGCTGCAATTGTTAAAGATGTTCACCTTGGCAGGCCCAGAAATCCAATGTCCCTTAGCACTGCTTTTGTGCCAAAACTTCTTGGCCTCTGGTATCTCTATTCTGTTCTCAGCCCTGTAGCAACCGCTATCTGTAAGCATTAGATGGTCTTTTTTCTGAGCATGTATAGCCCAGTCCTTGGCCATGGACTTGTGGGGACCTCTATATGGATTTCTGGGGCTGCCTCTGTGAACAGCTCCCTATTCTCTGGTGTCCCACCCAACAGATTCCAAATGTCTCAGCTGCTCCCTATGATCTCTGCCTTCTCAGTTCAGCAGACCCACTGTCCTCTGCTCTTACTCCCAGCCTCTTTACACCACAAAAAGTGGAATGATTGTGGGGCTCACTGCCTAAGTTTCCCTTCTCTCAGGGATAGTAGTCTTGTGCTGGATGGAAATAGTTGCCTAATACATCTTGTCGAGTTTTATAGGTGCTACTAATCCAAGAGGGCTAGTCAAGTTACTCCAACATAGCCAGAAGCAGAAGTCTCCCTTTCCTTACCTCAGACTTTTTTCTTTAGTCAGAGTCTCACTCTGTCACCCAGGTTGGAATAGAGTAGTATGGTCATGGCTCACTGCAGCCTTGACCTCCTGGGCTCAAGTGTCCTCCCACCTCAGCATCCCAGACAGCTGGAACTATAGGCATACACCACTACAGGCATATACCTGGCTAATTTTTGTATTTTTTGTAGAGACAAGAGTTTCACCATGATGCCCAAGTTGGTCTTGAACTCCTGGGCTTAAGGAATCTGTCCACCTTGGCCTCTCAAAGTGCTGGGATTACAGGCACGAGCCACTGTGCCTGGCCTCCCTCAGATTTTTGAAGTGAAACTAAGGGAAGAGGAGAAGCCCCTCCCAGGTAGCAAAACTAAGAAAATATGATCTGTTAGAAGCCACAGTTAGAACTTTGAGGAGGGAGCTAGTTTGAGACAAGGTAGTAAGTAGAGGGAAGTAGAAATGGGAGTTGGTGAAACAAAGTCCTGGCAGCATTCCAGTCCTTGTTTCAGTTGTCTTTAAGTCCAGGGGATTCCTATTCTTTATGCACTTTTCTTACATGAACCATTACATTTCCCCCCTTTTTCTGGGTTAGTTGGTTGAATTTTCACTTGGAACTCTTAGTGAAGAGAGTTTTAAAAGAAACTGGGTAGGGTGCGGTGGCTCATGCCTGTAATCCCAGCGCTTTGGGAGGCCGAGGTGGATCACGAGGTCAAGAGATTGAGACCATCCTGGCCAACATGGTGAAACCCCGTCTCTACTAAAAATACAAAAATTAGCTGGGCGTGGTGGCACATGCCTGTAGTCCCAGCTACTCGGGAGGCTGAGGCATGAGAATCGCTTGAACCCGGGAGGCAGAGGTTGCAGTGAGCCGAGATCGCACCACTGCACTCCAGCCTGGTGACAGAGCTAGACTCCGTTTCAAAACAAAACAAAACAAAACAAAACAAAAAAATTAGAACTGAATGTCGATGGCCCACATGTGATGTGAAAACTCTATAACCTAGACTGAAAATGTATTAATGACACACTGTCCCATTGAAACCATATGCCGCACATGAGAGAATAGGTGTTTCTAAGGTCAGCCCCATTATGGAAAGTGACTACCTTCCTGATACAGTTTGGCTCTGTGTCCCCACCCAAATCTCATCTCGAATTGTAATCCTCCTGTGTAGAGGCAGGGACCTGGTGAGAGGTGACTGGTTAATGGCGAGGGTTTCCCCCATGCTGTTCTCGTGATAGTGAGTGAGTTCTCACAAGATCCAATGGTTTTAAAAATGGCAGTTTCCTGTGTGCACACTTTCTCTCCTGCCACCATGTAAAATGTGCCTTGCTTCCCTTTTGCCTTCTGCCATGACTGTAAGTTTCCTGAGGCCTCCCCAGCCATGCGGAACTGTGAGTCATTAAACCTCTTTCCTGTATAAATTACCGAGTCTCAGGTAGTACCTTTATAGCAGTGTGAAAACAGTCTAATACACTTCCTCGTAAGTATGTTGTTGCTTTTTTTCTGAGACGGAGTCTAGCTCTGTCGCCCAGGCTGGAGTGCAGTGGCTCGATCTTGGCTCACTGCAACCTCCGCCTCCTGGGTTCAAGCGATTCTCCTGCCTCAGCCTCCCAAGTAGCTGGGATTACAGGCGCACGCCACCAAGCCCGGCTAATTTTTGTGTTTTTTTAATAGAGACAGGGTTTCACCATGTTGGCCAGGCTGGTCTCGAACTCCTGACCTTGTGATCCGCCTGCCTCAGCCTCCCAAAGTGCTGGGATTACAGGCGTGAGCCACCACACCTGTCTTGTTGTTGCTTTTTTTAAAAACAAATTCTCTGTCCTCATATTCAAGCAAATTTTGTTGTTACATGATTACAGGAATGAGAAGCCCAAAAGACACAATCTTAAGATTTCTTCAAACTGTGTCATATTTTAGAAATGATTTTGAAGTCATATTCACTTTTCTTCTAAAATCATCTTTCCATGTATATTTGCTTCATTTTATTTATGGGTCAGTAGCAATACCTAAACTTACAAGGCTCTCCCTATCTTGACCCCTCCATACTTCTTCAGCCTCATTTCTCTCTCCCTTGCATATTCCATTCCAGCCAAATAACTGTAATGTTTTAGTTCAGTAAAATCTAATTGTTTGGACCCTTAGAACATTCATTCATTCATTGATTTATTTGAGACAGAGTCTTGCTCTGTCACCCAGGCTGGAGTGCAGTGGTGATCTTGGCTTACTGTGACCTTCGCCTCCCGGGTTCAAGCGATTCTCCTGCCTCAGCCTCCTGAGTAGCTGGGATTACAGGCGCACGCCACCACCTCCAGCTAATTTTTGTCTTTTTAGTAGAGACACGGTTTCACCATGTTGGTCAGGCTGGTCTCGAACTCTTGACCTGGTGATCTGCCCGCCTCAGCCTCCCAAAGTGCTGGGATTATAGGAGTGAGCCACTGCGCCCAGCCAGGACTTTTATTTTTAATAGCTCTTTAACACTATTTAAAGTTGTCTTGTTCATTTGTTTACTTGTGTATTGTCTGACTGCCCCCACTTGAATGTACGCTCCATGCGAACAGAGACCTTGTCTATCTTATCCACTTATCTTAATACCTAGAACAATGCTGGGCACATAATAGGCATTCAATATTTGTTGAATAAACTAGACCTACAGTAAAGAGCCCTGGTGTAAAAATATTTGGTTTTCAGGACGGGTATGGTAGCTCATGCCTGTAATCCCAGCACTTTGGGAGGTCAAGGCAGGTGGATCACCTGAGGTCAGGAGTTTGAGACCAGCCTGGCCAACATGGTGAAACCCTGTCTCTACCAAAAATACAAAAATTAGCCAGGTGTGGTGGCACGTGCCTGTAATCCCAGCTACTTGGGAGGCTGAGGCAGGAGAATTGCTTGAATCCGGGAGACAGAAGTTGCAGTGAGCTGAGATGCGCCACTGCACTCCAGCCTGGGCAACAGAGTGAGACTCCGTTTCAAAAAAAAAAATTTGGTTTTTTAGTTTAGCTTAACTTAAAATGAGTGCTAAACTTACTCAGATTTTAGTGTTAAAATGTATTTACATCATGGGTGTGATGTTTGTGTATGTATTAGAATCAGCAAAACAGTGAAACAAGTTTAATTTTTAATTTATTAGAACCCAGTAAATGATGATTTTAAAAGCAGAGTTTCCATCAAATTAACACTTAATTCAGGGCAAAAATACATTTAAAAAACCTAAATCTTAAGGCAGAAGTAAAACATTATAAAAACAGTATGTCTAATACAGACTGTAAAATGTCAGATTTTTAAGAGATTCACATAGTATTTTATAGCACTAAAATATTAATACAGTCAGAAATATTATCAATTGGTCCAAGATTTCTGTTTATAAAATGTCTAGACTGCTAATTGAAGAAATGTTGCTGTATAAGTAATAGCTACAATACAACCAACCAAGTGATTGTTTTTATGACAAAAGAACTAAGGCAGGTAATTGCATGGTTTCCATTTGTAAAGCTTTTGCAGTATTAAAATATAAAGCATTACTAGGGGTATTTTTTGATTCATCTCCCTACCCTAATGCCCCCGAAATGTACATCACTTCCCTTTAACTCTATTTTAAAATTCTGTGAAACCACCATACCTATTCATTGTAGGCCTGACCCTATAAAGGCATGAATTGTTTAATTTGATATGGTAGAAAAACAATTTTAGTAAACTACTACATCTTTTCCTAGTCATTGAGCAATTTCAAACAGAAGTCTTAAGAATTTTTGCACCTCAGCAAGTGAACAACCTGTTTCTTTACCACTATAAGTTTGAATTTTGCCTAGAATGTGTTAGTACACAGGGGAAAACACATTTCATGTTTATGTGCAATTAACAGTAGCCCTTCTGAAAAACAGGGTTAACAATCTTAAATTTCCCCTTGTGATCAAAACCTTTTGTTTTTAGGGGGCAGGATAAGATTTAAAAGTGCTTTAAATCAGAAAACAAGAATTAGCTAGCTTACACATTCCACTGAATAGTGTCAAAAAAGATAAATGCATTTAAAATAATTTGTAAGTCTAGCAAATATAAGCTTGACGGGTTCTTAACTAACATATTAAGTAATTACAAAGATTCATTTTTTTACAAACTTTTAAGCTATTTTAATAAAATGGCTATAGACCTCACTGTACTTCTATTTATCTGTGCATTAATAAAAACCTGTTAAAATTCCTTATTTAGTACTTCTGAAAAAGTCTAATCAAATAAGATCACTAAAATTACCAGAAAAGCTTTGAAATACTGATTGCAGATTCATTTCAAAGTAGATTTAACCCCTTTCAGGATCTGGTGTTTAAATCATGAATGTCTTCACCAACTTCAACTCTGAAAATATAAAAATTTTAGCCAGTTCTGGCTATAGTTAAACAGTACTGGTATTACTTGAAAAAATAAAAATTAAAAATATATTGTCAATCATGCATTCCACAATTTCAAGAACTAAGATATAACTCATAAATACTGTTATGTCTTTGCAGGTTATCTCAATTTCCATCAGGCCTCAGCTGAAAGCTCATCTGCCAAAACACATCAGCACTCATGTAAAATAAAAGGAGTAGGGAGGTGACTTTCTACACAATACTGTACAGTGTTTGGCTTCCAGTTTCCCTCTTGTGTGTAACTATTCTAGGTATGACTCCTTGAGCGTGAAATGAGGGGTAGATAGAACAGAACAGCTGTTGGGCTAACAAGAATTAGTGTGTAGACTGGGCGCAGTGGCTCATGCCTGGAATTCCAGCACTTTGGGAGGCCAATGCAGGAGGATCACCTGAGGTCAGGAGTTCAAGACCAGCCTGGCCAACATGGTGAAACCCGTCTTTATTAAATATACAATTATTAGCTCTCTATTAAAAATACAAAAATTAGCTGGGCATGGTGGTGGGTGCCTGTAATCCCAGCTACTTGGGAGGCTGAGGCAGGAAAATTGCCTGAACCCAGGAGGCGGAGGTTGCAGTGAGCCAAGATTGTGCCATTGCACTCCAGCCTGGGAAACAAGACTAAAACTCTGTCTCAAAAAAAAAAAAAAAAAGAATTAGAGTATAAAAAGTTTTCTGCTGAATATCTGTTCTGTTCTTACTGTGGTTATGCTATGCCACATATAACCTGTACAACTATTTTGTCCTGTTTATCTATTTGTGGAAATAAGTCGGCTCAATAAAATGTGAAATATACATTAGTTTGCTTTAGATGCAAAGATTAGCTGTTTTTGGCTTAACTGTATCATAACCAAAAAAGTCTATACCTTGATAATACAATATGAAAAAGTTCACATATGTACATGGGTACATTCCTTCATTAAAGTTTTTCCTTAATTCTATCTCAATGTATCTTTACAACTGATACAATTCGTCTTTACAACAAAAGTCAGAAAGGACAAAGTAGAATGATTTCATTTTACAGCACTTTAGGTTTTCTGAAGCATTCCTTTAGGACTTAAAGGACATCATTGAAATGTTGCTTTCCATAGTCTGCAGGATCCATTTGAAGCTCTCGTTCTTCATCATCTGTAAGTAAAATAATTTTGTATCAACATATTATTTTTTAAATCACTGCAGAAATCCAATTAATGTCTCAGTTTTTCATAGCCTTAAGGTAGTTTCCTGCTTGTTATTTTACACCTAGTACAAATAGTGTTCTATTTCTTAGTTGCTTGGCTAAAGAGTGAAAAGTATGTGGAACTATTTTGCAAGATTAATTTTAACAAATCTTTAGAAAATAGACATAGATGACAGACAAACAGAAATAGAGCCAGATAGACATAACTAGTAAAACTTTAGGAACGCACAAATATTGAGGAGTTAATATTTTTATATAAATGTAGTCTTTTTTTTTTTTTTGAGACCGACTCTCACTCCGTTGCCTAGGCTGGAGTGCAGTGGTGCGATCTTGGCTCACTGCAACCTCTGTCTCCCAGGATCAAGCGATTCTCCTACCTCAGCCTCCCAAGTAGCTGGCACTACAGGCACCTGTCACCATGCCTGGCTAATTTCTGTATTTTTAGTAGAGACGGGGTTTTACCATGTTGGCCAGGCTGGTCTCAAACTCTTCACCTCAGGTGATCTGCCCACCTCGGCCTCCTAAAGTGCTGGGATTACAGGCGTGAGCCACAGTGCCCAGCCTAAATATATTATTTCTATATAGATGATATTTAGTCCTTTAAATTAAAGCTTTGGTAGAAACATTTCTGTACACATTTTCAGGCTTTTAAACATCAATTTTTTTTTCTAAATTATAAAAGTATCCAATATTAGTATTTTTAAAATTATAAAAGACAGAAAAATAAAAGTCACTCATAATCCCAACATTTAACATTTTAGTGAATTTCTTTACGTCTCTGCAAAAGTAGCTTCCTCTTGGCTTCCTAAATGGGGTATAACAACCAAAGTTTAACCTTTTCTTAACTAAACAGAAAAAAAAGATTACTGTTACTAAAATCCTCAAAGCCTCTTTGAGTGGCTGTATTAAATTACTCCAAATAGTGCTATGGAGTTTGATTTATTTGGCTATTACAGATTTTTCTGGCTCTTTCTTGGCTATGAGTTGTGATCACTTTGCCTTCTTGTCAATTTACCTGCCAATAGCAATCCTTCTTTTCTAATTTTGCTGCAAATTACAGGTTTTGAAATGAGACTGCTGAAGAGGTTTTTTTGTTTGTTTGTTTGTTTGTTTTTCTGAGACAGAATCTTGCTCTGTTGGCCAGGCTCAAGTGTAGTGGTATTATCATGGCTCACTTGCAGTCTCAACCTCCCGGCCTCAAGTAATCCTCCCACCTCAACCTCCCAGGTAGCTGGGACCACAGGTGCACGCCACCACACCAGGCTACATTTTGTATTTTTTGTAAAGACAGGGTTTTGCCATTTGCCCAGGCTAGTCTGGAACTCCTGGGCTCAAGTGATCCACCGGCCTCAGCCAAGAGTATTAAAATTATATTAGAACAAGAATGAAAAGTATTTTGATGAGAGCCTTGGAGAGTCCCTTTGGAGTACATGGATTTTTTTTTTTTTTTTTTTTGAGATGCAGTCTCATTCTGTCGCCCAGGCTGGAGTGCAGTTGCATGATCTCAGCTCAATGCAACCTCTGTCTCCTGGGTTCAAGGGAATCTCCTGCCTCAGCCTCCTGAGTGGCTGGGACTAAAGGCGCTTGCCACCGCACCCAGCTAATTTTTGTATTTTTAGTTTCACCATGTTGGCCAGGCCGGTCTCAAACTCCTGGCCTTGTGATCTACCTGCCTCAGCCACCCAAAGTACTGGGATTACAGGCATAAGCCACCGCGCCTGGCGTAGAGTACATGGATTTTTATGATATCTTTTGGCTTCTCTGCAGACTTAAAAAATCACTTTTCTTACATTCTGGGTCACATACTATTACCCAATAGCTTAATTTTTGTTAATATAATTTAAAGAAAGTCATACATTGGAATCTAAATTCATATGTATACTATAGTTTTCTAAAAACTATTACTTTAGGTATGAGAGGTTTTAACACTCTAAAACTTTCTTCTTTCAAAAATGCAAAACAGGCCAGGCATGGTTGTCCAAGCTTGCAATCCCAGCACTTTGGGAGGCAGAGGCAGGCAGATCACTTGAGCTCAGGAGTTTGAGACCAGCCTGGGCAACATGCTGAAACCCAGTCTCTACTAAAAATACAAAATTTAGCCAGGCATGGTTGTGTGTACCTGTAGTCCCAGCTACTCAGGAGGCTGAGGTAGGAGGATTGCTTGAGCCTGGGAGGTGGAGGTTGCAGTAAGCAGAGATCACACCACTGCACTCCAGCCTGGGTAACAGAGTTAAACCCTATCTCAAAAAAAAAAAAAAAAAAAAAAAAAAGTCAAACAAACCAACTTTCTTTTTCAACAACTTTCCTGTTAAACTTACAGAAATTTTCATTTCTAGAATTTCAGGTAACCATTTTGCACCTTTTTTTTTTTTTTTTTTTTGATACAGGGTCTCAGTCCCATCACTCAGGTTGGAGTACAGTGGCACAATCTCGGCTCACTGCAGCCTCAACTTCCCAGGGCTCAAGGGATCCTCCCACTTCAACTTTCTGAGTAGCTAGGACTACAGGCACACACCACATGCCCAGCTAATTTTTCCTTTTTTTTTTTTTTGTAGAGACAGGGTTTCACCATGTTGCCCAGGCTGGCCTTTAACTCCTGGGTTCAAGCGATCTGCCCACCTTAGCCTCCCGAAGTGCTGGAATTACAGCTGTGACCACTGCACCCAGCCTACCCCATATTCTTAACAAATGATCTATCTTTAAATAGTATAATCCACTAGGTATGATAATCCCAAATCTGTCTTAATATGTGTTAAAGCCTGAAATTATATCCATTTCACACTTTTACTTTATATACATGCTAATCAATTATCAATGAACTCTTTACTTAAAAAAAATTATGTATATATTTTTGAGACGGAGTCTCACTGGGTCGCCCAGGCTGGAGCGCAGTGGCGCGATCTCAGCTCACTGCAAGCTCCGCCTCCCAGGTTCGCGCCATTCTCCTGCCTCAGCCTCCCGAGTACAGGCGCCCGCCACCACGCCCAGCTAATTTTTTTGTATTTTTTTAGTAGAGACGGGGTTTCACCGTGTTAGCCAGGATGGTCTCGAACTTCTGACCTCGTAATCCGCCCGCCTCGGCCTCCCAAAGTGCTGGGATTACAGGCATGAGACACCGCGCCCAGCCTATCTTTGTTTTTAAAAGGGAAAATAATCACGGGTACCTCTCCAGAAAGCTCTCCTTAGGATCCACATTATAGAACCTCACCTTATGGCTATAAACACATCTTTTAGGACTTTAATATAATGATTAAATTAAGATAAGACTTAATCATCATGTAGCAGTGGATAATTTTCTAGAAATTTAATAGGAAAGTTATTGAAAGGAAAAGGTGTCTTTACTTTTTGGGATTTTTTTTTTTTTTTTTTAGACGAAGTCTTGCTCTGTTGCCCAGGCTGGAGTGCAGTGGCACGAATTCGGCTCATTGCAACCTCCGCCTCCCGGGTTCAAGCGATTCTCCTGCCTCAGCCTCTTGAGTAGCTGGGATTACAGGCGTGCGCCACCATGCCCGGATAATTTTTGTATTTTTTTTTTTTTTAGTAGAGACGGGGTTTTACCATGTTGGTTAGGCTGGTCTCGAACTCCTGACCTCGTGATACACCTGGCTCGGCCTCCCAAAGTGCTGGTATTACAGGCGTGAGGCACAGCGCCCAGCATTTTTTTTTTTTTTTTTTTTTTTTTTTTTTTTTTGAGAGAGAGGGTCTTGCTGTTGTAGCCGAGCCTGTTAGTGCAATGGCGAGATCTCGGCTCACTGCAACCTCCGCCTCCCAGGTTCCAGCAATTCTCCTGCCGCAGCCTCCCGAGTTGCTGAGATTACAGGGGCCCGCCATCACGCCCAGCTAATTTTTTTGTATTTTTAGTAGAAACAGGTTTTCCCCATGTTGGCCAGACTGGTCTCGAACTCCTGACCTCAGGCGATCCACCCGCCTCGGCCTCCCAAAGTGCTAGATTACAGGCATGACCCACCGCGCCCAGCCACTTTTTGGGCTTTTTTTTTTTGAGACGGAGTCTTGCTCTGTCGCTCAAGCTGGAGTGCAGTGGCGCGATCTTGGCTCACTGCAAGCTCTGCCTCCCGGGTTCACGCCATTCTCCTGCCTCAGCCTCCCGAGTAGCTGGGACTACGGGTGCCCGCCATCACGCCCGGCTAATTTTTTGTATTTTTAGTAGAGAGTAGAGATGGGGTTTCACCTTGTTAGCCAAGATGGTCTCGATCTCCTGACCTCGTGATCCAGCTGCCTCAGCCTCCCAAAGTGCTGGGATTACAGGCATGAGCCACCGTGCCCGTCCTTTTTGGGATTTGTTTGTTTGCTTGTTTGTTTTGAGACGTAGTCTCGCTCTGTTGCCCAGGCTGGAGTGCAGTAGGCGATCTCGGCTCACTGCAAGCTCCGCCTCCTAGGTTCACACCATTCTCCTGCCTCAGGCTCCCCAGTAGCTGGGACTACAGGCTCCCGCCGCCACTCCGGGCTGAATTTTTTTTGTATTTTTAGTAGAGACGGGGTTTCACCATCTTAGCCAGGAGGGTGTGATCTGCCCTCCTTGGCCTCCCAAAATGCTGGGATTACAGGAGTGAACCACCGCGCCTGGCCCTTTTTGGAATTTTTAAGTGAACAAATAAAAAGCGAAATCAGGATAAGAGCAAATGTCTAGGAACAGAAAAACAAATGTACTCCCAGCTCACGTACTTAACAAACATGATCTAGTTCCTAAAATTATTTGGACCTGTAATTATCTTCTCAGGAAAATAGAGATAACAACTGTGTTTCCTACCTCAAAATAATATACATGAAGGCAGTCATTACTTGCAATGTCCTCAATAAATATGAAGTATTTTTTTGTTAATTTATACCTGTTAGCAAAGTTTTAATATGGTATCTTCACATTGTTTTCAGAATTTCATAGGACTTTTAAATTAACTGGAGTTCATATTCAGTGTAGCTATTCTACCCAGAATTCAAGTTTCTACCAACAACCTCTTTGCATTTATCTGTAAAGCAGTAGTACATGATTATGAAATCACCTAACCAAATCTAATGTAGAATAACAGATAACCACTAAATATAATTATAAGAACTAATATTTTAGTTCCTTTTAGGAAGCAGCAAAATTTTAAATAGTTCATCAAGGTAAAATGAATATTAAAGGAATATTTTAAAGATATCCATAGTTTATTAAATAATTCCTAAATTCCCTCTGAAGTCAAGAAAGGCCACCTCCATTAAAGAAAGCGCTACCATGGCTGGGTGTGGTTGCTCACGCCGTAATCCCAGCACTTTGGGAGGCTGAGGCGGGCAGATCATGAGGTCAGGAGTTCAAGACCAGCCTGGCCAACATGGTGAAACCCTGTCTCTTGTAAAAATACAAAAATCAGCTGGACGTGATGGTGGACGCCTGTAATCCCAGCTACTCAGGAAGCTGAGGCAAGAGAATTGCTTGAACCTGGGAGGGGGAGGTTGCAGTGAGCTGAGATTACGCCATTGTACTCCAGCCTGGGCGACAAAAAAAAAAAAAAAAGATAAAAGAAAGAAAGCTCTATCGCCTGGGTGCAGTGGCTCACGCCTGTGATCCCAACACTTTGGGAGGCTGAGGGAAGTGGATAGCTTGAGCTCAGGAGTTTGAAACCAGCCTGGGCAATATAGCAAGACCCCATCTTAGAAAATAAAAAAAATTTAAAAAAAAAGCAAGAATTCGGGGCAAAAAGCCAGTGAGGAGCCAGGTGCAGCGGCTCATGCCTATAATCCGAACACTTTGGGAGACCGAGGTGGCCTGATTGCTTGAGTCCAGGAGTTTAAGACCAGCCTGGGAAACATGGGAAACATGGCTAAATCCTGCCACTACAAAAAATACAAAAAACTAGCCAGCCGTGGTGGTGCATGCCTGTAGTCCCAGATACTCAGGAGGCTGAGGTGGGAGGATCACTTGACCCCAGGAGGTCGAGGCTGCAGTAAGCCATGATCATGCCACTGCACTCCAGCCTGGGTGACAGAGGGACACCCTGTCTCCAAAAAATATATATATATAAATATATAATATAAATATATCATAAATTATAATATAAATATATTAAATATATAATATAAATATAAATATATATAATAGAAATATGTTATAAATATATAATAGAAATATATTATAAATATATAACCATTTATATATCTATATAAATATATTATAAATATGCAAACATTTTTATTAAAATAGAATATATTTTATATATTGTTTATATATAATTTATATATATACTTACATATATAAATAATTGTAAACACAGGAAAAATAGGCCTCAATTCTACAAAACACTCTACAAGTAGTGCTGACCCCAATGATTAATATGAAATGAACAGGTATCAGATAAAAGGCTGGAATGCTTCAGCTCCCTACTGGCAGATATGCTGCCAAAGCCTCAATTCATAATACACAATTTTGGAGACCAAAGCCAAAGTATATTTAGGTGAAGCCAGAATCTTATCCTGCAGCTGGAATCTCTAATCCTAGGGACCTCACAACTTAAGAAACTACTCCTACTACTAGAGAGCAGAGAAGAGCCCCTATTGATTGAGCATTAAGTGTGTGCTTCATTTTTTGTTATCTTTCACTGTAGAGTCACAATAGTGGCAATAAAGTTTCTACTTTCTTTCATGGATTTGGGAATAGATCTGTTTCAGACATCCTGAAATCTGAAACATATTTTCTCATAATACTTGTGTTATATATAATGATTCCAACTTGAATGTGGCCACAGAATTTTAAAACTGAGAAAGATCATTTATTCTAATTCAGCAGTCTTCATACAGATGAAGAAATTGTGGCCCAGAGAGTTTAAGTGACTTGAAAAGCAATACACAGACTATCTCTTGATTCTAGACTAATGTTTTTTTCTTTTTTTCTTTCTTTTTTTGAGACAGAGTCTCGTTCTGCTACCTAGGCTGGAGTGCAATGGTGCAATCTCGGCTTACCACACGTCTGCCTCCCGGGTTCAAGCAATTCTCCTGCCTCAGCCTCCCAAGTAGCTGGGACTACAGGCGCCTGCCACCACACCCAGCTAATTTTTGTATTTTTTAGTAGAGAGGTTGGCCAGGCTGGTCTCGAAATCCTGACCTCAGGTGATCCGCCTGCCTTGGCCTCCCAAAGTTCTGGGATTACAGGTGTGAGCCACTGCGCCTGGCTGACTAATGTTTTTTTCTACTCTATGTTCTGCCTGCTTTGGCTACAAGTGCAAACCATACTGGGAACCCAACCATTACTTCCACATTGGCACAGTAATGAACATTTGGAATCCAACTTGTTGATAAATTAGGGAACAGCCATAATTACCTCTCCCTACTTTTTGGACAGTTAATAATATACCTAAAGAATCCCTGGATGGCCAGGTGTGGTGGCTCATGCCTGTAATCCCAGCACTTTGGGAGGCTGAGGCGGGTGGATCACTTGAGGTCAGGAGTTCGAGGCCAGCCTGACCAACATGGTGAAACCCCCATCTCTACTAAAAATACAAAACTTAGCTGGACGTGGTGGTGCACGGCTGTAGTCTCAGCTACTCAGGAGGCTGAGGCAGGAGAATCGCTTGAACCTAGGAAGCAGAGGTTGCAGTGAGCTGAGATCGCACCACTGCACTCTAGCCTGGGTGAGACAGAGTGAGACTCCGTCTCAAAAAAAAAAGCAAAAAAACACACAAAAATCAACTCTACAACAGGAAGATTCAGCTTCAGCCTGGGTGACAGAGCAAGACTCTGTCTCAATTAAAAAAAAGGATCCCTGGAAACATGTTAACAATTATTTAGGTCTCCTCAGTATTCCTTTTTAGTCAGTTCACCCAAACTTATCCCTCTTTATTTGTTGGAGCTGATGTTCCTGCATCTTTTTGTTCTTGGTCCCCTTTGTAGGTGCCCTATCCTGCCACTATCATCTAGAGAATGCCAGAATGAGACAAGAAATGTTAAATGGCAACACTCAGCTCACGTAAGATTAACTTGCAAATAGGGAAATCCAAAAATGTAACAGCCCCTTCTCTACTTCACTGAGGACATCATCTTTTGTCATTTCCTTATATTCCTTAGTATCGGTGAATTTATTTTCTTGTGAAAGGAATGGGAGGGCAACATGAGGGTCTTGGGGACTTGAAGTAGAAGGTGGCAGTAAGAACCAGGGGAGGAAGAAGGAGAAGAGTACAAGAAAGGGAGAGAGAAGGCACTGAAAATAAATCTACTTACAATAGATTGAAATCCATACAAATATTAAATCAAAATTTTCTGACAATTATCACCTTTAAGATATAAGAAATGATTGACAACAAAGATTGAGATAAACCACTATAATAAAAACCTCAAAATTATCCAATGAGATGAAAAAGCCCTTACAAAAATTAGAGAATATTGAAAGTGTAAACCAAGCAACCTTGTAATACCAGAAGTTAAAGAGTTATTACCCTAGTCACAGTTATAAGAATAAATGCTCAACGAGAAAAGCATGCAATTATCAGTTAAAGACAATGTGCAAAGTACTGTGGCGGGTGGGTGATGTGCAAAGTACTGTGGGGGGTGGGTATAAAGGTAGAAAAGGATACAAACAAAATGGAAGGCAAAATAAATAAAAATTCCTGCCCTCCAAGAGCTTACAATCTAATTGGTGATATGATATACATGCATGAAAAAGCCTTAAAACGTTATAAATAATTGCAAATAAATATAATCCAAACAAATCACAAAAGCAATGAGAAAAAATGATAAAATTTATGAAAAAAGGATGAGATTATAGAAAAAGTACATAATATTGTAAGGTTATATTTATATCAATATCAATATTACCAAAAAGTGTTTGAAAAATTCTTATAAATATAACCTTATATAACTCCTAGCACATATGAATCTCTTTTCTATCCCCAATAATCATAATTTTCCTAAACTAAAATGAACTATGAAAACAGTGCCTAGGTAAAAGTCAGTCTCTAGTTTCCCTTTTTTCTACAAACCATATAATTTTCTAGAACAACTACATTTTCTTCTGGGTTTTATAAAAACAATGCTTGTCATGAGCCTAAATAAAAATTTAATTACTTTAAAAACAGCTAAGGAAGAAATCAAAGCATGTTATGATGAAAAATTTCCATGTATCACATAAAAATGTAATGTATCACACACTAAGGTCACAATCAACTTTTATAGAAAAGAGAAATAGCTCCACAAATACTACTAAACAATATAAGCAGGCAGAAAACTAGCCTAAAAACTTGTAATAGAGTAAAACACTCTGATATGCATGCATGGGTAGGGCTGCATGCACACAGGTAGATTCTGAACTTTCACTAAGTTAAATGCTCAGCAGAAGTAACACAGTGAATAAGAAAAATATGTTGAATCTGTGTAATAAATATAAAAAAAACTCTTCACATATTGATTGTTAAATATAAATTTTAAGCCTCTCAGAAAAAATTCAAAAATAGCCTTCCTCTGCTATGTCAGTGGTGAAATAATCTTATCTTCAGTGTGGAGAAAACCATTCCCTTTGTGGCTTTCCTTATAACGAAAAAGCTACCTGGGCAATATTTGTACCTGAAATAACAAAATGTTTTTAGATGAGAAATTGGAAAAGTGTATTTTCTAGAAGCATTTGCCTTAGGTAAAGTCTAGAGTCATTTTAAACAATTTAATTCTAAAATTTCTGAAGATTCTAAGTTTTAAATCATAGCTGTATCAATAATACACATAAGATAACCAAAATTTTTAAAAATTAAAATAATTTACAGATTTACAAATTCCACTATTATAAAAGTTTTCAAAATAAAACTGAAAAACTCCACAGAACCTCTTTGTATTAATACTGAGGTTGGCTGGGCGCAGTGGCTCATGCCTGTAATCCCAGCACTTTGGGAGCCTGAGGTGAGCAGATCACCTGAGGTCGGGAGTTTGAGACCAGCCTGACCAACATGGAGAAACCCCGTCTCTACTAAATATACAAAATTAGCCAGGCGTGGTGGTGCATGCCTGTAATCCCAGCTACTTGGGAGGCTGAGGCAGGAGAATCGCTTGAACCCGGGAGGTGGAGGTTGCGGTGAGCCAAGATCGCACCATTGGACTCCAGCCTGGGCAACAAAAGCGAAATTCCGTCACAAAGAAAAAACAAAAAATTTAGGTTACACTGCCACTAATAAGTGGGGGAAATTCTACACAAATTCAACCAAAAAACTTAGAGGTGGGTTTCATGGTTATAGCATGGAGGCCAGGCCCACGCTCACCTTGGACGTCTTCCTCTCCACCATCACCATCTTCTTCCTCATTGTAAGCCAGCTCAGCCTGCTTGTCTGCCTCATACTCACCTACGTTACCATCATCCCCATTATAATCCGCCAGTTTAGAGCCATGCTGCGGATCAACAGGGGATTCATTTTCATCAAAGAATCGGCCTGTGAAGTAGGTAGAGGATTAATTCAAGAGTAAAGAGAGAAGAAAAGAAGGAATCTATACGGAAGGCAGACCAGAAAGTAAACAAGTGAAAGCTGGCAACTTTTGGGGTACTGGATATAAAAGGATACATTTTGTGAAGGTTATCCAAGACAAAAGTATATAAGAGGGAAGACTCTGAAAATATGTAATTTTTATTAAGAATTTCTCTTTTGTGTTAATTTTAGTGCTTGCCACTTAAAATTTGAATGATTTCTTAAAGAAATGGGCACCATTTTTAGGAATGTTTTCCTAATAACCAATGACTTCTCTAATATAAGTATGACTAAATTAACACTTTAGGAGAATAAATTATTTTATTACTAGATATGATACATATTTAAAATTTGAAAATCTAGGCCTGGTGCAGTGGCCCACACTTGTAATCCCAGAACTTTGGGAGGCTGAGGTAGGTGGATTGCTTGAGCTCAAGAGTTTGAGACCAGCCTGGGAAACATGGTAAAACCCTTTCTCTACAAAAAATACAAAAATTAACTGGGTATGGTGGTGTGCATTTTGGATTTCCAAAAAGGGATGACAAAGAAGGTAAGCCATCAGAATCCCTAGTGGTTTAAAAAAAAAAAATCCCAAGTAATTCTGGTGTATCTCTTCTCATTTCCTAAGACAGATTTTTAAAAAGACAATGGAATCTTAAGAAAACTGACCTATAACAGGCCAGTATATTATACACATTCATAACCATTAGAAATGAAGAAGACAGGCCTGGTGCAGTGGCTCACACCTGTAATCCCAGCACTTTGGGAGGCCGAGGTGGGCAGATCACCTGAGGTCAGTAGTTCGAGACCAGCCCGGCAAACATGGTGAAACCCCATCTCTATTAAAAATACAGAAATTAGCCAGGCGTGGTGGCAGATGCCTGTAATCCCAGCTACACAGGAGGCTGAGGCAGGAGAATTGCTTGAGCCCGGGAGGCAGAGGTTGTAGTGATCCGAGATCACACCATTGCACTCCAGCCTGAGTGACAAAAGTGAGACTCCATCTCAAAAAAAAAAAAAAAAAGAAATCAAGAAGATAAATAGACATAATACCTACTGTAGAAAACTATTCAACAATTAGACATTGAAAATAAAAATGTTAGGCACACTAGGATCTGATTTAGAAATGCAATACAACTAAAACTATATTTAGACATTAAGTTTAACTTAGCATAAAAGTAGATTTATTTTAATCCATAAAATTAACTTCCTAATAATGCAAGACTTTAAGACTTAGAAATTTAACAACTTTCTGTGATAGGTCTAAATTTTTAAAAATATATTTCAAAAATTTATATTGCAGGCTGGGTGCAGTGGCATATGCCTGTCATAGCAGTACTTTGGGAGGCCAAGGTGGGAGGACTGCTTACGCCCAGGAGTTTGAGACCAGCCTGGGTAACATCTCTACAAAAAATACAAAAATTAGCTGGGTATGGTGGTCCACACCTATAGTCTCAGATACTCAGGAGGCTGAGGTAGAAGGATTGCTTAAGCCCAGGAGTCCAAGGCTACAGTGAGTTAGGATATTGCCACTGTACTTCAGCCTGGGTGACAGAGTGAGACCTCGTCTCTTAAAAAAAAAAAAAATTAGCCAGGGGTCTGTAGTCTCATCTACTTGGGAGGCTAATGCAGGAGGATCATTTGAGGTCAGGAGTTTGAGGTTATAGTGAGCTAAGATTGTGCCACTGCACCCCAGCCTACGCAACAGCAAGACTCTATCTCTGAAGATAAATACATAGATAAATAAATAAATAAAATTTACATTGCAATGGAACACTCAGGAAAAAAAATAAACAGCTTCCTTTGCTTGGAAAGAAAGGTTAAGTACAAATAGAATTCTGGGGGTACTGGTCAATTCTACAGATGGTTCATCACATCATCAAGCCAATGTATTTCTAATTGTTGGGTAAAGAGTCCATCAGGAAAAATCGTTAAAGAACAAATTGCACTTACAGAGGCTTTTAAAGAAGGGCGGGTGTGGCCAGGCGTGGTGGCTCACGCCCGTAATCCCAGCACTTTGGGAGGCCAAGGCGGGCGATCAGAAGGTCAGGAGATCAAGACCATCCTGGCTAACATGGTGAAACCCCATCTCTACTAAAAATACAAAAAATTAGCCCGGTGTGGTGGCAGGCGCCTGTAGTCCCAGCTACTCGGGAGGCTGAGGCAGGAGAATGGTGTGAACCCAGGAGGCAGAGCTTGCAGGGAGCTGAGATTGCGCCACTGTACTCCAGCCTGGGTGACAGAGCAAGACTAAAAAAAAAAAAAAAAAAAAAAAAAAAGGCGGCAAGGCGGGCAGATGGCCTGAGGTTGGGAGTTCAAGACCAGCCTGACCAACATGGAGAAACCCTGTGTCTACTAAAAATACAAAATTAGGCAGGCATGGTGGCGCATGCCTGTAATCCAGCTACTTGGGAGGCTGAGGCAGGAGAATCACTGGAACCCGGGAGGCGGAGGTTGCGGCTCACTGAGATTGCACCATTGCACTCCAGCCTGGGCAACAAAAGCCAAACTCTGTCTCAAAGAAAAAAAAAAGAAGGGAGGGTGTGGGGACAACAGGAGACTGAAGTAACTGGAGTAACTGGGGCCAAGAAAAAGAGCATGAATTCATCTTAAAACTATTCTAGTATAAGCTTGGATATGTACAATATATAAATAAATAAATAAATAGAAAAGTTGATGAAATAGAGTTAGAGAAAAGAAACATACAAGAGAATAGGTAGGCTATTTGTAAGAAAACAGTGTCTCCTAATTATAAATCAAGCATTTTGATGGGCTTTATTATCTTTCTTTTTGAATAATAAAATAAATGATGTCAATATAGGCAGTAAAAAGAGATTTACAGAAATCTATATTTTCTTTTTTTTTTTTTCTTTTTGAGACTGAGTGGCTGGAGTGCAGTGGCCTGATATCAGCTCACTGCAACCTCCACCTCCTGGGTTCAAGCAATTCTCCTGCTTCAGCCTCCTGAGTAGCTGGGATTACAGGCGCCTACCACCATGCCCGGCTAATTTTTGTGTTTTTAGTACAGACGGGATTTCACCATGTTGGCCAGGCTGGTCTTGAACTCCTGACCTCAGGTGATCCGCCCGCCTCGGCCTCCCAAAGTGCTGGGATTACAGGCGTGAGACACCACGCTCGGCCTTCATTTTTAAATCAGAGTTATGAAATACAGAAGACTCAAAACATTAGGCTAAGACAAGGTACTAAAAAATATATATCATTTACTAATATTGTCAGACATGGAATAAAGAAATGTCCCACTTGTACCTGTTATAATATTCCAACAGAACAATTTAAAATTTCCTTTTTTTAGGTGTTTGATGATCTGACTAGCCTAAATTAAGTCAAAATTTTAATACTATAATTACATAGATACTCAGATAATAAAAATATCAACAAGAATGAATAATGACACAATTGCCCTTTGTTAAACAGTGATCTGTGCTATTATATATACAGAATTATCACGTTTGGAGAAATATTTATAGCTAACCTTTAATACTGGGCTTCCAACATTTCACAGACAACAAAAGTTGAAAAACACAGAACCAACTTACACAGAGTTGCCAATCAAGTTAAGGAGATCAGACAAACTTTGCATTAAACATTGAATGAATATAACGGTACAGACAAAAATGCATAATACTGATCAATATAAGGGACTGCTAAATTATTCAACATTTAAGAGCCACATGTCAATGTGAGAAAAGGGAAAGTTCAAAAAGAAGACAATTATATTAGACTATGACAGGGAAAGAAAGAAGCACTGAAAGAACAGGTAAGAACAAAGATGGGGTATTTAGAAGATAGTAAAGAGATTAATTTGACTGGATTTATATGAGAAAGTTAGAGTAAGTTTGAACAAGCAAATTACAGATAATTACGGGGCCAGGCATGGTGGCTCACGCCTGTAATCCCAGAATTTTGGGAGGCCGAGGTGGGTGGATCACCAGAGGTAAGGAGTTTGAGACCAGCCTGGCCAACATGGAGAAACCCCATCTTTATTAAAAATACAAAAAATTAGCTGGCTGTGGTGGTGGGTGGCTGTAATCCCAGCTACTTGGGAGGCTGTGGCAGGAGAATCGCTTGAACCCGGGAGGTGGAGGTTGCAGTGAGCTGAGATTGCTCTATTTGCACTCCAGCCTGGGCAACAAGAGTGAAACTCTTGTCTCAAAAAAAAAAAAAAAAAAAAAAAAGGCTCCTATATTCACTTGTGTTCATTGTTTAAATCCAATGACAAAGTATATAGAATCTCCTATATTCACTTGTGGTCACTGTTTAAATCCAATGACAAAGTATAATGGAAGTATCTACAATGCTTTCATCCATCCATGGTTCACTGATGTATGTGATAGGTATTGCACTATGCACTGTGATACAAAAATAAATCATAAATCTACAGTTGGGCATGGTGGCACACACCTGTAGTCTCAGCTACTCAGGAGGCTTCAGCCTAGGAGTTTAAGGCTGCAGTAAGCTATGATCATACCACTGCATTCCAGCCTGGGTGACAGGATGAGACTCTGCCTCAAAAATAAAAACAGAAAGCAAAAATAACATCCTATCTTCATCTCCTATAACTTAGTAAGGAAAACAGATAAGTAAACAAATTAGGAAGTGATAGTACGTGTGCTATTGCACACTGCTCTAGAAAGTAACATCTGAACATGGAGACAACTGAACATGGCTTCAGTTGGCTTCCTTTTGATAGAGTGAGTTTGAACATTATGTAGGAGGCAATAACCAGTAGTCAAGATTTCTTTTAAGCTCCCTGAGAACTGAAATCTGATCTGCCTTATGCCCTACAGTATCTCCAGTATCTATTTAGGTAAGAAGCTATGAGGACTTACACTAGGAAGACAGAGGAAATGTTAGAAACTGATGAATCAGATACATTTGAAAATGACAAAATGAATATATGTCATAATGGAGCAGAAAGAGTCAAAGGATGATTCCAAATCCTAGCCTGGAAACTATAATTAATGCTACCTATATCCCAAATTGGGAAGGTATGAGAAAGCAAATGTTGCTTTAGATAAACTGAATTTGGAACTACAGTATGACATCCAGATGAAAATGTTTTATAGACACATAGCTATATGGATCTAGAATGTAGGTGCAAAGTGAGGGCTAAACATGTAGATTTAAAACTCATAAATTTCAAGGTGATTGGTTAAACTATCAGAATATAATTTTAGGAAATAAATATTTACAGAAAACAGCTATAAGTCAAAGAAGTGATCTTGGGGAATGACAATATTTAAGAAGAGAAAAAAGAAGTAATGAGGGCAAAGTTATCATTTGATGGTATAAATCTATGATGTGTGTGTGTGTGTGTGTGTGTGGTTTTGTTTTTTTTTTTTTTTTTTTTTTTTGAGACGGAGTCTCGCTCTGTCACCCAGGCTGGAGTGCAGTGGTGCGATCTCAGCTCACTGCAAGCTCCGCCTCCCAGGTTCATGCCATTCTCCTGCCTCAGCCTCCTGAGTAGCTGGGACTACAGGCGCCCACCACCAAGCCCGGCTAATTTTTTGTATTTTTAGTAGAGATGGGGTTTCACCGTGTTAGCCAGGATGATCTTGATCTCCTGACCTCGTGATCGGCCTGCCTCGGCCTCCCAAAGTGCTGGGATTCCAGGGGTGAGCCACCACACCTGGCCTATGATGTGTATTAACAGGAATTAAATAGTAGACTTCATCTCTGAGGCATTTCAACTTTTTACAACCTTTAATACAGTTCTGCTGCTCCGTAACAAAACTGTTAAATCTGTGCCCAGCTAGGGGAGTAATAAAGTAATTATATTTACTTTGGATCCTAGATTTCCTTATATTGTTGCAAAATTCAATTGTGCGCTTGAATATTATTTTCACTCTGGTGGCCAGCTGAAAATGATTTGATTATCAGCAACAATATAGCTTCATCCCAATAGTTTAAACATGAGAACACAAAGAAACAACACACCCACTAGCTATTGAAAGTCTTTGAGTTGTATCAAGTTTGAAAAATTGTAACAGATTATTTTCCATATTTAAATTCCTTTTCTGGGCTAAGTGAGCTAAAGTCTATTAAATATGTAATAAGCATGTATGGCATGTATATGAAGTAATTTTTCATACATTTTACTTTAATTCATATACCACATGGTCTAACTTCATATGCTCCACATCACCTAATTAGGCATTTAACGCGCTTTTCAATTCACGCTAAACAACACAATAAAACTTCAAACAGAATGCTAGACATTCTGTAAGACATCTCAAATATCAGACTACAAACTTCAGAAACTAGTAGAGAAAAAAATGAGTAAGGGCTTTGGTCATGTGGAATAGATAAACTTTAACCTTTTCCATTTACAAAGGCATAGTTTGAATACAACTATCCTTTTAAACTAGTGAGTTTTATTGGGAAGGTATGAGAAAGCAAATGTTAAATGAGAAAGCAAATGTAGCCATTTCTCGTGGCTAAAATTTTATGTTTTATTAAAAAAAAATTTTTTTTTTTGATGGAGTCTCACTCTGTTGCCCAGGCTGGAGTGCAGTGTTGCAATCTCGGCTCACCACAACCTCCATTTCCTGGGTTCAAGTGATTCTTCTGCCTCAGCCTCTCCAGTAGCTGGGATTACAGGGGTTTACCACAACACCCATGTAATTTTTTTTGCATTTTTAGTAGAGACGGGGTTTCGCCATGTTGGCCAGGCTGGTCTCGAACTCCTGACTTCAAATGATCTGCCCACCTCGGCCTCCCAAAGTGCTGGGATTACAGTCATGAGCCACCACACCTGGCCTCATGGCTAAAATTTTAAAATAAAGTTATAAAGTCTTTACTTTTGTCTGTCTGTATTATGTGTACAGGTATACATGTATGTTTGTATATTGTCTACATGGTATCACTGACCTATAAATAAATGAACACTTATAAATTAAATAACTAGCCTGCATGCTTTTCAAGTTCATATGAATTTGGCAATCTTTGGTAAATAAAGATAGCTTTATTTTTTATTTTATTTTATTATATTTTTGAGACGGAGTCTTGTTCTATCGCCAGGCTGGAGTGCAGTAGCGTGATCTCAGCTCACTGCAACTTCTGCCTCCTGGGTTCAAGCGATTCTCCTGCCTCAGCCTCCTGAGTAGGTGGGACTACAGGCGCGTACCACCACACCCAGCTGATTTTTGCATTTTTAGGAGAGACGGGGTTTCATCATGTTGGCCAGGATGGTCTTGATCTTTTGACCTTGTGATTCGCCCGCCTTGGCCTCCCAAAGTGCTAGAATTACAGGCATTAGCCACCGCACCCGGCCCTAAAGATAGTTTTAAATTGTTGGTAAAATAAAATAGAAACACGTTCAAAAAAAAAAACCAGTAGAAAATAAGAGAATAACATTTCTTAATCACAAGAGGGTATTTCAATCAAGAAAAACTAGGCCGTATATTTTAATTCTGTACTATAAGTCAAAGGAAACACCAAGATGAGTCACTTTTGCTGCATTAGTCTGATGTTCGTTTACGGGTTTCAATTTCTCAACTATTTTATTTTTAAAAGTTTATATTTTGGCCGGGCGCAGTGGCTCACGCTTGTAATACCAGCACTTTGGGAGGCTGAGGCGGGCGGATCACGAGGTCAGGAAATCGAGACCACAGTGAAACCCTGTCTCTACTAAAAACAGAAAAAAAAAAAAAAAATTAGCCGGGCGTGGTGGCGGGCGCCTGTAGTCCCAGCTCCTTGGAGAGGCTGAGGCAGAAGAATGGCGTGAACCTGGGAGGTGGAGGTTGCAGTGAGCCAAGATTGCACCACTGCACTCTGGCCTGGGCAACAGAGCGAGACTCCGTCTCAAAAAAAAAAAAAAGTTTATATTTTTATGTCATTAATGTAATATATTACCACTATTGTAAGCAAAATGAAACTATTAGAGCTAGTTACAATAAACCTAGAGAGAATGAAAAGGAAAGTTTAAGGAAGGCAGCCTCTTTTTTCTAGCCTTCATCTATTGGCAGTATTCACTTTCATTTATTCATTTGGTAGTTAACACATTCAACTGATCTTGCATTATTCAATTTAATACCTAGAGTTGTGACTATTTCAAGTACCCTGAAGGTAAATGACACGTGATGACTTATAATCTGTTGAGATATGAGTTATAATCATGAGAGGTGGGAGGTTGGGGTGTACAAACTGTAACAAAAATGTTACTGCAGGCTTTCTTCACAAAACAATTGTAGGAAAACTATTGACTGGCTTTTGAATTGATTTCATTATCAGGAACATATTAGGGCAAAAAGACCACATTTCTATCTCAAGGGATATAGGCCCTGCATATAGTAGGCACAGGAAGCAATCTATTCACTGATGGACTGGACTTGTGGAAGGTAAAGAGAAATAAAGGAAATGAAAGAAGCATGGTAGCTAGAATTTATGGCAAACAGCATCTGAACAACCTTACCATCTCCCCGTTTCCAAGGCAAACCTATACTATCTAGATTTGTGTAGATACACTCTATGATGTTCGCAATGATGAAATCAACTAAAAACCACCTTTCTCAGAATGTATCCCCTGTTGTGATGCAATGTATTCCGTGGTTGCTCAAACCCTGTACATTCCAAAGAAAGCTTTGTTTTCAGGACTGGCCCTTGGCTGGATTCTGAGAGATAACCTCTGAGCCCATGAAATATTCTGCTTTATAAATGTTTTTGTATGCCTGAGGCCTGAGCCATTATGTACCAGTCTGATGAGGTCAATTTATCCTACAAAGTGATTTATGGTGAATAGAGTTGTTCCTCCCTCAGTATCCACTGAGAACTTGTTCCAGGACCCCAGCAGATACCAAAATCCACAGATGTTAAAGTCCCTTGTATAAAATAGCACAGTAGGTCGGGCACGGTGGCTCATGCCTGTAATCCTAGCACTTTGGGAGGCTGAGGCGGGTGGATCACTTGAGGTCAGGAGTTTGAGACCAGCCTGGCCAACATAGTGAAACCTCATCTCTAACTAAAAATACAAAAACTAGCTGGGTGTTGTGGCATGCACCTGTAATCTCAGCTACTCAGGAGGCTGAGGGAGGAGAATCATTTGAACCTGTGAGGTGGAGATTGCAGTGAGCCAAGATTGCGCCACTGCACTCCAGCCTGGGCGACAAACGCTTGAATGTGGGAGGCAGAGGCTGCAGTGAGCTGAGATCACGCCACTGCATTCCAGCTTAGGCAATACAGCGAGACTGTGTCTCAAAACAAACAAACAAACAAACAAAAAAAGAGCATTATAATAAATCTTCATATCTGATAGTGGAAGTCTTTACACTTTATTCCTTTTATAAATTGTCTTGGCTATTCTTATTCCTTTGCAGTTTCCATACACATTTTAGAGTCAGCTTATCAGATTCCACCCAAAACCCCCAAACTCTGCTGGGATTATAATTGGGATGGCAATGAAGTTCTAGATTAATATGGGAGGAATTGACATAATTACAACATTGAGCATTCCAATCCATGGATATGGATTTATTTATATATTAATTAATTTCTGTGAACAATATTTTGTAGCTTATAGAGGTTCTTGTAAATCTTTGTAAGAACTTTTCAAGGTATCTGATGTCTTTTTATGCTATTAAAAAGTTTCTTTTTAAAAGTTTCACTATGTTTACTGCTGCTATATACAGAAATATAATTTGTATATAAATCTTGCATGTAATAACTTTGCTAAATACATTTGTTTATAAATTGTTTTGAGTTTTCTACATATAAAATCATATTGTCTACAAATAATATCAGCTTATCAGTTATATTTCTTCCTTTCCAATCTCTATACTCTTTATTTCCTTTTCTGTGCTTTATTTCATTGATTAGAATCTACAGTGAAAAGCGGAATAGAAGTGATGATGGTGGGTATCCTTTTCTAGATCTCAAGGGAAGGTTTTTGAGAATTAATCATTAAATTTGATATTTGTCATAGGATGCTTAAAATACTCTATCGAGTTAAGGAAATTACTTTCTAACCCTACTTTGCTTAAAATTGGTTGTTTTATCATAAATGCATGAATTTCCTCAAATGCTCACTTTACATCTTTTGAGATGATTTTCCTCATATATTTTGTTAATGTGGTAAATTACATAGATCGCTTTTCAAATATTAAACAATCTTGAATTTTCAGATTAAATCCAACATGGTCATCATGTATATAATTTTTATCTATCTCTGGATTTGACTTGCTAATGTTTTGTTCAGAATTTTTTTTTTTTTTTTTGAGACCGAGTCTCGCTTTGTCACCAGGCTGGAGTGCAGTGGCACAATCTTGGCTCACTGCAACCTCCGCCTCCCGGGTTCAAGCGATTCTCCAGCCTCAGCCTCCTAAGTAGCTGGTACTATATGTGCGCACCACCGCACCCAGCTAATTTTTGTATTTTTAGTAGAGACAGGGTTTCACCATGTTGACCAGGCTGGTCTCAAACTCCTGACCTCAGGTGATCCACCTGCCTTGGCCTCCCAAAGTGCTGGGATTTACAGGCGTGAGCTACGTGCCTGGCCTTGTTTAGGATTTTTATATCTATATTAATAAGAGAAACTGCTATAATTTTTCTTTCTCATAATATTCTTAGTTTTGCTGTCCAACTTATGCTGGTCTCATAAAATGGGTTGGGGAGTGTTTTTTTCCTTTTCAATTCTCTGAAAGTTTATGTTACATTGGTTGTATTCTTTCATGTTTGAAAGAATTCACCAGCTGGGTGCGGTGGCTCACACCTGTAATCCCAGCACTTTGGGAGGCCAAGCCAGGAGCATCACCTGAGGTTGGGAGTTCAAGACCAGCCTGACCAACATGGAGAAACCCTGTCTCTACTAAAAATACAAAATTAGCAGGGCATGGTGGCACGTGCCTGTAATCCCAGCTACTCGGGAGGCTGAGGCAGGAGAATAGCTTGAACCTGGGAGGCAGAGGTTGCGGTGAGCTGAGATTGTGCCATTGCACTCCAGCCTGGGCAACAAGAGCAAAACTCCATCTCAAAAATAAATAAATAAATAAAAAATAAAGAATTCATCAATGAAACCATTTAGGTACCAAAATATTAACTTACAGATTCAATATGTTAATAGACATGGAACTATTCAGATTTTCCCTATCTTTTTCTGTCAGTTTTGTATAGAAGTGTTTTTCTAGGACATTGGCCATTTCATCTAACTTTGCAAATGTTTTGGCATTAAATTAATAATACCTCTTATCATGTGTCCTTTAATATTATTTGTAGGATCTATATTGATGTTCTTTTTTTTTCATTTTTGTTATTGAGAATTTGTGTCATCTCTTCCTGTCTTAATGTGTGCTGACGATCTTTCCAATTTCTTTTTTTTTTTTTGAGATGGAGTCTCACTTTGTCGCCCAGGCTGGAGTACAGTGGCGCAATCTTGGCTCACTGCAACCTCCACCTCCCGGGTTCACGCCATTCTCCTGCCTCAGCCTCCCAAGTAGCTGGGACTACAGGCGCCCGCCACCACGACCGGCTAATTTTTTGTATTTTTTTTAGTAGAGACGGGGCTTCACCGTGTTAGCCAGGATGGTCTCGATCTCCCGACCTCGTGATCTGCCCGCCTCAGCCTCCCAAAGTGCTGGGATTACAGGTGTGAGCCACCACACCTGGCTGGTCTTTCCAATTTCACTTGCCTTTTCAAAGAACCAGTTTTTGGTTTGCTTGATTTCATACAGTGACCCTGAATTAGTAATCAAGCTAAACTCTCATTAACTTTTACCAGTCTCTTTTGAGGGAAGGGGGGAACTTTTGATACCTATTCAACTTATTTAATGATTATTGGTTTATTCAAGTTTTCAAATCTTCATGAGCCAATTTAGGTAACTAATAATTGCCACAGTTTGAATGTGTCCTCTCCAAAATTCATGTTGCAGCTTAATCCCTACTGTGGTGATATTAAGAGATGGGGCCTTTGGGAGGTGATTAGGCCATTAGGGCTCCACTCTTATAAATGGGATGAGGGACCTTAGAAAAGGGGGCTGAGCATGGTGGCTCATGCCTGTAATCCCAGCACTTTGGGAGGCTGAGGCGGGCGGATCACCTGAGGTTAGGAGTACGAGACCAGCCCGACCAACATGGAGAAACCCCGTCTCTACTAAAAATATAACATTAGCCGGGCGTGGTGGTGCATGCCTGTAATCCCAGTTACTTGGGAGGCTGAGGCAGGAGAATCACTTGAACCTGGGAGGTGGAGGTTGCGGTGGGTGAGCCGAGATCGTGCCATTGCACTCCAGCCTGGGCAACAAGAGTGAAACTCCATCTCAAAAAAAAAAAAAAAAATTCTATATGTAAAGGAAGATCAGGTATTCTGTGATACACTAGCTTGCCTCTCCAGTGTTCCTTGGGAGAATGATTAATAACCACTGTTAAATAAATGAAACCCTGCTGCTATACAGAAAAGCCAATATGAGAAGCAATTTGATCAACAATCACTCCCTACTGTTTGGAGTAACCACCCTCATGACTTTCCATATGGGAGCTGACATTTGAAGTAAATTCTTATCTCTATTCAAAGCATCTAAATACAAATGGTATGTCCCTCCTAGCTGGCAAACATGTAGGCCTCGCCTGGATTTTCAGTTTCAACTATTTTGGAAGATGTCTGTTTCTTTGAAGTATCCCTAAACTATATTTTGTGTCACCACATAGCCTACATTCTAAAGTTTAAATTAAACTAACCCAAATACATCTTCCAAATATGGTGAAATATACCCCAAAATGTTCTAGCCACTTTTGCATGATGTGGTAATACAAAATTAAATTTACAAAAATATGCAGCTCTTTATAAATATATCAATATAAGTATGATATATTAAGCTATAAAACAAAAATACTAAAGTTAAAGCTGCCAAAAAATTTGTAGTGAGGTCAGGAATGGTGGCTCATGCCTGTAGTCCCAGCACTTTGGGACACTGAGGTGGGAGGACTGCTTGAGCTCAGGAGTTTGAAACCAGCCTGAGCAACATGGTGAAACTGTCTCTGCAAAAATACAAAAATTAGCCAGGCATGGTGGCACACACCTGTAGTCCCAGCTATTCAGGAGGCTGAGGTAGGATGATCCCTTGAGCCCAAGGAGGTCAAGGTTGTAGTGAGCTATGAACGTGCTAATGCAGTACAACCTGGGTGAGAGAGTGAGACCCTGTCTCAAAAAACAAAACAAAACAAAAATTGTGGTGATAACTATATAAAGTCTAAGGACTTCCCCTCCTTTTCTAATAGTGTTTTCAATAAAATTTTCAACTTTTTTCTAACAGCATGTTATTTTGTACCTACAGAGTATCAAGTGCTTTTATTTTTTATTTACTTATTTATTTATTTGAGACAGGGTCTCACTCTGTTGTCTAAGCTGGAGTGCAGTGGCGTGATCATGGCTCACTGCAACCTCTGCTTCCCAGATTGAAGCAATCCTCCCACTCAGCCTCCTGAGTAGCTGAGACTGCAGGCGTGTACCACCACACCTGGGTAATTTTGTATTTTCAGTAGAGACAGGGTTCTGCCATGTTGGCCAGGCTGCTCTCGAACTCCTGGCCTCAAGTGATCCACCTGCCTCAGCCTCCAAAAGTGCTGGGATTACAGGCGTGTGCCACTGTGCCCGGCCACAATGAAATTTTTGAGAATAATGATTTAGATACAAATAATGATTTGACAAGTGTTAAATGAAAGAAAAAAATTGTAAGTCAAAAAAGAAGAAAACTATAAAGCAAAACTGTACTTAAAAATGAATTTTCAAGCTGGACGTGGTGGCTCACGCCTGTAATCTCAGCATTTTGGGAGGCCGAGGCAGGCAGATCACGAGGTCAGGAGATCAAGACTATCCTGGCTAACATAGTGAAACCCCGTCTCTACTAAAAAAATACAAAAAATTAGCCGGGCGTGGTGGCAGGCGTCTGTAGTCCCAGCTACTTGGGAGGCTGAGGCAGGAGAATGGCGTGAACCCGGGAGGCGGAGCTTGCAGTGAGCCAAGATCACGCCACTGCACTCCAGCACGGGCGACAGACCGAGACTCCGTCTAAAAAAAAAAAAATGAATTTTCATTGGGCTCAGTGATGCATGCCTATAAATCCCAGCTACTCAAGAGGCTAAGGCAGGAGGATGATTTGAGCCCAGGAGTTTGAATCCAGCCCGGCAGCACAGCAAGACCCTGTCTCTCTCCCTCTCTCTTTTTTTCTTTTGAGACAAGGTCTTGCTTTGTTGCCCAGGCTGGAGTGCAGTGGCACGATCATGGCTTACTGCAGCCTCTAACTCCTGGGCTTAAAGAATCCTGCTAACTCAGCCACCCAAGGAGGTGGGGCTACAGGAGCACGCCTCCATGCCCAGCTAATTTTTGTATCTTTTGTAGAGACGGGGTTTCACCATGTTGCCTAGGCTGGTCTTGAACTCCTGGGCTCAAGTGATCCATCTGCCTCGGCCTCCCAGTGTTAGGATTACAGGCATGGGCCACTGTGCCAGGCCACCTGTCTCTTAAATAACTAAAATAAAATAAATTTTTCTTATAACTAAATAGTTTTTACTCTATGGAAAGCAAAGCTGAATAAACACAAGAATACTAACGATTTTTTTTTTTTTTTTTTTGAGACAGGGTCTTGCTCTGTTGCCCAGGCTGGAGTACAGTGGCGCAATCTTGGCTTACTGCAACCTCCGCCTCCCAGGTTCAAGATTATTGTGCCTCAGCCTCCCGAGTAGCTGGAATTACAGGCATGCACCAACAAGCCCAGCTAATTTTTGTATTTTTAGTAGAGATGGGGTTTTACCATATTGGCCAGGTGGGAGAATCACTTGAACCCAGGAGGCAGAGGTTCTAGTCAGCTGAGATTGCGCCACTGCACTCCAGCCTGGCCAACAGAGCAAGACTCCGTCTCAAAAACAAAAAAAAGAACAGTATATTTATGTCCAGATAGAATAAAAGAAATGATTTTTATAAAAGAAATGATCTTCTATAAGAGAAATGAAAATCATCATAAGAGTCTAGATCAATATGCTTGAATATATACAAATAAAGACCTTTTGTGTCAAGTTGTATAAAGCTGCATGATACAAGATCAACACACACAAAAATCAGTCTTATTTCTTTTTTTTTTTTTCCTTGAGAGAGTGTCTCATTCTGTCACCCAGGCTGGAGTACAGTATCGCGATCTTGGCTCACTGCAACCTCCACCTCCTGGTGCAAGCGATTTTCATGTCTCAGCCTCCCAAGTAGCTGGGATTACAGGCATTTGCCACTGCACCCGGCTAATTTTTGTATTTTAGTAGAGATGGGGTTTCACCATGTTGGCCAGGCTGGTGTCGAACTCCTGACCTCAGATGATCCACCCACCTCGGTCTCCGAAAATGCTGGGATTACAGGCATGAGCCATCAGGCCAGGCCAAAAATCAGTCATATTTATATGCACTAGCAAGAAGTCTAAAAGGAAAATTAAGAAAACAGTTCGATTTACAATGACATCAAAACAATAAAATGCTTAGGAATAAATTTAACCAAGGCAGCACAAGACTTGTGCACTAAAAGCTACAAAACATTGCTGAAAGGAATTAAAGATGACCTAAATAAATGGAAAGACATCCCATATTTATGGATTGAAAGACCTCATATTGTTAAGATGGCAGTGCTCTCCAAAGTGATCTACAGATTCAGTGCAATTCCTTTTTTTTTTTTTTTTTTTTTCCAGACAAGGTCTTGCTCTGCTGCCCAATCTGGAATGCAATGGCACAATCTCAGAATCTCAGCTCCCTGCAGCCTCTGCCTCCTGGGCTCAAGTGATCCTCCCACCTCAGCTTCCCAAGTAACGGGGACTACAGGTGCATGCCACCATATGTGGGTAGTTTTTGTATTTTTTGTAGAGACAGGGTTTTGCCATGTTGCCCAGGCTGGTATCAAACTCCTGGGCTCCAGTGATCTGCCTGCCTCGGCCTCCCAAAGTGCTGGGATTACAGGCATGAGCCACCGCACTCGGCCAATTTTTTAATTTTATTTTTTCAGAGACAGGGCTCACTTTGTCACCCAAGCTGGAGTGCAGTGGAACAATCATAGCTCACCATAACCTTGAACTCCTGGGCTCAAGCAATCCTCCCACCTCAGCATCCACAGTAGCAGAGGCTACAGGCTTGTGCCACCATGCCTGGCTAATTTTTAAATTTTTTTTAGAGATAGGGTCTTGCTACGTTGCCCAGGCTGGTCTTGAACTCCTGGCCTCATGTGATCCTCCTGCCTTGGCCCCACAAAATGCTGGAATTATAGGTGTGAGCTACTGTGCCTAGCCACAATTCCTTTTAAAATATCGCTGCCTTTTTAGTAGAAATGGAAAAGCAGATCCTACAATAAAATTACAAGGGATCATGAAGAGCTAAAATAATCTTAAAGATGAACAAAGTTGAAGGACTCATAATTCACAATTTCAAAACTTACTACAAAGTTATAGCAATGAAAACAGTATGATACTGGCATAAGGAGAGACATATAGATAAATGTAACAGAACTTATAATTCAGAAATAAACCCATATATCTGTGGTCAATAGATTTTTGACAAGGATACCAAGATTGTTCAATGGGAAATGAAGAGTCTTTTCAATAAATGTTGCTGGGACAACTGGTATCCACACACAAAAGGATTATGTTAGACCTTACCTCAAACCATATACAAAAACTAACTTTAAATGGATGAAAGACCTAAATATAACAGCTAAACCTATGAAAGTCTTAGAAGAAAACACAGGGGGAAATCTTCATTACCATGATTTTGGCACTGGTTTCTTAGATATGATACTCAAAGTATGAACAAAAACAAAAAATAGATAAATTGGACCTCATCAAAATTAAAAACTTTCGTGCATGAAAGGACACTATCAAGAATGAAAAGACAACCCATAGACTGTGCAAAAATATTTGCAAATCATACACCTGATTAGGGTCTAGTAACCAGAATACCTTTTCAAAAACCTCTTAAAACTCAACAACCAAGACAAATAACCCAACATAAAAATGGGCAAAGGGCCAGGCCCAGTGGCTCATACCTATAATCCCAGTGCTTTTGGGAGGCCAAGATGGGAGGATTGTTTGAGGCCAGGAGTTGGAGACCAGCCAGGGCAAGACAGCAAGACCCCATCTCCACAAAAGCTAAAAAATAAATACATACACTAGCCAGACATGGTAGGGTATGCCTGTAGCCATAGCTACTACTGAGGCTGAGGCAGGAGGATTACTTGAGCCTAGGAGTTTGAGGCTGCAGTGAGCTATGACTGTGCCACTGCACTCTGGCCTGGGTGACAAAGCTAGATTCTGTCTCTAAAAGTAAATTTTAAAAAAGGACAAAGGTCTTGAAAGAACAATTCTCCAAAGATGATATACAAATGGCCAGAAAGTACACAGAAAAGGTGCTCAATGTCATTAGTGAAATGCAAATAAAAACCACAAGGAAACATCACTTCATATGTACTACATGGTAGAAGGAATGAATGAAAGTGGCGGGGGGAAGGAAGGAAGGGAGGAAGGGAGGGAGGGAGGGAGGAAGGGAGGGAGGGAGGGGATGTGGAGAAATTGGAACTCTTATACGTTGCTGGTGGGAATGTAAAATGGTACAGCTATTGTGGAAAATGGTTTGGCAGTTCCTCAAAAAGCTAAACATAGAACTATCATATGACTCAGCAGTTTCACATCTAGGTACATACCCAAAGAATTAAAAACAGATGTTCAAAAAAACTTGTACATAAATGTTCATAGAAGCACTATTCGATAGCCAAAATATAGAAACAACCCATATATACATCAACAGATGAATAAACAAAATGTATCCATACAACTGAATATTATCCAGCCATAAAAAGAAATAAAATACTGATAGATGCTACATGCTACAGCATGGTCGAACTTCAGAAAAATTATGCTAAATAAAAGAAGCCAGACACAAAAGGTCACATACTGTATGATTTTTTTTTTTTTTTTTAAGATGCAGTCTCGCTCTGTTGCCAGGCTGGAGTGCAGTGGCGTGACCTCAGCTCACTGCAACCTCCAACTCCCTGGTTCAAGTGATTCTCCTGCCTCACCCTCCCAAGTAGCTTGGATTACAGGCATGCGCCACCACGCCCAGCTAATTTTTTTTTTTTTGAGATGGAGTCTCGCTCTGTCGCCCAGGCTGGAGTGCAGTGGCGCGATCTTGGCTCACTGCAAGCTCTGCCTCCTGGGTTCACACCATTCTCCTGCCTCAGCCTCCCAAGTAGCTGGGACTACAGGCGCCCGCCACCACGCCCGGCTAATTTTTTTGTATTTTTAGTAGAGACAGGGTTTCAGTATGTTAGCCAGGATGGTCTCAAACTCCTGACCTCGTGATCTGCCCGCCTCAGCCTCCCAAAGTGCTGGGATTACAGGCTTGAGTCACCGTGCCCGGCCTAATTTTTGTACTTTTAGTAGAGATGGGATTTCACCATGTTGGCCAGGATGGTCTCGATCTCCTGACCTTGTGATCCACCCACCTCAGCCTTCCAAAGTACTGAGATTACAGGCATGAGCCACCGCGCCTGGCCGTATGATTCCTTTTATATGAAATATCCAGAATTGGTGACTCCATAGACAGAGAGAAAAAAGCAAATTAGCGGTTGCCAGGTGCTGAGGGTAGGAGAGTACAGAGTTTTGTTTCAGGGTGATGAAAATATTCTGGAACTAGAGTGGTGATAGTTTGTACAACTTTGTGAATGCACTAAATGCCACTGAATTGTACATTTTGGTGAATTTTACGTGTAACTTACCAAAACAAAAAATTATTTTTAATTAAAAAAACTTTTGCATGATAAAGCATAAGAAAGTCTTATATCAGGAACGACAATATAAGAGGAAAACTGTGATAAATCTGAATTATCTATAAAGATTTGATACGGGGCTGGGCAATGGTGGCTCACGCTTGTAATCCCAGCATTTTGGGAGGCTGAGATGGGAGGATCACATGAGCACAGGAGTTCAATACCAGTCTGGACAACAGAACGAGACCTCATTTTTGTTTAAAAATTTTAAAAATTAGCCAGGTGTGATGGCACATGCCTGTGGTCTCAGCTACTGAGGAAGGTGAGAAGGGAGGATCATTTGAACCCAGGAAGTCAAGGCTGCAGTGAGCCACAACTGCACCACTGCACTCCAAGCCTGGGTGATAGAGTGAGACGTTGTCTCAAAAAAAAAAAAAAAAAAGAAAAAAAGAAAAAGAAAAGAGTTGATACAAATAAATAGAACAAATCTACAAAGTTTTCAGGCTAAGTGGTCAAAACTGATGCACAGATTATATACCAAGAAATAATTATAATAAAATTACTCACATAAATATAGGCCACCAGAATAAATGATTATTAAAACATTTTTAAGGAAACGTTATATTCTAAATACCTTATAAAAACGATAAAAATCAATGTGGCCAGGCCACAGAGAAACCCCTAAACTTAAATAACTCCAGTGACACTTTAAAACTGTTCTAGAGAACAATCTGACACTATTTAACAAGTGCTATAAAGCTAGTCAAGTGCTTTGACCCAGTAATTTCGTTCTGAGGACTATACTTTTAAAGGAACACGCAAAGTAGGAAGAACAGGAAATAACTGGAGAAAAAAAATGATAGTAACAATCATGACAGCTACAATGAGAAAATACGAAATGATCTAAACAATGAGAGGAGACCTAAGTAAACTGTTATTATTGCCTAAGCACAATAGAATATATGTATATGTATACATATATTCTGTATATGTATATAATATATACAGAATATATGTGTATATATTAATAAAAATTTAAATTAAGTAAAAAGGAATGTAAGAAATAATGTCAAAGTAAATCACAAAATTGTGCATGCATTGATTTCAACTCTCCATATACATTAATGATAAATGGAAAATAATATGGAGTGAGGGTTTAAAACTCAATAGGCTCTTTTCTTTTTTTTTTTTTTTTTTGACAGAGTCTCGCTCTGTTGCCCAGGCTGGAGTGCAGTGGCACAATCTTGGCTCACTGCAAACTTCGCCTCCCGGGTTCAAGTGATTCTCCTGCCTCAGCCTCTCAAGTAGCTGGGACTACAGTTGTGTACCACCATGCCTAGGCTCTTTTCAAAATTATTGTAGAGAGTAATAATTTCCGAGCAATTATTTCCAACCACCTTCTTTACCCAAATATCAGTTAAAAAAATATATACAGGTAAGGCAACAATTAAAAAAATGTATAGAATAAATATAAGTTTAGAAGAAAATCTTGGCCGGGAGCAGTAGTTCATGACTGTAATCCCAGCACTTTGGGAGGCCGAGGCGGGCGGATCACCTGAGGTCAGAAGATCGAGACTAGCCTGGCCAACACGGTGAAACCCTATCTCTACTAAAAATACAAAAATTAGCCAGGCATGGTGATGTGGACCTGTAATCCCAGCTGCTCAGGAAGATGAGGCAGAAGAATCGCTTGAACCTGGGAGGCGGAGGTTGCAGTGAGCTGAGATTGCACCACTGCACTCCTGCCTGCCACTGCACTCCTGGCCTGGGTGACAGAGTGAGACTCCATCTCAAAAAAAATTTAAAAAAAAAAGAAGAAAATCTTAAGTGATCAAATTAAGATATTTTATTTGTTATGCTCTTACTGTACACCTCTTCTTGTTGAGATGTAAGTTTTCAGGCCAATCCCCCAACCCAATTTTGAGGAAATATTTTTTCATTATATTTAAAATGTTAGCTAAATCTTTGTAATAAAAATGTTTTTCACACAATACTTTGGTCAAGATACACAGATATGCTTTAAAATATCAAGGAATTTCCTATTTGAAGAAAACAGAAAAAAAGAAAAAAGAAAGGAAAGCCAATTAAATTAATGCAAACTATACATTCACATATATGAATAAATTTGAATAACTGTTACAAGATCAACAAAAATACCTTGAATAGGCTGGGCACAGTGAATCACGCCTGTAATCCCAGCACTTTGTGAGGCTAAGGCGGGAGGATCACTTCAGCCCAGGAGTTCAAGACCAGCCTGGGCAACAAAGCGAGACCCCCGTCTCTAAAAATAAATAAATAAAAATAAAGAAATAAAATAAAATACCTTGAATAAATTCACAAATATAACATTGTTCAATTATTAGCTTACACGCAATCTTTGTACAAATAACTGCCTAACCAGTGCTCTGCACAGTTGCTGCCATAGACAGAAGCCATCATAAAAACCAAAGACTTGATCTTACTCCTGGTGACTGATAAAAATTAAAAATAAATAAATAAACCAAAGACAAACTGAAGCTTTTAGAGATTCTGTCTATTCAGAATTGAAGGTAAGAAGATGCCATGAAAAGCAGAACCAGTGAAAAGCACAGTTTAAGGAAGCTGATCTAAGGGACACTCTCCTGCCTCAAATTCTACTACTAGAATTTTTTCTTATACTTCTAACATCTAAATGAGGAAAATGCAATTGCAGGGAATGGAGGAGGAAGCAGTATTGAGCAATCTACTAAGGCAATCCCCCAGAGTGTATGTTTCTCCCAGAATGTTCCATTTTTCAAAACTATTTATTTTCTCTCCTCCCTAATCAAAGTTTTCATTTGTAAGCCTATCAAAATATATTTTTCTCATTTCTCCAAAAAAGTTTATATTCATAAGAACTAATTGTATTTTTAAAAAAAGTCAACTCACCTGAAATTTATTATTTAACAATGGAGAACATGAGAACCTTTTTAAAGTTTTCTTTAAAATCGTATCTATCCATTTAAAACCTGTATTTCCTTTAAATTTTGACACTTTCATACCTTCTCTTTAAATATATATAACTTCACTATACATTTATTAGAGAGCAGAATAATGAAGACCTTAATTCATATTACATTTAAAGAAATATTTTTAGCATAATATTCATCAATTGATTCTTACTTTGCTTCAATTTATGGAAATCACTGACTCTGTCCTTGGTAGCCTGCTTTAGTATATCTGTTTGAATTCTGGGTTCACTGTCCAAGTTTGAGCCTGGAATTAAACGCTGAAGAGGACTGGAAGGATTCTGTTTTGAAGTACCGGGGTTTCCATTGTGGTTTATGTGTGAATCTGTGGCATAAAAACATCAAATTAAAAGAATATAATTTAATTTAATCTTTTAAAGATGAATTTCACAAGATCTGCTTTAGAAAGCTAAGACACACTATTGTTTAACATTGGGTAGCCACAAAGCTTTTTTTTTTTTTTTTAAAGGTTTATTCTCATTTCTTTAATCAAGTATTATAACCAATGTGATTTTAGCTGTGGGAAGTTTACTGATCATTCCCAGGTGAGTATCTCCACTAATGGCCATAAACTTATTCACCAAAAAGATATACAGTAGAAATCCATAGATTAATATAGCAATGATACTCATATCTTTTCCTCCCTCCAAATTCCATATCACTATCAGAAATCTCCAAAATCCAGTAAGGCTTTTGAAATTTCTACTCTCTAAGTCATCTTCACTATACAGTGACTCACAAGTGTTGACTCTTGATTCTTTCTTAGCATTATCTACTGGATACCACCTCTCTTTCCCCACCTCCCTTTTTATCCTCATCAATGACTTTAATTTTGGATCCCAAAACATCCTATTCCACTCTGACCTTTTTCCTTTCCATCATCTCCCTTAAGCAGGTCTCTTCAATCATATCTACTCTCATTTCAGGGAAATGTTCTATAAAATGGAATGAGTGTTTAGAAAATAAACAAATACATTCATAAGTACGAAGATTTTAATATAGGTGGGCACTGTAATTTATAGAAGGCCTCTATGAGATAAATTTGAACACATTTTGAAGAAGCTAAACCTGTATAGCAGGCAGAGAGGAAAGGGAATGTAGCTCAGAGTGGCATAATAAATAATTCTTCTGTTCTTAAGAAAAAGACTAACAATCCACCAGATAAAGTGGAGTTTCAGATTATTATTTCTCTCTGCTTTTACTAGTCTAAAAAAAAATAACATTACCTCAAAGAATAAATGCTATTTCACTATACTGCTAAGTGATATATTTTATACACTATATAACTGTACATGACTAGTAAGTTGGTTTCAAATGGAATTATAAGCATAAGCCTTCATACCTGGAGGCATATTTGGGGAGAGAGGTTGTCCAGTTGGAAGATGGGAGATTGCTTGATGACTTTCATGTTGAGAAACTGAAATAGGAGGCTTCCTTAAAGCTAGAAGAAAAAAAATAAATCCATATTATTCCCATTGATACTATGATTTCTAAAAAAAAAAAAAAAAAAAACCACCGTGAATCAATTTACATTGCACTAATTCTATGATGTTTATTCTAATTTTGTAATCCTTATAGTTGGTATGCTAATTTATTTACAGTTACTAATTGATACACTGTACCATTCATCACAGAATTTTTTTTTTTGGTGGGGGGACAGAGTCTTGCCCTGTCTCCCAGGCTGGAGTGCAATGGCATGATCTCAACTCACTGCAACCTCTGCCTCCCGCGTTCCAGCGATTCTCCCTGCCTCAGCCTCCGTAATAGCTAGGATTATAGGCGCTCGCCACCACGCCCGGGTAAGTTTTTTATTTTCAGTAGAGATGGGGTTTCGCCATGTTGGCCAGGCTGGTCTCGAACCCTGGATCTCAGGTGATCTGCTTCCCTCAGCCTCCCAAAGTGCTGGGATTATAGGTGTGAGCCGCCGCGCCCGGCCCCATCACAGATTTTTTTGACCAATAAATCTGCCCAGAATATAAGCTCCATGACAGTACAAACTGTCTTCGTCACCACTATATCCCCAACATCTAGAACATGCCTAGCATGTAAGAGAAGTTCAACAAAGATTTGATGAATTAATAAAATGGACTGGGCGCAGTGGCTCACGCCTGTAATCCCAGCACTTTGGGAAGTTGAGGTGGGCAGATCACAAGGTCAGGAGTTCAAGATCAGCTTGGCCAACAAGGTGAAACCCCATCTCTACTAAAAATACAAAAAATTAGCCGGGCGTGGTGGTGCGTGTCTATAATCCCAGCTACTTAGGAGGCTGAGATAGGAGAATCACTTGAATCTGGGAGGCGGAAGTTGCAGTGAGCTGAGATCGCGCCATTGCACTGCAACCTGGGTGACAGAGACTTCATCTCAAATAAATAAATAAATAAAATGAATCTCTTCAGATACAGTGATCTTCAACAGTGAGACCTTTTTATATGCATAGCACAAATAAAAATTGACACAAGTTAGGTAAGGTATTAAGAATATGTTATTTTTAGTTGCTCAAATTTTCTTTTCTTTTCTTTTATTTACTTATTTTGAGACAGAGTCTTGCTCTGTCGCCCAGCTTGGCCAACAAGGTGAAACCCCATCTCTACTAAAAATACAAAAAATTAGCCGGGCATGGTGGTGCGTGTCTGTAATCCCAGCTACTTAGGAGGCTGAGACAGAAGAATCTCTTGAACCTGGGAGGTGGAGGTTGCAGTGAGCTGAGATCAGGCCACTGCACTGCGGCCTGGGCGATAAGAGTGAAAACTCTATCTCAAAAAAAAAAAAAAAAAAAGTCCTGGCGCGGTGGCTCACGCCTATAATTCCAGCACTTTGGGCAGCCGAGGCGGGCGGCTCACGAGGTCAGGAAATCGAAACCAACCTGGCTAACATCGTGAAACCCCGTCTCTATTAAAAATACAAAAAAATAAAAATTAGCCGGGCGTGGTGGCGGGCACCTGTAGTCCCAGCTACTTGGGAGGCTGAGGCAGGAGAATGGCGTGAACCCGGGACGCAGAGCTTGCAGTGAGCCGAGGTCACACCACTGCACTCCAGCCTGGGTGACAGAGCAAGACTCCGTCTCAAAAAAATAAATAAATAAATAAATAAATAAATAATTTAAAAAATATATATATATACTTCTTAATAACATGTTCCTATAGAAAACTTGGAAAAATAGAAAAGCACAAAGAAATTAAACTTTAACTGTAGTACTACAACTTAAAGATAACCACTGTTATCATCTGAAGAGTATCTCTCTGGTGGGTTTTTTTTTATTTCTGTACATTATACTGTATACCTTAAAATTAGGGTTATATCATATATACTATCTTATAATCTTTTTTATTTGTATTTTACACATATTTTCCACGTCATTCCATTTTTCTCTACATTATTACCAAATGATAGTGCTGAATCAAAACTCTCAATTTTATAGTTTTGGCTAGAGAGATCTGGGTAAAAAATTGCCACAAGGGGCCAGGAAAGGTGGCTCACGCCTGTAATTCCAGCACTTTGAAAGACCGAGGCATGTGAGTCACTTGTGGCCAGAAGTTTGAGACCAGCCTGGCCAAAACAGCAAAACCCCATCTCTACTAAAAAATACAAAAAATTCAGCCTGGCGTGGTGGCACACGCCTGTAACCCCAGCTACTTGGGGGCCTGAGGCACCAGAATTGCTAGAACCTGGGAGGTGGAGGTTGCAATGAGCCAAGGCCGCGGCACTGCACTCCAGCCTGGGTTGCAGAGTCACAAGGATTATTTTTATTTTTTATTTTCTGAGACAGGGTTTTGTTCTGTTGCCCAAGCTGGAAGGCAATGGCAAAATCATCACTCACTGCAACTTCAACTTCCTGGGCTCAAGTGATCCTCCCAGCTCAGCCTCCCAAGTAGCTGGGACCACAGGCTTGCACTACTACACTTGGCTAATATTTTATTTTTTGTAGAGACGAGGTCTTACTATGTGGTCCGGGCTGGTCTCAAACTCCTGGCCTCAAGCAATTGTCCCACCTTGGCCTCCCAAACTGCTGGGATTATAGACGTGAGCCATCATGCCCAGCTCCCAAAAACTTTAGAGCCCCATAAACTGTAACAACTTAACTAGTTGGTGGATAGACTTTTACTGACATAAGAAAAAGCAGTGTGTATCCTGTAAACACTTTGATTTCTATGCTTTTATTTTGCCTTTTGTTTACTTTCCTTTTTTTGTTTTCTTGAAAAATTCCTTTTAGAAAACCCCAGCCTTGGTTTTGTTGAACTAAGGAGAAAGGTATTTATTTATACCTAGGATAGAATAGTTAGAGGGCTTCCCAGAGGCCAGAAGTAATAGTTATAAGCCCCACACCTACTATATACCTAAAAAATTAAAAATTAAAAAAAGAGGTAATTATTATAGTTAGTCGTACTGAAACAAACGATGATCTAGAAAAATGCTAGCTGACTTGGAGACAATTAAGAGTGCTAACCTTACCCTCCAATTTTGTATAGGAGATACTTGTGTATACATATACAAGTATCTATTTTTTTCCTCCACAAAAATGAGATTATGTTATACTTGTTTTCTTGTAACCTGTTTTCTTTTTAATTTAAAAAATCACAGATACAGATTGAGCACAGTGTCTCATGTCTGTAATCCCAATATTTTAGGAGGCCAAGGCAGGAAGATCATTTGAGCCCAGGGGTACCTAGCAAGACTCTGTCTCTACTAAAAGTAAATACAATTAGCTGGGTGGGGTGGCACACATCTGTAATCCAGCTACTCAGGAGGCTGAGATGGGAGGATCACTTGAGCCCAGGAGGCTAGGGCTGCAGTGAGCCACCACTGCACTCCAGCCTGGGTGACAGAGGGAAACACTGTCTTAAAAACAAGAAACAACATAGGTATCTTTGTTTTTTGTTTTGTTTTGTTTTGTTTTTTGAGACGGAGTTTTGCTCTTGTTGCCCAGGCTGGAGTGCAATGGCGCGATCTCGGCTCACCACAACCTCCGCCTCCCCGGTTCAAGCGATTCTCCTGCCTCAGCCGTCCCAAGTAGCTGGGATTATAGGCATGCGCCAAGCCCAGCTAATTTTGTATTTTTAGTAGAGATGGGGTTTCTCCATGTGGGTCAGACTGGTCTCGAACTCCTGACCTCAGGTGATCCGCCCACCTCGGCCTCCCAAAGTGCTGGGATTACAGGCGTGAGCCACCACATCCGGCCCAACATATATATCTTTGTATGCCAATAAATATAGCTCAGCATCATCCTTTTTAGTGGCTACATATTACACTTTTATGGATATAACAAATTTAATGAACCCTCCCTATAAGATTTCCATGGTTTTTAATTTATCATTATAAACCATTTATGATAAGCATTCATTTTTTTAATTTTTTTGAGAAGTCTTGCTGTGTTACTCAGGCTGGAGTGCACCAGTGTGATCACAGCTGACTGGAGCCCCGACCTCCGGGGCTCAAGCAGTCCTCCCACCTCAACCTCCTGACTAGCTGGGACTACAGGCATGCAACACTACACCTGGCTAATTAAAAAATTTTTTTTTGTAGAGAGGAGGTCTCACTATGTTGTCCAGACTGGTCTTGGAACTCCCAGGCTCCAGCCATCTTCCTGTCCTGGCCTCCCAAAGTGCTGGGATTATAGGCATGAGCCACTGTGCCCAGCCTATAAATCTTCAGATAAGAAAGTACTAAGTCAAACAAATTAAGAATACTTCTCAAACAAATTAAGAAAAAACCTGTAACAAATGTGAGCTTAAAAACAATGAAAGTTTGGGGAAAATTAGATGCAGAGTAGACTGCAAACAATATCATGACAATGATTGATATCAAAGCAACTCTCGGTCAGGTGGGGTGGCTCATGCGTGTAATCTCAGCACTTTGGGAGGCTGAGGTGGGCGGATCACGAGGTCAGGAGTTTGAAACCAGCCTGGCCAACATGGCGAAACCCCGTCTCTACTAACAATACAAAAATTAGCCGGGTATAATGGTGTGTGCCTGTAATCCCAGCTATTCAGGAGGCTGAGGCAGGAGAATCGCTTGAACCCAGGAGGTGGAGGAGGTTGCAGTGAGCCGAGATAGCACCACTGCACTCTAGCCTGGGCAATGGAGGGAGACTCTGTCTCAAAAATAAATAAATAAATATAAATAAATAAAGCAGCTCTCTTTATATTTTAACCCGGTCCTCTTCATTGAAGACCAGAGAGCCAGGGGAAAAATATACAAGTCAACAGGGAATATCATGCTGCTATCAGAAAATACCATTAATAGCTAGGCTGCTGATATGGTTTAGCTCTGTATCCCCACCCAAATCTCATGCTGAATTGTAATCCCCAGTGTCGGAGGTGGGGCCTGGTGAGAGGTGACTGGATCATGGAGGTGGTTTCTAATGGTTTAGCACCATCCCCATAGTGCTGTCTCGTGATAGAGTTCTCACAGGATCTAGTTGTTTAAAAGTGTATGGCACCTTCCCCTTTGCTTTCTTCCTCCTTCTCCGGCCATGTGAAGATGTGCTTGCTTCCCCTTCGCCTTATGCCATGATTGCAAGTGTCCTGAGGCCTCCTCAGAAGCAGATGCCTGTACAGCCCGCAGAACCATGAGCTGATTAAACCTCTTTCTTTATAAATTACCCAGTCTCTGGTAATTTTTTTTTTCTTTTAAACATTTAAAACAAAAACAAAGATGGGGTCTCACTATATTGCCCAGGCTGGTCTTGAACTCTTGAGCTCAAGTGATCCTCCCACCTTGACCTTGGAAAGTGCTGGGATTACAGGCGTGAACCATCGTGCCTGGCCTCAGGTAATTCTTTATAGCAATGCAAGATCCGACCACTACAGCTGCTAAAACATATATCATTGATAAAGCCATTATTAAGGAAAAGTATCAAAGATAAAATAATAAAATGTATTTATCACAAAGAGAAAATACAGGCCACCAAAGCCATTAGAGCATATAGTTTTTATCCTATCACTGATTTTTGTATTATTTATAAAGCAGAGTTATCAGTGTAGAAATTTAATCATTTGACAATATTTATTTATATATTTATTTATTTATTTTTGAGACTGAGTCTTGCTCTGTTGCCCAGGCTAGAATGAAGTGACGTGATCTCAGCTCCCTGCAACCTCAGCCCCGTGGGTTCAAGCAATTCTTGTGCCTCAGCCTCCCAAGTAGCTGGGATTACAGGTGTGCACCACCATGCCCAGCTAATTTTTGCATTTTTAGTAGAAACAGGGTTTCACCATGTTGGCCAGGCTGGTCTCGAATTCCTGACCTCAAGTGATTCGCCCATCTTAGCCTCCCAAAGTGCTGGGATTATAGGTGTGAGCCATCGCACCCAGCCAATTGGATAATATTTAGTATCTACTATATGCCAAGATCTGTTTTTTTGTTTTGTTTTGTTTTTTCAAGATGGAGTCTTGCTGTGTCAGCCAGGTTGGAGTGCAGTGGCACGATCTCGGCTCACTGCAACCTCCACCTCCTGGGTTCAAGCAATTCTCTTGCCTTAACCTCCTGAGAAGCTGGAATTACAGGCGCCCGCCACCGCGCCCGGCTAATTTTTGTATTTTTAGTAGAGACAGGGTTTCACCATGTTGGCTAGGCTGGTCTCAAACTCCTGATCTCTTGATTCGCCTGCCTCGGCCTTCCAAAGTGCTGGGATTACAGGTGCGAGCCACTGTGCCCTGCCAAAACTGTTTTTTTTTTGAGACGGAGTCTCGCTCTGTCGCCCAGGCTGGAGTGCAGTGGCACGAACTCGGCTCACTGCAAGCTCCGCCTCCCGGGTTCACGCCATTCTCCTGCCTCAGCCTCCCGAGTAGCTGGGACTACAGGCGCCCGCCACTGCGCCCGGCTAATTTTTTGTATTTTTAGTAGAGACGGGGTTTCACCGTGTTAGCCAGGATGGTCTCCATCTCCTGACCTCGTGATTCGCCCGCCTCGGCCTCCCAAAGTGCTGGGATTACAGGCGTGAGCCACCGTGCCCGGCCGCCCAGAACTGTTTTAAACAGCTGGAGATTCAGCAGTGAACAAAATAGACCAAGTTATTGTCCTATGAAGCTTACATTCTTGTTGGGGAGATAAGAATAAATAAACAAAAGTTATAGAACATAATATAAATGTCAGAGTTCTGTGTATAAATTAAAACAGGGAGATGTGATAGAGAGTGGTGGGAGGCTCTATTTTAGATAGTTTGGTCAGGGGAGGCATTTTTGAGGAGGAATCATTTGAGCAGAGGTATGAATGAAACTTGGAGGAAGAACATTCAAACAAAGACGAGCAAGTACAAAGGCCTTGAGACAGGAGCATGCGCAGCATATTTGAGGAGAAGCTAAGGAGTGAGGAAAAAGTGTTAGAAATGAGGGAGACAGGAAAGAAGGGGCCATATTAGAGACACAATAGTAAAAACTTTAAGAATAGGTGGCTAGGTGGCAGAGGTAACTGGGGGCTGGGACTGTATCTGGTAGCTCCTAAGGAGGCAATAACCAGGCACTAGTCTCATGTCACCCTTACCTCTAAATTAGATAGATATCCCTTTTTCAAAGGTGAGGAAACAAAAAGCTCATGACAGTAGAGATAAGACATACCTCTCACTTGACTTAAAAATTCAGAGTAAACATTTCTAAAGAAACTGGTAAGATGCTTACAAAGATGACAGGTGGTTTAGGATTAATCGTCCTCTACTTCTCTTTTAGGCTTCAGTTGCAGCCCCTACTCTGAGAGGCAAAAAAAGAACTGATCCTGCCTTTTCCTCCCATTTTCTTACTCTAACAGCAGGGCTATAATCTCAAAACTGTCTAGACTTCCAATTTCCTGACTAACAGGACTTCATGATCCAGTGCCTATGGCTATAGAGAAGGAGTATGGCACTGATAAGCAGTGGTCCTCAACTCTGGCTGCATTCTAATATTACAGACACTACCACAGACGTACTGAACATGGGAATGGGGCATGGGTTTCTATATTTACTGAAAGCTCCAAAGGTGGTTCTACTGCACAGCCAAGAGAATAAAAGAATAAAATACATGAGCTTTGGAGTTAGACCAGATTTTCTCTTTTAGAGAGTCAAATCATGGCTCTGTAATTTATTAACTGCATGACTTTGGATTAGTTCCTAATTTTTCTAAGCCTCAACCCTCATCTATAAAATAAAGATGATGCCATTTACCCTGCATGATCAATGTGGGGACTAAGTGAGAATATTTTCCTCTGGATTATGAGACAAGCCTAGCAAATAGTTGGTGATTAATACATACTGGAGTATTTAGAGTTGTCAAAGTAATGTATTTATCCTTAGAATGAAAGAGAATCTAAGATTTAGATTGAGAAAATCTGATTAGTTTTACAATTTACATGTAAAACTAATCAATTTATTGACCGGCTGTGATCAATTTTCTGAGCCTCCTGATTATATAGTTGACTTGCACTTCAGAGTCCTGATGAATATTTACTTATAGTAATGTTTTGGAAAGTTACTGAAACTCAGATCAGCAATTGACCATAAAAACTCCTAGAAAGAGATGAAGTAATATTAATCATTCTGAAACATAAACATTAAATACAAAACAACGATATAACATTCTTTCTTTGCTTTGTGTATATGAACAGATACAACACACTTGAAATTTGCTCAAATACTGGTTAGTGGGACTATCTCAGCCCTCCATGAAATATAGGTAAATGTCTACATGTACTACTTAAAATTATGTTCTCATATGGCTCCTGAGACATGGTCTGTGAGTAATGAGTTTCCTTTAAACTTAGAGATGGATTTATTTAATTTAAAAAGGACAACATGAACTTCCACTGCTAGCAATGACATACTAACCAGTATTGGGTTTCCTCTACCCTAAACAATTATAAAGGCAGGAAAAATACATGAGGCAGCTGTTTGTAAGCACTGTACAACCATCAGCACAAGACCATGGTCCTTAAAAGAAGGGATATATATGAATAGGCAGTCTTTGTGAGCAGAGGAGACAGAGATCATCAGAGTTTGGCCTGCTGAGGTGGCTAGAATTTGCAGGAAAGGATATTACAGAGGAGGAACCTGTGGGGGATGAAACGGAGAGCAGAAATCTATATGGGGATTTCCTCTTAGGTCTTTGGCCAAGCCCCAGGTTGTGTATGCACAGGGTGAGACTTCATGGGGTCTAACAGACAGCTCCTCCTATAGGGCTGAGAGCTGAACAGAAATAACAGAGGTGGTTGGGTGTGGTAGCTCATCCCTGCAATCCCAGTGCTTTGGGAGGCCAAGGTGGGAGATCACTTGAGCTCAGGAATTTGAGACCAGCCTGTAAAACATAGTGAGACTTCGTGTCTACTAAAAATTAAAAAAATTAGGTGGGCATGCTGGCACACACTTGTAGTCCCAGATACTCAGAGGCAAAGGTGGGAGGAGAGCTTGAGCCCAAGAAGTAGATGCTTCAGTGAGCTACAATCACACCACTGCACACATACACAAAAAAGGCTAAAATTCTCCCCGTCTTCCCTATTAAAAATAAAAAATAAAGGAAATAACAGAGGTCATGGAGCACCAACCATCTTCGGTATTCAGATGAGTTGCTACAAGGCCATAGTTTAAGAGTAGGGACCACGCTCTTAGAGTTGGGGTTTGTTCTAGTGCCCAGGCTGAAGTGCTGTGGCATGATCATAGCTCACTGCAGTCTCAATCTCCTGAGCTCAAATGATCCTCCCACCTCACCCTTCTGAGTAGTTGGGACTATAGGAGCACATCACCACACTAGACTAATTACTTATGATTATTATCATTTTTAGGCCACACTCTAGAGTTAAAGGCCATGCTCTGAGACTAAAAACAAAATAAAAACTAACTTGCTCTAATGAAGCAAAAAACCAAAGCATAAACAAGCCTGACAGAATCAACAGGCTCTGTGATGGTTAGTATTGAGTGTCAACTTCACTGGACTGAAAGATACTTTAAGTATTGATCCTGGATATGTCTGTGAGGGTGTTGCCAAAGGAGATTAACATTTGAGTCAGTGGGCTGGGGAAGGCAGACCCACCCTTAATCTGATGGGCAAATTCTAATCAACTACCAGCGAATATAAAACAGGCAGAAAAACGAGAAAAGGTGAGACTGGCCTAGCTTAACAGCCTACATCTTTCTCTCGTGCTGGATGCTTCCTGCCCTCAAACATCAGACTCCAAATTCTTTAGTTTTGAGACTTGGACTGGCTCTCCTTGCTCCTCAAGCTCGCAGACAACCTAATGTGGGACCTTGTGATCGTATGAGTTAATACTTAATAAACTCCCCTTTATTCAGATCATATATTATTCAAATTTTAAAATTCTATCTTTTTTTATCCTTCTAGGACTCAAGTTACACACATTTTAAATTTTATTTATTTATTTAAGATGGAGTCTTGCTTTGTCATCCAGGCTTTATTAATACTTAATAAACTCCCCTTTATATATATATGTGTGTGTGTGTGTGTGTGTGTGTGTGTGTATGCATATATATATGTGTGTATATATATACATATACAGGCTGTATATGTATATATATACATACAGGCTGGTCTCAAACTCCTGATCTCTCGATCCGCCCGCCTTGGCCTTCCAAAGTGCTGGGATTACAGGCGTGAGCCACTGTGCCCTGCCAAGAACTGTTTTAAACAGCTGGAGATTCAGCAGTGAACAAAACAGACCAAGTTATTGTCCTACGAAGCTTACATTCTTGTTGGGGAGATAACAATAAATAAACAAAAGTTATAGAACATAATATAAATGTCAGAGTGCTGTGTATAAATTAAAACAGGGAGATGTGATAGAGAGTGGTGGGAGGCTCTATTTTAGATAGTTTGGTCAGGGGAGGCATTTTTGAGGAAGAATCATTTGGTGAAAAACATCAATCCACAAATCTAAGAATGTATATGTACATATATACATATATATACACACATACAAACACACACACACACACACACACACACACATATATATATATATACACACACATATCTAAAATGATATAGGGCTGAGAGCTGAACAGAAATAACAGAGGTGGCCGGGTGTGGTAGCCGGGTATATATATATATATATATATATATATATATATATATATATATATATATAATATATCCTATTATATGTATATATCTCCTATTAGTTCTGTACCTCTAGGGAACCCTAACGCAGGCTCCTCCAGTAATTTGTCTGCCAGAACAAAATTCAACACCCTTTAAAAGAAGACACACTTTAAAAGAAGGCAACAAAATCCAAACTCCTCAATGTAATACTCATAAAGTATACAATAAAATTACTAGACATACAAAAAAGCAGAGAATGACCCACAATCAAGAAAAAAAGGAATCAACAGAAACAAACGGAGAGGTGATCCACTTGTGAAAATTAGCAGACAAGAACTTATAAACAACTGTTTATATATATATGTATATGTATATGTATATATATGTGTGTATATGTGTATATATATGTGTGTGCGTATATATATGTTCAAGGATTTAAAGGAAAATGTGGGAACATCTGGTAAAGAATGGGGAGTAAAAAAGAACCAAATGGAAATTCTGGAATTGAAAGTACGACATCTAAAGTGAAATATATGCTGACTGGGCTTAACAGCAGACTAAACATTACAGAAAAAAAGGGGTCAATGAACTTGAAGGTAAATCAAAGACATTAAACAAACTGAAGGAGAAAAGGTATTACAAAAATCTAAACAAAACTTCAGTGATGTTTGGGATAATATCAAGCAGTCTGAAATGTATGTAACTCGGCCGAGCATGGTGGCTCACTTGAGGTTAGGAGTTCAAGACCAGCCTGACCAACATGGTGAAACCCCGTCTCTAATAAAAGTACAAAAAAAAAAAAAAAAAAAATAGCTGGGCGTGGTGGTGCATGCCTGTAATCCCAGCTACTTGGGAGTTTTAGGTGGGAGGATCGACTGAACCCGGGAGGTGAAGGTTGCAATGAGCCGATATCATGCCACTGCACTCCAGCCTGGGTGACAAAGCGAGACTCCATCTTAAATAAATAAATAAATAAATTTTAAAAATGTATGAAACTTGAGTCCTAGAAGGATTAAAAAAAGATAGCATTGTAAAATTTGCATATTTGATCTGAATAAATGCTGAAATTTCCCCAAATTTGGTGAAAAACATCAACCCACAAATCTAAGAACCTCAGAGAACCCTAAGCAGGATAAATACAAAATAAAACCCCATACTAAGGCATATCTTGGTCAAATTGATAACAATTAAAGATAAAGGGAAAATCTTAAAAGCATCTAGAGAAAAAACACACAATAAAAGAGAACAACAAAAGAAAGATGGCTGACTTAGAAACAATGAAGGCCAGAAGACAGTTGGAACTGCATCTTTTTTTTTTTTTTTTGAGACAGAGTCTCCGTCGCCAGGCTGGCATGCAGTGGCGTGGTCTCGGCTCACTGCAACCTCCACCTCCTGGGTTCAAGCAATTCTCCTGCCCAAGCCTCACGAGTAGCTGGGACTGCAGGCCCACGCCACCAGGCCCAACTAATTTTTGTATTTTTAGTAGAGATGGGGTTTCACCATGTTGGCCAGGATGGTCTTGGATCTCTTGACCTCATGATCCACCCACCTCAGCCTCCCAAAGTGCTGGGATTACAGGCATGAGCCACTGCGCCCCGCCGGAACTGCATCTTTTAACATGCTAAATGAATGCCCTCAACGTATCAGCCCAGATTTCTATATCTGGCAAAAATAACCTTCAAAAATGAGAATAAAATAAAGATACTTTCAGATAAAAGTTGAAAAATTCACTGCTAGAAGACCTGCACTTCAAGAAATGCTAAAGGAAGTTCTTCAGGCTGAAGGGAAATGATAATCAAAGTAGAAATTTTAATCTATAGGAAGGATTCAAATTTGTGTCCTTTAAAACAGGGATCTAAAAACTTTTTCTTAAAGGGCCAGACAGAAAAAAAAAAAAAAAAAGGGCCAGACAGTAAGTGTTTCAGGCTGTGGGCCTTACTCAATTCTGCTGTTCTAGCAGAAAAGCAACCATAGGCAATATATAAACAAATGAGTATGTCTATGTTTCAGTAAAATTTTATTTATTAAAACAAATGGCCACCTGGTAGTTTGCCAATGTCTGTTTTATAAGATATCTAAGAAAAATTTTTAATTATAATTTTAATATCAAGACTGGCAATTTGTTAGGATTTTTAAATTTTTATAGCTTAATTTTTTCCTCTGAGAGTGCTTTTAGAAAAATAATCTCTACCAAAAATATAAATTATTAACCACAATGCTTCCTTAAAACATAACGTTTTTGTTTTTTTCTTTGACAGGGTCTTGTTCTGTTGCCCAGAATGGAGTACGGGTAGCATGATTATAGTGAACTGTAACCTTGAATTCCTGGCCTCAAGCAATACTCCCACCTCGGCATCCCAAACTGTTCGGATTACAGGCGTGAGCCACTGCACCTGGCCTTAAGACATAATCTTCCTATCTTTTTTCCTCCTCTCACACATCACTGTAATTACTTCTCTTTAATTTTAATTTTTATTTTTGAGACAGGGTCGCGTTCTGTTGACCAAGTTGGAGTGCAATGGCGTCATCATGGTTCACTGCAGCCTCAATCCCCTGTGCTCAAGTGATCCTCCCACTTCAGCCTCCCAAGTAGCTGGGACTACAGGCGTATGCCACCATGCATGGCTAATTGTGGTATTTTTCTGTCTCATATTATGTTGTCCAGACTGGTCTCAAACTCCTGGACTCAAGCGATCCTCCTGCCTTAGCCTCCCAAACTGCTGGGATTACAGGTATGAGCCTGGCCTCTCTTTAATTGTTTTTTAAGACTTAGAGCAGTTTTGTGGTTTGTTTGTTTTGTTTTTTTTTTTTTTTTTTGAGACGGAGTCTCGCTCTGTTGCCCAGGCTGGAGTGCAGCGGCGTGATCTCTGCTCACTGCAAGCTCCGCCTCCTGGGTTCACGCCATTCTCCTGCCTCAGTCTCCCAAGTAGCTGGGACTACAGGCGCCCGCCACCACGCCCAGCTAATTTTTTGTATTTTTACTAGAGATGGGGTTTCACTGTGTTAGCCAGGGTGGTCGCGATCTCCTGACCTCGTGATCCACCCACCTCGGCCTCCCAAAGTGCTGGGATTACAGGCGTGAGCCACCGCGCTCGGCCAAGACTTAGAGCAGTTTTAAGTTCACAACAAAACTGACAGGAAGATAGAAAAATATCCCAAATATCTCCTGCTCCCATACATGGCCATGGATAGCCTCCCCGATTATTAACATCCCCTACCAAAGTGGTACATTTGTTAAAACTGATGAACTTACACTGGCACACTGTAATCACCCAAGGTCCCTAGTTTACATTAGGGTTCATTCTTGGTGTTGTACATTCTATGGGTTTGGACAAATGTATAATGACATGTCTCCCCATTATAGTATCAGAGCATTTCACTGCCCTAAAAATCCTCTGTGCTCTGCCTATTCATCCTCTCTCTCTCTACCCCATCCCCTTGCAACTACTAATTTTTTAATTGCATTTTAGTGTCTCCACAGTTTTTCCTATTCCGGAATATCTATAGTTGTAATTATACAGTATGTAGCCTTTTCAGATTGGCTTTTTTCATTTAGTAATATGCATTTAATTTTTTTCAAGTCTTTTTTGTTTTTGACACAGGTTCTTACTCCATTGTCCAGGCTGGAGTGCAGTCACAGCTCACTGCAGCCTCAACTTCCCAGGCTCAGGTGATTATCTCACCTCAGCGTCCTGGGTAGCTGAGATTACAGTCACACACCACCACACCCAGCTAATTTTTGTATTCTCTGTAGAGATGGGGTTTCACTGTGTTGCCAAGGCTGATCTTGAACTCCTGGGCTCAAGCGATCTGTCAACTTTGGCCTCCCAATGTGCTGGGACTGCAGGTGTGAATTACCACACCCAGCTTTCTCCAAGTCTTTTCATGTCTTAATATCTCATTTCCTTTCAGTGGTAAATAATATTCCATTGTCCAAAGGTACCACAGTTTATCCACTCACCTACTGAAGAATATCTTGGTTGTTTTCAAGTTTTGGCAATTACGAATAAAGCTTCTATAAACATTTATGTGCAGGCTACTGTGTGGATACAAGTTTTTAACTCTTTTTGATAGATACCAAGGAGTAAGATTTCAGGATCATACGGTCAAAGTAAGTTTAATTTTGTAAGAAACTGCCCAACTACCTTCCCAAGTAGTTGACAATTTTGCATTCTCACCAGCAACACATAAAAATTGCTTTTGTTCCACGTCCTTGCCAGCATTTGGTGTTTTCAGTGTGCTGGAACTTGGCCTATTAGAATGGTCCAAAATCTACTGTAGTAGATTTCCCTGATAACACATGATATGAAGCATCTTTTCATATGTTTGCCATTTTTATGCCTTCTTTGGTGAGGTGTCTGTTTAGGTTTTCAGTCCATTTTTTAATCAAGTTGTTTTCTTTTCTCTTCTTTTTTTTTTGAGACAGGATCTCACTCTTTTCCCCAGGCTGGAGTGCAGTGGTGTAATCATGGCTCACTGCAATCTCTGCTTTCTGGGCTCAAGCAATCCTACCACCTCAGCATTCCGAGTAGCTGGGAACACAGGCATGGTCCACCGCACTTGTCCAGTTTTTTTTTTGAGATGGAGTCTTGCGCTGTCACCCAGGCTAGAGTGCAGTGGCGCGATCTCGGCTCACTGCAAGCTCCGCCTCCCGGGTTCATGCCATTCTCCTGCCTCAGCCTCCCAAAGTGCTGGGATTACAGGCGTGAGCCACCGCGCCCGGCCACACCTGTCCAATTTTTTTGTATTTTGGGTAGAGATGGGGTTTTGTCATATTGCCCAGGCTGGTCTCAAACTCCTAGGCTCAAGCAATCCACCTGCCTCAGCCTCCCAAAGTGCTGAGATTACAGATGTGAGCCACCATACCGAGCTTGTTTTCTAAGTGTTAAGTGTGTGTTTTTATTTATTTATTTATTTTTATTATACTTTTAAGTTTTAGGGTACATGTGCACAATGTGCAGGTTAGTTACATACATATACATGTGACATGCTGGTGCGCGGCACCCACTAACTCGTCAACTAGCATTAGGTATATCTCCCAATGCTATCCCTCCCCGCTCCCCCCACCCCACAACAGTCCCCAGAGTGTGATGTTCCCCTTCCTGTGTCCATGTGTTCTCATTGTTCAATTCCCACCTATGAGTGAGAATATGCGGTGTTTGGTTTTTTGTTCTTGCGATAGTTTACTGAGAATGATTATTTCCAGTTTCATCCATGTCCCTACAAAGGACATGAACTCATCATTTTTTATGGCTGCATAGTATTCCATGGTGTATATGTGCCACATTTTCTTAATCCAGTCTATCATTGTTGGACATTTGGGTTGGTTCCAAGTCTTTGCTATTGTGAATAGTGCTGCAATAAACATACGTGTGCATGTGTCTTTATAGCAGCATGATTTATAGTCCTTTGGGTATATACCCAGTAATGGGATGGCTGGGTCAAATGGTATTTCTAGTTCTAGATCCCTGAGGAATCGCCACACTGCTTCCACAATGGTTGAACTAGTTTACAGTCCCACCAACAGTGTAAAAGTGTTCCTATTTCTCCACATCCTCTCCAGCACCTGTTGTTTCCTGACTTCTTAATGACTGCCATTCTAACTGGTGTGAGATGATATCTCATTGTGGTTTTGATTTGCATTTCTCTGATGGCCAGTGATGGTGAGCATTTTTCCATGTGTTTTTTGGCTGCATAAATGGCTTCTTTTGAGAAGTGTCTGTTCATGTCCTTCGCCCACTTTTTGATGGGGTTGTTTGTTTTTTTCTTGTAAATTTGTTTGAGTTCATTGTAGATTCTGGATATTAGCCCTTTGTCAGATGAGCAGGTTGCAAAAATTTTTTCCCATTTTGTGGGTTGCCTGTTCACTCTGATGGTAGTTTCTTTTGCTGTGCAGAAGCTCTTTAGTTTAACTAGATCCCATTTGTCAATTTTGGCTTTTGTTGCCATTGCTTTTGGTGTTTTAGACATGAAGTCCTTGCCCGTGCCTATGTCCTGAATGGTAATGCCTAGGTTTTCTTCTAGGGTTTTTATGGTTTTAGGTCTAACGTTTAAGTCTTTAATCCATCTTGAATTGATTTTTGTATAAGGTGTAAGGAAGGGATCCAGCTTCAGCTTTCTACATATGGCTAGCCAGTTTTCCCAGCATCATTTATTAAATAGGGAATCCTTTCCCCATTGCTTGTTTTTCTCAGGTTTGTCAAAGATCAGATAGCTGTAGATATGCGGCGTTATTTCTGAGGGCTCTGTTCTGTTCCATTGATCTCTATCTCTGTTTTGGTATCAGTACCATGCTGTTTTGGTTACTGTAGCCTTGCAGTATAGTTTGAAGTCAGGTAGCATGATGCCTCTAGCTTTGTTCTTTTGGCTTAGGATTGACTTGGCGATGCGGGCTCTTTTTTGGTTCCATATGAACTTTAAAGTAGTTTTTTCCAATTCTGTGAAGAAAGTCATTGGTAGTTTGATGGGGATGGCATTGAATCTATAAATTACCTTGGGCAGTATGGCCATTTTCATGATATCGATTCTTCCTACCCATGAGCATGGAATGTTCTTCCATTTCTTTGTATCCTCTTTTATTTCATTGAGCAGTGGTTTGTAGTTCTCCTTGAAGAGGTCCTTCACGTCCCTTGTAAGTTGGATTCCTAGGTATTTTATTCTCTTTGAAGCAATTGTGAATGGGAGTTCACTCATGATTTGGCTCTCTGTTTGTCTGTTATTGGTGTATAAGAATGCTTGTGATTTTTGTACATTGATTTTGTATCCTGAGACTGCTGAAGTTGCTTATCAGCTTAAGGAGATTTTGGGCTGAGACAATGGGGTTTTCTAGATATACAATCATGTTGTCTGCAAACAGGGACAATTTGACTTCCTCTTTTCCTAATTGAATACCCTTTATTTCCTTCTCCTGCCTAATTGCCCTGGCCAGAACTTCCAACACTATGTTGAATAGGAGTGGTGAGAGAGGGCATCCCTGTCTTGTGCCAGTTTTCAAAGGGAATGCTTCCAGTTTTTGCCCATTCAGTATGATATTGGCTGTGGGTTTGTCATAGATAGCTCTTATTATTTTGAGATATGTTCCATCAATACCTAATTTATTGAGAGCTTTTAGCATGAAGGGTTGTTGAATTTTGTCAAAGGCCTTTTCTGCATCTATCGAGATAATCACGTGGTTTTTGTCTTTGGCTCTGTTTATATGCTGGATTACATTTATTGATTTGCGTATATTGAACCAGCCTTGCATCCCAGGGATGAAGCCCACTTGATCATGGCGGATAAGCTTTTTGATGTGCTGCTGGATTCGGTTTGCCAGTATTTTGAGGATTTTTGCATCGATGTTCAGCAAGGATATTGGTCTAAAATTCTCTTTTTTGGTTGTGTCTCTGCCTGGCTTTGGTATCAGGATGATGCTGGCCTCATAAAATGAGTTAGGGAGGATTCCCTCTTTTTCTATTGATTGGAATAGTTTCAGAAGGAATGGTACCAGTTCCTCCTTGTACCTCTGGTAGAATTCGGCTGTGAATCCATCTGGTCCTGGACTCTTTTTCGTTGGTAAGCTATTGATTATTGCCACAATTTCAGCTCCTGTTATTGGTCTATTCAGAGATTCAACTTCTTCCTGGTTTAGTCTTGGGAGAGTGTATGTGTCGAGGAATTTATCCATTTCTTCTAGATTTTCTAGTTTATTTGCATAGAGGTGTTTGTAGTATTCTCTGATGATAGTTTGTATTTCTGTGGGATCGGTGGTGATATCCCCTTTATCATTTTTTATTGCATCTATTTGATTCTTCTCTCTTTTTTCTTTATTAGTCTTGCTAGCGGTCTAGCTTGTTGATCTTTTCAAAAAACCAGCTCGATTCATTAATTTTTTGAAGGGTTTTTTGTGTCTCTTTTTCCTTCAGTTCTGCTCTGATTTTAGTTATTTCTTGCCTTCTGCTAGCTTTTGAATGTGTTTGCTCTTGCTTTTCTAGTTCTTTTAATTGTGATGTTAGGGTGTCAATTTTGGATCTTTCCTGCTTTCTCTTGTGGGCATTTAGTGCTATAAATTTCCCTCTACACACTGCTTTGAATGTGTCCCAGAGATTCTGGTATGTTGTGTCTTTGTTCTCGTTGGTTTCAAAGAACATCTTTATTTCTGCCTTCATTTCATTATGTACCCAGTAGTCATTCAGGAGCAGGTTGTTCAGTTTCCATGTAGTTGAGCGGTTTTGAGTGAGTTTCTTAATCCTGAGTTCTAGCTTGATTGCACTGTGGTCTGAGAGATAGTTTGTTATAATTTCTGTTCTTTTACATTTGCTGAGGAGAGCTTTACTTCCAACTATGTGGTCAATTTTGGAATAGGTACGGTGTGGTGCTGAAAAAAATGTATATTCTGTTGATTTGGGGTGGAGAGTTCTGTAGATGTCTATTAGGTCCACTTGGTGCAGAGCTGAGTTCAATTCCTGGGTATCCTTGTTGACTTTCTGTCTCGTTGATCTGTCTAATGTTGACAGTCACCCATTAAAGTCACCCATTATTAATGTGTGGGAGTCTAAGTCTCTTTGTAGGTCACTCAGGACTTGCTTTATGAATCTGGGTGCTCCTGTACTGGGTGCATATATATTTAGGATAGTTAGCTCTTCTTGTTGAATCGATCCCTTTACCATTATGTAATGGCCTTCTTTGTCTCTTTTGATCTTTGTTGGTTTAAAGTCTGTTTTATCAGAGACTAGGATTGCAACCCCTGCCTTTTTTTGTTTTCCATTTGCTTGGTAGATCTTTCTCCATGCTTCTATTTTGAGCCTATGTGTGTCTCTGCATGTGAGATGGGTTTCCTGAATACAACACACTGATGGGTCTTGACTCTTTATCCAATTTGCCAGTCTGTGTCTTTTAATTGGAGCATTTAGTCCATTTACATTTAAAGTTAATATTGTTATGTGTGAATTTGAACCTGTCATTATGATGTTAGCTGGTTATTTTGCTCGTTAGTTGATGCAGTTTCTTCCTAGTCTTGATGGTCTTTACATTTTGGCATGATTTTGCAGCGGCTGGTAGTGGTTGTTCCTTTCCATGTTTAGTGCTTCCTTCAGGAGCTCTTTTAGGGCAGGCCTGGTGGTGACAAAATCTCTCAGCATTTGCTTGTCTGTAAAGTATTTTATTTCTCCTTCACTTATGAAGCTTAGTTTGGCTGGATATGAAATTCTGGGTTGAAAATTCTTTTCTTTAAGAATGTTGAATATTGGCCCCCACTCTCTTCTGGCTTATCGAGTTTCTCCCGAGAGATCCGCTGTTAGTCTGATGGGCTTCCCTTTGTGGGTAACCCGACCTTTCTCTCTGGCTGCCCTTAATATTTTTTCCTTCATTTCAACTTTGGTGAATCTGACAATTATGTGTCTTGGAGTTGCTCTTCTCGAGGAGTATCTTTGTGGCATTCTCTGTATTTCCTGAATCTGAATGTTGGCCTGCCTTGCCAGATTGGGGAAGTTCTCCTGGATAATATCCTGCAGAGTGTTTTGCTTGTTTGTTTGTTTGTTTGTTTGTTTTTGAGACGGAGTCTCGCTCTGTTGCCCAGGCTGGAGTGCAGTGGTGCAATCTCAGCTCACTGCAAGCTCTGCCTCCCGGGTTCAACCCATTCTCCTGCCTCAGCCTCCCAAGTAGCTGAGACTACAGGTGCCTGCCACCATGCCTGGCTAATTTTTTTGTATTTTTAGTAGAGACGGGGTTTCACTGTGTTGGCCAGGATGGTCTCGATCTCCTGAACTCGTGATCCGCCCACCTCAGCCTCCCAAAGTGCTGGGATTACAGGCATGAGCCACTGCGCCTGGCCTCTAATTGTTAAGTTTTAAGAGTTCTTTGTATATTTTGCATAGATCTTTTATCAGATATGTCTTTTACAAAATTTTTCTCCCAGTCTTGTCTTCTCTTGACATTTTCACTCACAGAAGTTTCTAAATCTTTTTCTTTATTATTATTATTATTTTTTGAGACAGAGTCTCGCTCTGTCACCCAGGCTGGAGTGCATTGGCGCGATCTCAGCTCACTGCAACCTCCGCCTCCCTGGTTCACGCCATTCTCCTGCCTCAGCCTCCCTAGTAGCTGAGGCGCCCGGCACCACGCCCAGCTAATTTTTTTGTATTTTTAGTGGCGATGGGGTTTCACCATGTTAGCCAGGATGGTCTCGATCTCCTGACCTCGTGATCTGCCTGCCTCAGCCTCCCAAAGTGCTGGCATTACAGGCGTGAGCCACCGTGCCCGGCCAGAAGTTTCTAAATCTTAATGAAGTCCAGCTCATCAATTATTTCTTTCATGGATCGCTACTTTGGTGTTGTATCCAAAAAGTCATTGCCATACCCAAGGTAATCCAGGTTTTCTCTTGTTGTCTTCTAGTTTTATACTTTTGCATTTTCTATTTAGGTCTATGATCTATTTTGAGTTAATTTTTGTGGAGGGTATAACGTCTATGTCTAGATTCATTTTTTAAAAATCTAGTTGTCAGCACCATTTTTTGAAAATACTGTCTACCCCATTGTATTGCCTTTGCTTCTTTGTCAAAGACCAGTTGACTATATTTATGTGTGTCTATCTCTGGACTCTCTGTTCTGTTTCATTGGTCTATTTCTCTGTTTGTTGACCAATACCATACTGTCTTGATTACTGTAGCTCTAATATTAAGTCTCGAGGTCGAGTAGCATCAGTCGTCCAACTTTTGACTTCAATATTGTGTTGGCTATTCTGAATGTTTTGCTTCTCTATATAAACTTTATTTTGTTTTGTTTCTTTGAGACAGAGTCTCGCTCTGTCACCCAGGCTGGAGTGCATGAAGTGCTCTTGGCTCACTGCAACCTCCGCCTCCTGGGTTCAAGTGACTCTCATGCCTTAGCCTTCTGAGTAGCTGGGATTACGGATGTGCGCCACCACACCCAACTAATTTTTGTATTTTCAGTAGAGACAGGGTTTTGCCATGTTGGCCAGGCTGGTCTCAAACTCCTGGCCTCAGGTGATCTGCCTGCCTTGGCCTCCCAAAGTGCTGGGATTACAGGCTTGAGCCATGGTGCCTGGCATGCCTCTCTATATAAACTTTGGAATCAGTTTGTCAATATCCACAAAATAACTTCCTGGGATTTTGACTTGGATCATATCAATCTATAAATCATACTCCGAGGAACTGACATTTTGACAATACTGAGTCTTCCTATCCATGAAACTCAATAGCTCTCCATTTATTTAATTCTTCTTTGATTTCATTCCTTAGAGTTCTGTAGTTTTCCTTATATAGACCTTTCACACATTTTATTAAATTTATACCTAAATAATTGAATTTTGAGAGTACTACTATAAATGGTATTGTATTTTTAATTCCAAATTCTATTTGTTGACTGCTGGTATATGGAAAAGTGATTAACTTTTGTATATTAACCTTATATCCTGCAACCTTTCTATAATCACTTACTAGTTCCAGGAGCGTTTTTGTCAGTTCTCTTGGGTCTTCTACATATAAGATAATGACATCTGTGAACAAAGAGAGTTTTATTTCTTCCTTCCCAATGTGTTTACCTTTTGTTTCCCTTTTTGCCTTATTACACTAGCTAAGACTTCCAGTATAATATTAAAAAGGAGTGGTGAGAAGGCACATCCTTGCCTTGTTCATGATGTTAGGAAAACTTCTAGTTTCTCATCACTAGGTATGTTGTTACTTGTAGATTTTTTTGTAGATATTCTGTATCAAGTTGAGAAAGTTTCCCTGTATTCCTAGTTAACTGTGTTTTTATCATGAATGAGTTTTGGATTTTGCCAAATGCTTTTTCTGTATTCACTGATATAATCATGTGATTTTTTTTTTAGCCTGCTAATACGATGAATTATGTTACTTGATTTTTTAATATTAAACCAGATTTGCATACCTGGGATAAATCCCACTTGCTTGTGATACACTTTTTTCTTTTTCTTTTTTTTGGGGGGCGGGTGGTGGTGGGGACAGGGTCTTGCTGTCACCTAGGCAATGATGTGATCTTGGCTTACTGCAGCCTCCATCTCCTGGGCTCAAGCAATCCTCCCATCTCAACCTCCTGAGTAGCTGGGACCACAGGGGTGTGCCACCACACCTGGCTAGTTTTTGTATTTTTTTATAGAGATGGGTTTTTGCCATGTTGCTCAGACTGGTCTTGAACTCCTGAGCTCAAGCAATTTGCCCACCTTGGCCTCCCAAAGTGCTAGGATTACAGGCATGAGCCACTGTGCCTGGCCTATAATTCTTGTATACATTGTTGAATTCAACTTGCTAATATTTCATTGAGAATTTTTGCATATAAGATCAAGAGAGATATTGGTCTGTAGTTTTGTCTCATCTAAGATCATGAGAGACATTGGTCTGTAGTAGTGTCTTTCTCTGGTTTTGGTACTGGCATAACAATGGCATCATAGAATGAATTAGGAAGTATTCCCTCTGCTTCTATCTTCTGAAAGAGACTGTAGATAAGGGGTATAGTTTCTTCTTAAATATTTGGTAGAATTCACCGGCAAACCCATCTGTACCTGGTGCTTCCTGCTTTGGAAGGTTATTATTGATTCAATTTATTTAATACATATAAACCTGTTCAGATTATCTTTTTGTAGAGCTGGCAGACTGTGTCTATCAAGGAAGTGGTCTAGTTCATCTAGGTTATCAAATTGGTAGGCACAGAGTTGTTCATAGTATTCCTTTATTTTCCTTTTAATGTCCATGGGATCTGTAGTGATAACCCTCTTTCATTTCTGACAGAAGTAATCTGTGTCCTCTCTCTTTTTCTCTTAGCCTTGCTAGAGGCTTATGCATTTTTATTAATACTGTCAAAGAACCAGCTATTGGTTTCATTGATTTTCTCTAATGATTTCCTGTTTTTAATTTTATTGACTTCTGTTCTAATTTTTTATTATGTCTTTTATTTTGCTTACTTTGGATTTAATTTGCCTTTTTTTTTTCAATTTCCTAAGGTGGAAACTTAAATGACTGATTTTAGACCTTTCTACTTTTCTAACATATGCATTCACTGCTATACATTTCCCTCTAAGCATGACTTTCACTGCATCCTATAAATTTTGATAAGTAGTGTTTTCATTTTCATTTAGTTCAAAATATTTTTAAATTTCTCCTGAGATTTCTTCTTTGATCCATGCATTATTCAGAAATAGTTGTTTAATCTCCACATATTTTGGGATTTTCCAGTTATCTTTCTATTATTTTATTTTATTTTTGGCTGAGTACAGAAGACTTTATTGACGGTACATGACAAGGTGGGGGCTCTCTAGACCCCTCCCATTCTTCAGGGGATATGGCATGAAAACTGTGGTGGAGGGGAGCTTCTTGGTGTGGTGGGGGACGGAGTGAGGCAGGGACTCCTCAGCAGCTGAGAGCCTCTCTTTTTCTCTCGTGCTCTCACTAGGGCTGGTAGTCCGGAGGGCTGTTATTCCTTGGAGGCCATGTGGACCATGAGGTCCACCACCCCGTTGCTGTAGCAAAACTAATTGTCATACCAGGAAATTAACTTCACAAAATGGTTGCTGAGGGCAATGCTAGCCCCAGAATTAAAAGTGGAAGAGGGAGTGTCACCGTTAAAGTCACAGGGGACAACTTGGTGTTCAGTGTAGCCCAGTGTGCCCTCGAAGGGCCTTCCGATGCCTGCTTCACCATCTTCTTGAAGCCATCATATTTGGCAGGTTACTCCAGACAGCAGGTCAGGTCCACAACTGACACATTGGTGGTAGGGACGAGGAAGGCCATGCCAGTGATCTCCCCATTCAGCTCAGGGATGTCCTTGCCCACAGCCATGGAAGTTCCAGTAGATGCAGGAATAATGTTCTGCAGAGCTCCACAACCATGACGTCACAGTTTCCCAGAAAAGCCATCCATAGGTCTCCTGGGTGGCAGTGATAGCAGGGACTGTGGTCAGGAGTCCCTCCATGATGCCAGAGCTATCATGGATGATCTTGGTCAGAGAATGCTAAGCAGTTGGTGGTGCAGGAGGCAATGCTGATGATTGTGAGGTTGCTTTCGTACTTCTCATGGTTCATGCCCATCAAACAGGGGGTCAAAGGCAGCAGAGATGATGACTCTTTGGCTCTCTCCTCTAAGTGTGCCCCAGCCATATACAAGATAGTGAAGACACCAGTTGACTCCACAACACAACCAGTGCCAGCATCACTGCATTTGATTTTGGTGGTATCTTGCTCCTGGAAGATGGAGATAGGATTTCCACTGATGACAAACTTGTGATTCTCAGCCTTGACAGTGCTGTGGAGCTTGCCACTGGTGGAATCATACTGGAACATGTAGACCATGTAGCTGGAGTCAGTGAAGGGGTCACTGATGATGACAATATCCACTTTGCCAGAGTTAAAAGCAGCCCAGTTGACCAGATGCCCAGTACAGCCAAATGTGTTTACTACAACCTTCAATTTCACCAACTGTCTCAGGGACATGGCTGCTGCTGCATGGCTGCTGCTGCATGGCTGCTGCTGTGTCCTTTATCACACAGAAGGAACAGAGAGCCTATCTTTCTCTATTGATTTTCAGTTTAATTCCACTGAGGTCTGAGAGTAGACATTATGTGATTAATATTTTTTAAAATCTGTTTTATAAGTATTTTTTTGTGTGTGGTTGCTGTCTCATTTTATTTTATTTTATTTATTTATTTTTATTTTATTATTATTATACTTTAAGTTTTAGGGTATATGTGCACAACGTGCAGGTTTGTTACATATGTATACATGTGCCATGTTGGTGTGCTGCACCCATTAACTTGTCATTTAGCATTAGGTATATCTCCTAATGCTATCCCTCCCCCCTCCCCCCACTACACAACAGGCCCTGGTGTGTGATGTTCCCCTTCCTGTGTCCATGTGTTCTCATTGTTCAATTCCCGTTTTATGGTCTATCTTGGTGAGTGTTCTGTGACAGCTTGAGAAGAATGAGTCCCTGCTGTTGTTGGATGAAGTGGTTAATAGATGTCAATTACATACAGTGGATTAATACTAATTACCTATAATTTTTTGAGGAAATGCATTACTTACATTTTCTTCTTCTAATTTTTGTGGGTACATGGTAGGTGTATATATTTATGAGGTACAGGAGATATTCTGATACAGGCATACAACGTGTAATAATCACACCAGGGTAAATGGGGCATCCATCACCTCAAGCATTATCTTTTGTGTTAAAACCCAATTATACTCTTTCAGGTGTTTAAAAACATAGAATTAAACTATTATTTAGTCACTCTGCTGTTCTATCAAATACCAGACCTTGTTCATTCTTTCTATTTTTTGTACCAATTAACCATCCCCACTTCCCCCTTACCCTTCCCCAATAAGCTTCACAGCCTCTGGTAACCATTATTCTACTCTCTATTCCCATGAGTTCAACTATTTTAATTTTTAGTTCCCACCACAAATAAGTGAGGATACGTGAAGTTTGTCTTTCTGTGTCTGGCTTATTTCACCTAACATAATGACCATAGTTCCATCCATGTTGTTACAAATGACAGGATCTCATTCTTTTTTAAGGCTAAATAGTACTCCAATGTGTATATATACCACATTTTCCTTATCCATCATCTGCTGATGAGCACTTAGGTTGCTTCCAAATCCTGGCTACTGCGAATAGTGCAATAAACAAGAGAGTGCAAATATCTCTTTAATATACTGATTTCCTTTCTATATATATATTTTTCTGCATATGAATGCCAGGTCATATCCTTTCTCTTAAGTACATACCTAGCAGTGGAATGGCTAGATCATATGGTAGCTCTATTTTTAGTTTCTTGAGGAACTCCAAACTGTTCTTCATAGTGGCTGAACTAATTCACATTCCCACCAATGGTGTATGAGGGTTCGCTTTTCTCCATATCCTTGTTAGCATTTGTTATTGCCTGTCTTTTGGATACAATCCATTTTAAACAGGCTAAAGTCATATCTCATTATAGTTTTGATTTATGGTTCTTTGATGACCAATGATATTGAGCACTTTTTCATATATCTGCTTTGCCATTTGTACGTCTTCTTTTGACATATGTCTATTCAGACCTTTTGTCTATTTTCTAACTGAATTATAAGATTTTTTTTCTTATATGGTTGTTTGAGCTCCTTATATAGTCTGATTATTTATCTCTTGTCAGATAGATAGTTTGCAAATATCTTCTCCCATTCTGTGGGTTGCCTCTTCACTTTTCTTTTCTTTTCTTTTTTTTTTTTTGAGATGGAGTTTTGCTCTTATTGCCCAGGCTGGACTAAAATGGCGCGATCTGGGCTCACTGCAACCTCTGCCTCCCAGGTCCAAGCGATTCTCCTGCCTCAGCCTCCTGAGTAGTTGGGATTACAGGTGCCTGCCACTATGCCCAGGTAATTTTTGTATTTTTAGTAGAGACGGGGTTTCACCATGTTGGCCAGGCTGGTCTCGAACTTCTGACCTCAGGTGATCTGCCGGCCTCCCAAAGTACTAGGATTAAAGGTGTCAGCCACTGCACCTGGCTACTCTTCACTTTTCTGATTGTTTCCTCTGTTGTGCAGAGCTTTTTTAACTTGATGTCATCCCATCCGTCCATCTTTTCTTTGGTTGCCTGTGTTTGTGGGGTTTTACTCAAGAAATCTTTGCCCAGTCTGATGTCCCAGGGAGTTTCCCCAATGTTGTTTTTAGTAGTTTCATAGTTCAGGTCTTAGATTTGAGTCGTAAATTCATTTTGATATGGCTTTTGTATGTGGTGAGAGACAGGGAGCTAGTTTCGATCTTCTGTGTATGGATATTCAGCTTCCCCAGCACCATCTAATGAAGAGACTGTCCTTTCCCCAGTGCATATTCTTGGCACCTTTGTCAAAAATGAGTTCACTGTAGATGTATGAACTGTTTCTAGGTTCTCTATTCTGTTTCATTGGTCTATGTGTCTGTTTTTATGCCAGTACCATGCTGTTTTGGTTACTACGGCTCTGTAGTATAATTTGAAGTCAGGTTATGTGATTCCTCCTATTTTGTTCTTTTTTCTCAGGATAGCTTTGGCTATTCTAGGCCTTTTATGATTTCATATAAATTTTAGGATTGTTTTTTCCATTTCTGGGAAGAATGTCATATTTTGATAGGGATTGCATTGAATCTGTGACTGCTTTGGGTAGTATGAACATTTTAACAATATTGATTCTTCCAATCTATGAACATGGAATATCTTTCCTTTTTGTGTGTGTGTCCTCTTCAATTTCTTTCACCAATGTTTTACAGTTTTCATTGTAAAGATCTTTCATTTCTTTGGTAAAGTTAATTCCTAGGTATTTTATTTGTAGCTATTGTAAATGGGATTATGTTCCTGATTTCTTTTTCAGATTATTCGCTGTTGGCATATAGAAATGCTACTGATTTCTGTATGTTGATTTAGTATGCTGCAACTTTACTGAATTTATCAGTTCTAATAGTTTTTTGGTGGAGTCTTTAGGTTTTTCCAAATATAACATCACCTGCAAACAAGGATAATTTGACTTCTTCCTTTCCGATTTTGATGTTCTTTGTTTGTCTGTGTTTTTTTTTTTTTTTTTTTTTTGAGACAGAGTCTTGCTTTGTTGCCCAGGCTGGAGTGTAGCGGCGCAATCTCAGCTCACTGCAAGCTGTGCCTCCCGGGTTCACGCCATTCTCCTGCCTCATCCTCCTGAGTAGCTGGGACTATAGGCACCCGCCACCACGCCCGGCTAATTTTTTGTTATTTTTAGTAGAGACGGGGCTTCACCATGTTAGCCAGGATGGTCTCTATCTCCTGACCTCGTGATCCACCCAACTCGGCCTCCCAAAGTGCTGGGATTACAGGCGTGAGCCACCACACCTGGCCACCTTTCTTTCTTTCGTCTGATTGCTCTAGCTAGGACTTCCAGTACTAGGTTAAATAGCAGTGCTTAAAGTGGGAATCCTTTCACCTTCCTTTCTGATTTGGATGTCCTTTATTTCTTTCTCTTTTCTTATTGCTCTAGCTAGGTCTTCCAGTACTAGTACTGGAAGTCTAGGTCAAATAACAGTACTAGATCAAATGACAGTGGTGAAAGTGGGCATCCACTTCGTGTTCTAGATCTTAGAGAAAAGGCTTTCAGTTTTCCCTCTTCAGTATGATACTAGCTGTGGGTCTGCCACATATGGCTTTTATTATGTTGAGGTATGTTCTTCTTTCTACATCCAGTTTTTTGAGGATTTTTATCATGAAGAGATGTTAAATTTTATCAGATGCTTTCTCAGCATCAATTGAAATGACCATATGGTTTCTGTCCTTCATTCTGTTGATACGACATACCACATTAATTGAGTCATGTATACTGAAGCATCCTTTCATCCCTGGGATAAAACCCACTTGTTCAATGATACATGATCTTTTTAATATGTTCCTTAATTCGGTTTGATAGTGTTTTGTTAAGGATTTTTGCACCAATGTCCATCAGAGATATTGGTCTGTGGTTTTCTTTTTCCTTGATGTGTCTTTAACTGGTGTTGGTATCAGGCTATTACTCGTCTCCTAGAATGAGTTTGGAAGTATTCCCTCCTCCTCTATTTTTCAGAATAGTCTCAATAGGATTGGTTTTAGTTTTTCTTTAAGTGTTTGGTAGAGTTCAACAGTGAAGCCATTGGGTCCCGGGCTTTTCTTTGCTGGAAGACTTTTTATTACAGCTTCAACTTGTTACTTGTTGTCAGTCTGTTCAAGTTTTATATTACCTCATGGTTCTATCTTAGTAGACTGTATGTGTCTAGGAATTTAACCCTTTCTTCTAGGTTTTCCAAATTACTGGCATATAGTTGCTCATAGTACCCTCTAGTGATCCTTTGAATTTCTGCAGTATCTATTGCAATATCTCCTTTTTCATTTCTGACTTTATTTGGGTCTTCTTTTTTTCTTAGTCTGGCTAAAAGTTTGTCAGTTTTATGTTTTCAAAACACCAACTTTTTCTTTCCTTGATCTTTTGTATTGTTTTCTTCATTTCAATTTCATTTATGTCTGCTCTGATCTTTATTTTTCCTTCTACTAACATTAGGTTTGGTTTACTCTTGCTTTTCTAGTTCTTTAGGATGCATTGTTAGGTTGTTTATTTGAAGTTTTTCTTCTTTTTTGATGTAGGAGCTTATAGCTATAAACTTCCCTCTTAGTTCTGCTTTCGCTGTATCCCACAGGATTTGGTATATTGTGTTTCCATTATGTTTGTTTCAAGATATTTTTCAATTTCCTTCTTAATCTCTTCATCGACCCACTAGTGACTCAGGAGCATATTGTTTAATTTCCATGTGTTTGTATAGTTCCCAAAATGCCTCTTGTTATTGATTTATAATTTTATTCCATTGTGGTTCAGAGAAGATACTTGATATAACGTCAATTTTTTGAATGTTTTAAGACTTGTTTGGTGGTCTAACATATGGCCTCTACCCTTGAGAATGATGCATGTACTGAGGAGAAGAATGTGTATTCTGCAGCCACTGGATGAAATGTTCTGTAAATATCTATTAGGTCCATTTGGTCTATAGTGTAGATGAAGTCTGATGTTTCTTTGTTGATTTTCTGTCTGGATGATCTGTCCAATGCTGAAAGTGGGGTGTTGAAGTCTTCAGCTATTATTGTATTGAAATTTATCTTTCTCTTTAGCTCTAATATTTGCTTTATGTATCAGGGTGTTCCAATGCTGGGTGCATATATATGTATAACTGTTATATCCCATTGCTGAATTGACCCTTTTATATATAATGACCTTCTTTGTCTCTTAGTTTTTGTCCTGAAATCCATTTTGTTTAAGCATAGCTACTTCTGCTCTTTTTTTTGGTTTCTACTTGCATGGAACATCTTTTCTCATCCCTTTATTTTCAGTCTTTGTGTGGTTTTTTTTTTTTTTTTTGAGACGGAGTTTCACTCTTGTTGCCCAGGCTGTAGTGCAATGGCGCGATCTCAGCTCACCGCAACCTCTGCATCCCGGGTTCAAGCGATTCTCCTGCCTCAGCCTCCCGAGTAGCTGGGATTACAGGCATGCACCACCACGTCCCACTAATTTTGTATTTTTAGTAGAGACGGGGTTTCTCCATGTTGGTCAGGCTGGTCTCAAACTCCCGACCTCAGGTGATCCGCCTGCCTTTGCCTCCCAAAGTGCTGGGATTACAGGTGTGAGCCACTGCACCCGGCCTATGTGTGTCTTTACAGGTGAGTGTGTTTCTTGTAGGCAACAGATTGTTGGGTCTTAATTTTTTTTTTTCTTTTTTTGAGACAAGGTCTTGCTCTGGTGCCCAAGCTGGAGTGCAATGGCATGATCTCAGCTCACTGCAGCCTCAATCTCCCAGGCTCAAGTGATCTTCCCACCTCAGCTTCTGGAGTAGCTGGGACTATAGGCATGTACCACTGTGGCACCACCATTAGAACTGTGCTGGGTTAGACCTGAAGCCAATACAGCACTGGGTCTTACCAAGGCCTGCTGTAACCACTACCTGGCTACCACATATGTTTGCTCAAGGCCCTAGAGCTCCACAATCAGCAGATGATGAAGCCAGCTGGGCTTGTGTCCTTCCTTTCAGGGTGGCAAATTCCCCCAGCAGGTTCAGAGATGATGTCTGGGAACCAGGGCCTAGAATTGGAAATGTCAGAAATCTACCTGGTATTCTTTCTACTGCAGTAAGTTTGGCACCAAAACAGAGTCTCAGTCTCTCCCTGTGTCCACCACTACCACAGGCCCATGGGGAGTACTGTGGCCTCCCATGGGGAGGCCAGGGTATCGACAGTGTTCACTTAAGGCCCAAGGGCTCTTCAGTCATCTTGTGAACACTCAGGCCTGGGACTCACCCTTCAGAGCAACAGGCTCCCTTCTAGCATAGTGTAGGTCCAGAACTACCATCCAGGAGCTAAGGCCTGGAATTAGGGACCCTAAGAGCCCATTTGGTACTCTTCCCAACTATGACCAAGTTCAAATCTACACTGCAAGACCTAATCTCCTTTATTCTTCCCTCTCCTTTTGTTAAGCAGAGTCTTTACTTGCAGTCGCTACTGCTGGGTCATACCTGAAGCCAGCATGTCTCAGAGTCTCACTCAAGGCCATGGCATCTCCTATCTGGTTACCAGTGCTGATTATTCAGGGCCCAAGGGCTCTTTAGTTAGCAGGTGATGAATCTTGCCAGGTCTAGGTCCTTCCCTTCAAGGCAGGAGGTTCCCTTCTGGCGCTGACTGTGTCTAGACACTATAGGCATCTAGGGCCTGGAATAGGGGTCTCACAACTCTACTTGGTACCCTAGATGCCTGTGGCTGAGCTGGTATTCAAGTTGCAAAATGAAGTCCTCTTTACTCTTCCCTTTCCTGTCCGCAAACAGAAGGAAGGGGTCTCTTTTGTACTGGCAAGATGCACTGGCTGGCACTGTGTGGAAGGGGTGACACAAGCACTTCCTTAGTCACCCTGGCTGCTGTCTCACTAGGTTGTGTGCCCCCGCAAGACCACTGGCTCTGATCCCAGCACTACTCTAGTACTTGCCTGGGGGTTGCAGTCCTTCTAGCCTAGACTGCTTTTCTAGTTCATTTAAGACCCCAAAGCACTCTAGCTCGCGGTGGCAAGGCTAGCCAAACTCAAGTTCTGCCTGCTGGGAGAGAAAATTTCCCCTCTGACTAGGGTTAGTCCACAGGCTTCCTCTGTGGGCATTGGCTGAGTTCTGCTCAGTGTTGGCAGCACTAAGTTCCAGTGCAAAGTCTCACAATTACTGCACTCTCACTCCTGGAAGTGTATAGATTCTCTCTCCATGCCACAAGGCCACTGCAGGGGTTGGGGGGTGGTGTCTTCAATTCAAGACTGTCTTTCCTACTCCTTCCATGCCCCTTTTAACAATATTAAGTTAAAACCAGGTACTGTGATTGCTCACCTGATTTTTGGCTCTCATGAAGGTACTTTTCTGTGTAGACAGTTGTCAAATTTGGTGCTACTGCAGGGAGGACAATCAGTGGAGGCTTCTATTCAGTTATCTCACTCTGCCTCCTCTCTCTCTCTCTCTCTCTCTTTTTTGTTTAGACAGGGTCTCTCTCTGTCACCCAGACTGGAGTACAGTGGTGCAATCACAGTTCACTGCAATCTCGAACTCCTGGGCTCATGTGATCCTCCCACCTCAGCTTCCCAAGTAGCTAGGACTACAGGTGTGTGCCACTATGCCTAGCCATTTTTTTTTTTCCTAAGATATGAGGTCTTGTTATGTTGCCCAAGCCTCGAACTCCTGGCCTCAAGCAATCCTCTTGCCTAGGCTTCCCAAAGTGTTGGGATTACAGGCGTAAGCCACTACACCTAGCCTCTCTTTAATTTTTTTAAATAATGATTTTTTTGAATAGGTAGTTTATTAGTATTATACAAAAATTTAAAAGTTCAGAAGATTATATAATGAAAAGCAAGTCACCTTTTCATCCCTGTCCTAATCTTCTTCCCCATAAAACCACTATTACTGGTTTCAATCTAGAGCAGTACTGTCCAACAGAACTTTCTACAATAATGAAAATGTTCTGCATTGGTGCTGTCCAACACAGTTGCCTTTAGCCACAGGTAACTACTAAGTAAGCACTTTAAGTGTAGCTAGTTTGACTAAGAAACTGAATTTAATTTCACCTAAATGTAATGAATTTAAATGTAAATAGCCACATGTGACCAATGGCTACTGCATTAATACAGTATAGATCTAGAGAATCTGTCTAGAGTAAAGGTTTTTCTGCCTTAGCTACATAATGTAATCACCTAGTGACCATTTAAACCTTCAATGCCCAAGTCAAACCCCAGAACAAATATAACAAAATCTCTGGAATGGAATTTAGGCATCAGTATCTTTTTTTTTTTCAAGCTCCCCAGAGATTCCAATATGCAACCACCATTCGAAGCCTCTGTTCTAGAAAATCTGTTATCTTACAAATAGATTACCTCTACCTAATATTTAAAAACTAAAAGCCTGGCCAGGTGCTGCGGCTCACACCTGTAATCCCAGAACTTTGGGAGGCCGAGGCGGGTGGATCACCTGAGGTCAGGAGTTCAAGACCAGCCTGGCCAACATGGTGAAACCCCATCTCTACTAAAAATACAAAAAATTAGCCAGGCATGGTGGCAGGCGCCTGTAATCTCAGCTACTTGGGAGGCTGAGACAGAAGAATTGCTTGAACCCAGGAGGCGCAGGTTGCAGTGAGCCAAGATCACGCTACTATACTTCAGCCTGGACAACAGAGCGAGACTCTGTCACACACACACACACACACACACAAAACCTAAAAGCTTTTCCTGGATGCTGTTGATAGAAAATAAAAATAAAAATAAAGAAAAATAAGAACCAAGGGAGTAATTTTTTTCTTTCCAAGTTATTAATTAGGAAAATAACTTTCAATTGCTCAGGTACTTAAATATCTTTATACCTATAGAGGGTTTCCCCCAAAGTAAGTCAGTAGGGGTAATTTTTACATTTTTACTGGGACTGATTGGATTTTTAAAGCTAAAAAAGAGTTTCCAAGAAAGAAATACGATTTTCCTCTTTGTTTATAGGTATAATACAGAGAAGATATTTGCATTGCATACTGTTAAAGAACTCCTAAATATCAAGAAGAAAGGCTGGGCACAGTGCCTTACACCTGTAATCCTAGCACTTTGGGAGGCCGAGGCGGACGGATTACCTGAGCTCAGGAGTTCGAGACCAGCCTGGGCAATACAGTTGAAACCCCGTCTCTACTAAAATACAAAAAATTAGCTGGGCGTGGTGGCGGGCACCTGTAGTCCCAGCTACTCAGAGGCTGGCATGAACCCGGGAGGCGGAGCTTGCCGTGAGCCGAGATCGTGCCACTGCACTCCAGCCTGGGCGACACAGCGAGACTCTGTCTCAAAAAAAAAAAAAATTAGCTGGATGTGGTGGCGGGCACCTGTAATCCCAGCTACTCAGGAGGCTGAGGCAGGAGAATTGCTTGAACCTGGGAGGCGGCAGTTGCAGTGAGCTGAGATCGCACCATTGCACTCCAGCCTTGGCTACAAGAGCGAAACTCCATCTCAAAAAATAAAAAAATAGGCCAGGCGCGGTGGCTCACGCCTGTAATTCCAGCACTTTGGGAGGCCGAGGCAGGCGGATCACGAGGTCAGGAGATCGAGACCATCCTGGCTAACATGGTGAAACCCCGTCTGTATTAAAAAAAAAAAAGAAAAAATTAGCCAGGCATGGTGGCGGGTGCCTGTAGTCCCAGCTACTTGTGGCGGGTGCCTGTAGTCCCAGCTACTCAGGAGGCTGAGGCAAGAGAATGGCGCGAACCCAGGAGGCAGAGCTTGCAGTGAGCCAAGATTGCGCCACTGCACTCCAGCCTGGGCGACAGAACGAGACTCCGACTCAAAAAAAAAAAAAAATTAATTAAATAAATAAATAAATAAGTTTTGCATGTGGTGGCACAAGCCTGTAATCGCAGCCCCTCTAGAAGGTAAGGCAGAAGGATTGCTTGGGTCTAGGAGTTTGAGGCTGCAGTAAGCTATGACCATGCCACTGTACTCTAGCCTGGATGACAGAATAAGATCCTGTCTCTAAAAATAAAAAATAATAAATAACAAAAAGATTTTAAAAGTTTAAAAACTACTGATATAAATATGTAACTGCCTAACATTACAGTTATCTAAATCAGCATATAGGTAAGTATCCAGGTCAAGAAGGTAATTCATTAAATCATAAAGTTCCTGTAAAGTCTTGGCGATTAGTTCCAAATCAAGCATTAAAAACAAACAAAACCCAGTAAGGGTTCACTGTATGGCTTTGGGAGCTGAGAAGCTGAAACAAAATGCTAACCCTAGGCACATGCTCTATAACCCTTGACTATTTCAGAGGTATATATATATATATATATATATACACACACATATACATTTTTTTTTTTTTTTGAGACAGGGTCTCGCTCTGACACCAGGCTGGAGTGCAGTGGTGTGATCTCTGCTCACTGAAGCCTCCGCCTCCTGGGCTCAAGCAGTTCTCTCACTTTAGCCTCCTGAGTAGCTGAGACTACAGGCGTGTGCCACCATGACTGGCTAATTTTTCTATTTCTTGTAGACACAGGGTTTCATCATGTTGCTCAGGCTGGTCTCAAACTCCTGGGTTCAAGCGACCCTCCCGCCTCAGCCTATCCAGCTGTAATCTCAGCTAAGATTACAGACGTGAGCCACTGTGCCCGGCCTCAGAGGTATATTTAAAGATAGTTTCCCATTGCTCTACCATAATTTCTAGTATGGTCCTAGCTATCTTAAACAAAACTGTCAGTATATATAACAGTCCATTTTTAAATTACAAGGATATATATTTTTTTCTTTTTTTTTTTTTTTGAGACAGAGTCTCACTCTGTTGTTCAGGCTGGAGTGTAGTGGCGCGATCTCAGTTCACTGCAGCTCTGCCTCCTGGGCTCAAGGGATTCTCCTGCCTCAGCCTCCCAAGTAGCTGGAATTACAGGTGTGTGCCACCATGCCCAGCTAATTTTGTATTTTTAGTACAGACGGGGTTTCACCATGTTGGCCAGGCTGGTCTCAAACTCCTGGCCTCAAGTGATCCGCCCGCCTCAGCCTCCTAAAGTGCTGGGATTACAGGTATGAGCCACTATGCCCAGCCAGGATATGTTCTTTTCTCTGCTTCCTCTTTGGGGTTACTGCCTCTATAGCTAATAGGACACCACATATACACCAGAACTTACATTGACATTAAGAATTTTGGCATACTCTACTTCAGGAAGAAAAGACAAAACTGAGAAAAAGGAGTGGCAAAGAGATTAAAAATGGGGCTACAATTACATGAAATAATAATAACAACAACAACTAAGTTGGTTTTTTTTTTTTTTTCTGTCTTCCAGGTTGGAGTGCAGAGGCATGATCTTCGCTCACTGCAACCTCTGCCTTCTGGATTCTAGCGATTCTCCTGCCTCAGCCTCCCGAGTAGCTGGGATTACAGGTGCCCACCACCACACCCAGCTAATTTTTGTATTTTTAGCAGAGATGGGGTTTCACCATGTTGGCCAGGGGGTCTTGAACTCCTGACCTCAAGTGATCTGCCTGCCTCAGCCTCCCAAAGTGCTGAGATTACAGGCATGAGCCACTGCACCCGGCCAATAGAAACTAAGATATATATAGCACTTGCTATGTGCCAGGCACTGTTCTAAGTGTTTTACATTTAAATTTCACAACATTCCTGTCAGGCTGGAATTGTTATTATTCTATTTTACATATAAGGGCAAAAAATTGTCACATAATTGTTAAAAGATAAGAGCCAAAGGTTTGAATCTAGGCAATTTGACTCCAGAGACCATTGTCTCACCATTAAAGATAGCCTGATAATTCAACCATACACATTTACTGGGACCCTGCTATATGCAAGGCAGCATGTAGGGAGCTCCAGATACAAAGATATGAAATGGCTTTCCTTCGTGTTTGCATCCGAATGATCACAGAGCTCAAAGTTTCCTTCTACCAGTTACCATTTCAAAATAATCTTTACACTCAAAATACTTCCTCAAATAATTAAGGATAATTGCTATGAAAAATGATTATCAAAGCAAAGCACCAATAGTTTAAAGAGCTTCAAATATTAATCCAGGCCAGGCATGGTGGCTCACACCTGTAGTTGCAGTGCTTTGGGAGGCTAAGGTGGGAGGACTGCTTGAGCCTAGGAGTTTGAGACCAGCCTGGATAACATAACGACACCCTGTCTCTACAAACAACAACAATAAAATTAGCTGGATGTGGTGGCACATGCCTGTAGTCCCAGCTACTCGGGAGCCGATGTGGGAGTACCACTTGAGCCCAGGAGGTCAAGGCTGCAGTGAGCCATGATCATGCCACTGCACTCCAGCCTAGGTGACAGAGCAAGACCCTGTCCCAAAAAATATAAATAAATAAAAATAAAAGTAAAAAAAAAAACAATCCAGAGGAAGGCCTTTAATATGCCATGACAATGTAGAAAATGTCTGCATATGGTGACATTTTTTACATTAACGATCAATTTACACAAAATGTTAATACACGTGGTGTTTTTCCCAGTTCCAAATTATAGTGCTGCAACCATGTAAGTTGCATATGGCAAGTTCACATTGTAAAAATCAGATATGAATTTGTTGGCATCTCATCAAAAGTAGCGCTATTCATTCTTATAAAATCTAATAAAATTGGCCAGGCGCGGTGGCTCACGCCTGTAATCCCAGCACTTTGGGAGGCTGAGGCAGGTGGATCACGAGGTCAGGAGTTCAGGATCAGCCTGACCAAGATAGTGAAACCCCGTCTCTACTAAAAATACAAAAAAAATTAGCCGGGCGTGGTGGTGGGCGCTGTAATCCCAGCTACTCAGGAGGCTGAGGCAGAGAACTGCTTAAACCCGGGAGGCCGAGGATGCAGTGAGCCAAGATCGCACGACTGCACTCCAGGCTGGACGACAGAGTGAAACTCGGTCTCAAAAAAAAAAAAAAAAAAAAAAATCTAATAAAATTGTTGTGTACTTTTTAAAAATTATTATTAAGAAAGCAGAAGCGGCAAGATAAGATTTCTATCCTGCTGGAGTGGTTCATATATGAAAGACATTTGAAAACCACTGTCTGATAGGACAATATACCTAATAATGGTCAAGACAAGATCTCTAAGATCTCTTGTATTCCCATTTCATTTTACCCTAAACACTGGAATTTCCTGGTGGCTGGGTAATAAATTATGACCAATGAGAAAATAAATGGAGACATTACACATTTAGAGTAATAATGATAAAATTTTAACTTGAAAAGTATGTGGAAATATGCCAGGCGTGGTGGCTCACGCCTGTAATCCCAGCACTTTGGGAGGCTGAGGCAGGCGGATCACAAGGTTGGGAGATCGAGACCATCCTGGCTAACATGGTGAAACCCCGTCTCTGCTAGAAATACAAAAAATTAGCTGGACGTGGTGGTGGGCATCTGTAGTCCCAGCTACTCGGGAGGCTGAGGCAGGAGAATGGCATGAACCTGGGAGGCAAAGCTTGCAGTGAGCCAAGATCGCATCACTGCACTCCAGCCTGGGCTACAGAGTGAGACTCTGTCTCAAAAAAAAAAAAAAAAAAAGAGAAAAGTATGTGGAAATAAATAATAGAGGTCAAAAATTATATATATTTAAACACAAATAATACATTTTTCAGGTATATTACATGAAAAATTAATGTATGCAGGTAGCCAACTGTTGCTCATATCTGAATAGAGTGCTTCTATGTATCAGAAACCAGCAGTATGTCCTTGACAAAACTTTGGGTATAGTTTTTAAAATACACAACCGCAATGTAAAATAGATTAATCAACCTAAAACTCAACTGTGCCTAGGACTAGAGTAAGTGCTACAAAAATTTGGAAGAATACAGAGTTCCTGCTCTGAACATTTCTTTAAATTAACATCTAAGTCAGTGGTTCTCAAATTTTAGCATAGATCAAAATCACTAGGAGAGCTTTTTAAAACAAATTGCTGGGCTCCATTCCAAAATTTCTGATTAAGTAGGTCTGGAATGAGACCTAAGAATTTGCATGTCTAACAGGTTCCTGGGTAATGCTGACACTGCTGATCCAAAGACCACACTTTAAAAATCACCGAATTACAGCTAGGCACCACAGCTCCCGCCTATAATCCCAGTGCTTTGAGAGGCTGAGGCGGGACTATCGCTTGAAGACTGGAGTTAAAGAGTAGCCTGGGCAACAGTGAGGCACCGTCTCTACAGAAATAAAAATATTAGCCAGGTGTGGTGGTGTGTGCCTGTAGTCCTAGAAGGCTGAGGTGGGAGGATGGCTTGAGCCTAGGAGTTTGAGGCCACCATCAACTATGATCACTGCACTCTAGCCTGGGCAACAGAATGAGACCCTGTCTCTGAAAAAAATATATGTAATTTTTGGCTCTCTCTCTCTATATTTTTTGGCTGGGTGCAGTGACCCATGTTTGTAATCCTAGCACTTTGGGAGGATCACGTAAGCCCAGGAGTTTGAGATCAGCCTGGGCAACATGGTGAGACCTTGTCTCTACAAAAAAATAAAGAAAATAGGCTGGGCATGGTAGCTGATGCTTGTAATCCCTGCATTTTGGGAGGCCAAGGCAGGCAGATTGCTTAAGGCTAGGAGTTCGAGACCAGCTTGGGCAACACGGTGAAAACTTATCTCTACAAAAAAACTATAAAAATTAGTCAGGTGTGGTGGCACATGCCTGTAGTTCCTGCTACTCAGGAGGCTGAGGTGGGAAGATCGCTTATGCCCGGGAGATCGAGGCTGCAGTGAGCTGTGATCATGCCACTGCACTCTGGCCTGGGTGACAGAGCGAGATCCCATATCACAAAAATAAAAAAATAAAGAAAATAAAAAATAAAATTAGCTGGGCATGATGGCACACACCTGTAGTCTCAGTTATTCAGGAAGCTGAGGTGGATGGATAGCTTGCGCCCAGGAGATCAAAACTGCAGTGAGCCATGACTGCACCACTGCACTCCAGCATGGGTGACAGAGTGAGACCCTGTCTCAAAATTTTAAAAAGAGGCCGGGCTTGGTGGCTCATGCTTGTAATCCCAGCACTTTGGGAAGCCAAGGTGGGAGAATCACTTGAGGTTAGGAGTTCGAGACCAGCTGGCCAACATGGTGAAACCTCGTCTCTACTGAAAATACAAAAATTAGCTGAGCTTGGTGGCACACACCTGTAATCCCAGCTACTCAGGAGGATGAGGCAGGAGAAATGCTTGAACCTGGGAAGCTGAGGTTGCAGTGAAACAAGATCACGCCACCGCACTCCAGCCTGGGCAACAGAGAGAGACTGTATCTCAAAATTAATTAATTAATTAATTTTAAAAAATCACTGGATTACTTCATTGTCTTACAAACAAAGCTTGCTAATTCTGATTCTTTATTTTCAAATTCATGTTATTGCTTTTGTCCTTACCTTTATTTTAGGGGAAATCACTATGAATTGGAAACCCATAAGAATTTGAGAAGACAATAAAACTATATAAATGAAAGGACAAATATTTCATTTATTTGATCTAAACATTCAGCAATTTCAGTCATGTACAACTAGCTATAATCACAGAAGTAATTACTGAGACTGAGAAGAAATAAAATCAGCCAAAAGCAGTAGAGGCATGCTGTTAATTTCTTATTTTTCTACCCTAATAAATTGGAGTCAGCAGGGAGGAGTACCATTAATAGCCAAGAAACATAGATATGGCAAGAAAAACAAAGAAGAGACATGAAGGAAAAAAATGAAGGGGATTAGAATAGCAGCAAGTGGGAGCAGGCCTTCAAGTGAAAATGGATAAGCAGCAGACACATTAAGGAGGAAAGAGACATACAATGAACAGAAGTGGCCAGAAAAGAAGAAAAAAAATGTTAAACAAACTATCCAAAAGTGTGGGGTAATTCACTAAAAGGACAAGCCAAGCCCTCAAAACTAAATAATTAAATAACTCTTATTAGGGTATTACTATGCCATATTAAAGCACACCAACAACACAGGAATCTGGGCACATTTGGTGGGAAAGAAAAGAGCCATGCATACTTTTAGTAAACATAAATGACTCTATATAGTACAACTGTCATAAGCAAAAACTCAGAGTCGCAAAGAAAAGATTCAAATATAGGTGATTCTTATCAAGGCAAAAACAAGTATTTTATACATCTTAGCAAAAAATTTTATAAAAGTTGGATCCAAAAAAAGTCCTGGCAATTAATGGGTACTTAATTAAGTAGAAATATCGATCATCCAGATATCTGTGACTTTTCCAAGTGTTACCGAAAAAGAGAATGGGGTCACATGAAATGTATTATCATCACTTTAGTCGAATTCTCTAACAATTTTTACTTACCAGGGGGAAGATCATCAACTTTTGCTAGGTCATTCTCTTCTATTCCAGGCATCCCTGCATCACCACCTCTTTTGATTTGTTCTGCCCAAGTAACAAAAAGATAGAATTCTATCGTTTTTCTTACATAATTTGAAAATGTTTTGAAGGAATGTAACAATCAGTTTCTAAAAGTAATAGGCTACATCAACTGAACATCTTTACCTCTTGCTTTGGACATAGCTGTAACTCTAAAATAACTTACTCTTTTTTCTCTTCTATCAAACAATCCAAATTTGAAACAATGCAGACACTTAATCATGTGTGAACTAAAATCAAACAATTTTCTTTATGATTGAAAATATCCACTTCAAAATGGGAAGAAAAAGTCAATATCCTATTAATACAAAACAAAAGAATAATAACAATAATACCTTTCCCATGTGGAATATGATTGCTTGAGGGTTCTTCATTCTTATCTGCAACATTCTCAGCTACTTTTGGAATATTTTTAGGTACTACTTGATTGTTTATATCCAATTCCTTTCCATCATTTGATTGAATCTTTTGGGTCTCTTGCTGTTAGACAAAATTTGGTAATAATATTTTTCAGTTCAAATTGTTAAACCACCGACACAACTATTAATTAAATGTTCTGAAACAGTTCATCTTGTAAAACATATACCATGGGTTCAAATAATGAACAATTGGAGATGCAGGATACATTATTTTCTGTGTGATTTTTATACCTGATAAAAAGTCAAAGAATAACACTTTTGAAAATCTCTAGCTACAGTAAATGAATGATTTGGTAGGCAGAGGTGACTCTGCTTGGCTATGCTGAGGTGTGTGATTCTGCAAGACAGCCTGCTGAATACTCTAGGTTACCCTAATGGCCTAAAATTGGGCATCTTCCTGGGTGCTATGGGCAGGGTGGGTTCTCTGTAAGCATATGTTAGAACCAAGCAGGATGGCAGTAAGGAGGAGACTGGTACACAGGTGCCTCTTCAAGAGCAAGGGTGAAAAACAGGCAATCTTCTTCCTAAGTGTGCTGGCCACCGAAACACAGCAAGTAGTGGCAGGACAATAAACAGGTCAGTGCTTCCTCTAACCTGTTCCTAACCTAGCATCTTCTTGGAAATGTGAATCTTCAGGTACATGGTTAGGCCTAACTCAATTCTCTTGGTGGACCAGTATTAAGTTTGCCTCCATGGAAAATTGGGAGCAGCAAGGATTCAAGTACACAAGCTTGGGATGCCATATACAGGTTCCTCTAGTCAACATTTAATGCATCTATAAATGCTTTGTAAACTCTAATGCAGTATGAAATATAATTCTTAGTAATGTTATAAAAATAGTACGAAAAATCTATATGGAATCTAGAAAAACAAGAGCCAAATATTTTTTTTTATTATTATTTATTTCTGAGACGGAGTCTTGCTTTGTCGCCCAGGCTGGAGTGCAGTGGCGCGATCTCGGCTCACTCCAAGCTCCGCCTCCCAGGTTCATGCCATTCTCCTGCCTTAGCCTCCCGAGTAACTGGGACTACAGGTGCCCACCACCACACCCGGCTAATTTTTTGTATTTTTAGTAGAGACGGGGTTTCACTGTGTTAGCCAGGATGGTCTCGATCTCCTGACCTCGTCATCTGCCAACCTCGGCCTCCCAAAGTGCTGGGATTACAGGCGTGAGCCACCGTACCCGGCCACAACAGCCAAATCTTAAGAGTGTGTCACAATAAAGGAGAAAGAGTACTCTGACAATTAGGTGTAGGTATTCCAGTGTCCTGGCAAGTAAAATCAACAATAAATATTTGCATCGTGTCTCATAGTTTCCAAATTGCCTTCATAGCTGTCCTCTAGTAGAAATAAAATTAATAGTTTTGAGAAAAACAAAACTGAGGTATTAAAAACTTAAGCAGTTTGGGCCAGGCACGGCGGCTCATGCCTGTAATCCCAGCACTTCGGGAGGCCGAGGTGGGCGGATCACGAGGTCAGGAGATAGAGACCATCCTGGCTAACACAGTAAAACCCCGACTCTACTAAAAAATACAAAAAATTAGCCGGGTGTGGTGGCGGGTGCCTGTAGTCCTAGTTACTTGGGAGCCTGAGGCAGGAGAATGGCGTAAACCCGGGAGGCGGAGCTTGCAGTGAGCCAAGATGGCACCACTGCACTCCAGCCTGGGCAACAGTGCAACACTCCATTAAATAGAAAAAGTTAAGTAGTTTGGGCCAGGCACGGTGGTTCATGCCTGTAATCCCACCACTTTGGGAGGCAGAGGCGGGTGGATCATGAAGTCAGGAGTTCAAAATCAGCCGGACCAACATGGCGAAACCCCGTCTCTACTAAAAATACAAAAATTAGTCGGGCATGGTGGCGCATGCTTGTAATCCCAGCTACTCAGAAGGCTGAGGCAGGAGAATCGCTTGAACCCGGGAGGCAGAGGTTGCAGTGAGCCGAGATCGGGCCACTGTACTCCAGCCTGGGTGACAAAGCAAGACTCTGTCTCAGAAAAAAAAAAAAAAAAAAAAGCAGTTTGTCCAAAGTCACAAAACTAGAGAATTGTGAAGAAGGAATTCTAACCACAGTCTTTCTGACTCCAAATCCCACATTTCCTGTAAGTTGGTAAGCTATAATCAATTCTGATAGTTTAATCATTGATGAATGAAATGATAAACTGAAATTTTTGAACATGTCAATATAAACACCAAGGGTGAGAAAATCCATGAGGTACAACCTGAGCAGCCAGCTTGCATGTCTGTGCATCTTCACTATAATGCTATCTCATAAGGCTATTGCTATAGTACTCTTCACTCTTTTCCAGATATGGATAAGAAAAATATTGAACAAAATTAAAAGTCAACAAGCTACTGTTCAAAAATACTTTTCCATTGAAAATAGTTAACAAAGATGTTGTATCTTTAATGTACTATTGACAGTACCTTTCTATGAATGGACAATATTAATATTAATAAAATAAGATGCTTTTCTAGATGTAATGTTTGTGATTTGGTTAGTGGGCCTCCTGATTGTTTTTAAAATAAACTTCTTATTCTGAAATAATTCTAGATTTACAGAAAAGTAATCACCCCTTACTCAGTTTTCCCTAATGTTAAAATCCTGTTAACCTACCATCCATAATTACCATGATACATTTGCAAAACTAAAAAAGAAAATCAGTATATTATTACTACCTAAACTCCAGACTTACTTAGATTTCACCAGTTTTTCCACTAAGTCCTTTTTCTGTTTCAGGATCCAATTCAGGATACTACACTGCATTTATTTTAATTTTTTAATTTTTTAATTTTTGAGATGTAGTCTCGTTCTGCTGTCAGGCTGGAGTGCAGTGGTGCAGTACTGGCTCACTGCAACCCCCATATCCCCAGTTCAAAGGATTCTCCTGCCTCAGCCTCCTGAGTAGCCGGGATTACAGGTGCCAGCCACCATGCCCGGATAACTTTTTGTATTTTTAGTAGAGATGGGGTTTCACCATGTTGGCCAGGTTGGTCTCGAACTCCTGACCTCATGATCCACCCACCTTGGCCTCCCAAAATGGTGGGATTACAGGTGTGAGCCACCGCCCCCAGCTACTACACTGCATTTAAGTCCTTAGTCTCCTTAGTCTTCTCTGGGCTATGAGAGTTTCTCTGCCCTTACAGCATGAACGCAGTAAACAAATAAGCATGGCTGTGTCTCAATAAAATTTTATGTATGAACACCAAAATATAAATTTCTTATAATTTTCCCAAGTACTAAGATAATTTTTTCTTGATTTTTTTCAACCATTTGAAAATGTGAAAACCACTTTTGGCCTCTAAACAGTACGAAAGCAGGCAGCAAGCTGAATTCAGCCTGCGGGCTATAGTTTGCTGACTTCTTTTCCAGAGTCATTTCTATGATAGACATGTGGCTGGTTAATTAATTTTAAAATTAATAAAACAAAAAGATAAATCCCTGAATACAATTTATGCTTATTTCATATAGCTAACATTGGATTTGTCTCTATGAAAACTCAAATTGCACAGAACCAACTTGCCATAGTAGTTAAAGTACAGGAAATGAAGGGTGGGGAGTAGAATTAGGTAGCTGATCTAGAGGGTAAGGGCTGATGTGCTACCCAGAAAGGAGAAGTTCTCTGGGCACCTCAATTCCTGCCATGCCTTGTTCCATTTAGGGTAGGATAATGGCAAGGAAGAATTGGAGAAGCATTAGTTAATTAATAACATAAAAATAGCCTAGTATAGAAGAACAGAAAGAGAATTACACTGGCTTGGAAAAAAAGGGAAAGCTCTCATCTGTATTCCTTAAGAGAATAGAAGAGAGCGGCCGGGCGTGGTGCCTCACGCCTGTAATCCCAGCACTTTGGGAGGCTGAGGCGGGCAGATCACGAGGTCGGGAGATCGAGACCATCCTGGCTAACATGGTGAAACCCCGTCTCTACTAAAAATACAAAAAATTAGCTGGGCGTGGTGGCAGGTGCCTGTAGTCCCAGCTACTCGGAAGGCTGAGGCAGGAGAATGTGTGAACCTGGGAGGCGGAACTTGCAGTGAGCTGAGATCACGCCACTGCACTCCAGCCTGGGTGACAGAGTGAGACGCCATCTCAAAAAAAAAAAGAGAATAGAAGAGAGCAAACTTATCCCATTATTTATATACTACGCTTATAATGACACAATTGCAACAGCAAACCTCTCTTCCCCTTCCTTTTGTGTTCCATTATGTTCTTTTGACCCTCCAGTGTCTCAATAATACCTTTTGGTTGCCCTCAATGCCTCTACTATGGTAGCTCACTCAGGCCTGCCTTCGTCCACCAATCCATCCTTAAACACCTCTTCAAAGTAGACTGCAGATAGGCAGCAGGTATTCCACTTTGTAGATTCAAAAAATGAAATGGAGAAAGAAATGACACCCTCTATATCCTACTATAAAATTGTGAAAAAGCTAAGAATGAAAACCTGATATCCTTAACTTCTAGTCCTTTAGTTGAGATGCTACCAAAGAGCAAAACAAATACTTTTCACTATTAAATCTTTTTTTCCTTTAAATCACAAGAGTTCATAAAAATCATGCCTGGTTAGGTAAGATTACAAGGTATAAAAAAATGAATTGGCTGTGCGCGGTGGCTCATGCCTGTAATCTCAGCACTTTGGAAGGCCGAGGTGGGCGGATCACAAGGTCAAGAGATCGAGACCATCCTGGCTAACATGGTGAAACCCTGTCTCTACTAAAAATACAAAAAATTAGCCGGGCGTGGTGGCAGGCGCCTGTAGTCCGAGCTACTCGGGAGGCTGAGGCAGGAGAATGGCGTGAACCCAGGAGGCGGGGCTGGCAGTGAGCCGAGATCACGCCACTGCACTCTAGCTGGGCGACAGAGCGAGACTCCATCACACACACAAAAAAAAATGAATCATGTCCTTAATAATTAGTAATCTTCAGACAATTTCCTCTATTGCTAAAAGAATCTTCATAATACATATTAACTTAAAATGAATTAATAAAAGAATTTGCCCCCCCCAAAAAAAGTATGAATCAAATTGGTTGTAGTGGCTAGTGTCTCATTTCTGTGCTTTAGGAAAGGGTGTCAGAATAACAGAGACTGATGATAAAGGAAAAAGTGTTTCTTTTTTTTCTATTTCTCAAATGTATAAAAAAGGAAGTAGTTGATTTTCAGTAAAAAAGTTGCCCACTTTACAATCTGAGAAATATATTAACAACAAAAATTATTTTTTTAAAAAGATGGATATTTTGGTTCAAAATTAATTTAAATTTTTTTTTTTTTTGAAACGGAGTCTCACTCTGTTGCCCAGACTGGAGTGCAGTGGTGTGATCTTGGCTCATTGTAACCTCCTCCGTCTCCCAGGCTCAAGCGGTTCTCCTGCCTCAGCCTCCTGAGTAGCTGAGATTACAGGCATACACCACCAAGCCTGGCTATATTTTGTATTTTTAGTAGAGATGGGGTTTCCCCATGTTGGCCAGGGTGATCTTGAACTCCTGACCTCGAGTGAGCCGCCCGCCTCAGCCTCCCAAAGTGCTGGGATTACAGGCGTGAACCACCGTGCCCGACCAGTTTTAAGAATTAAGATTATATTTTTGCAAATGTTTAATTTACTCAGAAATAAAGCCATTGTAAATCACTTTTGGAATTAGGCTGGCTGGAAAACTTAAAATATAGTGTTTTGTGACAAAATTATAATTTTAATTTCTAAATTACCATGATTTATAATAAAAATATTTGGATTTAAGTATATTTTTAAAATTTACCTTTTGTTCCTCTAAAAACTGGTCTGCTAACTTTTTAATATTTTCTTCATGCTGTGCTCTCAATTCCTTCATCTGCTGTCCACACTGAAAACTAAATTACAAAGTCATTCTTTTAGATTATATTATCTTGGATTGGATTCTCAAAGTTGTCCAGAAGTTGACACATACATAAGAAAGATAAAACACTCAGTTAGCAGGGGAGAGTGGGCTGGAAAAAACAGAGCATACAAATAGCTCACAATCAAAACTTTTAAAATACTTGAACTTGTAATAGGAGGTAGATAATACTGATAAAGCTAATTGAGAAAACAGAAATTACAAAGATAAAAACAATTCTTTTCCTATTATTTCCATAAATTGCATCTATTAAAAAAAAACTTTCAAAACCAACTTCAATCACAGAAGAGAAAAATACTATAGAAGAGAAAACTGTGAGACCAATTTATAGTAACAGATGAGGAAAGCTAGAATTATGAGAGCTGATAAGAAGTGGCAGCAGAAGATTCATCCAATAGTAGTTTAACACTGTAATAAAAGGCTAAACCATAGAATACTAGGAACGAAAGAAACTAATAAAGAAGATAGACTGGTGCCATCAGGAGAAAGTGAACAGCAGCAAAACAGATAAAGATGGTGACTTTCTGCTAGCCAAGTAGTCAAAGGATACACATACACCAATCATGCAAAAAGAAACAGTTAACACACATATAGAAAAATGTTAACTTTCACCATTATAAAATGCAAATTAAACTTCTTATATGTGGCTAGGCAGGGTGGCTCACACCTGCAATCCCAGCACTTTGGGAGGCTGAGGCAAGCAGATCACTGGAGGCCAGGAGTTTGAGATCAGTCTGGCCAACACAATGACACCCTGTCTCTACTAAAGATACAAAAAATATAGCCAGGCATGGTGGTACGTGCCTGTGGTCCCAGCTACTCAGGAGGCTGAGGCATGAGAATAGCTTAAACCCAGGAGGTGGAGGTTGCAGTGAGCTGAGATTGTGCCACTGCACTCCCAGCCTGGGCGTCAGAAACAGACTCAGTCTCAAAAAAAGAAAAACACAAAACACAAAACAAAAAAACCCACCAACTTCCTATATGTATATATATATAGTAGTATCTTATTCCTATACTAACAAAATTAAATTAGAATTAAAACCAAATTTGGTAGGGCTATGGGGAAATGTCTACATTATAAATGAGTACAATCATTTTAGAAAGCAACCTTTCATCTATGCTGTAAAAGCAACAAAACTGGTAAATCATTCTTTTAGAGGAATTCTACATTTGAGAAAATATACTACTGAAATAACAAGGGGAGGGGAAATCTTTATTTTTTTATTTATTTTTGAGACAAGGTTTCATTCTGTTGCCCAGACTGGAGTGCAGGCATGATTATGGTTCACTGTAGCCTCAACCTCCTGGGCTCAAGCAATCCTCCCACTTCTGCCTCCCAAGTAGCTGGGACCACAGGTGTATGCCAGCATACCCAGCTAGTTTTGGGAAATCTTTTTTGCATAGACATTTTTATAGCTGTGATAGTCTTTTTTTTTTTTTTTTTTTTCCAGATGGAGTTTCGCTCTTGTCACCCTGGCTGGAGTGCAATGGCGCGATCTCGGCTCACTACAACCTCTGCCTCCCAGGTTCAAGCAATTCTCCTGCTCAGCCTCCCAAGTAGCTGGGATTACAGGCATGCACCATCAGGCCCAGCTAATTTTTTCTATTTTTAGTAGAAATGGGGTTTCTCCATGTTGGTCAGGCTGGTCTTGAACTCCCGACCTCAGGTGATCCACCCGCCTCAGCCTCCCAAAGTGTTGGGATTACAGGCGTGAGCCACTGCACTCAGCTTTTTTTTTTTTTTTTTTTTTTTAAAGAGACAAGTTCTTCACACCTGTAATCCCAGCACTTTGGGAGGCCGAGGCGGGTGGATCACGAGGTCAGGAGATCGAGACCATCCTGGCTAATACGGTGAAAGCCCGTCTCTACTAAAAATACAAAAAATTAGCCGGGCGTGGTGGCGGGCACCTGTGGTCCCAGCTACTCGGGAGGCTGAGGCAGGAGAATGGTGTGAACCCGGGAGGCAGAGCTTGCAGTGAGCCAAGATCGCGCCACTGCATTCCAGCCTGGGCGACAGAGCGAGAGACGTGAGAGACTCCATCTCAAAAAAAAAAAAAAAAAAGACAAGTTCTCACCCTGTTGCCCAGACTACAGTGTAGTGGCATCATCATGGCTCACTGCAGCCTCAATCTCCTGGACTCAAGCAATCCTCCCACCTCAGCCTCCCAAGCAGCTAGGACTACAGGCATACGCCATCATGCCCAGCTAATTTTTAAAAATTTTTTTCAGAGACAGAGGTCTCACTATGTTGCCTAGGCTGGTCTTTTAACTTCTGGGCTCAGATGATTCTCCAGTCTCAGCCTCCCAAAGTGTTAGGATTACAGGTGTGAACCACCATAACCTAGCCTGTGATAGTCTTAAAGTGAGAAAAGGAAAACTCCTACTGTGGTCCCACAATTGGAAGAGACTAAAGAAGTTTTGGTACATTAATATGCTAGAATAATATATTACCTGTACATACGTTAAATCTTTAATCCTATAGACATGCAGAAAAATACTGAATACTGTTACGTTAAAATACATATATTTAAGTAAATGTACAATGATAACCTACAAGAGTAAGAAGTCAGAAATGGACACAAAATGCTTTAAAATATGGCAAATCTTTCTAACTTTTGGTGTACAAATCTAAAAAATATCTTTTACCATAAAATTGATTACAAATATAATAAAAGTTTTAAGGCGTGATTGCTAGAAAGGCCTGTAAGAGGATCCCCAACCTCATCACCAAGTGTAGAGGTATCAGCAAGAGGGCTGACATGCAGAGCAGGAAGAGCAGCCGGCACTCAGTCCCTCAGCTCTTCTGGGAACATCTCCCAGTGCTGGTTTCATCTTCTGGATGTCCGTCAAAAAGAATCACAAATCTTCTTTCCATCTTTGCCACATCTAATAAAACTCAGAGCTTGTAAGATTTTCTCTCACAATGAATTCTACAACATACACAAACTCAACATGCCCTCTAAGAGATACTTCATGCTGTTTAATTTATCAAAATAAAAGAGTCTGGATTTCAAAGAGCTAAAGAAAGATAATAGAAAAGGAATTTAAAAGGCTTAACAAAATGAAAGAAGAGAAAAAAAGGGAAACAAAAGTCAGAGAGAAAGAAATGAACTGAGTCCAAAAGCTGGACAAATATTTTAGATTCATAAACATATGTTGCATGTAACATCTTACCTTTCATATTCTAACCTCTTCACAAGGTAAGTATTGTTCTTCCTATAGTCCTGAAGCTGGTCTTCTTGTCGAAGAAATTCCTGACGAAGCTCAGCAAGTTGCTCTATCCACCCAAGGTAAGAACCAAAGGAATCAAGTTCACTCATTGTAATGCTTCCTATTCAGAAGCTATGGGATGTTTTTTTAATTATACATAATTCTCAATTTCTTTAGTAATACTCCCAGGAAATTAAATTATATAACAAACACCACATTTAATATCCTTTTGTAACACATTCATGGTCAATAAAATTTATTCATTTATTTATTTGAGATAGGGTCTTGCTCTGTCACTCAGGTTAGAGTGCAGTGGTGCAATCTTGGCTCACTGCAACCTGCACCTCCTGAGCTCAAGTGATTCTCTCACCTCAACCTCCCAGACAGCTGAGACTACAGGTGTGCAACACCACATCCGGCTAATTTTTGTATTTTTAGTAGATATGGGTTAGCCATGTTGCCCAGGCTGGTCTCAAACTTGTGGGCTCAAGCAATCTGGCCACCACAGCCTCCCAAAGTGCTGGGATTAAAGGCATAAGCCACCATGCCTGACCGGCAACATTTATTTTTTAAAAAATATAGCTTCAGTGGCTTTCACATCAACCCAAAATATTCTTTAAATTACACATTGTTACACTTTGTATAGACACATGCTAAGCTGTGGAGACAATACAAAAAACTACCTATCTCTTCAAATCTATCTGCTTTATTAAAGTAGGAAAAAAGTACTATGGGTACAAATTTTAAGTTTTCTTTCTCATTTTAAATCACATTCGACTACCAACATAGGTGCCAATCACTTTAGATACATTTCTAGTTCGGCTATGGATGGTAGCTCTACATATCCCAAAATTCCATTTTCAAAGCTCATAATTTCTGGACTAGGACTGAATTTTTTTAGTGGAAATGAATCATGTGAAATTCCAAACTGGATAGTAAATTATAACCTGGCCAAACACTTGTTTGTAAATGTTTAATCCATAATCACCAGCCACACATGTTCTAGATTTCATTCCCTCATGATCTAAGCCTACAGACAAAAGAAATGCAGGCGGAAAAGAGTGAATGTTAATTTCACAGATAGGTGATTTTAAAAACAGCTAACAGCCTTAGCAGTTAAGCAAAAGTAGTATTAAGATAATTTTTAGAAATGAAAACAGGGGCCTATACTGTATAAGCAACAGCTATTAAGATTAAAATATAACATCTAGCCATAATGTACCAATACTATAACATCTATTTTTTACAGAAGGGTTACAGAATTAGTCTTATTCCTCTAAAAGCACTCCAAAAATACTTGGGAGATATATATACAGCCACTTTCCTGAGTAAAAAGGGAGATATAGATATATACGTGTATTTATAGAGATGGTCTCACTATTTTGCCCAGGCTGGTCTCGAACTCCTGAGCTCAAGCGATCCTTCTGCCTAAATCTCCCAAAGTGCTGGGATTACAGACGTGAGCCACCATGCCTGGCTGTTTTTAAAAAGCAGATGTTGGGGCTGGGCGTGGTGGCTCATGCCTGTAATCCCAACACTTTGGGAGGTGGAGGCGGGTGGATCGCCTGAGGTCAGGAGTTCGAGACCAGCCTGGCCAACATGGTAAAACCATGTCTCTACTAAAAATACAAAAATTAACTAAGCATGGTGGTCTGAGCCTGTAATCCCAGCTACTTGGGAGGCTGAGGCAAGAGAATCACTTGAACTCAGAAGGTGGAGCTTACAGTGAGCCGAGATTACGCCACTGTGCACTCTAGCCTGAGTGACAGAGCGAGACAAAAAAAAAAAAAAGCAGATGTTGGCTGGGCACGGTGGCTCACACCTGTAATACCAGCACTTTGGGGGGCCGAGAAGGGTGGATCACATGAGGCCAGGAGTTCGAGACCAGCCTCGCCAACAAGCTGAAATCCCATCTCCACTAAAAATACAAAAATTAGCCAGGTGTGGTGGCGCATGCCTGTAATCCCAGCTACTCAGGAAGCTGAGGCAGGAGACTCACTTGAACCCGAGTGGCGGAGGTTACAGCAAACCGAGATCATGCCACTGCACTCCAGCCTGGACAACAGAGCGAGAATCCGTCTCAAAAAAAAAAAAAAACTATAAATAAAAAAATAAAAATAAAAAGCAGATGTTTTTAAACAGCAGATGTAAACATATAATTGCATCCATGCAAAAAAAAAGACTAGAATAAAAATATATCAAAGTGCTATCAGTGAATGTGTCTGACAGTAGGATTTTGAACATATACTTTTTTTCTACACTTTCTAAATTTTATTGTGGAATTATAACTGTGGCAATAACGAAGAATAAAAATTTAAGTCACATAAACATCTGCTGAGACACATAATGCTTAACAATATGCATAATAACTATTGTATAATAATCAAGTATGAAAAAATCAATGATTCATATAAAATATTTGTAGTTAATCATTATCTTTGCATATTCAAGCCACATTTTAAATTTCTTTCTTTTTTTTTTTTTTTTTGAGACAGAGTCTCTAGCTCTGTTGCCCAGGATGGAGTGCAGTGGTGCGATCTCAGCTCACTGTAACCTCTGCCTCCCAGGTTCAAGCGATTCTCCTGCCTCAGCCTCCTGAGTTGCTGGGATTACAGGCACCCACCACCGTGCCCAGCTAATTTTTGTATTTTTAGTAGAGACAGGGTTTCACTGTGTTGGCCAGGCTGGTCTCGAACTCCTGACCTTGTGATCTGCCCGCCTCAGCCTCCCAAAGTGCTGGGATTACAAGCGTGAGCCACCGTGCCCAGCCAAATTTCTCTTTTTATAATATTAATTCTCCAATATGTAAACATGGTTGATTTACCCCCCATCTCAAATAAAAGTGATGGATCTGTGGTGGCCAGGTAGCCATAAAAAACCCTTTCAGCTTGTTGCCTGATCCCTGTCTCCATCTCCTAAGATACAGCAGGCCAGAGGTACCAGAAACCCTGGCCCCAGCTATGAATGCTGATTCTATAGAGACAATGAGATCACAGTAGGAAGCAGTAGCAAAAAGCCTTGTGGCTAAGGGATCAAACTAGCTAGTTCAGTAAACCTGTGCTCAGGCTGGATAGTTTCTAGAACTGAAAGCTAAATTTAAAAACTGTAACTAAAAAACAAACAAAACTTAACAACTACCAGAAAGAGACTTCAATTGGTGATCTTTCGGACTCATTCTCCTCGGGAAAAAGGGAACAAAAAGATTACAGTCCCTTCTGATTCAGGCTATGCTGTAAAATACCTGAAATAGCTTCAGAATGAACCTGAGGCTTAGTATGATTTTAAGATTCTTGGATGGCTTCTCTGTCCCCCCACAAAGCTTCCCATTGATGGTATTTGAAATTCATCTATCAGGAAATAAAATTTTCCTTTGTAATTGAAGATAAAAGACTTAAAATACAATTGACAAAGAAAAATAAAACATTAATATGAGTTTTAGCCCATGTAAAATATGATTATTTCCTATTTGAATACAGAGAAAGATCATAAAGCAGGGAGGTAATTGGTGATTTCCAGTGGGTCAAAACAGAGATTTGCAAGGGGAAAAGTAAGAAGACCAGAAAGCAAAACAAAGAAGAAAGAGGATCAGGAAAAATAACTGATGGATACTAGGCTTAATACCTGGGAGATGAAATAATCTGTATAATGAAGCCCCATGACACATGTTTACCTATGTAACAAACCTGCACATCCTGCACATGTACCCCTGAACTTAAATAAAGGTTAAAAAAAATCAATTTTACTTTTGACTGATTGGCATGTGTTTTCTTTATATGAACCCAGAGATATTCTGTCTAGCGTGGCTGCTCCAGGTCACCGTAGCAGAACTCTTAGAGTAAGTTAACACGAGTCAGGTTGATTGTACAGGACGCTCTATCTTTGAAAGCAACACCAGTTATGTTATAGAAAGACATGGCTGTACTCCCTTAGTTTAACTTCAAAAGATTAGGGATAGGTAAGAAATGGGTTGCCTGGGGCCAGCTTTAAAAAAAAAAAGAAAATTACTTCTAGAAAACTTTGACTTTGAACTTTCTTTCAGTAACAGGCATAAAAACAAGGTAAGCTAATCAAAATAAATCTGATAGTAGAATGTCAATTTATTACCTCAATGATTGAAAAAACCAACTTTCCTTTATTTCCAAGAAAATATAAACCATCTCAAGTGTCTTAGTGTCTATTAATTCTACTATAGCAGATATTAATTTCAAAGAAAACTTGCCTATAAAAGGCAAGTTTTCAAGAAGTTTGTTTCAGTAGAAATCATTCCAGTTGCAAAAGTCACATTATTGAATTTCAATTTTAAATTTTTAAATTCAAATTTAAGAGCCCAAGCTTCAAAACCAAAAGTTGTATAGCTATACATACAAATCAAGACCTTTTTCTCTGCTGAAGAGTATCATACACAATTTCAAAATATCTCAAGATCTACTCCAACACATATGGTACAATAAAGATTTTTACTCAGTAACACAGGTTGTCATTTTTGTTGACACATACTAACAGAAGCCACAGGACTTCTTATTCAACTGATCTATTTAATAAACAGTTAATAAGCATTAAGTTACTGCTTTAATAAGCCCTAATAGTATTTCTTAACATTTAATAAGAAGTATACTTTGATGACAAGTGAAAGCATTTGTAAAAATTGCAAGTTGGAAGCAGCACTGACACTGTGGCATCTTCTGTGTCATCCTAATATATTTTGGTGAGTCAAAAAGAGAACATGGACACAGATGCAACAAAAACCCATGTGATGACCCAGAAAGCATTTCTAACAGAAAATCAAAGCTGTTCTAAATCATGGATAATAGGAAATCAACAACTTATTTTAGGGTTACAACACACAAAAACACTTCCTATTGATTGTGCTAGGTAAGGAGAAAAATTTTACTACATTACAAAGCCAGCTAAGGTTGGCTACTTCGAGAGGACAATAAAAATAGATTATCTAAGTATATCCAAAGAGGCTCAAAAGGATAATAGAATAAAGGATATTTTTGAAGCTAGAGAGCATGTACTACCCACATACATAAACCTAGAGACAATGCATGCAAAATTTTAAAATACAGTATTATAACCAAAGGGTGTGAGGGAGATGAGGATTGTTCCTCAGAACCCAAACTTCAAAGGCTAACAGCTATGGCATGAAGTAACATAAGCAGATTGCAGGGCTTTTTTTTTTTCTCCATAAAAGCTGTAGTACCTCTTTATCACTTCATCCAAGTAAAAATATGTGTGTGTATTTTTATATTTATTATTATTTATTTATTATATATTTATCTATTTTCCAGGTTTCTTTCTGTTCCCAGGGTATCTAAAACCTTAAGCTTGGAGGCTCTATCCAAAGCATCCCTAGACCTGAATGAATTAATTTAGCAGATTGGACACAGTACAGAGGGAACACTTCTCACCTTTTCCCTAGAAATTTGATGGCTTCTGAAGCTACAGCTCAATTTTTTTTTGAGTATTCTCTTAAGAACATTTCATTGCATAACCCTGTCTGTAGCTCAAGGTTAAGACACAGATCTCAAATTTTAACTTGGATTTATCATATATAAAGCATCATTAAATAATTTATTATATCTTAAGGCAAAAGGATAAATGTTTTACCATCAGAGGAGTTTGTTCAGAAAATTGTATTTCACTAGGCTAATTTACTATTTCTTAATTCTTCACAATTTTAGGCATTTAGTGACCTTGGTTTATCTTTAATCTGGAATTAAGGTTCTTACCCTTTAAATGATGTATGTCTGCCATCTGATACGATATGTTGTTCTGTAGTTTAACCTGAAAAAAAATTAAGTTCTCATTTTACTAAAAAATATGTAGTTTTGTTCATTTTTTTGGTTCATATTCACTTTGAGCTTGATCATAAATGCAAACAAAAAACTCTGGTTATTTATTTATACTCTACCTCTTTCCAAAAAAAATCAGCAATAATTCTGATCTTGTAATGCTTACTTTAAATTTGCACAAGAAAATTCATTTCAATTGATAAACAATGTAACAACTTTAAAAGTTTTAAAGTTTGAACTGAACATCACATAATGATTTTTTTCTAAAACTCAGAGCTATGGTCACTGTCTTCTAGGAGCCAGTACATAAGAATACTAAGAACTTAAAAGTATACGAAAACATGACTCAAAGGCTTACCAGTCAACTTAAAAATTAAAATAAGACCTTGGATAAGCCAGGACCTCGTAGACAGGGAACTAACCACTCTGTCTCAGTTATTGCTTTAGACAAGTTTGTTCTAATTGTAAAATGTAACTAAAATATCACTAAAAATACATCTCTTGTCTACCCCAAAGTAACTTTACTTTGGAAGGCACAGGCAGATTCACATTAATCAGAAGTAGCACCATGGAAAAATGATTTGTTTTTTTATACTGAGTCTCACTCTGTCGCCCAGGCTGCGGTGCAGTGGTGCGATCTCAGCTCACTGCAACCTCCACCTCCCAGGTTCAAGATATTCTGCTGCCTCAGCCCCCAAGTAGCTGGGACTGCAGGTGCGCACCACCACACCCAGCTAATCTTTGTATTTTTAGTAGAGATGGGGTTTTACCATGTTGGCCAGGCTGGTCTCGAACTCCTGACTTCAAGTGGTCTGCCGGCCTCTGCCTCCCAAAGTGCTGGGATTACAGGCATGAGCCACCACGCCTGGCCTGAAGAATATATTTTTAAACTTTTTTTTTTCAGAGTCTTGCTTTGTCAACCAGGCTGGAGTACAGTGATGCAATCACGGTTCACTGCAGCCTTGACCTCCAGGGCCCAAGTCTATCCTCCTATCTCAGGCTCTCAAGTAGCTGAGACTACAGGTATGTATCATAATACCCAGTTAATTTTTAAAAATATATTTTTTTGCAGAGACGGGGTCTTGCTATGTTGCCCAGGCTGGTCTTGAACTCTTGGACTCAAGTGATTCTCCTGCTGGCCTCCCAAAGTGCTGGGACTACATGCATGAACCACCATGGCCAACCTAAACTTTTTATTTTAAAATTAATTACAGATTCACAGGAAATTGCAAAGATAGCAAAGAGAGGTCCCAGGTAACCTTCACACAATTCACATAATTTCCCACAATGGGTGCATCTTATGTAACTACAGTACAACATCAAAACCAGGAAACTGACATTGGTACAATATGAATGTATAGCTCTATGTCATTTTAAAATATGTGCAGATTTGTATAACTACCATCACAATCAAGATGCAGAATACTTTTATCATCACAAAGATCTCCCTCATGCTATCCCCCCACCCCCCCTTTTTTTTTTTTTTTTTGAGACATGTTCTCACTCTGCAGACCAGGCTGGAGTGCAGTGGCAAAACAGCTCCCTGCAGTCTCCATCTGCAGGGCTCAAGCGATCCTTCCACCTCAGCCTCCTGATAGCTGGGACTACAGGCATTTGCCACCATGCCAGGTTAATTTTTTTATTTTTAGTAGAGATGAGGTCTTGCTATGTTGTCCAGGCTGTTCTTGAACTCCCGGGCTTAAGCAATCCTCTTGCCTTGGTCTCCCAAAGTGCTGGGATTACAGGAGTGAGGCACAATGCCTGGCCCATGCAATCTGTTATAGTCACCCCCAACCCCCAGTCCCCCACCATCCCATGTCCAGCCACTCAATGGGAAAGTATAAAACAACTAAGAAAACATGAGAGTAGTCTCAAGAAATTAGACAAGGCACCATCTAAAGCAGTATAATTACTACAAGAATCCAGAGATCCGGGAAAACTTCATGGAATTGATTATATCTGTATTAGGCATTGAAAGTTAGGTAAAAATTTAAACAGATGGGAAAGGGGCATTTCAGATGGAGGAGATGGTATAAGAAAAGATACAGTGGCAAGAAAGCATGAGGTATACCTCAAGACTCCACCAACATACTGTCTGACTGGAGCACATGAAAAGAAGAGTTGGAAAGAAAGATGGAGTAAAAAGACCATGGAGTATCTTTCAGTCCCAGGTAGAGTGTATTCTTCAATCTGAGAGCCCACGACTTTCAAATTTAAAATAAAAGTTTGTCCATAAATAGATGAAAATATAAATGTTCTAGGTGAAGCAAGAGAAGGAGTCTAGGGGGTCCCTCTTTTTCACCCCCCCGAGTCCTGGGTGCTTTGAAGAATGAAGTTTAAAATATACAGCTAGGTCGGACACAGTGGTTTATGCCTAGAATCCCAGTAGTTTGGAAGGCCAAAGCAAGAGGATCACTTGAGGCCAGCAGTTCAAGACCAGCCTGGCCAACACAGTGAGACCTACAAAAACTAAAGAAAATAAAAAATGAAATTAGCCAGGCATGGTGGAACATGTCTGTAGTCCTAGCTACTTAGGTGACTGAGGTAGGAGGATCACTTGAGCCCAGGAGTTTGAGGCTGCAGTGAGCTAGGATTGCACCAGTGTACTCCAGCCTGGGAGACAGAGCAAGACCCTATCTCAAAAAATAAATAAATAATGAAATATAATGTTGATATTCAGTAAGAAAAAAGGAATAAAGTACTAGAACATGATAAAATATGGATGAGCTTGGAAAACATTACATATGCTAAATGAAAAAAGACAGTCACAAAAGTTCAAATATTATCTGATAGCATTGATATGAAATGTACAGAATAGGTAAAGCCATAAAGAAAGAAAGTAGATTAGTGGCTGCCAGGGGCTGGGGGCAGGAAGGAATGAGGAGTGACTTTTTGTTGAGCACAAGGTTTCTTTTGGGGGTGATGAAAACGTTCTGGAATTAGACCATGGTGATAGTTGCTCAACATTTTAGATATAGTAAAATGCACTAAATTGTACACTTGAACAGGATAAATTTTATGGTACATGAATTATACGTCAATTTTTAAAATGTAAAACAAACAAAAATGGCCAGGTGCAGTGGCTCACGCCTGTAATCCCAACACTTTGGGAGGCTGAGGCAGGCAGATCACCTGAGGCCAGGAGTTTGAGACTACTCTGGGCAACATGGCAAAATCCCCTCTCTACAAAAAATACAAAAACTTAGCCAGGCACAGTGGTGCATGCCTATAGGCCCGGATACTTGAGAGGCTGAGGTGGGAGGACTGATTGAGCCCTAAAGGTTGAGGTTGCAGTGAGCTGTGACTGCACCACGGCACTCCTACCCTAGGTGGCAGAGCGAGACCCTGTCTCAAAAACAAAAATGAAAACAAAACCAACCAAACAAACAAAAACCCCACTCACACATTACTATGGGGTATCATACAGGAAACTGGAAGGCCAGGCGTGGTGGCTCATGCCTATAATCCCAGCATTTTGGAGGCTGAGGCAGGAGGATCATTCAAACTCAGGAATTCAAGACCAGCCTGGAAACACAGTGAGATCTCATCTCTAATAAAAAATAAATAAATAAACAGATTAGTCGAGCATGGTGGCATATGCCTATAGTCCCAGCTACTTGGGAGGCTGAGGTGGGAAGATCACTTGAGCCCAGAAGTCAGGAGTGCAATGAGCCATAATCAAGCCACTGCACTTCAGTCTGGGCAACGGAGCAAGACCCCATCTCAAAAAAAGAAAAATGGAAACTGAGGATAACACAACAGACAAACACTATGTACTCAAGGAGCTTACTATTTAGGAGGGGAGTCAAGTAAATAGGCAATCATAATACCGTAAAATAAATGCTATCATTCGGTTCTACAGACATGATGGGCGAACTTAATAGAAGGATTTAATACAGCCTTCATGGAGTGAGAGAAGGCTTCTGGAGATGATGATGATGACTGATATGAGTCCTGCAGGAACCAGGTATAAGTAGGGAGAAGATAAGGAAGAAAGGCATTCAAGGCACGTGTCAAAACTTAGATATGAAAAACACTTAACATTCTAGGAATTATAAACAATTCCCAGTAGCTGCAACAGAGAATTAGGGAGAACTGGTAAGAAATATGGCTAGAAAGGTAAGTAAGGTTCACAATTATGAAGGGTCTTCCAAGAAACATGGATTCATCCTGTAAGCTATGGTCAATCTTTAAAGTTCTTTTAACAAGGTAGTAAAATTCAACTTCCAATTTTTTTTTTTTTTTTTTGAGACAGAGTGTCGGTCTGTTGCCCAGGCTGGAGTGCAGCGACCCAATCTCTGCTCGCTGCAACCTCCACGTCCCAGGTTCAAGTCGTTCTCCTGCCTTAGCCTCCCAAGTAGCTTGGACTACAGGCACATACCACCACACACAGCTAATTTTTGTATTTTTAGTAGAGACAGGGTTTCACCACATTGATCAGGCTGGTCTCAAACTCCTGACTTCAGGCGATCCACCCACCTCGGCCTCCCAAAGTGCTGGGATTATGGGCGTAAGCCACGCACACCCAGTCCCAATTTGCAATTTTAAAAAGTCAATCTGGCTGCAACATGAAGAGTAGACCAGAGTGGGCAAGATGAGAAGGAGGGAGACCAAGTACTACTGCCATATCATAGGTGAGAATGTTGGTCTAAGTCAGAGGTGGGCAAACTATGGCCTGTGAGCCTGTTTTTGTAGGGAAGGAAGCTAAGGATGACTGTTACATTTTTTTTTAAATAGCTGAAGGAAAAAATCAAAAGAAGATTTTATGATATATGAATTACATGAAAATGAAACTTCAGTGTCTACAAATAAAGTTTTATGGGAAAATAGCCACACTAATTTGTTTACATATTGTATGTGGCTGCTTTTGAGCTACAGTGGTTGTGGCAGAGACTATATGGCCTGCAAAGCCTAAAGTATTTACTATCTGGACTTTTACAGAAAAGGTCTTTTCAATTTCTGGTCTAAACTAATAGAATCAGAAAAGAGAGGTAAATACATGTGAGATATTAAAGGGGAAGAATAGTCTTGTGGAATTGATTATATACAGGCGTAAAAGGAGAAACATCAAGTATGATGCTTAGATTTCTAATCGGGGTGACTAGATGAGTAAGAATATAATTTTCTGTAATAGGGAAACACAGGAAGAGGAACAGACTTGGGGTCAGGGAGAGAATTGGGGAAATGATTTTTTGAGATTTTGACCTATTGATTTTGAGGCATCTGTGACATATCCAAGAAGAGATCTTCAGTAGGCAGTTGGACATATGGAGCTCGGGCGACGACCAGAGAGCCATTCACATTCAAATGGTAATCCAGGTCATAGGAATGAGATCACTGAGGGAAAGCTACAGGGGAAGCAAAAAAAACCTGACACCAACAACTACAGTATTTGATCAGTTTGCTCACTCAGAACTGCTCCGTAATAACTTCCAATTAGCCTGTATTTTACTTTGTTTCCCAATTCCTTCATTTGCAGAACCTAATCTCTTTTTGTACTTGTTGCCCTTCCAAGAACATCATCTTCCTTTGTATTCATTTTCAACACTTTGGTTTTTTATTTAAAAAAACACTTTTTTTGAGACAGGGTCTTGCCCTACTGCCCAGGCTAGAGTGCAGTGGCATGACCACAGCTCACTGCAACCTTGATTTCTCAGGCCCAAAAGATCCTCCCACCTCAGCCTCCCAAGTAGCTGGGACCACAGGCATGTGCTACCACGCCCAGATAATTTTTTTTGTCTTTTGTAGAGATGGGGGGGTCTCACTTTTTTAAATCAATTTTTATGATGCTATGCCAGGTTCTCTGTACTCCATTTTAAATCTGCTTCTGAAATTGGTAGAGGTATGCTCTTCTTAAATATTAGGCTGTGAGTGGCTTCAGCTTCCCTGAACTGTCTCTTTCATATTCTTATACATTGGAAAAAAATTCTAATGGAGGTGGGGAAATTCAATCTATAGTTGAATATATATATTCAGCCTGGGTCCCTCTGTCACCCAGGGTGGAGTGTAGTAGCACAATCTCAGTTCATTGTAACCTCTGCCTCCCAAGCCCATGTGATCCTCCCACCTTAGCCTCCCGAGTAGCTGGGACCACAGGCACAGATGACCACTCCTGGCTAAATTTTTGTATTTTTGGTACAGACAGGGTTTTGCCATGTTGCCCAGTCTGGTCTTTTAGCTCTTTTTTGTTTTTTTTTTTTTTGAGACAGAGTCTCACTCTGTTGCCCAGCCTGGAGTGCAGTGGCACAATCTCGGCTCACTGCAACCTCCACCTCCCGGGTTCATGCCATTCTCCTGCCTCAGCCTCCTGGGCAGCTGGGATTACAGGCGCCTGCCACCACGCCCAGCTAAGTTTTTGTATTTTTAGTAGAGACGGGGTTTCACCCTGTTGGCCAGGCTGGTCTGGAACTCCTGACCTCGTGATTTGGCTGCCTCGGCCTCCCAAAGTGCTGGGATTACAGGCGTGAGCCACCGCGCCGGGCCAGCTCTTTAACTCCTTTGGCTTTAACCCTTCCTCTGAGAGCCTTCATTTAATATCTCCACCACCATCCCCTCACCTTCAAAAGAAAGCTTAACTTCCCTTCTAACTATTCCTTCTCATAGTTCACTGTTTTTTCATTTTTTTTAGAGATGGAGTCTCACTGTGTTGCCCAGGCTGAACTCGAACTCAGTAGCTGTGACAACAGGCTCAGGCCACCACACCCAGCTCTCTCCTCACAGTTTTAATTTCCTTGTGGTCATTAGGAATATGCTTATCTTCTAAATGACTGCCAAAACGTCCCTGCTGTTGAGAAATTAATTGGAGTTCTTACTATTACATGACTAGAAAAAGAGATTATCTTCATTTTGCCACACATATTCTCTGTTGAACTGATCATGCTTCCAGAATATTTTCACTTTTTTTCTAAATATATTCCACACAGGTAACAGCACATAAACTTCCTGATACCCATAAACACTGAATAAATGTTTGCTCAATGATCCCCTAGACTTTTATGTCCCATACTCTTTGTACTACACACTCTCCTACCTTAAGTTATACTTTATCCATATTTGCACAATTTTAATTATTCTTCAAGGTTTCTTTTGAGCGCCTTCATTTATTTCCCCTTGTTATCGCCGTCATTGCCTTTAGGCTTTACCTTATCCCTCTCTTTTTGTAATACTTGTTTCTTTGGGATTTTGAGTCCATCTATAATAGGCCAATTATCCTTGCTCTGTTTGGCCTTTTCCCTGTGAATCTCTTAAAATGTGTTTACTGTCCTTCCTGAGACCTCTCTCCTGAGTTTTATGTTCTTTGTTTATGCTCTTTATTTGTTTTCCTCAGCAAGAATTCTTTTTTCCTGATACTTCCCTATAGTACTTCTTGTTCATCCCCAGCTACTTCATTTATTTTCCCTTAATCTTTCTTCCTGCAATATCAAAAACTTCATTTTTATTTTTCTACCAGCTCTCTTCTGAAGTTCTTTTCATGTTTCCCCATCCTACGTGGCTTCTCTAAATTAATTTTGGCAGCTCTTAACAGCTCAGTTGCTCTGCTTCTCTTTCCATTTGGGGGAACCTTGAAAATGGCTCAGCTGTGCCTGCTTTCCTTTCATTACGGTCTGTTCTTGGGCAATCAGCACAACTATGACCATTTATTCCAAAGGTTATATACAATTGGCTTACTACAGATGTCATTCTTGACTCCTTTTTCTCCACACCAGAAATATTTTTCTTGATTATATTTCATACTCAGATGATTTCTAGAGACAAGTCTATCTTCTGTAACATAACTGCCAAACCTGGCTGATGCTCAGAATCACCTGGGGAGCTTTAAAAAAGACATATTCTACTTCCAGTCTGATTCAGTAGTCTGGGAAAGGCCCAGGAATTTTAATTTTAAAAATCTTACGTGATTCTGATAAGCAGCCAGGTTTGGCAATTATTCATCTATAGCATGGTTAACACCTATACCAGCTGGATCAAAATGGAATAGCATTAATAATAACAAGCGGGTATTAAATGATTATTTTTGTGCCAGGTCCTAGGCTAAGTGCTTTACAAGCATTATCTCATTTAATTCTCACAACCTCCCTATGAAAGTGGGCATAGTTATTTTTCCCCATTTCACAAATGAGGAAACTGTGTCCTCAGTCATATACCTACAGGAGGTTTTGAATACTTTCTCAAATAGACCCCGTCCAGAGTCTGTGTCTGTGACTACTGTGTATATACTAGACCTGGTAGGTGATTAACATTTTTTATTCTCACTACTCATAGTTCACACAGAGTATGCAGTCAACATTCCAATCACATCTGCAACTTTTACTTATCTGTTAATGAATTACTGTCTTCTTAAACCAAGTTTTAGTATAATTTATATCCAGTTATCAGTTACATTTTTTTTTTTTTTTTGAGATGGAGTTTCACTCTTATTGCCCAGAGTGGAATGCAGTGGTGCGATCTTGGCTCACTGCAACCTCCGCCTCCCAGGTTCAAGCAATTCTCCCACCTCAGCCTACTGAGTTGGTGGGATTACAGGCATACACCACCATGCCCAGCTAATTTCTGTATTTTTAGTAGAGATGGGGTTTCACCATGTTGGCCAGGATGGTCTCGAACTCCTGACCTCAGGTGATCCACCTGCCTTGGCCTCCCAAAATGCTGGGATTACAGGTGTGAGCCACCGCACCCGGCCTACCCAGTTACATTTTCTTTTCTTTTCTTTTTTTTTTTTTGAGACGGAGTTTTGCTCTGTTGCCCAGGCTGCAGTGCAGTGGCGCGATCTCAGCTCACTGCAAGCTCCGCCTCCTGGGTTCATGCCATTCTCCTGCCTCAGCCTCCCAAGTAGCTGGGACTACAGGCGCCCGCCACAACACCCGGCTAATTTTTTGTATTTTTAGTAGAGACGGGGTTTCACTGTGTTAGCCAAGATGGTCTCAATCTCCTGACCTTGTGATCTGCCCACCTCGACCTCCCAAAGTGTTGGGATTACAGGCATGAGCCACTGCGCCTGGCCCCCAGTTACATTTTCAAAGAGAATAAACAAGGTCTTTGGTCTTGACTGGCTATAATGAACAGCACAAAGTTTTTTTTCATTCACTCATTCATCTTATTAAGAAATTTTATTTTATTGTGGTGCTTATTCATTATTTATTCAATCAGTCATTTATAAAGCACTTAGTGAGTACCCACTATGTGCTAGACCTAGGGATACAAAGGATTTGATCTTGGTCTGTTAAGAAGAATCACAAAGAATTACTATAAAGTTTACTTATTTAGTCAGTCAGCCAGTCACAAAGAAACATTTATTGAACACCTGCTAAGTGAAAGACACTGTGTAAAGCCTAAAGATACAGCAATATATAAGAAACAAGAGAGAAGTCTGGATAAAGGATACAGATTTGGAGTCATTAGCACATAAAGTGTAACAAGTTTTATAAGTGAGTATGATGACGTAGTAAGAGAGTAGAATGAGAAGATTACAGACACAAAACTATGAACTATAACATTTAATAATGAATACAGGTGAAGTCAGCAAAGGAGACTAAGAAGTAAACTGAGAGATAAGAAGCCAAGAACATAGAATGCTGGGGAAAAGATGCTGAGATTATCAGGAGTAGGAGGAGAAAATGCAGATGAAAGCAGAAAATGCAGAGATAAAATGTCTTTTCAAGAAATTTTCCTGGAAAGGGGAAGTAAGACAAATATTTTTTATTTTTGATATGGAGTTTCACTCTGTAGCCCAGGCTGGAGTGCAGTGAGTGGCACAATTTTGGCTCACTGCAGCCTCCACCTACTGGGTTCAAGCAATTCTCCTGCCTCAGCCTCCCAAGTAGCTGGGATTACAGGTGCCCACCACCACACCAGGCTAATTTTTGTATTTTTTTTTTTTTGAGATGGAGTCTTGCTCCGTCGCCCAGGCTGGAGTGCAATGGCATGATCTCAGCTCACTACAACCTCCGCCTCCTGAGTTCAAATGATTCTCCTGTCTCGGCCTCCCAAGTAGCTGGGATTACAGGAGCACGCCACCACGCCCAGCTAATTTTTTGTATTTTAGTAGAGATGGGGTTTCACCATGTTGGCCAAGATGGTCTCTATCTGCTGACCTCGTGATCCGCCTGCCTCGGCCTCCCAAAGTGCTGGGATTACAGGCGTGAGCCACCGCACCCAGCCATTGTTGTATTTTTTAGTAGAGACGGGGTTTCACCAGGTTGGCCAGGCTGGTCTCGAACTCCTGACCTCAAGTGATCTGCCTGCTTTGGCCTCCCAAAGTGCTGGGATTATAGGCATGAGCCACCGCGCCAGGCCAGACAACTATTTTTTAAATGCTGAGGAGCAAGCATAGACTGAGAGGGTGAATATAAGAGGAGGACTGGATTACTAATTCTACAAAGTCTTTGAAAAGATGGAAGACATTGGATCCAGAGAACAGGTAGAGAGGCTGGCCCTGGAGAATGGATGAACCTTCTTTTATTTTAACAAAGAGGAAAGACAGATGGGTACAGATGTAGGTATTCCTACAGATTTGGTAGTTAAAGTTTTATCAGTCCAATTCTTGGTCAAGCAGGAGACAAGATCACCTACTAAGCTTGAGAAAGGAGAAAAAAAGTTTAAATGGGCCTAAGGAGGGCAAAGATCTGAAAGCTGTTGGAAAGGGTGTGTTGCCTGGAGAAATATAATATGTAACGTGTTACTGAAAACCCAGTTGAGTTTGCTGATCATAAATTCCTGCAAATCTGGTTATATGATTTTCTGCAGCTGTGCTTGAAATTGGCATGTAAAAGAGAGGGTAATGGCAAGAAACTAAATTGAAACAAAATCTCAGCTGGATAGGGAGGAAAGTAAAGAATACATAGGGCTGCTAGAAAGGAAGAGGTAATAGATTAGAGGTCCAGATAAAGTTGGAGAACAATTATGGTTTATTCAGCGGTTTTAATCTCTTTCTTGTTACATTCTCCCAAGAACATGCAAGTTTGAAGTTCACAAACTTTAAATTTCAAGGATTTGAAATCCTATGTTAACGACTTGGCATGGTGGCTCAAACCTGTAATCCCAGCACTTTGGGAGACCGAGGCAGGTGGATCACCTGAGGTCAGGAGTTCGAGATCTCTCTGGCCAACATGGTGAAACCCCATCTATACTAAAAATACAAAAATTAGCCAGGCATGGTGGTGGGCACCTGTAATCCCAGCTACTTGGGAGGCTGAGGCAGGAGAATCGCTTGAACCCGGGAGGCAGAGGTTGCAGTGAGCCAAGATCGTGCCATTGCACTCCAGCCTGGGTGACAGGGAGAGACTCCATCACACACACACACACACAAAAGCAATCCTATATTAGGTTTATGTTAGAATGAATTAATAATCAAGACTTTTGATAGTTCATTAACATTGGCAAATATTTCTAGTTCTCATCCCAGGCCCTTCGAAGGACTGTCTCTCCCCACTCCTTTGAAGGTATGTGTTTTTTACCACATACACACTTACCACAATAATAAAAAAAAAAAGAAAAGCAATCTTTTTCAGACATCATGTCCTGAATTTCATTTGAAAAATACAGGCACTATGCCATTAATTCACATTAAAGTTATGGTGCCTGGAATGCCTCTTTAATTGGAGGCATTTCCCCAACATTTTTGGGGAAAAATGTTTTTCCTCTTAGGGAGGGGAACCATTTAGGGAAGTAAAACCTGTTAAGAAACTTTCCCCACTAAGCTCTAAAATAGTTTTCTCTTTTTCAGTTAAGGTAAGAAATACCACATGTAGCATCAAGGCAGTGGCATAATCTATAAGAATGGGTCATTTATAAGTAGAACATGTATAAGTATAAAACTACCTTGCAGGATTTGGTATGGAAAGTTTATATCCATATTCTTTAGTCATATGTTCTTTTAAGAACTTTTCCAGGTATGTATGTATGTTTGTTTTTTGCTTGTTCGTTTTGTTGTTGTTGTTGTTTGAAATGAAGTCTCACTCTGTCGCCCAGGCTGGAGTGAAGTGGCACAATCTCGGCTCACTGCAACCTCCGCCTCCCGGGTTCAAGCGATTCTCCTGCCTCAGCCTCCCGAATAAGTGGGATTACAGGTGTGTGCCACCATGCCCAGCTAATTTTTGTATTTTTAGTAGATATGGGGTTTCACCACGTTGGTCAGGCTGGTCTCAAATTCCTGACCTCGTGATCCGCCCGCCTTGGCCTCCCAAAGGGCTGGGATTACAGGCGTGAGCCACTGTGCCTGGCCTATGTATTTTTTAATTGACTGATTGATTGATTGAGACAGGGTCTTGTACTGTCATCCAGGCTGGAGTACAGTGGCACAATCATAGCTCACTGCAGCCTCAAATTCCTGGGATCAAAGGAGTTTGATCCCAACTCCTGGGATCCTACCTCAATCTCTCAGGTAGCTGGGATTATAGGTGTGCATCACCACACCTGGCTATCTGAATATGTATGTGTGTGTGTGTGTGTGTGTGTGGGTGTGTGTGTGTATATATATATATATATATACATATATATATATATAGAGAGAGAGAGAGAGAAAGAGAGACTCTCACTATGTTGCCCAAGCTGGTCTCGAACTCCTAATCTCAGAGAGATTCCCGCCTTGGCCTCCCAGCCTTTCCAAGTCTTTTTAGTTGGTTCTCTTGTGAGTACCCTTTCATCCCTTGGTGATTTTAATTGCTCTTCTCTGGATAATTCTTAAACTTGCATCATGTAATTAATGCTGCACAAAGTAAATTAAGACTGTGACTATGCAGAAACCCAATAGCATAGTGCTTAAAAGAAGGGGCTCTGGCTGGGTGCAGCAGCTCACGCCCGTAATCCCAGTACTTTGGGAGGCCACGGCAAGCAGATCGCTTGAGGTCAGGAGTTTCAGACCAGCTTGGCCAACATTGCAAAACCCAGTCTCTACAAAAAATACAAAAATTAGCCAGGCATGGTGGCATTTGCCTGTAGTTCCAGCTACTCAGGAGGCTGAGGCATGAGAATCACTTGAACCCAGGAGGCGGAGGTTGCAGTGAGCCAAGATCATGCCACTGCACTCCAGCCTGGGCAACAGAGTGAAACTCCGTATCAAAAAAAAAACCAAAAGCTGGTGAGGGGGTGGGGCCTCTAAAATTAGATTGCCTGAGTCTGAATTCTGAATTCACTACTTGTTAGCTCTATTTCCTTGGACATACTGTTTACCTTCTCTGTTTCAGTTCTTTTATCTATAAAATGAGAAAATATTATCTGACTCATAGCATTGTCAAAAAGTTTATGCCAGAGATAAAGTGTTAACAACACTGGCTGGCACATGGTAAGGGCTTAATAAACATTAGCTATTACTATGTAAAGGAGTAGAATGTCTTCTTTACTATTTCTACAAAGTCCCACTGCTAAATTTGACTGGCTTAAAAACAACACAAAAGAAAAAAAAGTCTTTAGCTTTTAGCCTTTTTAGCTAAAACAATAAATTGGGAATCTCATAGAATTTTTTTATTTTATTTACTTTTTTCTCAATTACTTTTTTATTAAGGGATATTTGACAATTAAAGATTGTATATATTTAAGGTACACAATTTGATGATTTGATATGCTTATATACATTGATCTCCAGAACTTACTCATCTTGCATAACTGAAACTATGTACCCCTTGACCAACATCCCATTTGCCCCTTCCCCTAGTCCCTGGTAGCCTTCCTTTAAATATATGCTCAGAAGTGGGATTGCCAGATCATAATATAGTTCTATTTTTAACTTCTGAGGAAACTACATACTGTTTTCCATATGGCTATTTACATTCCCACCAACAATGTTCAAGGGTTCCCCTTTCTCCACATCCTCACCAACATTTGTTATCTTTCACCTTTCTGACAATAATCATTCTAGCAGGTGTGAGATAGTATCTCACTGTAGTTTTGATTTGCATTTCCCTGATGATTAATAATGTTGAACATTTTTCCATATGACTGTACCTGTTGGCCACTTGTATGTCTTCTTTCAAGAAATGTCTATTCCAGTCCTTTGCCCATTTTTAAAACAGGTTGTTCATTGTTATTACATTGTATAAGTTCCTTATATATTTTGGATATTAACCCTTATCAGATATATGATTTCCAAATATCTTCTCCTACTCTGTAGGTACCTTTTGACTCTGTTGATAGTTTTCTTTTGCTGTACAGGAGCTTTTCAATTTGATGTAATCCCATTTGTCAATTTTTAGTTTTGTTGCCTGTGCTTTTGGTGCACACACCTGCAGTCCCGGCTATTCAGGAGTCTGAGGTGGGAGAATCGCTTGAGGTGGGTCAAAGCTGCAGTGAGCCACAGTCATGCCACTGTACCCAGCCTAGGTGACAGAAAGAGACCTTGTCTCTAAAAAAAAAAGTTAAATATAGAATATGGCCCAGCATTTCCACTGCTAGACATAAAAGAAGTGAAACCAGGGACTCAAACAGATACTTGTACACCACCGTTTATAGAGGCATTACTCACAATAACTGAAAGAGGGGAAGAACTCAAGTGTTCATCAACAGATGAATGAAAAGCAAAACATGGTATATACACATAATAAAATATTATCAGCCATAAAGAGGAATGAAGTTCTGATACATGCTACAACATAAATGAATCTTGAAAACATTATGCTAGGTGAAATAAGCCAGATAAAAAAGGACAAATATTGTATAATCCTCCTATATGAGGTATCTAGAATAGACAAATTCATAGACACAGAAACTAGAATAGAGGTTACCACAGGCTGGAGGGAAGGGCAATGGGAATTACTGCTTAATGGGTAGAGGTTTTGTTTGGTTTGGGATCGTGAAAAAGTTCTAGAAATAGATGGTAGTAATCATGGTTACACAACATTGTGAATGTACTTAATGCCACTAAATTATACACTTAAAATGGTAAAAATAGTAAATTTTGTTATAGATGTTTTACCACAATAAAATAGTAATAACAATAATCATCATTATTCTGGCCCCAAATAGCTTTAACTCAGACATAATTTCCCCTACTTCTCAATACCATGTACCTTATATTACACTCTCCTATTCTACTGCTTGACCTTCTGTGAAGGTACAACATACTTTCCAGCTTTCCTGGCCTCATTTATGTTCCTCCTGTCCTTATCCCTTTCTCATTTTGTTAAATTACTAAAGATCACCTTTTCAGTGAATTATTTCGCTCTTGACTTCCTGAGGAAGTTAATCAGTTATTCCTCTGTATTCTCAAACCCCTTTGTAAGCAGCTTTACTATAGCATTTAATCATGCATTATGGATTATTTTTCTATGTGTGCCTCCCTCACTTCTTCAAAGAACGGGAATCTTACTATCTTTCTATCCCTATCACATACCACATGGTATTCAACTTTCCCAAATAAATGACTTATGCATATAATAAACTTTGAACAATCATAAAGCACTATATCAATAAATGGTTTTATTTCATTCTGCCCATTGAGAATTAGTATCATGTGGGCTGAACACGGTGGCTCACGCCTGTAATCCCAGTACTTTGGGAGGCCAAGGTGGGCGGATCACGAGGTCAGGAGATAGAGACCATCCTGGCTAACACTGTGAAACCCCATCTCTACTAAAAATACAGAAAATTAGCCAGGCGTGGTGGTAGGCTCCTGTAGTCCCAGCTATTCGGGAGGCTGAGGCAGGAGAATGGCGTGAACCTGGGAGGCAGAGCTTACAGTGAGCGGAGATCGTACCACTGCACTTCAGCCTGGGCCACAGAGCCAGACTCTGTCTCAAAAAAAAAAAAAAAAAAGAATTAGTATCATGTTAGTTTCCAGCTTATGAGACAAGTCCCTGATGATAAGCAGTATAACTTGGATACAGGCATACCTTGTCTTATTGTACCTTGCTTTATGCGTTTCTTATAACCCTGCATCGAGCAAATGTATTGGCACAATTTTTCCAATAACATGTGCTCACTTCATGTCCCTATGTCACATTTTGATAATTCTCAAAATATTTCAAAATTTTCTTTATTACATCTGTCATGGTGATCTGTGATCTGTGACCTTCAATATTATTATAATTGGGGGCACCACAAACTGCACTCATAGAGGACAGTGAGTTTAATCAATAAATGTTGTGTGTGTAAATAGAATAAACAACTTTATAGAAACAGAAAGTAGAATAGAGGTTGCCAAGGGTTGGGGAGACGATAACGGGAGTTACCATGGAATAACCATTCCCCCATCTCTCTTCCTCTCCTCAGGCTTCCCTATTTCCTGAGACAAAACGATACTACAATGACCTCTAAGTGTTCAAGTAAAAGAGTTGTATGTCTCTCACTTTAAATCAAAAGCTAAACATAATTAAGCTTAGTGAAAAGGGCACGTCAAGAACATAGACAGGCCAAAAGCTAGGCCTCTTGTGCCAAACAGCCAAATTGTGAATGCAAAGGAAAAATTCTTTAAGGAAATTCAAAGTGTTACTTTAGTGAACACATGAATAACGAGAAGGCAAAACAGCCTTACTGTTGCTGATATGGAGAAAGTTTCCATGGTCCAGATAGGTCAAACTAACCACAATATTCCCTTAAACCAAAGCCTAATCCAGAGCAAGGACTTAACTCTCTTCAATTCTATGAAGGGTGAAGGGTAAAGAAGCTGTACAAGAAAAGTCGGAAGCCAGCAGAGGTTGGTTCATGAAGTTTAAAAAAAAAAAGCAATCTCCATAACATAAAGGTGCAAGGGGAAGTGGCAAGTGCTGATGAAAAAGCTGCAGCAAGTTATCCAGAAAATCTAGCTAAGATCACTGAAGGTGGCTACACTAAACAACACATTTTCCATGTAAATGAAACAGCCTTCTATTGGAAGAAGATGCCATCTAGAACTTTCATAGCTGCAGAGAAGTCAATATCTGGTTTCAAAGCTTCAAAGGACAGGCTGATTCTCCTGTTAGGGACAGCTGGTGACTTTAAGTGGAAGCCAACGCTCACTTACCATTCCTAAAATCCTAGCTTTTAAGAATTGTGCTAAATCTGTTTTATCTGCGCTCTATAAATGGAACAACAAAGCCTGTATGATAGCACATCTGTTTACAGCATGGTTTACTGAATATTTTCAGTTCACTGTTGAGATATACTACTTAAAAAAAAGATTCCTTTCAAAATACTAGTGCTCACTGACAATGTCCCTGGTCACCCAAGATCTCTGATGAAGATTTACAAGGACATTAATCTTTTCATGTCTGCTAACAGCAACCCATGGAGCAAGGAGTAATTTCTACTTTCAAATCTTATTATTTAACAAATACCTTTCATAAGGCTATACCTACCATGATGTAATTCCTCTGATGGATCTGGGCAAAATAAATTGAAAGTCTTCTAGAAAGAATTCACCAATCTAGATGCCATTAAGAACATTTGTAGAGGCTGGGTGCAGTGGCTCACGTCTATAATCTCAGCACTTTGAGAGACAGAGGCGGGTGGACACTTGGGCTCAGGAGTTCAAGACGGGCCTGGGCAACATGGGGAGACCCTGTCTCTACTAAAAATAGAAAAATTAGCCAGGTGTAGAGGCCCATACCTGTGGTCCCAGCTACTCGGAGGCTGAAGTGGGAGGATCACTTGAGCTCAGGGGGTAGAGGTTGTAGTGAGCCGAGATCGCACCACTGCACTCCAGCCTAAGTGACAGATCAAGACTCTGTCTCAAAAAAAAAATTATAATAATTTGTGGCTGGGCACAGTGGCCATTAATTCCATCACTTTGGGAGGCCAAGGCAGGCAAATTGCTTGGGCCTAGGATTTTGAGACCAGCCTGGATAACATGGCAAAACTCCACCTCTACAAAAAATACAAAATTAGCCAGGTATGGTGGCATGTGCCTGTAGTCCCAGCTACTCGGAAGGCTGAGATAGGAGGATCACCTGAGTCCAGGGAGGTCAAGGCTGCAGTGAGCCATGAATTGTGCCACTGTACTCCAGCCTGGGCAACAGAGACTGTGCCTCAAAAAAAAGAACATTTGTGATTCATAGAAGAAGGCTAAAATATTAACAGGAACATGAGTTTGGAATAAGTTGATTCCAACTCTCATGAATGATTTTGAGGGGATTCAAGACTTCAGTGGAGGAAGTAACTGCAGATGTGGTACAAATAGCAAGAGACCTAGAATTAGGCTAGGCACGGTGGCTTATGCCTGTAATCCCAGTACTTTGGGAAGCCAGGGCAGGAGGATCACTTGAGTATGGGAGTTTGAAACCAGCCTGGGCAACATAGCAAGACCCTGGTCTACAAACCATTTTTTAAAAATTAGCCAGGAGTGATGGCTCAGGCCTGTGGCCCAGCTACTCAGGAGGCTGAGGTGGGAGAATTGCTTGACCCCAGGAGGTTGAGGCTACAGTGAGCTGTGATTGCACCACTGCATTCAGCCTAAGTGACTGAGTAAGAGAGAAAGAGAGAGAACTAGAAATAGAAGTAGAGCCTGGAGGGCTGGGAGCGATGGCTTATGCCTGTAGTCCCAGCACTTTGGGAGGCTGAGGAGGGCAGATCACTTGAGGTCAGGAGTTTGAGACCAGCCTGGCCAACCTGGTGAAACCCTGTCTCTACTAAAAGTACAAAAATTAGCCAGGTGTGGTGGTGGGCGCCTGTAATCCCAGCTACTCAGGAGGCTGAGACAAGAGAATTGCTTGAACCTGTGAGGCGGAGGCTGCAGTGAGCCGAGATCATGCCATTGCACTCCAGCCTTGACACAAGAGTGAAACTCTGTCTCAAAAAAAAAAAAAAAAAAAAAAAAAAAAAGAAGTGGAGCCTGAAGACGTGACTGAATTACTGCAATCTCATGATAAAACTTGAATAGGCCAGGCATGGTGGTTTATGCCTGTAATCCCAGGACTTTGGGAGGTTGAGGTGGGAGGATTACTTGAGGCCAGGAGTTCAAGACCAGCCCTGGGGAACATAGCAAGACCACATCTCTACAAAATTTTAAAATTAGCCAGGTGTGGCCAGGCACCGTGGTTCACACCTGTAATCCTAGCACTTTGGAAGGCCGAGTCAGGCGGATCACTTAAGGTCAGGAGTTTGAGACCTACTTGGCCAACAAAACCCTGTCTCTACTGAAATACAAAAATCAGCCAGGCCTGGTGGTGCATGTCTGTAATCCCAGCTACTCAGGAGGCTAAGGCACGAGAATTGCTTGAACCTGGGAGGTGGAAGTTGCGTTGAGCTGAGATCACACCACTGCACTCCAGCCTGGTGACAGGGCGAGACTCTGTCTCAAAAAAAAAAAAAAAAAAAAAATTAGCCAGGTGTGATGGCACAAGTTTGTAGTCCTAGCTGCTCCAGATGCTGAGGCAGGAGGATTGCTTGAGTCCAGAAGGTCAAGGCTGCAGTGAGCCATGATCATGCCACTGCAGTTTAGCCTGGGTGACAGAATGAGACCCTGTCACCAAAAAAAACAAACAAAAATCCAAGCTATGCTTATAACTCAAACTTTTTTTCATTATATCCCCATGAAGCTAATCCCAAGGTTTTGTTCTCTTCACTTAAACACTAAATTGAATCAGAAAAATATTTTTGAGTTTCTAAATGAATAAAATATTATTCTAGATCTACTATAACACGTTTCAAATAAAAGATATATTCTATGTATACTAGAAAGATGAGTTGACAAGCAGTAGTTTTACATCTGAATATTTTAGTTATGTCTTCCAGAAAAGGTAGTGCAATCAGATATGTGGATAATATCTGTGGTAGCCCTAGTACATATTTATGCACCCGTTGGTTCAAGAAGCAATACAAATTGCTAAATCAATCATCAAATATTTACTGAGTCCAGACATAGGGAATAGTATGAAATATTAAGTGTTAGATTTATACTAGATTTAGACTATTTATTTATTTATTTATTTATTTATTTATTTATTTATTGAGATGGAGTATTGCTCTGTCGCCCAGGCTAGAGTGCAGTGGCGCGATCTCCACTCACTGCAACCTCTGCCTCCCAGGTTCAATTGATTCTCCTGCCTCAGCCTCCCAAGTAGCTGGGACTACAGGCGTCCGCCACTACGCCCGGCTAATTTTTGTATTTTTAGTAGAGACGGGGTTTCACCATGTTGGCCAGGATGGTGTTGACCTCTGGACCTCGTGATACGCCCACCTCAGCTTCCTAAAGCGCTGGGATTACAGGTGTAAGCCACTGCGCCCAGCCTAGACTATATTTTTATAGTCAAGAAATTCACAGGCTGGATATGGTGGCTCATGCTTGTAATCCCAACACTTTGGGAGGCCAAGGCCGGCAGATCACTTAAGTCCTGGAGTTCAAGACCAGCCTGGGCAACACAATGAAACCCCATCTCTACAAAAAAAATAAAAATTAGCTGGGTGTGGTACTGTGCACCTGTAGTCCCAGCTACCTGGGAGGCTGAGGCAGGAAGCTCGATTGAATCTAGGAGGTGGAGGTTGCAGTGAGCTGAGATGGTGACACTGCACTATAGCCTGGGCAACAGAGTGAGACCCCATCTCAAAAAAAATAGGAAAGAAAGAAAATTCACAATATATCATTGGAAGACAAGAAAAAAACTAGAACCACTAGGCGTGGTGGCTCATGCCTATAATCCCAGCACTTTGGGAGGCCGAGGTGAACAGATCACTTGAGGCCAGGAGTTTGAGACCAGCCTCGTCAACATGGCAAAACCCTGTCTTTACTAAAAATACAAAAATTAGCTGGGTGTGGTGGCATGTGCATGTAGTCCCAGCTACTTGGGAGGCTGAGGCAGGAGAATCGCTTGAACCCATGAGACAGAGGTTGCAGTGAGCCAAGATCGTGACACTGCACTCCAGCCTGGGCAACAGAGTAAGACTCCATCTCAAAAAAAAAAAAAAAATTAAATGTAAAAAAGAGAGTCAATCAATGGCTTCCTATTGCCCTTAACATGACTCACAAATCTTTTCACAATCTGAATCCAGTCTTGTAGTGCAACATCAAATATTATCACACTCATTCTAGCTCCCTCATTCCACATGGTGAACTTTTTTTTTTGAGATAGGATCTCACTCTGTTGCCCAGCCTGGAGTACAGTGGTGCCATGACCTTGGCTCCTAAGTTTTTTTTTTTTTTTGAGAGAGGGTCTCCCTCTGTAGCCCAGGATGGAGTGCACTTGGCATGATCTTGGCTCACTGCAACCTCTGCCTCCTGGATTCAAGTAATTCTCCTGCCTCAACCTCCCGAGTAAATGGGATTATAGGCATGTGGCACCATACCCGGCTGATATCCTGTGCTTTAAAATATGCAATAAAATAAAATATGCAACATTCTACATCTGGAACCCTCTTTTCATCTCTCCTGAGCCTCTTATCTCAAACCTCTCACTCAATCTTTGCCTCATTAAATCCTGATCTTTTTTTTAGGACTCAACTAAAACTCTCAAGAATGTCATCCCTAAGCCTCTAAAATAGGTTAGGTCTTCCCCTCATAGCCCCTGCTCAAGGGTAAGTTCCATAGTCAATGTATACCATATCTGTCTTGTTCACTCATTCACTATGTGATATGCATGCAGCATAGTAACTGATCCAAAATAGAAACTTGAACATATTTGTTCAATAAAGAAATTAAAATGGGGTTAAAGATGGAAGCACAGCATATGTAAACATTGAGTGGGAAAATGATAGGATAACCAAGATAAATGGGTATTATTAAAGCTAAAGGGAAGAAGTTTCAAAAAGGAGAGAAAGGAGAGATCATCAGTATAAAATGCTATAGAGAGTCAAGTTTAAGAGTGAAAATGTAGCCAGGCATGGTGGCTCATGCCTGTAATCCCAGCACTTTGAGATGCTGAGGCGGGAGGATCACTTGAGGCCAGGAGTCTGAGGCTGCAGTGAGCTATGAGAGGCCTTTGTTAATCATCAAATGAGAAAAAATGTTCCCCTAAGTTGAACTTAAATTGGATATAGAAAATTGAAATTGTAAAAGGAAAGCAAATCATTTTATATTAAATAGAAAAAGCTTCGTGGATGTAAGTTTTGAAGTCATCCTCAGGGAAAAAGTGTAGTTTGGAAAAGAGAAAGAATCAGACATTAAAAGCATCTGAGCAAAAGCTCTGTGGCAACATTGTTCAAAAGAGGAACTACCTGGCCAGAAACAGTGTAAGAAAATTAGATAAAGTTAATTAAGAACAAGAAAGAGAGCCTTGAAGCACTGTGAGAAACTGAAATTACTGCATGCCCAGTCTGTCCCTAGAAAAAAGCCTGGACTTTGAATTCAAGGAAACTTTAACTCTCTTTTGAGGAAGAGGCTAACATGGGGAACTTTAAGGTCTTCAACCAAAAATTGTAAGGACTAGTTCCTCCTGTTTAATGAGGTCATAAGTCAAAAGGTACTCCCTGTCACTTCAGGAGACAGATGTTACATGCCACACTATAAGAACTGTTTGTTTGCCTCTATGGAGTAAGTAAAAGGGAGCTCCTTGAATGTCCTTTTACCTTTTTTCTGCACAACTAAATCCTAGTCATCATTTTTCAAAAAGCAGCTTGTTTTATGATCTTCATGGAACCTCCTGAGATTACTCAGTCCTTTATCAGGAGAGTAAGAAAAAACAGAGAAATACAAAAATAAGAAAGGGAGACAAAGAAAAGTGAAAACTTGTTTCAAAGATCATTTTAGTGTATAGCACAGTAAGTGCCCAATATATTTAATAAATTTTTGTCAACTGAATTAATATACTTGGGTTTCAATAGAATAATACAAGACTAAACTTCTTCCTTCCTTCCTCCCTCCCTTCTTCCTTTCTTTTCTTTCTTCCCTCTCCCTCTCCCTCTTTCTTCCTCTTTCTCTCCTTCCCTCCTTCCTTCCCTCCCTTCCTTCCTTCCTTCTCTTTCCTCCTCCCCTCCCCTCCTCTCCTCTCTTCTTTTCTTTTTTCCTTTTCTTTCTTTTTTTGAGACAGGGTCTTGCTCTGTTGTCAGGCTAGGGCACAGTGGCACAATCATAGCTCCCTGCAGCTTCAAACTCCTGGGCTCAAGTGATCCTCCAGCTTAAACCTCCCAAGCAATTAAGACTATGGGCATGTGTCACCATGCCCAGCTTTTTTTTTTTTTTTTTTTTTTTTTTTGCTATGTTGCCCAGGCTAGCCTCAACCTCCTGGCCTCACATGATCCTCCTGCCTCAGCCACCCAAAGTGCTGGGATTATAGGCATGAGCCACTACACCTAGCCCCAAATTTCTTCAAGATTAGCTATACCAATGCACCCATGAAAGAAAGGAACCAATATTATTAAATGTCAAGCTTTGTATGGGACAGGCCTCTAAATATTTTACTTCATGAATCCTCTTCATTTTATGAGTGAAGAAACAGGCTTAAGGAGAGGTAACATAATGGTAGAATTATAAACTCAAGTCTGTTTGACTCCAAAAACCCTTGTTCTTTCCAGTGAACCATACTGCCACACAGTATATATTATATAAGAGTAGTTATCTAGTCAATTTGGGAGGCCGAGGCGGGCGGATCACCTGAGGTCAGGAGTTCAAGACCAGCCTGGCCAATATGGTGAAACACTGTCTCTATCAAAAATGCAAAATTTAGCTGGGTGTGGTGGTGCGTGCCTGTAATCCCAGCTACTCGGAAGGAAGAAGCAGGAGAACCACTTGAACTCGGGAGGTGGAGGTTGCAGTGAGCTGAGATCGCGCCACTGCACTCCAGCCTGGGCGACAGAGCGAGACTCTGTCTCAAAAAAAAAAAACAAAAACAATTATCTAGTCAAAAAATCAAATTAACTTTTAAGTATGCATTTGTGTATTTGTTTCCTAGGCTGATATAACAAAGTGCCACAAACTGAATAGCATAAAGCAGAAATGTATTGTCTCACAGTGCTAGAGGATGGTTTCAGAGGCTAGAAGTCCAAAATCAAGGTGTTGGCAAAGCCCTGTTCCCACTGGAGCCTCTAGGGGGAGGCTCCTGGCTTCTGGCTTCTGGTAGCCCTGGGCATTCCTTGGTTTGTGGAAACATAACTCCAATCTCTGCCTTTATCTGCCATGCGGTCTCTGCAATGTGTCTGTGTGTCTCTGTGTATTCATGCACCTGGTGTTCTCCCTAATTCTATTTTTTTTTCTTATAAGGATACCAGTTATAATGGAATAGGGGCCACCCTAATCCAGTATGACCTCATTTTAACTTGATTACATCTGCAAAGACCCTATTCCCAAACTAAGATAACATTCACAGGTGATTTAGACTTCAATATATCCTTTTAGGGGATACAAATCAACCTCGTACATTTTGTAACAGCACTAAGAACAATTTTTCCCGCAGGAAAAAATTTAAAACATAGTCCTTCCTCAAGGAACTTAAAATTTCGTTGAGAAAACGAAGTTCACAAACAATAAGCTATTAGTAAAAAATGAACAAAATAAGTTAATGAAGCTCAAACAATAAATGTAAATGGTGTATAAAGAAGGAAAAGCATGGCTGGGAGCAGTGGCTCACACCTGTAATCCCAGCACTTTGGGAGGCCCAGGTGGGTGGATCACCTGAGGTTAGGAGTTCGAGACCAGCCTGGCCAATGTGGTAAAACCCCATCTTTACTAAAAATACAAAAAAAAAAAAAAAAATTAGCCGGCCATGGTGGTGGGTGCCTATAATCCCAGCTACTTGGGAGGCTGAGGCTAGAGAATCACTTGAACCTGGGAGGCGGAGGTTGCAGTAAGCTGAGATCGCGCCATTGCACTCCAACCTGGGCGACAAGAGCAAAACTCCATCTCAAAAAAAAAAAAAAAGAAAAAGAAAAGAAGGAAAAGCATATTCCAGGTCAGAAGTCCCAGGGGGCTTCATAGTGGACATGGATCAGAAGCTGGATAAAAGATTGGTAGAATAGGCCAGGTGTGGTGGCTCATGCCTGTAATCCCAGCACTTTGGGAGGTCAAGGTGGACGGTTCACAAGGTCAGGAGTTCGAGACCAGCTTGGCCAACATGGTGAAACCCCATCTCTATTAAAAATACAAAAAAATTTAGCCAGGCCTGGTGGTGCGTGCCTGTAATCCCAGCTACTCAGGAGGCTGAGGCAGGAGAGTCGCTTAAACCCGGGAGGCGGAGGTTGCAATGAGCCAAGATTGCGTCACTGTACTGCAGCCTGGGCAACAGAGCAAGACTCCATCTCAAAAAAAAAAAAAAAAAAGGCCAGGTGCGGTGGCTCACACCTGTAATCCCAACACTTTGGGAGGCCAAGGCGGGTGGATCATGAGGTCAGGAGATCAAGATGGAGACCATCCTGACTAACATGGTGAAACCCCTTCTCTACTCAAAATACAAAAAATTTAGCTGGGCCTGGTGGCGGGTGCCTGTAGTCCTAGCTACTCAGGAGGCTGAGGCAGGAGAATGGTGTGAACCCGGGAGGCGGAGCTTGCAGTGAGCCAAGATCACACCACTGCACTCCAGCCTGGGCGACAGAGCAAGACTCTGCCTCAATTAAAAAAAAAAAAACAAAAAAAAATTGGTATAATAAATATACAGAAAAGAGGCAAGAAACTAAGAGTCAAACAGCAGGAACAAAGGCACAGAAACAGGAATTAACATGACACAGAAAGGCAGGTGGGAAGGCAAAAGTAAGCAAAACAATCAGCCTGAAATACAATTTGGGTCAGGAGATAGTGGGAGACAAAGGTAGCTAGAGCCATTCTATGGAAGACCTTAAAGATGAGACAGCAGAATTCTAACCTGATGTAGTCAGTGAGTCATACAGCCACTCTGAAAATAAGGTTTGAGGAAGTTCAGGCTGGCTTCACAGGAGAACTGACAAAAAGAAATGGAGACCAAGGAAAGGGGACTAGTTAGGGATCTGCCAAGTTCTCTATTCTGCAGTCAGAATGACGTTTTTTTTAATTCGATCAAGTAACTCCTCTGCATGTTGAAGCACTCAATATGATACACTGAAGGAATCAAAGACAACACCAAATTTCTAACCTCAGTCTTAAATAACAGTTGCATGGGCATCATTTATAGGAACCAAGAAGGTAGGAAAGGGATATCGTTTGGAAGAGTTATCAGTTTTGATTGGTTTATGAATAATTTGAGGTAGAAATTACAGTTAAAAGTTGGCCAGATTATGGCTGGTGAGGCAGAGGCAAAGGCAGGAATTATCATGTGCAGCATATTAGAACTGTAGAAGGTTGATACTCAAATTACAGAAGAACAGGCAAGCTCTAGGGAGTCAGCTAAGACACCTATGGGAGGAGCCAACTAAGCCTAACTGGAAATGAACCAGGAAACTGAAAACAAGCAAATAACAAAAACAGTCAGACATTCAGGAGCAAAGGGTGAGGCAGGTAGGCTAGGGCTGGGACCAGATCTTGGGCAGGAACACAGACAGAGTCCCATCCTGGAAAAAAGGCAGAAAAGAAATAAGGAAGTAGCTGTAGAATAACAATGTAGTAGGCACTGTTTTAAGAATTTTAATCAATTTACTCAAACCTCTCAAGAATAAGAGAGACTACTATTATATTCCAAAATTTTCCCCCAAAAAGCATTTTTTTGTAATACGCTTCTCATCCTCCTTTCTGACATATGACCTTTTCCCCATTCAACTAAAGGCATAGGCTGCCTCAAGGAAAATTATGGTTGTTAAAGGGAAAAAAGGTCATTTACTATTCAGCTTCAAACCTCAAAACTGATGTGTGTGTATGTGTGTGTATGTGTGTAATAAAACGACAATTTTGAGGACTTTTTCTACATTCTAACAGCTCCTTTTATTTATCAAGAGCTTGACGTGCCACAGCTGGACCACATAGCTTTAGTATGAGCTACAGTTTGCAAGAATCCAAGTTTAGGAGCCAAGCACAGTGGTGCACACCTGTAGTTTCAGCTACTCAGAAGGCTTAAACAGGAGGACCTTCACTTGAGACCAGGAGTTCCTGGCTGTGGTGTGCTATGATCACACCTATGAATAGCTACTGCATTCTAGCCTGGGCAATGTAGTAAGACCCCATCTCTTTAAAAGACAAAGAGAGAGAGAATAATAATCAAAGTTAAGAGACATGCCCTGTACTGAGGAAAGAGAAATAAGGACTTTTCTGATAAAAGAGGAAATAAAAGGGTGTCTGTGTGTGTGTGTGTGTGTGTGTGTGTGTGTATGTGTGGTGGATCTCCCTTGTTCTAAGATGAACTGTGTTTCCCCCAAATTCACATGTTGAAGTCCCAGCCTCCAGGATCTCAGAATGTAACTGTATTTGGAGACAAGGTCTTTAAAGTGCTTAAGTTACAGTGGGTCTAATCCAATATGACTCGTATCCTTTTAAGAAGAGGAAAAGACACCAAGGATGTGTGCATACAGAGGGACTATCATGTCACAATAAAGCAGCAAGAAGGTTGCCATCTGCAAGCCAAGGAGAGAAGTTCAGAGAAAAACAACCCTGCTGGCACCTTGGTCTTAGACTTCCAACCTTCAAAAATGTGAGAAAATAAATTTCTGCTGTTTAAGCCACCTAGTCTGTGGCATTTTGTTATGGCAGCCCTAGCAAACTAATACACCCCTCCAGGCTGAAACCCTTTAGAGGGAAGTTTAAAAAATCAGAAAGTTTGAGGGAATCTCAGAGAAGTGGGGGTTGTTTCTCACTTCTTTGGACAAGACAGGAGCAACTTAAAGCTCCCTTAAAGAATTTCCATGTTCAAGGCCGGATGTGGTGGGTCATGCCTGTAATCCAGCACTTTGGGAGGCCAAGGTGGGCAGATCACTTGAGGTCAGGAGTTAAAGACCAGCCTGGCCAACATGGTGAAACCCTGTCTCTACTAAAAAATCAAAAATTAGCCAGGCATGGTGGCATGCACCTGTAGTCTCAGCTACTCAGGAGGATGAGGCAGGAGAATCACTTCAGCCCGGCGGGTGGAGGTTGAAGTGAGCTGAGACTGCGCCACTGCGCTCCAGCCTGGGTGACAGAGTGAGGCTCCATCTCAGAAAAAAAAAAAAAAAGGAATTTATGTGTTTAGTAACCCAGGTAACAGACTGGAAGTGACAGAATGGCATAATAATGTGAAAGAAACCAAATATCACCTTTCTGATTCCTCTGGAGAAAGGATTCCTTGATTTCCAAAGATAACCTTATAGTAGCAACGAGCATATCTGCCAAGCAGACCTTGGTTTCTTTTTTTTTTTTTGTGAGACAGAGTCTTACTCTGTTGCCCAGGCTGGAGTGCAGTGGCACAATCTTGGCTCACTGCAACCTCTGCTTCCCAGTTCAAACGATACTCCTCCCAAGTAGCTGGGATTACAGGCGCCCCCCACCATGCCCGGTTAATTTTTGTTTTTTTTTGTGGTGGTGGTGTTTTTTTTTTTTTTTTTGAGATGGAGTCTCGCTGTCCTCCAGGCTGGAGTGCAATGGCGTGATCTCAGCTCACTGCAACCTCTGCCTGCCGGGTTCAAGCAATTCTCCTGCCTCAGCCTCCCAAGTAGCTGGGACTACAGGTGCGCACCACCATACCCGACTAATTTTTTGTATTTTTAGTAGAGACGGAGTTTCACCATGCTAGCCAGGCTGGTCTCGAACTCCTGACCTTGTGATCTGCCCACCTCGGCCTCCCAAAGTGCTGGGATTACAGGCGTGAGCCACCGTGTCTGGCCCAATTTTTGTATTTTTAAGTAGAGATGGGGTTTCACCATGTTAGTCAGGGTGGTCTTGAACTCCTGACCTCAAGAAATCCACTAGCCTCAGCCTCCCAAAGTGTTGGGACTACAGGCGTGAGCCACCGTGCCCAGCTGCAGACCTTGGTTTCTAATGCCATTCTCCAATAAAAGGAACCAAGGTTCCTTGGAGAAATGGTTGACTCTAGGGCTGGAGTAGGAAACGTATAGATAGGCCTAGAGCATCTAAAAGTACCAAAAAGTAAGAAAGGGGTATGTCACAATGAAACTGGGTGTAGGGTATGTGGAAATTCTCTGTACTTTCTGGCACTATAAAAGTAAGAAGGGGATACAGGAGTTAATGAAGGAGCTCTCCAACAGCCAGAGCCAGAACAATTTGAGCAACAAAAAAATAAACTAATATTGGATTATAAGCCAAAGTACAAAATAAATATCCATGAGTCCATACCGATACAAGTAAATTATTAAGTTAATAAATGAGGGAGAAGAGACAAATCTCCTTTGCAGAAGAATTCCATATAGTTTATGTTGATACTCTGTCCTTAAGGAGGAAAAACATAACTACCCACTCATTAAGTGAGGGTGAACATACTTTCTTCCAAAGTGTACAGTATGGAAACAGATTTTTTTTAAGAGTACATTATAGTGGAGAAACCTGACAAGCACTATCTCACGCCAGGTGATAGAGGTTAACATAAGTAGTGATAAATCATTTTGAAAAACATACCCATGTTATGATGTGTTGAGATTGGTACTTTACTTCTGTGGTCTTTGTCCGAAAACCCACAACTCCAGTCTAATCCTGAGAAAAGACTCAGACAATTCCCAATTGAGGGACATTCTATATAAAACACCTAATCAGTAATCCTTAAAATTGTCAAGATTATCAAAAACAAGAAAAGGTCTAAAAAACAAGGAAAGGCTGAAAAGAAGCTTCAGAAGACATAATGTCTAAATGTAACGTAACTCTGGATGAGATCCTGGAATTAAAAAAGGACAGCAGGCGAAAACTGAAGAAATCTGAATAAAGTACGGACTTTCATAATAAGATATCAATACTGGTTCATTAATTGTGACAAATGCATCATACTTATGTTAAGATGTTAATAATAGGGAAGACTGGGTGTGGGGTATATAAAAACTCCCTGTACTATCTTTGCAATAATTTTCCAGATCTAAAACTGTTAAGTGGCCAGGTATGGTAGCTCACACCTGGCACTTTAGAAGGCCAAGGCAGGAGGATCACTTGTTTAGTTTTCCAGATCTAATTTTCCAATAATTTTCCAGATCTAAAACTGTTAAGTGGCCAAGTATGGTGGCTCACACCCAGCACTTTAGAAGGCCAAGGCAGGAGGATCACTTCAGGCCAGGAACTGGAGACCAGCCTGGACAAGATAATAAGACCCTCATCTCTACCAAAAAATAAAAAATTAGACCATCATGGTGGCATGCACCTATAGTCCCAGCTACTTGGGAGGCCGAGGTGGGAGGATCGCTTGAGCCCAGGAGTTTGAGGCTGTAGTAAACTATGATCGCACCACTGCTCTCCAGCCTGGGTGACAGAGCAAGACCCTGTCTCAAAACAAACAAACAACAATAACAATAAAAAAAACCCTGAAAAACTGTTAAGTTTAAAATACAGAGACCAAGACTACCCTTTCTACTAAGCAGCTCAGAGAGTCCTCATTAACCCCAAGAACAGACATTCACAAGCAGCCCAAGAAAGTTGTTATAGCCAGCTCAAAATACAGAAGTGGCACACCAAGTGCTGTGGCACACACCTAGAATCCCAGCACTTTGTGAGCCCAAGGCAAGATCACTTGGAGCCAGGAGTTTGAAAGCAGCCTGGGCAACATAGCAACACCCTATCTCTACAAAACTAAAAAAAGAAAAAACTTTTAAAAATATACAGAACTAGCCGGGTGCGGTGGCTCACGCCTGTAATCTCAGCACTTTGGGAGGCCAAGGCTGGTGGATCACGAGGTCAGGAGATCGAGACCATCTTGGCTAACATGGTGAAACCCCATCTCTACTAAAAATACAAAAAATTAGCCGGGCATGGAGGTGGGCGCCTGTAGTCCCAGCTACTCAGGAGGCTGAAGCAGAGAATGGCGTGAACCCAGGAGGCGGAGCTTGCAGTGAGCCGAGATCACACCACTGTACTCCAGCCTGCTTAACCGAGCGAGACTCTGTCTAAAAAAAAAAAAAAATATATATATATATATATGTATGTATACACATATACACACACAGAACTGACATTCAATAAGAGATACAGTCTTGTGAGCCAGCTGCATAAAATATTAGCCAAACACTTAAAAGTAGTTAAGATACCCAGGGCAATATTTCCCAAACTAGTGGGCTTTGCTATATTATTCTGTGCCATAATAGGTAGGCCATGAAAATAGTAACCTGTGATCAAATAAACTAAACAAGACTGAGTTAAACAAAATTGAATAGCCTTCTTTATTAATGGATTTCTCAGAGCTTTTATATTCCAGCAGGCATTATGAATTCCAAGAGGAGGATACACTAACATTTCCCTCCAAAAAAGGTTTTCATTTTTTTCTCCTCACCACCTAAGAAATATTACAAGAAGGGTATTCTGTTTAACACTACTTTGGGGAATACTGCTCTTATGGGAGAGCAAAGGCTCAATAACAGAGTCCCTTACTAGGTGACTGGAAAGAAAAAATAAATCCAGCAAAGAATATAGTGAAGAAGATAAGACTGGAGAGTCCAGTATAACAGAAGCAAGAAAGAAAATAGTTTCCAAATAGCTAGAGACAATCAACAGGATCAAACTACTGGGAGGTCAAATACAGTAAGAATAAAAATATTCTTTGGTTTTGACTAGGAAGACTGCCATTTGTGACCTTCAAGAGAATAGTTTCAAAAAAGGGGAGGAAAGAAAGATGGCAGACATTTTAAGATTAGGATGGTTATGAAAAAATAGGTAGATGGAACATTTGTAGACCATCAATAATTTGACTTTAGCAATGAAAGTGAAAAAACAAATGGGTTGGTTGGGAGAAAGGAATATACAGATTTTTTTTCCTTTACTGAGAACAGGGGACACCCACATACTGTTGAAGGTAAAAAGTGAAACAAACTGAAAGAGACAGTTCAGTAGAGCTGGGCAAGGTGGTGCACACCTGCAGTCCCAGCTACTCAGAGGCTGAAGCAGGAGGATCACTTGAGCTCAGGATTTCAATGCTATAGTGCATCATGCCTGTGTAACAGCTACTGCACTCCAGCCTGGGCAACACAATGAGACCCTGTCTCTTTAAAAAAAAAAAAAAAAAAAGAGGCTGGGCATGGTGGCTCACACCTGTAATCCCAGCACTTTGGGAGGCTGAGGCGGGCGGATCACCTGAGGTTGGTAGTTCAAGACCAGCCTGACCAACATTGAGAAACCCCTTCTCTACTAAAAATACAAAATTAGCCAGGCGTGGTGGTGCATGCCTGTAATCCCAGCTACTCAGGAGGCTGAAGCAGGAGAATTGCTTGAACCCCGGGGGGGCGGAGGTTGCAGTGAGCTGAGATCACGCCATTGCACTCCTGCCTGGGCAACAAAAACAAAACTCCGTCTCAAAAAACAACAACAACAACAACAACGACAACAACAAAAAGTCCAATGGATGAAAGAATGGAATCAAGAGTATTAATTACAACAAGAGACTTTCCTTTGAGACCAGAGAGAAGAATGTGAATTGTAATGCTCAACCATGCCAAGTAGGAAGACCTTACTTTAATACTCCAAACTTTCATGGATTTCTACCTACTCTGCCCGAGAGTTTTTCAGTCTTTAGAGTTAAGCATGCAGCGCACATATAAATGTACTGATTCCTTGACCCTATCATAGCATGTCTATGTTATGGTGAAGAGGAGGGGGTTATAGGGAAGCACTTAGCTGAGGGCCTTAATCTTCATGAAATAAGAAAGCCAGGTAGAGGCTGTCAACAGGAAAGTTAGAAGCTCACAGACAGTTTAATTCATAATGACTTACCCTTAAGTGATTTTGATATGCAAAGTAAAACTTGTAATTATAATGGGCATTTACACACAAAAATGTGAAGATTACCAAAGAAGTGTATAGAAAGGCATCTACTATCCTGCCCAGAAATTTTCATAACTCTACTATACCTACAGAAGTTGCTAAGTCATAAACTATTAATATAGTTACCAATGAGCTAATGAAAACAAGGATTATTTAGTAGCAAGTATGATTACAGTTCAATTTTAAACTTTTTATATTTAAAACTTTGTATAGTTTTCCATCTGCATAAAACACCAACCCTAATAGCAACTTAGCTATACAAAATTTCATTCTATTTTCTTTCAATGAAGACACTGACATGACATTCCACTGCTTAAAATTTATTTTCAGATTCTAATCTTTTGGCTGATTTCATTAACAATTCAAATTGAGTAGATAATGATGGATCAACTATGTCCAAGACACAAGTGTGTCTCACATATAGCTCGAGGGCCCATCTATCATAACATTTTGATCACAAAAAGGCAGTCATAGCTGATTATTTAGTTATTCAATACATCACCCTATAGAGATTTTAAAAGTCACACAGCTTAAAAAATATATGATGACTACCATAAGTAGAGGAGTCAGAGGCGGCTTCGTTCTTTAAATAACGAAATTAATATTGATCAGTGTGCACGGAATAAAAATGAGACAATAACCACACCAAACCTGGCAGTCGCCAGATTTGTGTGTCTTTGAAGGTAAGGGGGCCACACAGGCCAGATGATTACTACTGCCAACTCACCAGCTGAGCTTAGAGAATAGGCAGCATCTGCACACAGTCCACTCTTGAGAACCAGAATTTACAGTCATTTTTTTCTGGCAGGGACCAGAGAACGTGGCACTGATAAACTGGGAAAAGTCTGACAGAAACAGGGTTGTTGGGGGTGAAAGGAGCCTTCAGGACTGAAATACTGGAAGGCATAAGACAACAGCTAGCGGATTAACATCCCGCCCCAGACCCCGGGGAGAAAAGAAACCATGGGGTTTGAAGAGAAAAGGGTCGTCCTTACCTTGTCATCCTCGCATCTCTTCCCGAGGCCCTCTCTGGCCTGCAGCCGGCTGCTGAGGCGGCCGTAGTCGGCCTCCTTCTGGTCGATCTGTTTCTTGTGCGTGTCCACCAACAGCAAGAGGTCCGAATTGCGCTTTTCCAGCCGCCCGCGGGCCACTTCGGTGCGCTGGACCTGGCCCTGCAGCTCGGCCACCTCCTCCTGAAGCAGGACGTGGCGGGAGGAGATGCTCCAGTAGTTGAAGGCGAGGACGACGATCACCACCAGCAGCACCACCAGCACGAGAGAGGGCAGGCGGCCAGCCCGCCGGTTGGCCCCGAAACCCACCATGGGGCCAAATCGGGCTGTACCCTAGGGGCCTCGCCGCAGACACCTGCAGGCAGAAGCCCAGGCCTCGGCTGGAGTTGCCCGGCGGACACGGCCCCAGGGCCGGCCGAGGGAGGAGGCGGGCTTACCGGTCGGCTGCGAGCCGGAGAAGGGGGCGGGGCCGCAAGCCGCAGGTCCCTCCCCGCCCCCCTCCTCAAATCAGGCCAAAACGCGTTCCGGAGGCTTTGAACCCGACCCTGCACCTGCCCAAGGGAACCGGGAGAACCCAGCTGCCAGCGTCCCCCAAACCCAACACCTCACGGTTGGGAGGCGGGGAAAAAAACCGGAAAGGGGCGGATGTACCCTGGCCCCACCCACTAGCTGGGGCCGGGTCGTCTAGGGGACCATTTCCGAGTTTCCGTCGACACCCCTCTTGTCGCGAGAACGTTGCTTCCTCTCGTCTCTCTCTCTCTCTCTCTCTCTCTCTCTCTCTCTCTCTCTCTCTCTCTCTCTCTCTCGCTCTCTCGCTCTCTCGCTCTCTCGCTCTCTCGCTCTCTCTCGCTCGCTCTCTTTCTCTCTCTCTCTCTCTCTCTCTCTCTCTCTCTCTCTCTCTCTCTCGCTCTCTCTCTCTCTCGCTCGCTCGCTCTCTTTCTCTCTCCCCGCCCAGAGTTTTCTCTGTCGCGTAGGGTGTTGTGTTAATTTTGGCGGTCTCAGATGTCTCAGGTACCTGGGTCGGAGTCCTTTCTGTTGTTATCTACTGGATTCCCTTGATTCAAGGCCTAGGGAGTTCCTGCCCTACACTGGCCCTCGCGAAAATATTTGTCTTTGAGGACGTCTGGGGCTGCGACCGCGGAATAGAAAAAAATAGTAGGTGAGCTGCTGCCAAAAAGGAGCGACTAGAAAGGTTTTGTACTTGCTTCTGTAGAAGGGGAATTTCTCTTTTGTGCTAATGATGTGGAAAGAAAAAACAAAAAGACTGTAAAATAGCGATGCCCTAAACATAATGGAGAAAAGCGGGAGAAACCAAGCTTTAGGACTGAAAGGGGTGGTGCCAGTCTCGTTTCCTAGGTTACTGCTTTCACGAACCGAAAGAATTTCAGAATGTGGCGAGCTCCAATTTTTAAACGCACTGCTGCTTTTGCCTCAGCTGGGCTTCCAAACAGAAAGTCCAGAAGCTGCCCTCGATGAATCGTAACTAATGCACTGTTACTGCCAGCGAACACATTCCGGGTTAGAAATAATAGCTCTAACAAATTGTTTTGCGCGCCTAGTCTCATATTATCTTCTCAACAACGCAATTTTACAGATGAAGAATCCAAGACACATAGATGTTTGGGAACTTTCTCTTATCTGGTTTTAAATAGGCTTGAATCCAGATCATTGAACTCTAAACACCAGTGCTGTCTGCATATAGCAGATTGTTTATATGTTAAGTGTGAATTTCAGTAGTGCAAAAAAAAAAACAAAACCTGCCTCTTTTTTTTTTTTGCATAATTATTTTGTCCGTGCATAGAGAAATAAAAAGGTACTGGCTCTAACCTGTTTAAGGAGAGGATGGGGTTGCCTTATTTTTCAGACCTCAGGTTGAAGAACTTCCATGAGTATAAAACCTCAAGAAGGAAAAACCTTGGTATTTTTTATTCGAATCAGAGTGATATGATTTTGAGGCAGGAAGACTTGTCATCTTAATTATTCTGTGCTTCCTATCCTCAAAAATTATTTCCCTAAGTCCCGTAGTAGCGTAGAATTATTGCATCTTCAAAGAACAATGATTACTCTCTCAGATGCAGTACAGAAAACCACCACCAAAATTATTAATACTTGGTTCACATCAGAAGTGAGCTCTGGCTTCATAAGATCTAACAAATCCTCTCCACTCTCAGATGACAAGCCGACTTTGGCAAAAGGAAGCAAAGCAAAAATGAGAAATCATTAACTATAAAGAGCCTTTCCATCTCTGCTTTCCTCAACTCATATTGGCCTTGCTCTGCTCAACCAGCAATCGAAAATTATTCTAGGCCGGGCGCGGTGGCTCACCCCTGTAGCCTCAGCTACTCGGGAGGCTGAGGCAGGAGAATCACTTGAATCGGTGAGGCAGAGGTTGCAGTGAGCCGAGATCGTGCCATTGCACCCCACCTTGGGCAACAGAGTGAGACTCCGTCTGAAGAGAAAAAAAAATTATTCTATAAAGTTATGTTAACTACTTAAGATTTACTGTTCCCACGAGTGTTTTCATTTTTACATAGGCAAATCTAAAAGTATAAATATTGTACAAAACACATACACATACATTTCCTCAACAGATGTTTAATAGAACTATTGGGTACCATTATTCCATTTTACAGGTGCAGAGGTAACTTGCCGAAAGTCATTTATGTAGTAAATGGCCGAGATGACCAATCCTCTTTCCACTCTTCCCCAGAGGATTTTTTTTTCCTTTTTTTTTTTTTTTTTTTTTTTTTTTTTTGAGACGGAGTCTCGCTCTGTCGCCCAGGCTGGAGTGCAGTGGCGCGATCTCGGCTCACTGCAAGCTCCGCCTCCCGGGTTCACGCCATTCTCCTGCCTCAGCCTCCCGAGTAGCTGGGACTACAGGCGCCCGCTACCACGCCCGGCTAATTTTTTGTATTTTTAGTAAAGACGGGGTTTCACCGTGTTAGCCAGGATGGGCTCGATCTCCTGACCTCGTGATCCGCCCGCCTCGGCCTCCCAAAGTGCTGGGATTACAGACGTGAGCCACCGCGCCCGGCCTTTTCCATTTTGATGGTTGTCTCATCAAGCTGTTCCTCCTACTGAATACAAACCAGATATTAAGACAGTGTTTAAGTGCCCTCCCATATGTAGTTCTGAGTTAGACATTAAACAAATTAAGGTAAAAGTCAATTCCTTAAACCAGGTAATCAAAGTTAACATCAACAGTGATGTCCTGTTGATAGTATGTATTGGTGATACAATATGATGATTGTAGCACTCTGTGTGGTCTTCTTCACAAAGACTCATAACCCTAGTCTACTCATGAGAAAAACATCTGACAAATCTCAGTGGAAGGACATTCTAAAAAATACTTGACCAGTATTCCTCAAACTTGTCAAGGTCATCAAAAACAAGGAAAATTGGAAAATCTTTCATGGCCAAGAGAAGCTTAAGGAGACATGATGATTAAATGTATCCTGGATGGGATCCTGGAACACGAAAAGGACATTAGGTAAAAACTAAGGAAATCTGAATAAAGTATGGATGTTAGTTAATAATAATATATCAGTACTGATTCATTAATTGTGACAAATGCACCATACTAATGCAGGGGAAACGGTGTGGGATATATGGGAACTCTACTATTTTCACAATTTTTCTGTAGATCTAAAGCTGCTAAAAAATTATTTTTAAAAAGTCCATTCCTGTCTTTTAGAATATGTTATCAAGTATAGACATAAATATGATGTAACTGTAAAGGCAGTGTAATCATAGATAAATAATGTTTCTTGTGGTTTTTTTGTTTGTTTTATTTTGTTTTTTAAAAGATGGGGTCTTGCCCTGTCACCCAGGCTGGAGTGCAGTGGCTCGATTTCGGATCTCAGCTCACTGCAGTCTTGACCTCCCCAGCTCAAGTGATCCTCCGGCCTCGATCCCGGAAGTAGCTAGGACTACAGGTGCCCGCCCCACGTGCAGCTAATTTTTGTATTTTTTGTACAGACAGGGTTTTGCCATGTTGCCCAGGCTGATTCTGAACTCCTGAGTTCAGGTAATCCTGCTGCCTGGGCCTCCCAAAGTGCTGGGATTAAGGCATGAACCACCATGCCCGGCCAATCATAGACAAATCATGGGTTTTTTTTTTCTTTCTTTTCTTTTCTTTTTTTTTTTTTGAGGGGAGATGGAGTCTCACTCTCACCCAGGCTGGAATGCAGTGGCGTGATCTCACCTCACTGCAACCTCCGCCTCCTGGGTTCAAGCAGTTTTCCTGCCTCAGCCTCCCAAGTAGCTGGGATTACAGGCGCATGCCACCATGCCCGGCTAATTTTTTGTATTTTTTTGTTTTGTTTTTTTTTAGTAGAGATGGGGGTCTCACCATGCTAGCCAGGCTGGTCTCAAACTCCTGACCTCGTGATCCACCCACCTCGGCCTCACAAAGTGCTGGGATTACAGGCGTGAACCGCCGCACCCGGCCAACATATAATGTTTTAAGGTTTAATTGGGAGGCCAGGTGTCCCAGCTACTCAGGAGGATGAGGTGGGAGGATCATTTGAGTCTGGGAGGTGGAGGTTTGGTGAGCTGTGATCGCACCAGTGCACTCCAGCCTGGGTGATGGAGTGAGACCCTGTGTCAAGAATAAATACATTAATTAAATAATTATATAGATTTAGTTTGGGGATAAGCATCTGTTATAGGGTAGCAGGTGTAGGAATTTTGTGTTTGGATGAAGTCATCTTTAAAGGCAAAAATCGGCTGGGCGCAGTGGCTCACGCCTGTAATCCCAGCACTTTGGGAGGCCGAGGTGGGCGGATCATGAGGTCAAGAGATTGAGACCATCCTGGCCAACATAGTGAAACCCCATATTTACTAAAAATACAAAAATTAGCTAGGCATGGGGGCATGCACCTGTGGTCCCAGCTACTCAGGAGGCTGAAGCAGGAGAATCACTTGAACCCAGGAGGTGGAGGTTGCAGTGAGCCGAGACCGCACCACTGCACTCCAGCCTGGTGACAAAGCGAGACTCTGTCTCAAAAATAAATAAATAAAGGCAAAAATTATGTCTTGTATTTCTCTTAACATAATCCTTCTGACCCCCTTTCTTAAGCCCACAACACAATTTCACGTACATTGTCTTCAGTATATTTTGACCCATAAAAAGTTTGACATGCTGGAATTGGGTAGAAAAGTGGATTATTTTATAGTTTGTTCCTCAATATTTTGGACATTTGGTAGGACTAGGTTAGAGAAGATGGCAGCTCATAGAAATAAGAAATACACAGATATGTAGGCAAGATTTCTTCTATTGCTAATCAAAAAAACCTAACTTAAAACTAGCTTAAGAAAAGAAATTATGGCCGGGTGTGGTGGCTCATGCCTGTAATCCCAGCACTTGGGGAGGCTGAGGCAGGCAGATCATGAGGTCAGGAGCTTGAGATCAGCCTGGCCAACATGGTGAAACGCCATCTCTATTAAAAATACAAAAATTAGCCAGGTGTGGTGGCACACGCCTGTAATCCCAGCTACTCGGGAGGCTGAGGCAGGAGAATTGCTTGAACCCAGGAGGTGGAGGTTGCAGTGAGCCAATATCGCACCACTGCACTCCAGCCTGAGTGACAGCGAGACTCCGTCTCAAAAAAGAAAAAGAAAAAAATTATTAGAATGATACTAGGATAGTTCACAGTACTACTATTGGTGTAGCAGTAGGAACTGGAGTACCTACAGGGGATTTGATGCTTCCAGGACCTCTAACTCTTTCTGTTTCTCCCCTCTGCTTGGCTTTATTCACTACTTCAGATGGTCCTTTTCCTTGTAGGCAGCAAATATGGCCCCAGCATCCATAGAGTAATATCTTGACATTTCTCTGATCTGAGAAGAAAGGGAGGTTTGTCTTCTAGATTTCAGTACAAAAATCCTCAGGGAAGGATTTTGATTGTCCAAGGCTGGTCATGTGCCCACCCCTTGTACCCATTACTGTGTTCAGGAAGGTGAAATTTTATGATTGGCCCAGCATAGGACACTCCTCTCTGGCCAGTGGGCAGTATGTTACTATGAAACAGTGTATTGGGTAGACCAAAATAAATAACGTTAATTACAACTGAGTTTTCTTTTTCTTGAGATGTATTAAGTACTTTCCTTCCAATTAGGAACAGTTAATGTGTGAATAAAGCCATGGTGTCATGGGTTGGGTTATCCAGAAAACAGACTATGAGATGGAGATTAGTAATAGGAAGTTTTTTTAGGGAGTGTTCTTGAGATCACCACCTGCAGAAGGGAAGGGAAAGAAAGAGAGGAAAACAGGATGAGCAGAGGGTGAAGTTGGGCTGCTGGGAAGTTTCAGTGAAAGCTTCGGCCAGCTCCACGTAGAACTCTGAAGCTGTGGTGACCCTTCAGAATTGTCCTGGGTTGGAAGGGCTCAGGCCTTTATACTCCCACACCAACCAGGTTTTGGATAACGAAAGGGAAAGGCCAAACTGCAATCAATTAGTAACAATGCCTGGGCTGGGCGTGATGGCTCACGCCTGTAATCCCAACACTTTGGGAGGCTGAGGCGAGTGGATCACAAGGTCAGGAGTTCGAGACCTGCCTGGCCAACATGGTGAAATCCCGTCTCTACTATAAATACGAAAATCAGCTGGGCATGGTGACAGGCGCCTGTTATCCCAGCTACTCGGGAGGCTGAGGCAGGAGAATCGCTTGAACCTGGGTGGCAGAGGTTTCAGTGAACCGAGATAGTGCCACTGCACTCCAACCTGGGCAACAGAGCAAGACTCCATCTCAGAAACAAGCAAACAAACAAACAATGCCTGGATTGGTGCATTTAAAAAAGATTAGGAAAATATATCCGGACTTATTGATAAAGCAAACTGTAGTCGATTTATAGTTCAGCCACAGGCACAGGAAGGGAGTATGATATCCAGCATGGGTAATGGATGCTGTGGTGTGCCACCCAGATCCCTCTTCAGGAATGAATGACATATTCCCCCAGCTGCTGGGAGTGCTGTCAGCAGACACCTCTCAGTGATCAGTCAGCCACCTTCAGAATTGCCTCAGCTAAAGAGGGCTGCTTCATAAAGGAAATACCCCAGCCCCCCATCCAATACTGGTCAACAGAACACATGTGTTATTTCCCTATGACAAATCCATTTCCTATAGTTGTGTAGCATGAGGCAATATACTGTAAGAGTAAGGTGGGCTCTGGAGTAAGAATTCATGGGCTGAAAGTCGTCTCTTCACTTTTACTAATTTTGTAACATCGGGCAAGGTACTTAACCTTAGTTTTCTTGTTTCCAAAATGGCAAATCAGTTAGGATTAAGTTTGGTGCCATGTAACAGGAAAATAAATAAATAAAAATAAACAAGATAGGATTTTCTTCTCTCACACATAAATCCAGAAGCCGGCCATTCAGGATTGACACGGCAGGCTCCTTTGAGTTCACTGCTCAATCATCCCTACAGTGTTGCCCTCATGTTCACTTCCAGCCATGACATTCTTGATGCAGGAAGCAGAAAGGGCCAGGCATGGTGTCTCATGCTTGGAATCCCAGCACTTTGGGAGGCTGAGGCAGGAGGATTGCTTGAGCTCAGGAGTTTGAGACCAGCCTGGGCAACATAGTAAGACCTTGTCTCTACAAAAAAATTTAAAAAGCAGGGGTGGTGGTACACACCTGTAGTTCAAGCTGTTTGGGAGACTGAGGGAGAAGGACTGCCCAGCCTGGGCCACAGAGCAAGATACTGTCTCAAAAAACAAAAAAGGGCCAGGCACAGTGGCTCACGCCTGTAATTCCAGCACTTTGGGAGGCTGAGGCGGGCGGATCACAAGGTCAAGAGATGGAGACCATCCTGGCCAGCATGGTGAAACCCTGTCTGTACTAAAAATACAAAAATTGGCTGGGTGTGGTGGCACACGCCTATAGTCCCAGCTACTCAGAAGACTGAGGCAGGAGAATCTCTTGAACCCAGGAGGCAGAGGTTGCAGTGAGCCAAGATCGAGCCACTGCACTCCAGCCTGGTGACAGAGCGAGACTGTCTCAAAAAAAAAAAAAAAAAAAAAAGAGGAAGGGTACACCCTCCCCCAATTTTTAAGAAGACTTCTCCAAATACACATTTCTACTCATTTTTCATTTAGTCACAGAGTCATCGTAGACATTAAGGAGGCAAGGAAATACAGTGCTACAGCAGAGCAGCAGTGTCCCCAGTTGAAAATTCAGATCTTTAGTAAAGGAAAAGAGAAGAAAGGTACAAAGAGACAAACCAAAACCAAAAAACAACTCTGAAATCTATGAGGATAATAATAAAGCCTATCTCACATGGTTGTTTTATTAATTAATAAGTGCACAGTGTTTAGAACTGGCACTTATCAAGTATTCACTAAATGTTGCTACTCTGGCTACTATTACAGCAGTGGTTCTCAGTTTGTAGGAGGTCATAAATGTTCACTATATTTTCACTAACTTTTGTCCATGTACAGAAAAATTAATGTCTACAAAATCTCATTACTTTAAAAAAGAGTTTGAAATTGTGTTGAATAAAATTTTACTTAAAATTGAGCTGGTTATGGTGGCTCATGCATGTGATAGCAGCACTTTGGAGCACCAAGGCAGGAGGATCACTTGAGGCCAGGAGTTCAAGACTGGTCTGGGCAACATAGCAAGACCCCATCTCTACCAACAAATTTTAAAAATTAGCCAGGTATGGTAGCACATGCCTGTAGTCCCAGCTACTTGGGAGGCTGAGGTTGGTGGATCTCTTGAGTCCAGGAGTTCAAGGCTGCAGTGAACCTTGACCACACTACTGCACTCCAGCTTGGGTAACAGGGCAAGATCCTGTCTCAAAAGAAATAGCAGGGCGAAGTGGCTCATGCCTGTAATCCCAACACTTTGGGAAGCCGAGGTGGGAGGATCACTTAAGGCAGGGAGTTGGAGACCAGTCTAAGCAACATAGCAAGACCCCATCTCTACAAAACAATTTAAAAATTAGCAGAGTGTGATGGTGTATGCCTGTACTCCCAGTTACTTGGGAGGCTGAGTTGGGAGGATCCCTTGAGCCCAGGAGTTTGAGGCTGCAGTGGGCCGTGATCAAGCCACTGCACTTTAACATAAGAGACAGAGCAAGACCCTGTCTCTAAAAAAAAACTAAGTAAAATTACTAGTGAATCCACTTTAACCTTTTTCATTGTGTATTTTTAAAATCAGTAGATACTGGCCGGGCGCGATGGCTCACGCCTGTAATCCCAGCACTTTGGGAGGCCTGAGGCAGGTGGACCACCTGAGGTCAGGCGTTCAAGACGAGCCTGGTCAACATGGTGAAACCCCGTCTCTACTAAAAATACAAAATTTAGCCGGGTGTGGTGGCAGGCACCTGTAATCCCAGCTACTCAGGAGGCTGAGGCAGGAGAATTGCTTGAACCTGAGAGGCAGAGGTTACAGTAAGCTGAGATCGCGCCATTGCGCTCCAGCCTGGGCAACAAGAGCAAACTTCGTCTCAAAAAAAAAAAAAATCAATATGTACTAAACTTATAATTACTATCACATGGTAATCTGTACAGTTTTTGACATTAAAAAAGAAGTTTGAGCTGGGCGCGGTGGCTCACACCTGTAATCCCAGCACTTTGGGAGGCCGAGGCAGGTAGATCACAAGGTCAAGAGATCAAGACCCTCCTGGTTAACACTGTGAAACCCCATCTCTACTCAAAATACAAAATTAGCTGGGCGTGGTAGCATGTACCTGTAGTCCCAGCTACTCAGGAGGCTGAGGCAGGAGAATAGCTTGAACCCAGGAGGCGGAGGTTGCAGTGAGCTGAGATCACGCCACTGCACTCTGGCCTGGAGACAGAGCGAGACTCCGTCTCAAAAAAAGAAAAAAAAAGTCTGTAGAATCAAAAGATTAAGCCCAGAGCATTGTCACTGCCTATAGTCCCAGCTACTTGGGAGCCTGAGGCAGAAGGATGGCCAGAGCCTAGGAGTTGAACACTGCAGTGCTCTATGATCTTCACTGTGATTAGCCACTGCACTCCAGCCTGGGCAACATAGTGAGACTCATCTCTAAAAAAATAAAAGGTTAGAGGCCGGGTACGGTGACTCGCGCCTGTAATCCCAGCACCTTGGGAGGTCAAGGTGGGTGGATCACCTGAGGTCAGGAGTTCGAGACCAACCTTAACAATATGGAGAAACCCCATCTCTACTAAAATACAAAATTAGCGGCTGGGCGCGGTGGCTCCTGCCTGTAATCCCAACACTTTGGGAGGCCGAGGCGGGAGGATCACGAGATCAGGAGATCAAGACCATCCTGACTAACACGGTGAAACACGGTCTCTACTAAAAATATTTTTTAAAAAATTAACCGGGCATGGTGGCGGGCGCCTGTAGTCCCAGCTACTCGGGAGGCTGAGGCAGGAGAATGGCGTGAACCCGGGAGGCAGAGCTTGTAGTGAGCCGAGCTTGCGCCACTGCACTCCAGCCTGGGCGACAGAGCGAGACTCTGTCTCGGAAAAGAAAAAAAAAAAATTAGCCAGGCATGGTGGTGCATGCCTGTAATCCCAGCTACTTGGGAGGCTAAGGCAGGAGAATCGCTTGAACCTGGGAGGTGGAGGTTGCCATGAGCTGAGATCGCATCACTGCACTCCAGCCTGGGCAACAAGAGCGACTCTCTGTCTCAAAAAAAAAAAAAAAAAAGTTGGTAATCTTGGGCCCTCGGGCCTATAGGACCACTTTTTTTTTTTTTTTTTTTTTTTGGAGACAGAGTCTCGCTCTGTTGCCCAGGCTGGAGTGCAGTGGTGCAATCTCGGCTCACTGCAAGCCCCTCCTCCTGGGTTCACCCCATTCTCCTGCCTCAGCCTTCCGAGTAGCTGGGACTACAGGCGCCCGCCACCACGCCCAGCTAATTTTTGGTATTTTTAGTAGAGACAGGGTTTCACCATGTTAGCCAGGATGGTCTCGATCTCCTGACCTCGTGATCCGCCCGCCTCAGCCTGCAAAGTGCTGCGATTACAGGCGTGAGCCACTGCGCCCGGCCAGGACAACATTTTTTATAAGACTATAACCCCACCTCTACCAGCCTCCATAGCCTTATTTTTTCTTCATATCACTTATGCCCTAGCTCTAGGATAATCCTGTTTCCCAGGATATATTATGTCTCTGGCCCTTTGGAATGCTTCTCTAACTTTGTTCTTTCACTGTCAGTTATTCAAGAATTCATTCTTAATAAAAATGATACAAATTTCTCACATAGGTACACAATCAAAACTATACTATTAATATAATTTGAAGTTGTAACAGTAATTTTTTGTTGGCTTTTTTTGAAACAGGGTCTCACTCTGTCACTCAGGCTGTACTGCAGTGGTGCAGTCATAGCTCACTTCAGCCTCGAACTCTTAGGCTCAAGCGATCCTCCTGCCTCAGCCTCCCAAGCTAATTTAAAAAAATATTTTTTTGTAAAGACAGGATCTCACTATATTGCCCAAGCTGGTCTTGAACTCCTGGCCGTAAGCAATCCTCCTGTCTCAGCCTACCAAAGGGCTGGGATTACAGATGTGAGCCACTGTGTCCAGCTGAGTAATACTTTTCAGTGAAATTTTAAAAAATTCATCATCATGGCATTGTTATTGGAAGCCTACTTTGTTCAAGGATTTATATCATGGTGCATGCATTAAGTAATTAACAAATTAATTAATTACTCAAATATTTACTGTGTGCCTGCCATGTGACAATCTATAGTGTTGTAGGTGAGAGGAAGTGCGGAGGATACAGCAGAAATAGAAAGGTCCTCCTGAAGCTTCCAGTCTCTTCCTCCTTTACCAGTGCCCAACCAGGGGAACACTGTATTCAGTTTCCTCCTTGAGAACATTTTTCAACAGCTCCCATGCCCTGCTGCTCCCAAGTGATGGAAGTGACCACTATCTTACTGTGCCTGCATGATGTCCTCTAGTTTTCTATTGTAGCAGTTTATTTTGCTGACTCTACAGTAGACTTTTGGTAGATTTTTTTTTTTTGAGATGGAGTCTTGCTCTGTTGCCCAGGCTGGAGTGCAGTGGCACAATCTCGGCTCACTGCAACCTCTGCCTCCTGGGTTCAAGCAATTCTCCTGCCTTAGCCTCCTGAGTAGCTGGGACTACAGATGCGCACCACCATGCCCAACTAATTTTTTGTATTTTTAGTAGAGACGGGGTTTCACCATGTTGGCCATGATGGTCTTGATCTCCCAACATCGTGATCCACCCGCCTTGGCCTCCCAAAGTTTTGGAATTACAGGCGTGAGCCACCACACCCAGCTGGTAGATGTTTTTCTGCAGGACCACATTATAAGATAGTATGAGGTAGGCTGTGATTTTGTTTTGACACCACACCATTAGGCTTTTTTTTCCCCTTCTCCAATGCCTGCTCACTTCTTTCTTTTCCATTTATCTGAAACTTTTTTTTTGAGACAGTGTCTCACTCTGTCACCCAGGCTGGAGATCAGTGACACAATCATGGCTCACGGCAACCTCGACCTCCCTGGCTCAAGCAATACTCCTGCTTCAGCCTCCCAAGTAGGTGGGGACTACAGACACACACAACCACACCTGGCTAATTTTTAAATTTTTTGTAGAGACGGTGTCTTTCTGTGTTGCCCAGGCTGGTCTCAAACTCCTGGGCTCAAGCAGTCCTCCCGCCTCGGCCTCCCAAAGCATTGGGATTTACAGGCGTGAGCCATCGTGCCCAGCCTAAAACATTTTTAAAATACTCTCTTATTCATTTCATTCTTTTTTTCTTTATATCCTTGAATTATGGAATTTTAGAACAGGAAGGGAATTTAGAGATTACCTAGTCTAAAACTCCTATTTAATAGATGAAGATAAAAATCCAGAGAAGTATTGCGATTTAAAATTATTCTATTTGGCCAGGCGTGGTGGCTCACGCCTGTAATCCCAGCACTTTGGGAGGCTGAGGCAGGTGGATCAGGAGGTCAAGATATCGAGACCATCCTGGCCAACATGGTGAAACCCTGTCTCTACTAAAAATACAAAAATTAGCTGGGCATGGTGGTGCGCGCCTGTAGTCCCAGCTACTCAGGAGCCTGAAGCAGGAGAATCGCTTGAACCCAGGAGGCAGAGGTTGCAGTGAGCTGAGATTGTGCCACTGCACTCCAGCCTGGTGACAGAGCAAGACTCGGTCTCAAAAAAAAAAATTATTCTATTCTACCAGTCAAAGGCAGACATAGGATGAGAATACAAGCTTTCTTCAAGATCCAGCATAAATCCTCACCCTCTGAGAGCTTCTTCCAAATTCCAGCTCAGCTCACATATTTTTCATCTGAATTTTGCAATTATTGTCTACATCATTGCGTATATTATCTACATTTATTGTCTGCATCATTTTGGCAATAATCAGAGTATAATACTGCCTTGCACTGCTACTCAAGTCTTTCACATTGGTTTGACTTGACTCTCCAGTTAGCTGTAAACTCTGGAAAGCACAGATTTTTCACTTTTATTTTCTCTGCTGGCAGTTAATGATATTAAGCAGATATGTACTGAGTGAATTAATGGGCACATAGTAGGGATTCAAATATTTTTTGACTGATTAGTCATCACTTCTCACCTATCTTTTCAAAATATAGTGGTTCTTGTTCCTTAACATTTGCTTCTATTTCCATTGTAATTTTTAAAAACCATACTTAGATTTTTGGCAAGCAATGAAAAGATGGTCATGCCTCTGCACAGTCTGCTGCAATGTATTTTTTCTACACTTGGCAGAAAACCCAAGGTTTCTGCCCTATTTTTTGTTCTCTGCCCTGCAGTTCATCTAATCTTCTAGCTCATGGTGGCTTTCTCTGCTAGATATTGTTCTGAAGAGTGACCCAATTAAATATGGCCCCATTTGATGCAGTGGGACTTTATGTGGGGCTAGTTTCAGATGACCACCTTGTAATTTTCCGAACCTTTATTTATGTAGTTTTTTTTTTTTTCATTCCTCAGCACCTGCTGCAGATGCTAGTGTGCCATCACAATAAATCCTCCTGTGCTGACTTTCAGGCAGAAGACACAGCTGTGAGCAGAGCTGGTCATGTGTCATCTACTGCTTTTTAAGCAGATCCTCGTGTGTATCCATTGTCTGAGCTTTAAGTAGAAGCTTTTTTAACCTACATAGTTTTTCACTGAATCTGTTAGTTTCAGCATGCTGTTTGTGTTGTTTTCAGTAGTGCAATTCCTGATATCTATCAAGTAAACACCATTAAGGATTGAGCTCACTTCATGCTCCTGTTCAGGTGCTATGTTTTGATTTGTCGGTATCCCAGAGAAGCAGCCCATTGCATCCAAGGCCAGAACAGAAGGCAGCGATTGCAAAACATCATATTTTGTAGCAGGACGATGTAGTAACTTTGAAATACTGATCCTTATTAACATATTGGTGTGCACAATGCTTTCTTTTGGCATCTGAGTATTGATGGGATTATTTTAAATCCATATTAAAAATTACTCCAAAGCAGGCAGATTGCTTGAACCCAGGAGACCAGCCTGAGCAACATAGTAAAACCCATCTCTACAAAATATACAAAAATTTGCTGGACATGGTGGCCCATGCCTATGGTCCCAGCTACTTGGGAGGCTGAGGTGGGAGGATCATTTGAGCAAGAGGATGAGGCTGCAGTGAGCCATGATCACACCACTGTACTCCAGCTTTGGCGATGGGAGTGAGACCATGTCTCAAAAAATGAAAATAAAACAAATTACTGATATTTAACTGGGCACAGTGGTTCATGCCTGTAATGCCAACACTTTGGGAGGTTGAGGCGGGAGGATCATTTGAGGCCAGGAGTTCAAGACTAGCCTGGGCAACACAGTGAGACCCCATCTCTATTAAAAAAAATTTTTTTTTTGGCCGGGCATGGTGGCTCATGCCTGTAATCCTAGCACTTTGGGAGTCCAAGGCGGGAGGATCACAAGTTCAGGAGATCGAGACCGTCTTGGCCAACATGGTGAAACACCATCTCTACTAAAATACAAAAAATTAGCCAGGCGTAGTGGTGCGTGCCTGTAATCCCAGCTACTTGGGAGACTGAGGAAGGGGAATCTCTTGAACCCCGGAGGCAGAGGTTGCAGTGAGCTGAGATGGCGCAACTGCACTCCAGCCTGGTGACAGAACAAGACTCCATCTCAAAAACAAAAACAAAAACAAAAAACAACTTTGGGAGGCCAAGGCGGGTGGATCACCTGAGGTCAGGAGTTCAAGACCAGCCTGAACAACATGGTGAAACCCCATCTCAAAATACAAAAAAAAATTAGCTGGGCGTGGTGGCAGGCGCCTATAATCCCAGCTACTCTGGAGGCTGAGGCAGGAGAATTGCTTGAACCCAGGAGGTGGAGGTTGCAGTGAGCTGAGATTGCACTGTTGCACTCCAGCCTGGCTGACGAGCAAAATACTCTGTCTCAAAAAAAGAAAAAAAAATTTTTTTTTTTTAATTAGCCAGGCATGGTGTCATGTGCCCGTAGTCCCACGTACTCAGGAGGCTGAGGTGGGAGGATCGCTTGAGCCCAGGAGGTCAAGGCTGCAGTGAGTTGTGATTACACCACTGCTCTCCAGCCCGGGCGACAGAGCAAGACCCTGTCTCAAAAAAACCAACCAAACAAACAAACAAACTACGGATATTTTAAAGCAAATCTGTTAATTTCCATAGCCAGGTAAGTTATTTCAAATGATATGTAGCTAGACCACACTCAGTACATACTGTGCTATTTCATGCCTCCATGCCTTGGAACACTCTGTTTCTCTTTGCTAGAATGCACTCCCTTTGCATTCTCCTAAGTCTTTTAAGATACTATTTGAATGTCTCTTACAAAACAATTTCATCTTTGTGCCTCTACTACACCTAATTTACATGTTTGGTATTACACTTACTATAAGTGTATTACTGCTATTTAGTTTATACATATGTCACCTTGTTATAGATTGTGAGATCCCTAAAGATAAGGACTATGTCCTTATCTTTCCACCATTTAGCACTGTGGCTGACATATATCATGTTTGATAAAGGAACATGATTTATTTCCTCTGGGTGGTATTTGACTAATCCTTGGTCTTTCTATCACATATAAAGAAAATCCTAAAATAGATGAATTTTTCATGTTGAATTGTCTGAATTCGTATGAATGTATGAATTTGGGGGTGTTTTTTAAAAGTGGAAATAATTTAATGTTTTTTAATGCTTATGAACATGCTCAGAGCAAAAAAAAAAAAAATCAGATAGTCAGAATGGGAAAACAAACAGTGAAAATCACCAACAGTTTCATCCACCAAAGTAAAACCACAGTTAACATTCTAGCATAGAGCTTTCCAGACTTTTTCCTTTTTCCTTTTTTTTTTTTTTTTTTTTTTTTTTGAGATAGAGTCTTGCTTTATCACCCAGGCTGGAGTTCAGTGGCACAACCATAACTCACTGTAACTTCGGACTCCTGGGCTCAAGCCATCCTCAGTCTCCCAAGTAGCTGAGATCACAGGTGCATGCCACCATGCCCAGGTAATTTTTATTTTTGCAGAGATGGGGGTCTCACTATATTACCAAGGCTGATCTTGAACTTCTGGCGTCAAGTGATCCTCCCTCCTCGGCCTCCCAAAGCACAGGATTACAGGCATGAGCCACCACTCCTGGGCCCATCAATGCATTTTTAATGCATATCAAAAGTACCATGTGTATTGTTTTGTGACCTGCTTTTTCACTTAACAATATCTTGCAGGCAACTTTCCATGTAATAAATTTATTGCTACATATCCGTTTTTGGTCAATGCATAGAACGATGTACTATATACTTTATTTAACGAATCTCCTATAGATGATCACTAAGTATTTTAGGTAGCTTCTTATGGTCGCCCAGAACAAAGACATCCCTCAAGACACTTTATTTTTATTTTATTATTATTATTTTTAGAGAGAGTCTTAGTCTGTCACCCAGGCTGGAGTGCAGTGGTGCAATCCTGGCTCACTGCAACCTCTACCTCCTGGGTTCAAACGATTCTCATGCTTCAGCCTCCCGAGTAGCTGGGATGCATGCCACGACACCCAGCTAATTTTTGTATTTTTAGTAGACATAGGGTTTCGCCATGTTGGCCAGGCTGGTTTCGAACTCCTGACCTCAGGTGATCCACCCACCTCGGCCTCCTAAAATGCTGGGATTATAGGCATAAGCCACCATGCCCAGCTGGCAAGATACTTTAAAAATGTAGGAAAGACTCATTCAGATTTCCTCAAGGATCAAGAGGGCAAGTTAAAGGATGTTCAGTCCATAGATCAAAACTGGAACCAGAAGTCCATCTATCAGGACACAGCTCTATAAACCAACTACTCTTTCTGACACTTCTTTTTTTTTCTGACTGAGTCTTGCTCTGTTGTCCAGGCTGGAATGCAGTGGTGTGATCTCAGCTCACTGCAACCTCCACCTCCCGGCTTCAAGCCATTTTCCTGCCTCAGCCTCCCCAGTAGCTGGGATTACAGGCACCTGCCACCATGCCCAGCTAATTTTTGTATTTTTAGTAGAGATGGGGTTTCACCATGTTGTTCAGGCTGGTCATGAACTCCTGACTTCAGGTGTTCTGCCCGCCTCAGCCTCCCAAAGTGCTGGGGTTATAGGCATGAGCCACTGCGCCCAGCCTCTTTCTGACACTTCTGTCTCTCCTCTCATCTCCATGTCTCCCCAATTTTCTCTTCTTCTTCAGAGTTTTTGCTTCCTCTCAACTTCCACTTGTACAGAGCTTTGACTTGGCTTGCTCTCGTCTCCTACATGTGATATTCTTTTGGTTTCTGTCCCTTATTGTCAGTAAGTAGAAGTTCAGATATTTTTATCCTATACCCAGAGGATGATCTTGTACACTCCACTTGAGATCCCCGGTGTAGAAGTGAAAGAAGTAGCGAGAAATGGAGGTGAAGAGATAAGTGGGGGCCAGATCATAGAGAGCTCATATTAAAGAGTCTGGCTTTTTACCCAAGAGTAAGAGAAAACCACTAAAAGATTTTAGGAATATTTATGATTTAGGAAGACTTTTCTAGCTAAGTGTGATTGTGCCTGCAAGTCTGTAGATGGCAGGAAGGCTAGTTGAGAGACTGTTGCAACAATTCATATGAGAAACATTAGAGTCCAAGAAACATCCCAGAAACAGTTTTTAACTTGGACAGTTCTATCAGTGCTGGGGGCATTCCCTGAAACAGGAACTCTGGAGAGCTGATGAGCTTACAAGTCGTTTCTATAAGGCAGAAGGTTTTCTAGTTGAACGAAAAATTACACATTACTTCACTAAGTCCTTGAAGATCTTCATCTGACAACCTCAGACCTTTTCTACTCTCAAATTCTATTCAAGAGCTGTTTGGGGTTGTGGTTGTCTTAAGTCTTAAACCATGAAGCTAATTTTTACTCCTCTAGCTTTATCCTTTGTCATAATGAAATAAATTTTCTTGACTGAATAACATGTCATGCCTTTTACCTCCTCCTGCCAATGTGTGACGGATATGTAAGAAAAAAATACTAAAAAAATTTTTGATAATCCATTCACAAAGTGTGATCTTTCTCCATGTTCCCCCCACCACCCCACTTTTTGTTACACTTTCTCTTTCTCCTCCTCCTCTTCCCTCTGGGAAGTCGTTTTGAAGGAACAGGCATCTGTCTAGACTGTTTCTTATTTCTAGAAAGTATTAGGTGGATGACTGATGCTTCAGAAATATGGATTCCAAAGAAAAAGGAAACAAGATTACTGGGGTTTAGTCAACTAGCTTTACAACAAGACACAAACAATTCCCTTAGTCTAGTAGTAGAATGGTAGGTATGGGCCTGGAAAGGTTCATTCATCATGCCTGATGTTCCTCACATCTGGGCCTGCCTTTTATTCCTCAAGAAGAACTTATCCTAGCAAGACTGATGGCCAGCTCTCCTGAGCATTCTCGAAGCTGAAGCAGGATACCTCTCCACTGTCTTTCCTCCTTTTCCTCTCCCACTCAAAGATAATTTTTGGGTGAGAGCAAATTAAGTCTAGGAATTTACTAACTTGAAACATTACTTTTTAAAGTGTATGTCTTAGCTATAGTATTATTTATCTATAACTTTGGCTAAAGTAGTAAGACCTGATCCATCTGACTTAAATCCATTGAAATGTGTTCCCCCAAAACCCTATCAAAGAATTTACAACTTCTATCTCTTACTTAGGACTCCTTTAACTGTAGTTTACATATCTTAGAGTTTTTCTAGATGGATACATAGAAACAGCATTTCCCTGGAACAGAGGCTCATAAAAATGATGGTATAGGCCAGGTGCAGTGGCTTATGCCTGTAATCCCAACAGTTTGGGAGGTCAAGGTAGGTGGATCACTGAGGTCAGGAGTTCAAGACCATTCTGGGCAATACAGAGAGACCTGTCTCTACAAAAAAAGTTTATTTATTTATTTATTTATTTTTATTTTTATTTTTTTTTGAGACAGTCTCACTCTGTCGCCCAGGCTGGAGTGCAGTGGCGCAATCTCGGCCACTGCAAGCTCTGCCTCCTGGGTTCAAGCCATTCTCCTGCCTCAGCCTCTGGAGTAGCTGGGACTACAGGCGACCGCCACCACGCCCAGCTAATTTTTTTGTATTTTTAGTAGAGACAGGGGTTTCACCGTGTTAGCCAGGATGGTCTTGATCTCCTGACCTTGTGATCCACCTGCCTCGGCCTCCCAAAGTGCTGGGATTACAGGCGTGAGCCACCACGCACGGCCACTGGAGATGTAATTTACATACCATAATGTTCACCCATTTAAAGTGTATAATTCAATGATTTTTAGTATAGTTACAGAGCTGTGCAACAATTGCTACTATCTAATTCCAGATTATTTCCATTATACCAAAAAGAAATCCATAAGCAGTCACTCTCCATTCTTCCTCCCCCTAGGTCTAGGCCTACTTTTTGACTCTATGGATTTACCAGTTCTGGACATTTCATATAAATGGTATCATACTATATGGGGTTTTTTGTGATTGGATTATTTCACTTAGCATAATGTGTTTGAGCTTCATCTATGTTTTTAGCATGTATCAATACTTCATTACTATTTTTTTTTTTTTTTTTTTGAGACAGAGTCTTTCTCTGTCACCCAGGCTGGAGTGCAATGTCGCGATCTTGGCTCACCGCAACCTCCGCTTCCCGAGTTCAAGCGATTCTCCTGCCTCAGCCTCCTGAGTACTTGGGATTACAGGCGCCCGCCACCACGCCTGGCTAATTTGTGTGTGTGTGTGTGTGTGTGTGTGTTTTTAGTAGAGATGGGGTTTCACTGTGTTTGCCAGGATGGTCTCAATCTCCTGACCTCATGATCCGCCAGCCTTGGCCTCCCAAAGTGCTGAGATTACAGACGTGAGCCACCACGCTTGGCCAATGCAAGTCTTTTCTTTTTTTTTTTTTTTGAGACGGAGTCTCGCTCTGTCGCCCAGGCCGGACTGCGGACTGCGGACTGCAGTGGCGCAATCTCGGCTCACTGCAAGCTCCGCTTCCCGGGTTCACGCCATTCTCCTGCCTCAGCCTCCCGAGTAGCTGGGACTACAGGCGCCAGCCACCGCGCCCGGCTAATTTTTTTTGTATTTTTTTTTAGTAGAGACGGGGTTTCACCTTGTTAGCCAGGATGGTCTCGATCTCCTGACCTCAAGATCCACCCGCCTCGGCCTCCCAAAGTGCTGGAATTACAGGCGTGAGCCACCACGCTTGGCCAATGCAAGTCTTTTCAAAGAATTTATTACTCTTGACTTGTGCACAAGTCATGGCCTTTATTTTCTAGCTCTGCAAATTACTGTTGTTAACCCAGCACTTATATACCTGCTTATCACTTTTATTATCTGTTTTAATAATAGAGATCACAGAAAAGTGAAATGCAATGCAAAACAAATCCCAGCCCAGTTTGCAAACACCAAGCATGAGCAAGAGGCCAAGTGAGCTGCCAGCCTCTCATTCAACCTTATGTTCCTAGTGCAACAAGCAGCAGCAGTTCTGTATCACAGTGATGTTATAGAACCTGTAGCCAGTCTAGGCCCTGTGATTCATGTTCCCTACATATCTGATTGTATCTAGTTTGCAATGTGAAAATCCACTGTAGAAGAAATGTCTGTAAGTGTAAGTTGCTATGGAAACGTGGAGAAAGAAATACTTAATTCCTTCTTGGAGGTACCAGGGGGATTGAAGTTCAGGGAAGGTTGCCCATTTGATCTGAGTTTTGAGTAAGGAGAGAATGTGTTCGTAGGTATACAAGGGGGGACAGGCACATCCAGGTGAGGATACATCATGAAGAAACAGGAAACATTGCTGTGGAAGTTTAGAGAATGGAAATTTGTCTGTCATGGCTGAAACAAGGTTTTTTGAAAGCCAATTTTCAAATAAGTTTTAAAATAATGTAAATGTACATCTATTCTATTGTGTAGAACTAGTATATCTTATATCCTAAGAACAGGCATTGCTATTCCTCAATCACTTCTCAATGACTTATTTAGATAATTTTACTCACATTAATCTGCATTAATTTTCTTCCCATTAGCCATTTTTCTCTAAGAGTTACTATAATTTACAAAAGGTACTGGCAGTCTGTGATAAAAATATATATCCACGTACAGTCATTCACGTGGCTTGGGGGCTGAAAACTGAGCTCTAAGCAGGATATCTAGATGTTGGCATGTCCTTCAAGGAACTCCATGAACCTGGGCAAGTTGCTCAACTTGTTTTGACCTCAACATTTTTTATGGGTAAAACAAGATGATCTCTAAGATCCCTTCGACTATAATGGTCCTTTCAGATGGTGAATTGTGAACTAAGCAGCCTAATGTCCTATCTGGCTAGGAGATTTGCCTTACATGCCTGGAACAAGACAGAAATTAAAATATTTATGTCCTAAGAAAGGGTCTCTCAGGTAGAGACCCCTAGACAATGATGGGGCAAGGCAAATAACCTCACACTTAAGTACATGATAAACTGCTGCCCATGCTAATCTGTCATTAAAGTTTGGTTAAATTAGAATCAGAAATTTGTAGACATGAGCAGTGCTATTTTGTTGTTGTTGTTGTTTTGAGGCAGGGTCTTGCTCTGTCACCCAGGCTGGAGTGCAGTGGTGTGATCACAACTCACTGCAGCCTCAATCTCCTGGGCTCAAGTGATCCTCCCACCTCAGCCTCTCAACTAGGTTGGACTACAGGTGTGCACCACCATGCCCAGTTAATGTTTTTTTTAAAAAAAAATTTAGAGATAGGGTCTCAATATGTTGCCCAGGCTAGTTTTGAACTCTTGGCCTCAAGTGATACTCCTGTCTTGGCCTCCCAAAGTATTGGGATTACAGGTATAAGCCACCACAATTGGCCACTATGCTTTTTTAAAAATTGTAGTAAAAGGCCAGGCACGGTGGCTCACGCCTGTAATTCCAGCACTTTGGGACGCCAAGGTGGGCGGATCACTAGGTCAGGAGTTCAAGACCAGCCTGGCCAACATGGTGAAACCCTGTCTTTACTAAAAATATAAAAATTAGCTGGGTGTGGTGGTGTGCACCTGTAATCCCAGCTACTTGGGAGGCTGAGGCAGGAGAATCGCTTGAACCCAGGAGGCGGAGGCTGCAGTGAGCCAAGACTGTAACACTGCACCCTAGCCTGGGCGACAGAGTGAGACTCAGTCTCAAAAAAGAAAATATTGTAGTAAAATACACAGAACATGAAGTTTACCATTTTAACCATTTTTAGGTGTACAATTCAGTTGTATTATGTACATTCACAATATTGTGTAATCATCATCACTAACTATAAATGCTATGCTTTCGTGTTTTGTTTTTCCTCCCTTAGTTTCCTTAGATAATGTTATTTTAAATAAATCTTCTCCCTCAGCTGAATGAAAAGAAAAGAAACTTTTTCGCTTGGGCATGGTGGCTCACGCCTGTATTCCCAGCACTTTGGGAGGCCGAGGTGGGTGGATCACGAGGTCAGGAGATCGAGACCATCCTAACTAACACGGTGAAACCCCGTCTCTACTAAAAATACAAAAAATTAGCCAGGCGTGGTGGCGGGCACCTGTAGTCCCAGCTACTTGGGAGGCTGAAGCAGGAGAATGGCGTGAACCCGGGAGGCGGAGCTTGCAGTGAGCCGAGATAGCACCACTGCACTCCAGCCTGGGCGACAGAGTGAGACTCTGTCTCAAAAAAAAAAAAAAAAGAAAAGGAAAGAAAAAAAACTTTTTCATATCGCCATTACAGTTTTTCTTTTTCTTTCTTTCTTTCTTTTTTTTTTTAAGAGGCAGGGGTCTCACTATGTTGCCCAAGCTGGATTCAAACTCCTGGACCTATGCAATCCTCCATCCTGAGCCTCCAGAGTAGCTGGGACTATGGCATGTGCCAGTGCATCAGGCTACAGTGGTTCTTAACTTGGAGATCCTTTTCCCCCTCAGGGGACTTTTGGCAATGTCTGGATACTATTGACATCTAGTGGGTATAGGCTAGCAATGTTGCTAAACATCCTACAATGTACAAAACAGTTGCCCACTCGCCCCCCGCACAACAAAGAATTATCTAGCCCCAAATGTCATTAGTGTTGCTTTTGTGATTCCTTGCTCTTTCAGAATCAGTCTGGGGCTCTATGCCTCTCTCTCTCAGCAATGGAGAGGCATGGTGGTAATAAGATTGGAAAAGTTTTGAAACCCAAGGAAATACAGCAAGACCCAGGCAGATAAAGAGAAGAAACCAAATAAGGATGAACTGTGAACATTAATTCCTTTTCTCCTAGTGATCCCCTCATTGTGTTGCTCTCTAATTCTATGTTAGTGGTCATTTTATAACTGTTCCTGTAGTACAATACTTATCAACAGCATGACTACAATGGTGAAAGGACAGGACCAAGATGCAAGAGGCCCAAACAGTGAAAGGCAGTGTTTAATTACTTCTTCATTTGGAATGAGTTATTTCTAAGAAGCAGTCTTCTCTTGAAATTTGACTTCTATTGTACCTTGATCATTGGCATCTGACCCTCAGTTTCCTGGATATGCTAGTAATATGTCTGGTCCTGATTGTGGATTGTTTGCAATCTTTTTCCAAGAGGAATATTAGTTTGGTTAGTAGTCTCAGTGGAACTTCCTAGCAGAAAAAAATAAGCAGTAATTCCTCTTCTAACTTCACTCTTGGCCGGGTGTGGTGGCTCACACCTGTAATCCCAGGACTTTGGGAGGCCAAGGTAGGAGGATCGCTTGATGTCAGGAGACCAGCCTGGGCAACATGGCAAAATCCTGTCTCTACTAAAAATACAAAAATTAGCTGGGCATGGTGGTGTATGCCTGTGGTCCCAGCTACTTGGGAGGCAGAGGTAGAAGGATCGCTTGAGCCCAGGGTGGAGTTTTTTGTTTGTTATGGTAGTTTGTTTGTTTTTTAATTTTTATTTATTTATTTACTTTTATACACATGAGCCACCACGCCAGGCCAATTAGACCAGTTTTTAAATTTTAAGAGTTTGACTGCTCATTTTAAGACTATAAGTCATTTTGACACAGACCTATGTTAGAAATGAGCTGAATTGTCCTAAGACCTAAATATGGGGAAATGGCCAGGTTGTTAAGTTCCGTACTTAAATGTTTTATGAAGTCTCAAATGATTGCTGCTAAGAGAGGATCCTAACTTTTGATCCAATGAGAAATAATTTGCTCATGGAATGAGGAACAGAGATAACAGAGTGGGGAGGTTCCCAGGATGCGGCTTGCCTTTCCTCCCTCCCCGCCCAACAAAAGAACAGAGGTAGCTATACCAGCACTTCCCAAATTGTGCTCCATGGGACAATAATGCCTACAAAGTCAGCAAGTGTTAAGACAAAAATTGGGGGGGTGGTGGGGTTAAAACCAGGATGCAAACTAATTATTAGGTTCCCTAAGTGAAAATGTCAGTGCTCCAAGAAGCAGACATCAATTAGAATGCTTTTTCAACATAGTTTCCTTATTTTTCACTCAAGGTAACATTCAGTAATTACTGGATATTTCCTGCACTGGCTTATCAGCCATCTGCTCCTGGTAATCTTGCCCCTAGAATTTTGTCAAAGTTCCAACCAGAAACAGAGATTGACCCTGCCCGTCTCAGTAAGACCTGACCTGATTTCTGCTCCCTGCTCCCCAGGTTATCTGCCTTCTTCTCGTTTAATCAAGAAGATTGATAGGCTGGGCGTGGTGGCTCAAACCGGTAATCCCAGCATTTTGGGAGTCTGAGGCAGGCGAATTACTTGAGTTCACGAGTGAGACCAGACTGGGCAACATCTATTAAAAATACAAAAACTTAGCTGAGCGTGGTGGCAGGTGCCTGTAGTCTCACCTACTCGGGTGGCAGAGGTGGGAGGATCACTTGAACCGGGAGGCAGAGGTTGCAGTGAGCTGAGATCGTGCTGCTGCACTGCAGCCTGGGCAACACAGCCAGACCCTGTCTCCAGAAAAAAAAAAAAAGATTGATAGTGAAGACATCCAATTATAACTTTTTCTTTCTCATTTGGAGCGCTAAAAGGTAAGCATCTTCTCGTCTCCACTAGAAATATTATAAGGTGGTAAGCGTTTTTGTAATGTAGTATATTTGATATGCTCTTTCCTTTCCTCTGATATAATTTATATGCTTTATGTTGTGGAAAAAGAACAACTTAAGGTTGTTCTTAACCTAAACTTAATACGTTATTTTCGCAGTGACTGCTTAGCTCTGCAAGTGATGTTCAGGATGTTCACATATTCACAGGCATGTGGTCACAGACTCACCCTGCTATTCAACACCTACAGAGTTAATAGGTTTCCTTATACATGAATATTCATAGCAGCATTATTCGTAATAGCCAAAAGGTGGAAACAAATTAAATGTTTTCTAACTGAATATTTAACAAAATGTGGCATATCTATATACTGGAATATTATTTGGCAATAAAGAACAATGTGGTCTGGATTTCATATTATTAAAGTCAATGTTGGCCAGGTGCAGTGGCTCACGACTGTAATCCCAGCACTTTGGGAGGCCAAGGCAGGTGGATCACAAGGTCAGCAGTTCGAGACCAGCCTGGCCAACATAGTGAAACCCCGTATCTACTAAAAATACGAAAAAAAAAAAAATTAGCCGGGCATGGTGGCAGTCTCTTGTAATCCCAGCTACTTGGGAGGCTGAGGCAGGAGAGTCACTTGAACTTGGGAGGCAGAGATTGCAGTTAGCCGAGATCATGCCACTGCACTCCAGCCTGGGTGAGAGAGCAAGACTCCATCTCAAAATAAAATAAAGTCAATGTTAATAAGATTTTAAAAGTTATTTTTTTGGAATGTAAGCGCTTGGAAAACTTAAAGGCCAGAAATGATAACAGTAATGGGAAAGCTCCAGAGTGTGAAGTTAAAGGGCCATGAGAAGGGTTCAGGCTTGTTTTTGTTCATTTTGATCAACCAATCTGTTATTATTATTATTATCATTATTATTTGAGATGAAGTCTCGCTCTGTCTCCCAGACTGGAGTGCAGTGGTGCAATCTTGGCTGACTGCAACCTCCGCCTCCTGGATTCAAGCGATTCTGCTGCCTCAGCTTCCTGAGTAGCTGGGATTACAGGTGTGTGCAACCATGCCCAGCCAATTTTTATATTTTTAGTAGAGATGGGGTTTCATCATCTGGCAAGGCTGGTCTTGAACTCCTGACCTTGTGATCCACCCTCCTCGGCCTCCCAAAGTGCTGGGATTACAGGCATGACCCACTGTGTCTGGCCCCAATCTGTTATTTTTTTTATTATTATTTTTTGAGACGGAGTCTCGCTCTGTCGCCCAGGCTGGGGTGCAGTGGTGCGATCTCGGCTCACTGCAAGCTCTGCCTCCTGGGTTCACGCCACTCTCCTGCCTCAGCGTCCCAAGTAGCTGGGACCACAGGCGCTTGCTACCACGCCCGGCTAATATTTTGTATTTTTAGTAGAGATGGGATTTCACCGTGTTAGCCAGGATAGTCTCGATCTCCTGACCTCGTGATCCGCCCACCTCAGCCTCCCAAAGTGCTGGGATTATAGGCGTGAGCCACCGTGCCTGGCCCCCAATCTGTTATTTTTAAGCCACAATAACAAAAACGTCTTTATTGCTGCCATTACTGAAAAAAAGAACTTTATTATTTTTTCTTATATCTCAATTCTTCCCATTGAGACCATCAACTTTTAAATGCAATTTTTAAATAATGTGTGTTTTTTTTTTTTTTTTTTTTTGAGACAGAGTCTCACTCTGTCTTGCCCAGGCTGGAGTGCAGTAGTGTGATCTTGGCTCACTGCAAACTCTGCCACCCGAGTTCAAGTGATTCTCCTGCCTCAGCCTCCCTAGTAGCTGGGATTACAGGAACCTGCTACCGCACCTGGCTAATTTTTGTAGTTTTAGTAGAGACGGGGTTTCACCATCTTGGCCAGGCTGGTCTTGAACTCCTGACCTCGTGATCCGCCCACCTCAGCCTCCCAAAGTGCTGGGATTACAGGCATGAGCCACTGCGCCCAGCTGATAACGTGATGTTTTAAACCCAAGTTGTGCAAATAACACAACAGTGCCTTTATTTGCTGCTTATTGAATTCTACCTTGTAATACTTTATCTCTCAGATTGTAAGCTTATTGAAGACAGGAATCATACCATTCATCTTCATATTTCATTTCTCCCTTGGCTTCAGAAAAAGACTACCATGTCTAACACATAGGCACTGAATACCTTTTTTTTCTTCAGTGAAATTGAATGGGAATTTTAAAATTATGATCTTTTTTAAACCTTTTTTATTGTGAAATCAGCAAGGCAGAAAAGAGCACAATACAAAAATGTATAGCTCAACAAATTATCCACAAAGCAACATCCATGTAGCTATTACTCAGCTCAATAAAAACATTACCAGCAACCCTCTCTCAATCACTATCCCCTTTGTTCTCCCAAAGGTAACTATTATCTTGACTTTTGTAAACACATACTCTTAAATACTGTAGGTTAGTCTGGCCTGGTTTTTAAAACTTACTACAAATGGAATAACACTGAACAGGAAGAGAAAACCTTGAAATATTCAGAGCTGAAAATGATTAAGGTGAGTATTTTTTAGATGCCTGCCCCCCGCCACATTTTCTCTCCCTCTCTACCTGCCCCAGAAAAAGGAAGCCCTAATTCCTTAGTTCTCTAAACCTGCTCATCCAAGAGGCAGTTACCCTAGAGGAGCCGCCTGCTGGAGCATCCCGCCCAACACATTGCCGTGTGAAGAGCTCCCCTGCTGCTACTGACTCCGGATGACTGGGATCCATCAGGAAACTCCGTCCAAGGGCACTAATTGTGCATGTGTTCTTTTGTATCTCAGATTCACCTATAATGAATCCATAATGTTGTAAATAGATTTGTACCTAAAATTCATCCATAATCATCCATAATGTTGCATATAGATTTAGCCTGCTCATTTCCATTGCTGTATGTCATTCCATTGTATGAACACATCACACTACGTATTTACTCGTTCTTTTTTTTTTTTTTTTTTTTTTTTTTTCAGATGAGGTCTCGCTCTGTCGGCCCAGGCTCCAGTGCAGTGGTGTGATCTCGGCTCACTGCAAGCTCCGCCTCCTGGGTTCAAGCCATTCTCCTGCCTCAGCCTCCTGAGTAGCTGGAACTACAGGCGCCTGCCACCACGCCTGGCTAAGTTTTTGTATTTTTAGTAGAGACAGGGTTTCACCGTGTTAGCCAGGATGGTCACCATCTCCTGACCTCATGAACCACCCGCCTCGGCCTCCCAAAGTGCTGGGATTACAGGCATGAGCCACTGTGCCTGGCCTCATATTTATTCATTGTACTGTCGATGCCATATTTAGGTTATTTCCAGTTTGGAACGATTACAAATAACATCTCCATGAACATTTATATATATGTCTCTTGATATATATGTGTTGACTTTTGTACTGGATACCTGAGGGTGGAATTGCTGGAATTGCTGGATCACTGAGTATGCACCTTCCACCTTAGTAGAGAAAGTCAAGCTGTTGTTGTATCACTCCTGCCAGCAGTGTATGAGAGTTCCCAGTGCTTCACACCCTTGCCAACAGTTATTATTGTAGTCTGTTTAATTTTAGCTTTTCTGGGGGATATACAGTATTATCCAATTGTGGGTTTTTGTTTGTTTGTTTTGTTTTGTTTTTTTAGAGACAGAGTCTTGCTCTGTTGCCCAGGCTGGAGTGCAGTAGCAGGATCACAGCTCACTACAGCTTCAAACTCCTGGGCAGAATTGAGCCTCCCACATCAGCCTCCCAAGTAACTGGCACTGCAGGTACATGCCACCCTACCTGGCTAATTTTTATTTTTTTTCGTAGAGACAGAGTCTGACTATGTTGCCCAGGCTGGTCTTTTTATTTTCCTTTAATTTTTATTTATTTATTTATTTATTTATTTATTTTTAGAGATGGGTTTTCACCTTGTTGCCCAGGCTGGTCTTGAACTCCTGGGCTGAAGCAACCCTTCAGCCTCGGCCTCCCACAGTGCTGGGATTACAGGCATGAGCCACCATGCTCAGCCCCAATTGTGGTTTTAATTTACATTTTCCTGATCACTAATGAGATTGGGCAATTTTCATATGTTTATTGGCTATTTGATATCCTCTTTTGAAATGCCTGTTCAAGTCTCTTGCCTGTTTTTCAATTGAGTTGTTCATCTTTTTGTTATTGATTTCCAGTAGTTCTTCATACAGTATACTCTGGATACAAGCCTTTGGTCAGTTGTATATGTCGTAAATTTCCTCTCCTTTTTGTAGCTTGTCTTTTCATTCTCTATATAGTCTTTTGAAGAAGAGAAATTCTTGATTATAACACAGTCAAATTCATCAACTTTTTAATATGTTCCCTGTTTTAGAATGCTTTCCCTACACCAAGATCATAAAGGTATTCTGTATTATCCTCTAGAAATTGTATGTTTTTCCTTTCAAATTTAGATCTACAATCTACATTGGATTGTCTTTTATATATGATGTGAGTTAAAGGTTGTTTCTTTTTTTCTTCCCAAGATTCTTTTTCAAATATCATAGTGTCATTTATTGAAAAGACTGTTCTTTCTCCACTGCTCTGCAGCACCATCTTTGTTAAGAATCAAATGTTGATCAATATATGAGCCATTTCATTCTATTTGTCTATCCTTGTACCGACATCACACTGTCTTAATTGCTATAGCTTTATACCATGTCTTTATATCCAAGAGAACAAGTGCTCCATTCCAGTTCTTCTTCAGTTTGGGTCTTGGCTATTTGCATTTCTGTATAATTTTTAGAATTAACATGTCAAGTGGAACTTTCATTTTTCTCTCCTAGTGCTGACTTTCAGCAGCTAAATTTCTGTGGGACTATAGTTATTTAGAACTTTAATGACAATAGCACTTTGAAAGGACATGATATAGTGGGAAAAACATGGGCCGTGCTATCAGACTTGAGGTTGAATTTACTCCTACCATTCTCTGTTACTGTGGGACATGAGAATGGTACAGGCTTGTTTTTATCTATTTTGATCAATTTTTAGGCCACAATAACAGAAACATCTTTATTACTGAAATTAGGGAAGAAAAATAACTTTGTTATTGCAAATATGAGACTATCTTCTTCCCATTGAGACAGTCACTTTTATAAGCACAAGTTAATTAGCTTCCCTAAATTCAGGCTTATCAGTTTGTAAAATGGGGATAAAAATAATTACTTTATGAGGAATGAACCTTTGTAAATGTGCTTAGCACAGAAAAGGAACTTGATAATGGTGGTCCTTATATCTGTTCTTTCTTGGCTTGTCTAGCGTGTTTTCCTACACCCTTCTCAGTTGACTGGGAGCAATGGCAGGTCTGAGATGCTAGAAGTTTTTGATAATAAGAGCCTAATTTTCAGAAATTCATATTATCTAAACTGGGAGAGATTGGGGTACATTAGATACATATTATCTAAACTGGGAGAGATTGGGGTAAAAATTATGTATATGAATACATTCTTTATAAATGTTTTATAAATTATGATGCACATTTTAAATTTCACCATTATTCTTCTCTTCCTCCTCCTTTAATATTAGTTATAAATCATACAGAGTATAGGTTTTGTTTCTATAATGCTCAGTGCAATAAAAAGTCAGGCTTGTGACTGGATTGTTAAAATTCAGCACTGCACGGGTTTGTTGGCATCATGATAAATATTTCTTAGTCCAGTTCAGAAATGTGTCAAAGCTATCATGACATGTATCAGACATGTCATGATATGACATGACATGCAGCAGACAATGTATCAGTCAGCTCTGGGCATCATTACCCACTTATCATAACTGTAACTTGTGCCTCATCTTTTTAACTTTACATGAATGCATTTTTTTTTTTTTTTTGGAATAATGTTTTTTTTTTTATTATACTTTAAGTTTTAGGGTACATGTGCACATTGTGCAGGTTAGTTACATATGTATACATGTGCCATGCTGGTGCGCTGCACCCACTAACGTGTCATCTAGCATTAGGTATATCTCCCAATGCTATCCCTCCCCCCTCCCCCGACCCCACCACAGTCCCCAGAGTGTGATATTCCCCTTCCTGTGTCCATGTGATCTCATTGTTCAATTCCCACCTATGAGTGAGAATATGCGGTGTTTGGTTTTTTGTTCTTGCGATAGTTTACTGAGAATGATGGTTTCCAATTTCATCCATGTCCCTACAAAGGACATGAACTCATCATTTTTTATGGCTGCATAGTATTCCATGGTGTATATGTGCCACATTTTCTTAATCCAGTCTATCATTGTTGGACATTTGGGTTGGTTCCAAGTCTTTGCTATTGTGAATAATGCCGCAATAAGCATACGTGTGCATGTGTCTTTATAGCAGCATGATTTATAGTCATTTGGGTATATACCCAGTAATGGGATGGCTGGGTCAAATGGTATTTCTAGTTCTAGATCCCTGAGGAATCGCCACACTGACTTCCACAATAGTTGAACTAGTTTACAGTCCCACCAACAGTGTAAAAGTGTTCCTATTTCTCCACATCCTCTCCAGCACCTGTTGTTTCCTGACTTTTTAATGATTGCCATTCTAACTGGTGTGAGATGATATCTCATAGTGGTTTTGATTTGCATTTCTCTGATGGCCAGTGATGATGAGCATTTTTTCATGTGTTTTTTGGCTGCATAAATGTCTTCTTTTGAGAAGTATCTGTTCATGTCCTTCGCCCACTTTTTGATGGGGTTGTTTGTTTTTTTCTTGTAAATTTGTTTGAGTTCATTGTAGATTCTGGATATTAGCCCTTTGTCAGATGAGTAGGTTGCGAAAATTTTCTCCCATGTTGTAGGTTGCCTGTTCACTCTGATGGTAGTTTCTTTTGCTGTGCAGAAGCTCTTTAGTTTAATTAGATCCCATTTGTCAATTTTGGCTTTTGTTGCCATTGCTTTTGGTGTTTTGGACATGAAGTCCTTGCCCGTGCCTATGTCCTGAATGGTAATGCCTAGGTTTTCTTCTAGGGTTTTTATGGTTTTAGGTCTAACGTTTAAGTCTTTAATCCATCTTGAATTGATTTTTGTATAAGGTGTAAGGAAGGGATCCAGTTTCAGCTCTCTACATATGGCTAGCCAGTTTTCCCAGCACCATTTATTAAATAGGGAATCCTTTCCCCATTGCTTGTTTTTCTCAGGTTTGTCAAAGATCAGATAGTTGTAGATATGCGGCATTATTTCTGAGGGCTCTGTTCTGTTCCATTGATCTCTATCTCTGTTTTGGTATCAGTACCATGCTGTTTTGGTTACTGTAGCCTTGTAGTATAGTTTGAAGTCAGGTAGTGTGATGCCTCCAGCTTTGTTCTTTTGGCTTAGGATTGACTTGGCGATGCGGGCTCTTTTTTGGTTCCATATGAACTTTAAAGTAGTTTTTTCCAATTCTGTGAAGAAAGTCATTGGTAGCTTGATGGGGATGGCATTGAATCTGTAAATTACCTTGGGCAGTATGGCCATTTTCACGATATTGATTCTTCCTACCCATGAGCATGGAATGTTCTTCCATTTGTTTGTGTCCTCTTTTATTTCCTTGAGCAGTGGTTTGTAGTTCTCCTTGAAGAGGTCCTTCACATCCCTTGTAAGTTGGATTCCTAGGTATTTTATTCTCTTTGAAGCAATTGTGAATGGGAGTTCACTCATGATTTGGCTCTCTGTTTGTCTGTTGTTGGTGTATAAGAATGCTTGTGATTTTTGTACATTGATTTTGTATCCTGAGACTTTGCTGAAGTTGCTTATCAGCTTAAGGAGATTTTGGGCTGAGACGATGGGGTTTTCTAGATAAACAATCATGTCGTCTGCAAACAGGGACAATTTGACTTCCTCTTTTCCTAATTGAATACCCTTTATTTCCTTCTCCTGCCTGATTGCCCTGGCCAGAACTTCCAACACTATGTTGAATAGGAGCGGTGAGAGAGGGCATCCCTGTCTTATGCCAGTTTTCAAAGGGAATGCTTCCAGTTTTTGCCCATTCAGTATGATATTGGCTGTGGGTTTGTCATAGATAGCTCTTATTATTTTGAAATACATCCCATCAATACCTAATTTATTGAGAGTTTTTAGCATGAAGGGTTGTTGAATTTTGTCAAAGGCTTTTTCTGCATCTATTGAGATAATCATGTGGTTTTTGTCTTTGGCTCTGTTTATATGCTGGATTACATTTATTGATTTGCATATATTGAACCAGCCTTGCATCCCAGGGATGAAGCCCACTTGATCATGGTGGATAAGCTTTTTGATGTGCTGCTGGATTCGGTTTGCCAGTATTTTATTGAGGATTTTTGCATCAATGTTCATCAAGGATATTGGTCTAAAATTCTCTTTTTTGGTTGTGTCTCTGCCCGGCTTTGGTATCAGAATGATGCTGGCCTCATAAAATGAGTTAGGGAGGATTCCCTCTTTTTCTATTGATTGGAATAGTTTCAGAAGGAATGGTACCAGTTCCTCCTTGTACCTCTGGTAGAATTCGGCTGTGAATCCATCTGGTCCTGGACTCTTTTTGGTTGGTAAACTATTGATTATTGCCACAATTTCAGAGCCTGTTATTGGTCTATTCAGAGATTCAACTTCTTCCTGGTTTAGTCTTGGGAGAGTGTATGTGTCGAGGAATGTATCCATTTCTTCTAGATTTTCTAGTTTATTTGCGTAGAGGTGTTTGTAGTATTCTCTGATGGTAGTTTGTATTTCTGTGGGATCGGTGGTGATATCCCCTTTATCATTTTTTATTGTGTCTATTTGATTCTTCTCTCTTTTTTTCTTTATTAGTCTTGCTAGCGGTCTATCAATTTTGTTGATCCTTTCAAAAAACCAGCTCCTGGATTCATTGATTTTTTGAAGGGTTTTTTGTGTCTCTATTTCCTTCAGTTCTGCTCTGATTTTAGTTATTTTTTGCCTTCTGCTAGCTTTTGAATGTGTTTGCTCTGGCTTTTCTAGTTCTTTTAATTGTGATGTTAGGGTGTCAATTTTGGATCTTTCCTGCTTTCTCTTGTAGGCATTTAGTGCTATAAATTTCCCTCTACACACTGCTTTGAATGCGTCCCAGAGATTCTGGTATGTGGTGTCTTTGTTCTCGTTGGTTTCAAAGAACATCTTTATTTCTGCCTTCATTTCGTTATGTACCCAGTAGTCATTCAGGAGCAGGTTGTTCAGTTTCCATGTAGTTGAGAGGCTTTGAGTGAGATTCTTAATCCTGAGTTCTAGTTTGATTGCACTGTGGTCTGAGAGATAGTTTGTTATAATTTCTGTTCTTTTACATTTGCTGAGGAGAGCTTTACTTCCAAGTATGTGGTCAATTTTGGAATAGGTGTGGTGTGGTGCTGAAAAAAATGTATATTCTGTTGATTTGGGGTGGAGAGTTCTGTAGATGTCTATTAGGTCCACTTGGTGCAGAGCTGAGTTCAATTCCTGGGTATCCTTGTTGACTTTCTGTCTCGTTGATCTGTCTAATGTTGACAGTGGGGTGTTAAAGTCTCCCATTATTAATGTGTGAGAGTCTAAGTCTCTTTGTAGGTCACTCAGGACTTGCTTTATGAATCTGGGTGCTCCTGTATTGGGTGCATAAATATTTAGGATAGTTAGCTCCTCTTGTTGAATTGATCCCTTTACCATTATGTAATGGCCTTCTTTGTCTCTTTTGATCTTTGTTGGTTTAAAGTCTGTTTTATCAGAGACTAGGATTGCAACCCCTGCCTTTTTTTGTTTTCCATTGGCTTGGTAGATCTTCCTCCATCCTTTTATTTTGAGCCTATGTGTGTCTCTGCACGTGAGGTGGGTTTCCTGAATACAGCACACTGATGGGTCTTGACTCTTTATCCAACTTGCCAGTCTGTGTCTTTTAATTGCAGAATTTAGTCCATTTATATTTAAAGTTAATATTGTTATGTGTGAATTTGATCCTGTCATTATGATGTTAGCTGGTGATTTTGCTCGTTAGTTGATGCAGTTTCTTCCTAGTCTCGATGGTCTTTACATTTTGGCATGATTTTGCAGCGGCTGGTACTGGTTGTTCCTTTCCATGTTTAGCGCTTCCTTCAGGAGCTCTTTTAGGGCAGGCCTGGTGGTGACAAAATCTCTCAGCATTTGCTTGTCTATAAAGTATTTTATTTCTCCTTCACTTATGAAGCTTAGTTTGGCTGGATATGAAATTCTGGGTTGAAAATTCTTTTCTTTAAGAATGTTGAATATTGGCCCCCACTCTCTTCTGGCTTGTAGGGTTTCTGCCGAGAGATCCGCTGTTAGTCTGATGGGCTTTCCTTTGAGGGTAACCCGACCTTTCTCTCTGGCTGCCCTTAACATTTTTTCCTTCATTTCAACTTTGGTGAATCTGACAATTATGTGTCTTGGAGTTGCTCTTCTCGAGGAGTATCTTTGTGGCGTTCTCTGTATTTCCTGAATCTGAATGTTGGCCTGCCTTGCTAGATTGGGGAAGTTCTCCTGGATAATATCCTGCAGAGTGTTTTCCAACTTGGTTCCATTCTCCACATCACTTTCAGGTACACCAATCAGACGTAGATTTGGTCTTTTCACATAGTCCCATATTTCTTGGAGGCTTTGCTCATTTCTTTTTATTCTTTTTTCTCTAAACTTCCCTTCTTGCTTCATTTCATTCTCATCTTCCATTGCTGATACCCTTTCTTCCAGTTGATCGCATCGGCTCCTGAGGCTTCTGCATTCTTCACGTAGTTCTCGAGCCTTGGTTTTCAGCTCCATCAGCTCCTTTAAGCACTTCTCTGTATTGGTTATTCTAGTTATACATTCTTCTAAATTTTTTTCAAAGTTTTCAACTTCTTTGCCTTTGGTTTGAATGTCCTCCCCTAGCTCAGAGTAATTTGATCGTCTGAAGCCTTCTTCTCTCAGCTTGTCAAAATCATTCTCCATCCAGCTTTGTTCCGTTGCTGGTGAGGAACTGTGTTCCTTTGGAGGAGGAGAGGCGCTCTGCGTTTTAGAGTTTCCAGTTTTTCTGTTCTGTTTTTTCCCCATCTTTGTGGTTTTATCTACTTTTGGTCTTTGATGATGGTGATGTACAGATGGGTTTTCGGTGTAGATGTCCTTTCTGGTTGTTAGTTTTCCTTCTAACAGACAGGACCCTCAGCTGCAGGTCTGTTGGAATACCCTGCCGTGTGAGGTGTCAGTGTGCCCCTGCTGGGGGGTGCCTCCCAGTTAGGCTGCTCGGGGGTCAGGGGTCAGGGACCCACTTGAGGAGGCAGTCTGCCCGTTCTCAGATCTCCAGCTGCGTGCTGGGAGAACCACTGCTCTCTTCAAAGATGTCAGACAGAGACACTTAAGTCTGCGGAGGTTACTGCTGTCTTTTTGTTTGTCTGTGCCCTGCCCCCAGAGGTGGAGCCTACAGAGGCAGGCAGGCCTCCTTGAGCTGTGGTGGGCTCCACCCAGTTCGAGCTTCCCAGCTGCTTTGTTTACCTAAGCAAGCCTGGGCAATGGCGGGCGCCCCTCCCCCAGCCTCGTTGCCGCCTTGCAGTTTGATCTCAGACTGCTGTGCTAGCAATCAGCGAGATTCCGTGGGTGTAGGACCCTCTGAGCCAGGTGTGGGATATAGTCTCGTGGTGCGCCGTTTTTTAAGCCGGTCTGAAAAGCGCAATATTCGGGTGGGAGTGACCCGATTTTCCAGGTGCGTCCATCACCCCTTTCTTTGACTCGGAAAGGGAACTCCCTGACCCCTTGCGCTTCCCAGGTGAGGCAATGCCTCGCCCTGCTTCGGCTCGCGCACGGTGCGCGCACACGCTGGCCTGCGCCCACTGTCTGGCACTCCCTAGTGAGATGAACCCGGTACCTCAGATGGAAATGCAGAAATCACCCATCTTCTGCGTCGCTCACGATGGGAGCTGTAGACCGGAGCTGTTCCTATTCGGCCATCTTCATCTTTTTAACTTTAAACATTTGTGCTCACCTAGAAACCAATTTAAAATGTTTTTCTTATTATCTTCTTACCATCCCCCCAGAATATATATATATAAATACACACACATATATATATGCATATGTGTGTATATATATGTGTGTGTGTGTGTGTATATATATATATATGTGTGTGTGTATATATATATTTATGTGTATATATATATTTTTTGAGACGGAGTTTGGCTCTTGTGGCCCAGGCTGGAGTGCATGGCATGATCTTGGCTCACTGCAACCTCCGTCTCCTGGGTTCAAGTGATTCTCCTGTCTCAGCTTCCTGAGTATCTGGGATTACAGGCGCCCGCCACCACGCCTGGCTGATTTTTGGTATTTTTAGTAGAGACAGGGTTGCACCATGTTGGCCAGACTGGTCTCAAACTCCTGACCTCAGGTGATCCACATGCCTCGGCCTCCCAAAGTGCTGGGATTACAGGCGTGAGCCACCAAGCCTGGCCCAGAATATATATTTTTTTAACTCACAAAATGCATATCGTATAATGTAAATCATAAAGTTATAATGAATACCCATGAATCTAACATCTGTCATCCAAACCGTGTGCTCTTTCTCTATTCATGCTAACTGGCTTCTTATTTAAGCCTCTTTCAGAACTTTGCCTCTTTAATTTATATTATTGGCTTAATATTCACTTAAAATATCCTCAAATAGTACAGACAGCTGCATGCAGCTTCAATATGTGGTTATTTTGCAGCTCATTAATGCTATGAAATCTATGAACATGTTTATTTAGTAAAATTGGCAAGCAGGGAGTTTTGTCTCCAATTCTATCTACACCTCTAAGTGTCTGTGTGTAACGGTGGCTGCATATGGCCTCTTACACACATTCAGAAATGAATTCTTCTCTATGTATCTCTGTATCTCTTTCTTTCTCATTCTGTCTCTCTCACACACACATACATATTCAAACACACACAGAAAGAAAAGGATATAGAAAAAGAAAATATGAAAACAGCTCCCAATCTGATCCATCTACCATCTGTACTTTCCTATCCATCACTCTGCAAACTTGGGCAAAATGCTCTCTCTTGTATTCATTTGCTCCCTATTCCCTTATTCATGCTGGTTTGAAGACAAAGTGGGTGTGCAAAAAGGCAGTCCGCTATTTTCTGTGCCACGATTTCCCTTTTCAGTGACTCCATAGCTGCTGTCAGCTCACAGGAGCCATCAAAGAGATGCTCTTTTATGGATACGGGGGGAACTCTGATTGAGCACTTTGTGGAAGGTGACCCACAGGGCAAGAGTGAATAGTCTGTCAGCCTATTCACTGTTTCTGCAATCCTGTCACCAGGTGGCAAAGGCAAAGTGCTCTGTCAAATGGCCCAAAAGCTTATCAGGGAGGAAAAGACTCAAGGATTTACAGCATCTGAGTTCATAGAACATGCTCATTTAATTCATGTGATGTTTCATTTTTTGTATTTTGCTCTTCAATTTTAGTAACACTTATGCCTTTATGGTTGTAATCTTTTGCTTCCCCCATCCTTTCTATAGATGCATTATGTATATATCTGTGTGAATATGTATATATATAATATACATCTACACATCATAGTTCAGTTTAATAGGCATTTATTAAGTTATTATGTCCATGCATCAAGGACACAAAGATGAATAAGATATGGATTCTGCTGGGCATGATGGCTCCTGCCTATAATCCCAGCTACTCAGAAGGCTGAGATGGGAGAATCACTTGAGGCCGGGAGTTCAAGACCAGCCTGAGCAATAGCACAAGCTCCCGTATCTGTTTTTAAAAACGTGGATTCTGCCTCAAGGAGCTTACAGTCTACTGGTATTTATCTTTCCAAAGAGATGATTTAATACATAGGGACCATATTTCAGTTTTACTACACAAAGTATTAAAACCTAATAGGACTTTCCAGAAGGCACAGGTCAGCCATAGGAAGCAGACTTAATTTGTGTATCATTTATATACAATTTAAATTTGTTATGAATTTTTTTTTTGACAGGGTGTCGCTCTGTCACCCAGACTGGAGTACAATGGCGCGATCTCAGCTCACTGCAACCTCCGCCTCCTGGGTTCAAGCAATTCTCCTTCTCAGCCTCCCAAGTAGCTGGGATTACAGGTGCCCACTATCATGCCCAGCTAATTTTTTGTATTTTTAGTAGAGACGGGGTTTCGCCATGTTGGCAAGACTGGTCTCGAACTCCTGACCTCAGGTGATCCACCCGCCTCAGCCTCCCAAAGTGCTGGGATTACAGGCATGAGCCACCGCATCTGGCCGAATTTTTTAAATTTCTGAAATAATTTTAGGCTTACAGAAGAGTTGCAAAGATAGAATAAACTGTTCCCATATACCCTTTATTTCACATGTTAACATCTTACCGAACCATAGTACATTTATCAAAACTAGGAAATTATCATTGGTACAATACTATTAACTACAAAATAGACTTTATTTGAATATCACCAATTTTCACTAACGCTCTTTTTCTGTTCCAGGATCTGATCTAGGATCCCACATTGCGTTTGGTTGTCACATCTCCCTAGTTTCCTTCAATTTCTGATGGTTCTTCATTCTTTCCTTGTCTTTAACTACCTTGACACTTTTGAATAGTACCAATCAGGAATTTGCTAGAATTTTCCTCAATTTGGGTTGGTCTGGATGTTTTCTCATTATTAGATTAAGTTTATAAATTTGGGAGAAAAAATATCACAGAGGGAACATGCCCTTCTCAATGCATCCTATTAGGAGTACATGCTGTTGACATGTCTAATTACTGGTGTTATTAACTTCGATCGTTTGGCTAAGGTGGTATCTGCCAGGTTTCTCCACTGTAAGGTTACTATTTTTTCTTTGTAACTAACAAATATTTTTCAGAAGATATTTTGGGGCTATGCAAATATCTGGTTTCTCCTTAACACTTTACCCATTAGTTTTTTATTTTTTAAACCAACTTTTCTTTTTCTTTCTTTTTTTTTTTGAGATGGAGTCTTGCTCTGTCACCCAGGCTGAAGTGCAGTGGTGCAATCTCGGCTCACTGCAACCTCCGCCTCCCAGGTTCAAGCGGTTCTCCTGCCTCAGCCTCCCAAGTAGCTGGGACTACAGGCGTATGCCACAACGCCCAGCTAATTTTTGTATTTTTTGTAGAGACAGGGTTTCACCATGTTGGCCAGGATGGTCTCGATTTCTTGACCTCGTGATCCGCCCGCCTCAGCCTCCCAAAGTGCTGGGATTACAGGTGTGAGCCACTGTGTCCAGCTTTTAAATGATCTTTTCTTTTCTTTTTTCATTGCTTTTCTTTTCTTTCTGTTAGAGACAGGGTCTTGCTATGTTACCCAATCTGGTCTTGAACTCCTGGGCTCAAGTGATTCTCCTGCCTCGGCCTCCCACAGAACTGGGATTACAGGTATAAGCCACCACACCCACCCTAATTAAACTTTTTGTTTGAGAATAGTTTTAGATTTAGAGAAAAGTTGGGCTGGCCTAAATAAACTTTTCATTTTAGAATGGTTTTAGATTTACAGAAAAGTTGCAAAAATAGTACATAGTAGCCATTTTCCCCTATTGTTAATATCTTCCCTGTACATTTGTCACAACTATTAAACCAACATTGATACATTAAACTATAAACTCTGTACTCTATTTAGATTTCACTACATCCACTCATTTTAACATTCAATTGATCTTGCCTGTAGCAATTACTATTGTGGTTTTCTGGTTTTTTGTTTTTGTTTTTGTTTTTTGAGATGGAGTTTCGCTCATGTTGCCCAGGCTGGAGTACAGTGGTGCAACCTCAGCTCACTGCAACCTCTGCCTCCTGGGTTCAAGCAATTCTCCTGTCTCAGCCTCACGAGTAGCTGGGATTACAGGCAGCCACCACGATGCCTGGCTAATTTTTGTATTTTTAGTAGAGATGGGCTTCACCATGTTGGCCAGGCTGGTGTCGAACTCCTGACCTCAGGTGACCCACCGGCCTTGGCCTCCCAAAATGCTGGGATTACAGGCATGAGCCACCGCACCCAGCCACTATTGTGGTTTTCTAACTGTAATTTTCTGTTTCCCTCATTTTTTCTACACTGTTAACTGGAATTCTTCTGCAAGGAACAATTGTTCCTTTTCTCCTATTTATTTATTTAGTCCTTCATTTATATCTGTGTGGACTCATAGATATTTATTATATTCTTTGGCTTATAATACTATCTATCTATCTACCTATCTATCTATCATCTATCTATCTATCTATCTATCTATCTATCTATCTATCTATCATTTTAAGAAGAGTCTAGCTGTGTTGCCCAGGCTGGAGTGCAGTGGTGCAATCTCGGCTTACTGCAACCTCTGCTTCCTGGGTTCAAGTGATTCTCACATCTCAGCCTCCCGAGTAGCTGGAATTACAGGCATGTGCCACCATGCCTGGCTAATTTTTGTATTTTTTTTTTCTAGTAGAGATGAGGTTTCTCCATGTTGGCCAGGCTGGTCTCAAACTCCTGGCCTCAAGTGATTTGCCCACCTCGACCTCCCAAAGTGCTGGGATTATAGGCGTGAGCTGCCACCATGCCGAGCCCATTATATGGTTTTGTTGATCAAATTATTCCAGCTTTTGCTATTGGGAGCTTGTTCAGGTTAGCTTCTGTGTCCCTTCGATACACTTACATCCCTTTCTTTTCTTTTTAGATCATTTTTATAAATCTACGTAGACACTGTCATCTAGGAAGCTGTTTATTAATTAAATTCTTTAAATTAATTAAAATTATATTTTTATTTAATTTTCTTCCTCAGTTGACATTTTAACTTTTTTTTCCTTATTCTTATCATCCAAACATTATAATTGTCCCAAATTACACTGAAGGATCAAGGCATGACAAATATACCAACAAGGGGGAAAGGATGGGACTTAGGTGGACAGGGCTTGTTTTTTTTTTTTTTTTTTTGGCACAAGTTACCTGACCTCTCTAAGTCTCAGTTTACTCATCTATAAAATGGGTGGTAATAGTAATAATATCTGTATCATGGACTCACAAAGATTAGATGATTAAGGTGTCATAAGATGGAAAAGTACTTTGTTAACTATAAAGTTTTATATAAATATAATAGTGTTATCTTTGTATCATAGCACAACGGCGCTGTATCCTATCCCTTTAATTATTTGATAATGGTTGTTAAGAAATTGTTTTTGTGATTACACAGAGAGGCCTATTTAAGGAATAACAATGAACAATTGAAATTGTACTAGCCAAAACACTAAGCCTGGAACCAGATTAATGTATTTACTCAGATGCAGCCTCATTTCTATGACTCCATTCATTCAGAAAACCCAAAGATTATACTGGTAATAAGCGTGACCTCTCTCTTTCAGACATAAAATGAAAGTTTTGTCTCTATTAAAATAAAAATAAGCCAGGATCAATTTTTTTTTTTCTCCAAAGCCATATAATGGTTCCTAAATCAACACAAACTATTATGTAGAAGCAATTCATGTTGAAGAGTCTGCTGATTTGCTCGGTGTCATCCTCCTGTTCATCAGTCAGGAGATTCATGGAGTACCCATTACATACGAAGAATACATGCTGCAAGCTCTACCTGGGAAGTAACAGATTTAGTATCTGCTCTTGAGGAGAATGATACCTACACTATCATTTATGGAACCTGGAGCTAAAGAAAAAAATAGTTTTAAAATGACTTTCTCAGGCTGGGCGCAGTGGCTCACGCCTGTGATCCCAACACTTTAGGAAGCAGAAGCTAGAGGATCGCTTGAGCCCGAGGAGTTCGAGACTAGCCTGGGCAACAAGGCAAAACCCTGTCTCTACAAAAAATACAAAAATTAGCCAGGCATGGTGCTGTGCACCTATAGTCCCAGTTACTTGGGAGGCTGAGGTGGGAGGATTACTTGAGCCCAGAGGCGGAAGTTGCGGTAAGCCGAGACCACACTACTAAACTCCAGCCTGGGCAACAGAGTAAGATCCTATCTCAAAAAAAAAAAAATTATTTTCTCGGCCAGGTGCAGTGGCTCACACCTGTAATCCCAGCACTTTAGGAGGTCGAGGCAGGTGGATCACGAGGTCAGGAGATGGAGTCACAGTGAAACCCTGTCTCTGCTAAAAATACACACAAAAAAATTAGCCGGGCTTGGTGGCACCCACCTGTAGTCCCAGCTACTCGGGAGGCTGAGGCAGGAGAATCCCTTGAACCCGGGAGGCGGAGGATGCAGTGAACCAAGATCCTGCCACTGCACTCCAGCCTGGGCGACAGAACGAGACTCCGTCTCCAAAAAAAGAAAAAAAAAAAAGACTTCCTCAGATCAAACTGGAATCTAAAATTTAAGTGAGTATAATAATGTTTGGGAGGCCGAGGTGGGTGGATCATGAGGTTAGGAGATCGAGACCATCCTGGCTAACACAGTGAAACTCCGTCTCTACTAAAAATACAAAAAATTTGCCAGGCGTGGTGGCAGGCGCCTGTAGTCCCAGCTACTCGGGAGGCTGAGGCAGGAGAATGGCGTGAACCTGGGAGGTGGAGCTTGCAGTAAGCCAAGATCGCGCCACTGCACTCCAGCCTGGGCCATGGAGCGAGACTCCATCTCAAAAAATAAAAAAATAAAAAATAAATAAATAATGTGAATACAAGGCTGGGCGTGGTGGCTCACGCCTGTAATCCCAGCACTTTGGGAGGCCGAGGCGGGTGGATCACGAGGTCAGGAGTTCAATACCAACCTGGCCAAGATGGTGAAACCCCGTCTCTACTGAAAACACAAAAAAATTAGCTGGGCATGGTGGCGGGCGCCTGTACTCCCAGCTACTTAGGAGGCTGAGGCAGAGAATTGCTTGAACCCATGAGGTGGAGGTTACAGTGAGATAAGATTGTGCCACGGCACTACAGCCTGGGTGACAGAATGAGACTCCATCTCAAAAAAAAAAAAATTGTGACTACAGAGATATTTATGTGGGAGCCAGGAAAGGACAGAGTGAATTGAAAACCAAGATCAACAGAGAAGTGGTTTTCCTCTTTTTTGAATGGCCTGTTTCCTTATTTCTGTCTCTCTCTTTTTGAGAGTCTGATGTCTCATTGTGCACTCAAATTTTAGTGTTTGACTTGACCCAATTCTTGATGGATAGAGAGCAGCAATGGAGACCAAATGTGTTTTACGGTGCAATGTTTGAAAGAAATTCAACATAGTATATCATTAGTACTTTAAAAAATGTTTATTAATGACAGACAGGGCCCCTTCTACGGTTTAGCAAATTTAAACTAGCCCAATAATTTATCATCAAATTTTTTGTGTATAGTAAACCCAAAATTTGGGCTAACACAATGATACCTCCAACTTCTGATTCTAGCCTCTCTCTGGGCCCTCTTCCCTCCTCCATACAGTCTTGCAGTGGCATTAGGACAGTTTATTTTAAAAGGATCTGTAATACTATCTAGAAAGCAAAGAATACAGACCAGGAACTCAAACTGATTTATCAGAGAGGGCCAGAGATTCTCCTCTCTCTCAACTCAGTTCTGTTCTCATAGGCTTTGCCCCTAGTTTTTATTATTTTCACCACAAACACTATAGGATTTGATCTTCAACTTCTCAGATTGTCTGTAATTGTCACATATCTGTCTTAGTCAGAAAAGTGACCTGTAGGCTGGGTGTAGTGGTTCATGCCTATAATTCCAGCACTTTGGGAGACTGAGGCGAGAGGATCTCTTGAGGCCAAGAGTTCAAGATCAGCCTGGGTAACATAGTGAGATTCCATCTCTACAAAAAATACAAAACTTAGCTGGGTGTGGTGACACGCGCCTGTAGTCCTATCTACTTGGGAAGCTAAGACGGGAGGATCACTTAAGCCCAGGAGTTCAGGGCTGCCACTGCACTCCAGCCTGGGCAATAGAGTGAGATCCTATCACTAAAAATAATTTTTTAAAAAGTGACCTATGGTTCACCCTTTCCTTAATTTCTATGGTTGTAGAACAGTAACCGGGCTGCACTATGACATTTCAGCACTAAGTGGAGCCAGACGCCCAACTGCCTTAAAATTTACAAATCAGCAGAAGAGTACAGCCTAGTTACCTGGAAAACCTGACTTGGCCATTGTGTTTACAGATGGACAGAGCTGGAGTTATATGGTACATCACATATATTTGAATGCCCAAGACTCAAGGAATAGATACCATGGAAATAATTACTTTAGCTCATCTCACATGGTTAAAGAAAACCTATCAAATAAACACAAACTAACCAAACTGGGTATTTTTTTGTTGCGGGGGGGGTGTTTGTTTGTTTGTTTTTGAGACAGGGTCTCTCTCTGTTGTCCAGGCTGGAGGGCAATGACACAATCTCGGCTCACTGCAACCTCCACCTGTGGGCTCAAGCAATCCTCCCACCTCAGCCTCCGGAGTAGCTGGGACCACAGGTGTATGCCACCATGCCCAGCTAATTTTTGTATTTTTTGTAGAGACAAGGTTTCACTATGTTACCCAGGCTAGTCTCAAACTCCTGAACTCAAGTGGTCTGCTTGCCTCAGCCTCCTAAAGTGCTGGGATTACAGGTGTGAGCCACTGTGCCTGGCCCCAAATTATTTTGTTATGTCATGATTCCCAACCCCTCTGCCCTTTGTTGCAAGCTTCTATAAGAAAGACATGTAGCCTCTGGTGGTTCAGATTCTGATCTGCAGATGAGAATGAGCCAATTTGGGAAAGAGCCCAGCCTAACAGAGGATTTGTGATAGCATTTGGGTGATGTTTTTGCAAGCAAATATGTGTTTGGCATAGGGACAGTTTTGCCCAGGGCAGAGTATTGAATTCTGAGAATAGGAGCCAGTTATGGGGTATGTATGTGTAGGAGGCCGATGGAGGGTTAATAGAGTCACAGATCATGGCAGTTGGGTAAAGGATGAGAAATTACTTAATGTTCAGGATCTATACCCTAGGGAAAAATAAAAAGAAATTACTTAATGGGTACAATATATGTTATTTGGGTGGTGAATACCCCGAAAATCCTGACCATTACAAAGTCTATGCATGTACTGAAATTACACTTATACCCCATGAACTTATGTAAATAAATTTTTTCTTTTTCTTTTTTTTTTGAGACAGAGTCTCATTCTGTCGCCCAGGCTGGAATGCAGTGGCTCGATCTCACCTCACTGCAACCTCCGCCTCCCAGGTTCAAGCAATTCCCTGCTTCAACCTCACGATTAGCCGGGATTACAGGCACCGGCCACCAAGCCCGGCTAATTTTTGTATTTTTAGTAGAGACGGGGTTTCACCATCTTGGCCAGGCTGGTCTTGAACTCCTGACCTCGTGATCCACCCACCTTGGCCTCCCAAAGTGCTGGGATTACAGGCATGAGCCACCGCACCCAGCCATAAATAAATAAATTTTTTCAAAACAAACAAACAACAGCAACAAAAAAAACCAGAGTCACAGATCATTCTTACCTAGAAACTCAGCACAGACTGAGCAAACCATTCAACTCTTGGGAGACCCTGAGATCCTAAGTATAAAAGATGAGCTAGGCCGGGCGTGGTGGCTCACGCCTCTAATCCCAGCACTTTGGGAGGCCAAGGCTGGCGGATCACGAGGTCAGGAGATCGAGACCATCCTGGCTAACACAGTGAAACCCCGCCTCTACTAAAAATACAAAAAAAAAAAAAAAGCCGGGTGTGGTGGTGGGTGCCTGTAGTCCCAGCTACTTGGGAGGCTGAGGCAGGAGAATGGTGTGGACCCAGGAGGCGGAGCTTGCAGTGAGCCGAGATCGCGCCACTGCATTCCAGCCTGGGCAACAAAGCCAGACTCTGTCTCAAAAAATAAATAAATAAATAAAAATAAAAAAGAGATGAGCTTCTGGCCCAGCACGGTGGCTCACGCCTGTAATCCCGCACTTTGGGAGGCCGAGGCAGGTGGATCATCTGAGATCAGGAGTTCAAGACCAGCCTGGCCAACATGGTGAAGCCCCGTCTCTACTAAAAGTAGAAAAATTAGCCAGGCATGGTGGCATGCGCTTGTACTCCCAGTTACTGGGGAGACTTGGGCAGGAGAATTGCTCGAACTGGGGAGACGGAGGTTGCAGTGAGCTGAGATCGCGCCATTGCACTCCAGCCTGTGCAAGAGAGCGACTGTGTCTCAAAAAAAAAAAAAAAAAAGAGAGAGATGAGCTTCTTACAATTATTCCACTGCTTTCTGACATATTTCCTTATCTGTGAAAAGTGATAAAAATGCTAATTTCTACTTCCACTTCTCTTTCACAGGCATATGTTGAAAGGGGGTTACAAAGTTTAAAATCGCTGTTTTAAAGACTAACAAAACTTTATCTTGCAGGTAAGGAACTTGTGATATACCACCTTAAAGTCAAATGCTATTGGAAGCCCAGTCCTGAGCTTGTTCTTATAGGATGACAGATGAACTGAATGGATAAATAAAGTACAGCTCGATGCCTTATAATCCTACTTTCTTTTATTTACTTCTTTATTCAATAAACATTTACAGGTGCTTACTCTATGTCAGGCACTGTGTTTGGCATTGGGAAGCCAGCAATGAAAGCCCTGCTCTCTTCCCACAAGAGCACTTGGTCTATGTGAGGAGAATGATAAAAATGCTAGTGATTATAGGAGAGTGCAGTAGGTGCTATGATAGGGTGGGAGCGAGGTTTGTGGGGACACAGAGCAGAGTCTCAGACTGGGGCCGGAGAAGGCCTCAAAAGAGGCGGCATTTGAATGGAACCTTGGAGAATATGAAGAGATAAACAAGTGGAAAAGCTCAGAGGCATGAAACAGCATACTTGTAGCACTATCTTGTAATAAACTACAACTTGCAACAATACATAAAGAAGGACAGCTGGGGACGGGCGCAGTGGCTCACACCTTTAATCCCAGCACTTTGGGAGGCCAAGGCGGGCAGATCACAAGGTCAGGAGTTCCAGCCTGACCAACGTGGTGAAACTCTCCATCTCTACTAAAAACACAAAAATTTGCTGGGTGTGGTGGCACGCGCCTGTAATCCCAGCTACTCAGGAGGCTGAGGCAGGAGAATCGCTTGAACCCAGGAGGCAGAGGTTGCAGAGCTGAGATCGTGCCATTGAACTCCAGCCTGGGTGACAGAGCAAGACTCCGTCTCAAAGAAAAAAAAAAAAAAAAAAAAAAAAAGGACAGCTGGACATGGTGGCTCATGCCTATAATCCCAGTGTTTTGGGAGACTAAGGGAGGAAGATTGCTTGAGGCCAAGAGTTCAAGACCAGCCTGGGCAACATATTGAGGGCCCATCTCTACAAAACAAAAAAAAAAAACAAAAAAAACTTAGCTGGGTGTGATGGCACATATATAGTCCCAGCTACCCAGGAGGCTGAGAAGGGAGGATCAGTTGAGCCCAGAAGTTCAAAGCTGCAGTGAGCTGTGATTGCACCACTGCACAACTCCAGCTTCTGTTCATCCACCTAAAAGGAGAGACTTCTCTGGGACCCGGTTGTTCAAATTATGGAGGGAAGGTGTGGAATATCTTTCTATGTCCAAGTCCCTGAGGGCAGGAAGGAAAACTGAGAGACTGGCCTTATTGGACCTTGTTGACACTGTTAGCTCATGTCCTTTCTCTCTCTCCTTTCACCGTCAATCTCCTAAAATGTGTGGTTCACATTCACTGTACCCACATCTTCTCCCATTCTCTTCTTAACATCTTGAGCTTTGACTTCCATCCCTAAGACTGCTCTCTCCAAGATAACCAATATTCTTTCAGTCAGTTTTATTGAGTTCATATTTTCTTCTTAGCAATATTTGTTCTGCTGATGGAAGAATCTCTCTGTAGTGCCTTTTGGTGGCCCACCACTACATTTCCTTTGCCAACATTTCTTCTCTTTTTTCTTTTTATTGAGACAGAGTTGCCCGGGCAGTAGTGCAGTGGCACGATCTCAGCTCACTGCAACCCCTGCCTCCCAGGTTCAGGAGATTCTCCTGCCTCAGCCTCCCAAGTAGCTGGGATTACAGGCATGTACCACCACTCCCAGATAATTTTTGTATTTTTAATAGAGACAGGTTTCACCATGTTGGCCAGGCTGGTCTCGAACTCCTGACTTCAGGTGATCTGCCCACCTCGACCTCCCAAAGTGCTGAGATTACAGACGTGAGCCACTGCACCTGGCCTCTCCCCTCTTTTATACCCAATTGTGTTGCCCCTAAAGCTGGGTCCTTGGGCCTGGCTTTGTCTCATTCATTCTCTTCCTCATTTTAATACCTTCCTATTTCTTTATACATACATATTCCTCTCCTAAGACTTAATTTTTGGCTGGGCGCACTGGCTCACGCCTGTAATTCCAGCACTTTGGGAGGCCAAGGTGGACAGATCATGAGATCAGGAGATGGAGACCATCCTGGCTAACACAGTGAAACCCCGTCTCTACTAAAAAAAAAAAATACAAAAAATTAGCCGGGCATGGTGGTGGGTGCCTGTAGTCCCAGCTACTCGGGAGGCTGAGGCAGGAGAATGGCGTGAACCTGGGAGGCGGAGCTTGCAGTGAGCCGAGATCGCACCACTGCACTCCAGCTTAGGGGACAGAGCGAGACTCTATCTCAAAAAAAAAAAGGTAAAATGATATACAGCTTAAGAGCATGGATTGTGGTGTCAGAATGCCTGAGTTCAAGTCTTGGCTCTGCCACTTACTAGTAGTGTCACCTAATTTCCCCATATGTAAAATGGGGATAATAATAGTACTTACTTGGTTGGATTGTTGGAGAATTAAATATATTTATGTAAAATGTATGGAATAATGCCTACTACATGGTAACTCTATGTCAGTATTACTATTATTTTTATTAGGCTCTAGATTAGTTTTTAAATCTGCTGTTAATATATCTCCACTTGCATGCCCTTTGAATTTATTCCTTACTTTTAATTCCTATAACGTCTCGTACCTCCCTGTAGAGAAGTTATTAAAAGTATGGTCTTTAGAGTCAAACCTGGATTGGTATTTCAGTTCTATTTCTTCCCAACCACATAACTTTGTGTAAGGCATTTCATCTCTCCAAGACTTCATCTCCTCTTCTGTATCTATATCATTTGTGAGGATTAAAGGAAGTAAGTATGTGATGAGATGATATAAGCACAAGGCAAACAGTTAACAAATAGTAGTGATTCCATTGTTGTTACCCCTTACCTTCTATATTCAGCACAAGTACTATATCTTTTATAAAAATTCCTCAGACTGCTCCTACCACAGTGCCCCCTTCCTGGCTTCTCTTGCACTTGTTATCTGTACCACTCATCTGAGAGTAAGCATATGTCACTGTGTATAGTCATTTACCATTTGATTAATATTTCTTCTTTCCCTGGTGTAAATGTCAGCTCTTTGAAGGTAGGGATCTTTTCTTACACCTTCTTGTAGCTTCAGCATGTTTTGATAAATATTTGCTAGTGTTTGACAAATAAATGCTTTCTCCTCAAATATCAAATATACAAATTGGAGCTTTCCCCAAGAAGCATACTTCTCAACTCTCTTGGATCTCTCTGTTAAGATGCCACCTTTATTTGGAAGTTAATCTGATGAAGTTATTTCTAATCTCTTTGTTCAGAAATCTTTGACATCTTATGTACTGAGTTCTATCAATTCATGTGCCTGGCTCAGTGCCTAGGACATAACAGTTGCTCAATAAATGTTAAATGAGAAACAAATCAGAATATAAATAACTAGATTCTTATTTTAAAATGTTTCAGATTTGCCTCTTTTCTTTATCCCTATTTCCACCAACATAGTCCAGACGTTCACGGCTTCATATTTAGAATATTGAAATAGCTTTCTCTCTGGCTCCCTCATTTTCTTCTTTCATTTTAATCTATCTTGCCTATTACTGTTAGACACATATTCTGAAAATTCCATTTCAATTCACATATGATATGGTTTGGGTGTGTCCCCACCCAAATCTCATCTTGAATTCCTACATGTGGGAGGGACCCGGTGGGAGGTGATTGAATCACGCGGGCAGGTCCTTCCCATGCTGTTCTCATGACAGTGAATACGTCTCATGAGATTTGACAGTTTTGTATGGGGGGTTTCCCTGCACAAACTCTCTGTCTTTGCCTGCTGCCATCCACGTTAAGATGTGACTTGCTCCTCCTTGCCTTCTACCATGATTGTGATGCCTCCCCAGCCATGTGGAACTGTAAGTCCATTAAGCCTCTTTCTCTTGTAAATTGCCCAGTCTCGGGTATGTCTTTATCAGCAGCATGGAAACGGACGAATACAACATAACATGACCTTTTTTAACCCTCACAGCAACTCTATGAGAATCATCTCTCTACTGCTTAAACAATTAGCTGATCTTCTGAAGCTGGTTGTTAAGGTCTTACACAGTTTGGTCTCATTCCATTTACCCAGTATTTCCTCTCATCAGTACCTCTCACAAATTCCATGCCTACCCAAGGTGGTCCCACTAGTCCTACAGATTTTCCTTCACACCCAGTCCTGACATCATCCTAACTCACGCTTTAATCATGTTCTCAATCATGGAGATCTTGCTTTATTTCACTATCTTTATTTCACTTCAAAGTGAAAAGTTCTTAGACTAGTGTAACCTGCTATTTTCTTTACATAACTTTATGTAATTCCCTTTATATATAAAATCTTTATGGTTCTATTTAGCATGTATTGATTCCAACTTATTATGTCTACTTATTTCACATGGGTTAGTTAGTATAGCCTCTCTCCCTACTTGTATCACAAATCAATTAAGAGACGAGTCTATGATTTATTACTCTTTGTATGCTATTCAGTATCTAAGTGAGCTGAGTCCATAGGAGAAGCTCAGAAATGATTGATTGATGGCCAGGTGCGGTGGCTCACACCTGTAATCCCAGCACTTTGGAAGGCCGAGGCTGGCAGATTACCTGAGGTCAGGAGTTCGAGACTAGCCTGGCCAACATGGTGAAACCCCGTCTCTACTAAAAATACAAAAATTAGCCAGGCGTGGTGGCACACACCTGTAATCCCAGCTACTCAGGAGGCTGAGGCAGGAGAATTGCTTGAGCCAGGGAGGTGGAGGTTGCAGAGAGCCGAGATCGTGCCACTGCACTCCAGCCTGGCCAACAGAATGAGACTCTGTCTCAGAAAAAAAAAAAAAAAAAAAAGAAATGATTGATTGATATAGTGGAAATTACTATGATGAAGGTGATGTTTTGGGAAACAGAGTTTTCTCAAATTTCAGTCCAAGATAAGATCTGTGATATTCCAGATAATTTGACTGAATATCATATTATGCTGTCTGTCTTATATTGAATAGAAGGTAAATGTTACTGTACCATTTACTTTAATAAAAACAAAAAGTTTGCTATTGATGAAAGCTAACTCCCAGATTTATCTTTTTTATCTGAAATTGATCCATAAAAACCGTTTCATAAAAAGGAATAAAAATTATGAAAATCAAACCCCATCTAAAGTTTCTGTTTGGGCCAGAATGGCTTACACTTGTAATCCCAGCACTTTGGGAGGCCGAGGCAGGTGGATCACCTGAGGTCAGGAGTTCAAGACCAGCCTGAGCAATATGGTGAAACCCCGTCGCTACTAAAAATTCAAAAATTAGCTGAGCATGGTGATGCACTCCTGTAATTCCAGCTACTCAACTCAGGAGGCTGGGGCAGGAGAATCGCTCGAACCCAGGAGGCGGAGACTGTAGTGAGCCAAGATCGTGCCAAGGTACTCTAGCCTGGGTGACAGAGTGGGACTCTGTCTAAAATAATAATAATAATAATACAGTTTCTGTTTCTTTTAAATGTGAGCTCAACAAGTAAAACTTATTCATTTCAGTCCTTCCAACATTAATACCATGGATAGCTCATAGCTTTCCTCTCACATGACAATTCCAATTTCTGGACATGCCAAGACCTTAGAATTTAGAGCAATCTGTTAAGTCCAATTGCAGGGCTAGTTGGTTATAGTTGTTGGAAGCTAAGAAGTACAGTGTGCCATGAAAAAAGGGATATAGATATGTTTTCCTTTAAAATACTGCTACGAATATAAGATTCTATGGTGTTCTATTTCACATAGTATGCTACACCTTTTTATTCAGTTCTGCCTCAGGGAAATAGGTGTATATATGTGTGTGGAGGCATAGGAAGCTTTAGATGCCATTCTCTTTCAGGCTATCCCCTATTGTCCTTTGGGAATGTGGAAAATTAACTAGACAAGGGCTTCTATGCTTCAGTAATCTTTGTCTTACTTTCATGGTTTTTGCCAAATATTTTTCTTTAAATTAACTATTTTTATTTGTATACATTTATTTTTAAAAAGTATATTTGTATCACTGTCATAAATTAAAAAAAAGATTTCGGTTATCATAAGCAGAATGTAACCATGAAAAGAAATACAACAAAAATAAAACTTTTTCATCAAATTCCAGCTAGATACTCTTGGACTCTCAGCCCAAGGCTGGACTCACTCTTTGTTATAAAGGAAGATTGGTAGATGTTAGAAAGATGTTAAGACATATTAGCATTAAAGTGAAACTTTCTTCTTGACATAATCAGTGTTATTAAAAGAAAATTAAAAGGAAAATATTATATTTGTTGCCCAAGTTAATTGATGTTGTGCCTATCACCTAAAATTATTTCCTGTATCTTAGTGGTATGTGTGCCCCACTTTGGGATACAGTAAACCAAGAGAAAAAGGGATTGAATTATTTTTTAAAAACTGAGGGAAAATTCCAAAAAGGAGAAATCTTTATGCCACCAAATATTATCATACTCTTGTATTTTCAAATCTATAAAGCACAATTTCGTTAGTGTTCATTTTCATTCTAAGATCCCTCATTATAAAGGCTCAAGCGGGCAGGGCGTGTGGCTCACACCTGTAATCCCAGCACTTTGGGAGGCCGAAGTGGGTGGATCACCTTAGGTTAGGAGTTTGAGACCAGCCTGGCCAACATGGTGAAATGCTGTCTCTACTAAAAATACAAAAAATTAGCCAGGCATGGTGACGTGTGCCTGTAGTCCCAGCTACTTGAGAGGCTGAGGGAGGAGAATCGCTTGAACCTGGGAGGCGGAAGTTACGGTGAGCCAAGATTGTGCCATTGCACTCCAGCCTGGGTGGCAGAGCAACACTCAGTTTCAAATAAATAAATAAATAAATAAAGGCTCAAGCTAATAAAAGAAAGCCTGTCAATGCACCTGTATCACCTTATCTGATGCATTATTTATTCACTCAAATAAAATTCATGGAGACCATCCACCTATTTAGAGCTTAACAAATATAGTAAGCGTTCAGCTATAAAACAAAAACCTTGGCATATAAATCTACAATAAACTAAGGGAAACAAGTCAACAGAGGTACAAGGGAAAAACATTTCAGGATTTCAATAGAAAAACTATAAACTTGAAAAAGAAAAGAAGGAGAAAAGAGGTACATTAAGAAATCCGGATAGGTTCAAGTAAGTTTTCTATGCTTTTTTGAAAGAAATTTTCAAAGTAGGATGATCAACCATCCTGGTTTTCCTGGGACGGATGAATTTCCTAGGATACAGAACTTTTTTAACAAATTGAGAAAGTCCTGGCAAATCAGGACCAGTTAGTCACCCTAATTCGAAAGCTTCCTTCAGGCTGGGTACGGTGGCTCACCCCTGTAATCCCAGCACTTTGGGAGACTGAGGCAGGCGGATTACCTGAGGTTAGGAGTTCAAGACCAGCCTGGTCAACATGGTGAAACACTGTCTCTACTAAAAATACAAAAATTAGCCAGGTGTGGTGGCACACACCTGTAATTCCAGCTACTTGGGAGGCTGAGGCAGGAGAATCACTTGAACCTGGGAGGTGGAGGTTGCAGTAAGCCAAGATCGTGCCACTGCACTTCAGCCTGGGCAACAGAGCAAGACTCAGTCTCAAAAAAAAAAAAAAATGAAAGAAAGCTGCCTTCAAACATACATATTAAGCAGTACAGAAGTAGAACTTTTCCTCCTGTAGGGTGTTGGAGGATGTATGAAGTTATGTCTACAGAGCATCTGATAAACTTTGCCATGCCTAGAAATCGCTTTGGGAATACTATTGTCAAACCTTTTTCCTAAAATTGCAATTAAATTTTATTGACTAATTACCTGAAATGGAATAAGGACAAGCATCAAGCATCTTTTTCCAATATCCCTTCTACTTGCCTTTTTTTTTTTTTTTAAGACAGAGTCTTGCTCTGTCACCAGGCTGGAGTGCAGTGGTGCAATCTCAGCTCACTGCAACCTCCGCCTCCCGGGTTCAAGTGATTCCCCTGCCTCAGCCTCCTGAGTGGCTGGGACTAAAGATGTGCGCCACCACGCCCGGCTAATTTTTTGTATTTTAGTAGAGATGGGGTTTCACCGTGTTGGCCAGGATGGTCTCAATCTCCTGACCTCATGATCTGCCTGCTTTGGCCTCCAAAAGTGCTGGGATTACAGGCGTGAGCCACCACGCCCAGCCTCTACTTGCTATTGACCATCTAAGTGCTCAGTGACACTCACATAGTAATACTTCTAGGGATGCTGGGGCATTATCTGTAAATGGTTGAAGATACTAAGTAACCAAAGGCATTTGAATATGAAAATTATCCAGTTCAGTATGCCAGTGTTTTTTTTCCATAGGTCATCTACTTGTCTCTTCCATCCCTACCACTTGATTTATAAGATAATATAATTAAATTCAATAATCAGTCTCTGAAATGCCTTCTCTGTGAAAGACACTTTTTGCTAATTTAATTCTAAGCTCCTCTTACAAATCATGTATAAAATTATACACTTCTAAAATTATGTACTTCTACCTTATCGAAAATCAAGATTTGGGATTTTTCCAAATATGCACCTTGAAGATTTCAATTTTCTATGAGAGAAACCATTACTATGAAATGCTTAATTGTGCATATTCCTAGTACTCCTCACTTAAGGCTCTAACAGCACTTTCTAGGTGCAAAATACAACACAGGGCTGGGCATGGTGGCTCACGCCTGTAATCCCAAAACTTTGGGAGGCCAAGGCAGGCGGATCACGAGGTCAGGAGTTCAAGACCAGCCTGGCCAACATAGTGAAACCCCGTCTCTACTGAAAATACAAAAATTAGCTGGGCATGGTGGCATGCGCCTGTAGTCCTAGCTACTCGAGAGGGTGAGGCAGGAGAATCACTTGGACCCGGGAGGTGGAGGTTGTGGTGAGCCAAGATCATGCCACTGCACTCCAGCCTGGGTGATAGAGTGAGACTCCATCTCAAAAAAATAGAAAAAGAAAAAAAAAATCACAGTACACACACAAATAAAATAAAATCAACAAAAAACAAATAAAATAACAAAACCCCAAAGTACTAATATCTCACAATTTACTATATAGTAACATCATTTCTTCTTCTTCTTTTTTTTTTTTTTTTTGAGACGGAGTCTCCCTCTGTCACCCAGGCTGGAGTGCAGTGGCGTTATCTTGGTTCACTGCAACCTCTGCTTCCCAGGTTCCAGCAATTCTCCTGCCTCAGCCTCCCGAATAGCTGGGACCACAGGCACACGCCGCCATGCCTGGCTAATTTTTTGTATTTTAGTAGAGACAGGGTTTCACCATGTTGCCCAGGCTGGTTGCGAACTCCTGGGCTCAGACAATCCACCTGCCTCGGCCTCTCAAAGTGCTGGGATTATAGGCATGAGCCACAGCTCCCAACCACATCATTTCTTCTTAATGCATTCTTCTCATTTATGTATTGCATTATTCAAAACAATTATTGTTCCAAATTTAGTATATGTGCTGCCTAAGCAAGCTCTATTCAAAAAACTATTGAGTACTTTCTTTGGACTGCACACTCTGCTAGGAACTGGGGATTCAGGAATAACACAGACAATGTCCCTACCTACATAGGGCTCACATTCTGGTTGGTGCCTTTGAGACATTTAAAATGAATGTCAAATAGAAAAAAAAGTCTCCAAGGCATGAAGCTCTGACTACTCGGGAGAAAAAGATTAGCTAGCCAAGCAGATCTTGTCTATCTTTAGTTTTCAGACTTTGGGGATCAAATAGAAGGAAAGCAGAATAGTTTAGAACAAGAAATGAGTCATACTGGAATACAACCAGTGTAAGAAAAAAACAAAAAGCTATAATCTCTGTTTGTCTTCCTTGGAGCAGAGTTCTGCAAAAGAAATCTTTTGATATAGATGTGGGGTTACTTCCTCCTTTCCTTGAATCCTTATTAAAGCTTTTGGTAAACAGCTTTGGTTAATATAATCCTGTTTCTTTTAATGACATTGGTTCACTCTTTAGCTATTACACACTTTCTGACTTTACTTTCATGGATAAGTTGCCATGCCCATGCAAAAATTTAGCCCAAGAATCCAAATGGACCAGATTTTTCAAGCAAAATCTTTGTTTTCTTTTCTTTTTTTTTTTCTTTTTGAGACAGAGTCTCACTCTGTCACCCAGGCTGTAGTGCAGTGGTGCGATCTCAGCTCACTGCAACCTCTGTCGCCCGGATTCAAGCAATTCTCCTGCCTCAGCCTCCTGAGTAGCTGGGATTACAGGCGCCTGCCATCGTGCCCAGCTAATTTTTGTATTTTTAGTAGAGACGGGGTTTCACCGTGTTAGGCAGGACTCGATCTCCTGACCTCGTGATCTGCCGGCCTTGGCCTCCCAAAGTGCTGGGATTACAGGCGTGAGCCACTGTGCCGGGCCCAATCTTTGATTTCTTTGTGTTGGTACAGAGTCCTCTGAATAAAAAAGAAAAGGAAACTATAGGTAATTTTAGAATTCTTTTGGCAAGAAAAGCAATCAATATTATAAACAATACTGCCAGGCCGGGCGGATCTCCTGAGCTCAGGAGTTGGAGATCACCCTGGGCAACATGGTGAAACCCCATCTCTACTAAAATACAAAAAATTAGCTGGGCATGGTGGTGCGCACCTGTAGTTCCAGCTACTTGGGAGGCTGAGCCACAAGAATTGATCGAACCCCAGAGGGAGAGGCTGCAGTGAGCCAAGATCACACCACTGCACTTCAGCCTGGGCAATACAGTGAGACTCTGTCTCAAAACAAAACAAAACAAAAACAATACTGCTACTATTAAATAATAGGCCAGGTGCAGTGGCTCATGCCTGTAATGCCAACACTTTGGGAGGCCGAGGCAGGTGGCTTACTTGAGTCCAGGTGTTTGAGACAAGCCTGGACAACATGATAAAATCCTGTTTCTACAAAATATAAAAATAAGAAAATTATCTGAGCATAGTGGCATTTGTCTGTAGTCCCAGTTACTTGGGAAGCTAAGGCAGGAGAATCACCTGTGCTCATGAGGTCAAGGCTGCAGTGAGCTGTGATTGGGCCACTGCACTCCAGCCTGCGTGACAGAGTAAGACTCTGTCTCAAAAAAAAAAAAATGCAGACATTTATTGAGCATCAGTTAAGTGAAGGAAATTAGAGAATACATAAGGTCATAGTCCTTGGCCTTAAAAAACATGATCATTTCGTATGTCAGGTGCTAGGTACTAGCAGAGATGCAAAAGAAGTATTCAAGAGGGTTCTGGGCTGGGCGCGGTGGCTGAAACCTGTAATCCCAGCACTTTGAGAAGCTGAGGTGGGCGGATCACTTGAGGTCAGGAGACCAGCCTGGCCAACATGGCGAAACACAATCTCCACAAAAAAACTACAAAAATTAGCCAGGCGTGGTGGCAGGTGCCTGTAGTCCCAGCTATTGGGGAGGCTGAGGCAGGAGAATCGCTTGAACCTGGGAGGTGGAGGTTGCAGTGAGCCAAGATTGAGCCACTGCACTCCAGCCTGGGCGACAGAGCAAGACTGCGTCTCAAAAAAAAAAAAAAAAAGAACCCTCCTTTCCATTGTCATGTAATTGGCTTAAGAGACATGTGAACCAATTTTGACCAACAAGTCACAGGAGGTTTGCTGGAAGCCTCTGGGAAAGGAACTTCATTGATCTTGCTGGGTGTTAAGGGGTAGAATGTAGCCTATATAGCCTGATAGTTACTGAAGATCATCTTGAGATTATGGCAGAGGAGGCTTAGAATTAAGCCTATATTACAGAAGGCAGAGGAGAGAGATGGAAAAAACGGAGGTTTTTTTTTTTTTTTTTTTTTTTTTTGAGAAAAAAGGTATCATTCTGTCACCCAGGCTGGGGTGCAAGTGGCGCAATCACGGCTCAATGCAGCCTTGACTTCCCAGGTTCAGGCAATCCTCCTGCTTCAGCCTCCTGAGTAGCTGTGACTACACATATGTGTCACCACACGAGGCTCTGAGTTCTTGATCATGTAATTTTTCCTCTGAGTTAACTAACGCTGAAGCTTTTGTGAGTCAATAAACTTTTGATTTAGGACAGTTTGAATCAGTATTGATGTTATTTGCAGAAAGCATCCTACCTGAAGCTAGGTTCCAACTTTCAAAGACACAGTCTAGTTGGGGAGGCAGGATCACCATATTTCACTGGCTCTCTGATGTACTTCCTTTTCTCCATATTTTTTTGAAGGGGTGGCCTGCCCCTCCACACCTGTGGGTATTTTTAGTCGGGTGGGATGAGAGACTGAGAAAAGAAATAAGACACAGAGACAAAGTATAGAGAAACAACAGTGGGCCCCGGGGACCTGCATTCAGCATACCAAGGTCCTGCACCAGCACCGGTCTCTGAGTTCCCTCAGTTTTTATTGATTATTATCTTCATTATTTCAGCAAAAAGGAATGTAGTAGGAGGGCAGGGTGATAATAAGGAGAAGGTCAGCAACAAACATGTGAGCAATAGAATCTACGTCATAATTAAGTTCAAGGGAAGGTACTATGACTGGACGTGCACGTAAGCCAGATTTATGTTTCTCTCCACCCAAACATCTCAGTGGAGTAAAGAATAACAAGGCAGCATTGCTGTAAACATGTCTCGCCTCCCACCATGGGCGGTTTTTCTCTTATCTCAGAATTGAACAAATGTACAATTGAGTTTTATACCGAGACATTAAGTTCCCAGGGGCAGGCAGGAGACAGTCGCCTTCCACTATCTATCTCAACTGCAAGAGACTTTCCTCTTTTACTAATCCACCCCAGCACAGACCCTTTACGAGTGTCGGGCTGGGGGACGGTCAGGTCTTTCTCATTCCATGAGGCCATATTTCAGACTATCACATGGGGAGAAACCTTGGACAATATCCCGCTTTCAAGGGCAGAGGTCTCTGCAGCTTTCCACAGTGCATTGTGCCCCTGGTTTATTGAGACTAGAGAATGGCGATGACTTTTACCAAGTATACTACTTGTAAACATTTTGTTAACAAGGCACGTCCTGCACAGCCCTAGATCCCTTAAACCTTGATTTCATACAACACATGTTTTTGTGAGCTCCAGGTTGGGTCAAAGTGGTTGAGGCAAAGCTACAAATTAACAACATCTCAGCAAAGCAATTATTTAAAATACAGGTCTTTTTCAAAATGGAGTCTCTTATGTCTTTCCTTTCTACATAGACACAGTAACAGTCTGATCTCTCTTTCTTTTCCCTACATCTTTTAGCATCTCTGAGATGAGGGTGTGTTTCTGAAATCAGAGTATAAAATCATAAAATTATTCTTACTCCTTACTCAAGCAGCAGCCTTTCTTTTTTTCTTTCTTTCTTTCTTTTTTTTTTGGAGATGGAGCCTCACTCTGTCGCCCAGGCCTCAGCCTCCCAAGTAGCTGGGATTACAGGTGCCCGACACCATGCCTGGCTAATTTTTGTATGTTTAGTAGAGACGGGGTTTCACCATGTTGGCCAGGCTGGTCTCGAACTCTCGACCTCAGGTGATATGCCTGCCTCGGCCTCCCATAGTGCTGGGATTACAGGCATGAGCCACCACGCCCCAAGCAGCAGCCTTTTCATAGTTGTCAATGCCTATGCATGTGTGCATGGCCTTGGTCATACTGTTCAGTTGATATTGCTTAAGTTATAGGCACTGTTTGAAATACAGGTATTAAGCTTAATCACCATTTAAAATTAATCATGATTGCATCATGATTCAGAATTGAAATGAAAGTTTATTCTGTCTTCAGAAAAGCCCAGAAACAGCAGCAAAACATACATTGATATAAGTATAGGAAATATTCATCCTTGGAGGAATTACCACAATTCCATACTTTCTTGCAAATACTTTATGCAGGAACTAGGGAAAGAAGACACCCACAAGTATATGGAACTGTGTTATATTCTGTTACTGAGATGCATGCAGAAGGAATGCCATTCACACATCAAACAATGCACCTGAAAGCAAGAAAAAAAAAATGCCAAATCCCTCAGAATACATGTAAGAAATTTCAAGGTCATGATAGGTTTGTGTTATTGCATCACACAGGACTGTCATTAAAGCATTGTGCCATAGAAAATGGAAACATTATCAGGTGCCTTTTGCTTATAGGAAACTAATTGCCAAATTGGTCTTTTAGGCAGATGTGGTCACACCAGTTGTTTATGAGAATTTATTTTCCTGAACTAGAAGAAGAGTTTTAAATAATTTGATCTTATTGATTTTATTTTTGAAGGCCAGATCAACTTCTTTTCTTTGAAAAATTGAGGCATTTTGCTCTTTTTTTTTAATTATTATACTCTAAGTTCTAGGGTACATGTGCACAATGTGCAGGTTTGATACATAGGTATACATGTGTCATGTTTGTTTGCTGCCCCAATCAACTCATCATTTACATTAGGTATGTCTCTAATGCTATTCCTCTCCCAGCTCCCCACCCCACCGACAGGCCCCAGTGTGTGATGTTCCCTGCCCTGTGTCCAAGTGATCTCCTTGTTCAATTCCCACCTATGAGTGAGAACATGCGGTGTTTGGTTTTCTGTCCTTGTAATAGTTTGCTCAGAATGATGGTTTCCAGCTTCATCCATGTCTCTGCAAAGGACATGAACTCAACCTTTTTTATAGCTGCATAGTATTCCATAGCGTATATGTGCCACATTTTCTTAATCCAGTCTATCATTGATGGACATTTGGGTTGGTTCCAAGTCTTTGCTATTGTGAATAGTGCTGCAATAAACATACATGTGCATGTGTCTTTATAGTAGCACGATTTATAATACTTTGAATATATACCCAGTAATGGGATGGCTGGGTCAAATGGTAATTCCAGTTCTAGATCCTTGAGGAATCGCCACACTGTCTTCCACAATGGTTGAACTAATTTACACTCCCACCAACAGTGTAAAAGCGTTCCTATTTCTCCATATCCTCTCCAGCATCTGTTGTTTCCTGACTTTTTAATGATAGCCATTCTAACTGGCATGAGATGGTATCTCATTGTGGTTTTGATTTGCATTTTTCTGATGACCAGTGATGAGCATTTTTTCTTGTGTCTGTTGGCTGCATAGATGTCTTTTTTAGAGAAGTGTCTGTTCATATCCTTTGCCCACTTTTTGATGGGGTTGTTTGTTTGTTTCTTGTACATTTGTTTAAGTTCTTTGTAGATTCTGGATATTAGCCCTTTGTCAGATGGGTAGATTTCAAAAATTTTCTCCCATTCTATAGGTTGCCTGTTCACTCTGATGGTAGTTTCTTTTGCTGTGCAGAAGCTCCTTAGTTTAATTAGATCCCATTTGTCAATTTTGGCTTTTGTTGCCATTGCTTTTGGTGTTTCAGTCATGAAGTCCTTGCCCATGCCTATGTCCTGAATGGTATTGCCTAGGTTTTCTTCTAGGGTTTTTATGGTTTTAGATCTAACATTTAAGTCTTTAATCCATCTCGAATTAATTTTTGTATAAGGTGTAAGGAAGGGATCCAGATTCAGCTTTCTACATATGGCCAGCCAGTTTTCCCAGCACCATTTATTACATAGGGAATCCTTTCCCCATTTCTTGTTTTTGTCAGGTTTGTCAAAGATCAGATGGTTTTAGATGTATGGTGTTATTTCTGAGGCCTCTGTTCTGTTCCATTTGTCTGTATATCTGTTTTGATACCAGTACCATGCTGTTTTGGTTACTGTAGGCTTGTAGTATAGTTTGAAGTTAGGTAGTGTGATGCCTCCAGCTTTGTTCTTTTGGCTTAGGATTGTCTTGGCAATGTGGGCTCTTTTTTAGTTCTACATGAACTTTAAAGCAGTTTTTTCCAAAGGCATTTTGCTCTTTAAGTGAAATTACCAGCACTGTTATTGGAGATACTGTTATTTAGCCCTGATAAAAACCTGTTTCAAAAAGATAACCACTATAGCCATGTGTAATGGTGCACACCTGTAATCCCAGCTACTTGGGAGGATAAGACAGGAGGGTTGCTTGAGCCCAGAAGTTTGAGGCTGTAGTACACAATGATAGTGCTTGTGAATAGCCACTGCACTCCAGCTTGGGCAACATAGTGAGATCTCATCTCTCAAATAAAGAAAAAAGAAAGAAGAAGACCACACTAACTTTGGAACTTGCACCTTTGGAATAAACTTAGCTGGATGGATCCTATATTCTTCTGCAATTAGCATCTGTAATATCCATAGCATAATCCACATTTTTTCTGGAAATGCTTGCATGCGGCAGGATAGAAGTTTCCTAATCTCTTGTGTGTTTTAAATGTTTATAGACATATTTAGATCATAGAGAGACTGCTGTCTGTAAATAGATCTGCTTCTCTAAACAGTCCCTAAATGATCTCTCTGCCTCTTTCCTTGTCTTTCACTTAATTGTATAAGATGCAAAATGTCCTTTATAAAGCCTGATTTGGTTCTACTGCCTGAAGAATAGCATGCAGACTCCTCAGTCTGATATTCAGTTTGATAATGTCAGCCTATATTTCTAATTTTATTTTGTACCATACTCTTTCACATATTCTATACCTCAGTTGCATTAGAGGGCTTGCCTTTTCCCAAACCTACTTACAGTCTCTTATCTCCATATCTTTCCTTATGGTAGTTTCTCCTTGTGAAATCCTTTCCTATCATCTGTCTCTTCCTTTTGGAGTCCTTCCCATCCTTCGTGGCCCAGCTGAAGTAGTGCTATTTTACATCTCCTTATTGAGGGTTAATGCCTCTCTCTCTTATTTTCCTATTATTTTCATTGCATGTGTTGTGTCACTACTACACTTGGTTTATCTTGTATTCAAATTAAGAGTGATTTGTAAATATGTTTGCTCTACTGGACTTGGGCTCCTAAGAGCAGTGACCAAATTTTTCACTAATTTTAGTCATTCGATAATGAATGGGGTTAGTCACTGTGTTAAACACTCTCATGAAGCTTCTAGTCAACAAGGAAAGCCAGACATTAACGAATAATTACAAGTGTGTTGAATATGATGACAGAAAGGTAAGTTTTAATAGGAGCATATTAGAAGGGAACATAATTTAGTCTGAGTAGTTGGGGAAAGCTTCCTGGAAAAAGTAACACTTAAACTGAGATTTAAAGGATAGTACCAGCCTGGTGCTTTGGCTCATGCCTGTAATCCCAGCATTTTGGGAGGCTGGGGTGGGAGAATTACCTGAGCTCAGGAGTTCGAGAACAGACTGGGCAACATAGCAAAACCTTGTCTTTACTAAAAAAACTAAAAAATAATAAAAAATTAGTTGGGCATGGTGGTGTATGCCTATAGTCCCAGCTACCAGGAAGGTTGAGGTGGAAGGATTGCTTGAGCCTGGAAGATGGAGGCTGCAGTGAGCCATCATTGCACCACTGCACTCCCACCTGGGCTACAGAGCAAGACCCTGTGTCAAAAACAAACACACAAACAAACAAATAAACAATAAAAAAAAGTAGGAACCAAAAAGATGAAAATGGGAAGGGAACTGAAAGAGGACAGAAACAGGACAGGAACAGTATCTAAGAAAGCTAAGACTTTAGAAATAATGACATGTTCTTAGTACTGAAAAAAGTCAAGGTTGTGGGAATTTAATAAATGAGGAGGAAAGTGGCACCATGTGAGCCTGTAGAAGCAGACAGCAGCTGAATCACGCTGTCCTAAGAATTTATGATTTTATCCTAGGGGCAGTAGGAAGTAATTGGAGGTTTTAATAAGGGAAATGAGGAGGTCAGAATTATGTTTGTAAAAGCACATGTTGGCTTGGCGCGGGGCTCCAGTCTGTAATCCCAGCACTTTTGGAGGCCGAGGTGGGTGGATCACAGATCAAGAGATAGAGACCATCCTGGCCAACAGAATAGGCAGGAGAATCACTTGAACCCGGGAGGCAAAGGTTGCAGTGAGCTGAGATGGTGCCACTGAACTCCAGCCTGGGCGACAGCGTGAGACTCTGTCTCAAAAAAATAAAAATAAAAAAATAAAAGCACATGTTTGCTGTAATATGAATGTATCTGAGACACAAGAGTTTGTTATTTGTTTATTTTGGTGGGAGGTGGTTTTATTTGTTGTTTGCAATTATTCAGGCAAGAGACTGTGGTAACTTAGACCCTTAGATATTTGCATCCCCTACAAGGTCGAGTACAAGTGTTTGTTTCCAGTGTCATTAATAAATGTTTTTTGAACTGAAGTAAATTAATTGGCTCATAAGTATAAACTCCAAGACACTACAGTCATCAGGAACAAACACTTTTATTTTTTTTTTTGAGATGGAGACTCGTTCTGTCACCCAGGCTGGAATGCAGTGGTGTGATCTCAGCTCACTGCAAACTCCGCCTCCCAGATTCAAGCGATTCTCCTGCCTCAGCCTCCCGAGTAGCTGGGATTACAGGCACATGCCACCATGCCTGGCTACTTTTTTTTTTTTTTTTTTGAGACAGAGTTTCCCTCTTTTGCCCAGGCTGTAGTACAATGGCGCCATCCTGGCTCACCGCAACCTCCGCCTCCCAGGTTCAAGAGATTCTCCTGCCTCACCATCCCTAGTAGCTGGGATTAGAGGCATGTGCTACCATGCCCAGCTAATTTTGTATTTTTTCAGTAGGGTTTCTCCATGTTGACCTGGCTGGTTTCGAACTCCTGACCTCAGGTGATCTGCCCACCTCAGCCTCCCAAAGTGCTGGGATTACAGGTGTGAGCCACTGCGCCTGGCCTAATTTTTGTATTTTTAGTAGAGACAGAGTTTTGCCATCTTGGGCAGGCCGGTCTCAAACTCCTGATCTCAGGTTATCCACCCACCTCAGCCTCCCAAAGTTCTGGGATTACAGGTGTGAGCCACCCTGCCCGGCCATGGATCAAACACTTTTCTTTTTTTGAGACAGAGTCTCGCTCTGTCACCCAGGCTGGAGTGCAGCGGCGTGATCTCAGCTCACTGCAACCTTCGCCTCCCAGGTTCAAGCGATTCTCCTGCCCCAGCCTCCTGAGTAGCAGGGGGAACAAACACTTTTAAATACCTGGGCATTCTTCTCCAAGTGACCTCAGGTCTGTGATTCCAGGTTTCACTAAGTCCAGAGCAAATAATAATTTCTTCTCTAGTGGTCCCTGAAGATCCTGTATCAGGAAGAAAACACTGTAACTAAAACTACTGCCAGTCTCATTTTACAGGAAACTTCTCTATAAACGTCACTTGTTAAGTACTGGTGGAAATGACATTCCTTTCAGTTCAAGAAAGGAAGCTCATTCTTTCTCATTAGTTGCCTCCTGCTTTGGTTGCTAATGTTTCAATGTATGCAAATAAAATCTCTCCCTTACCTTACTTCATAAAACAACAGGTTATGCTTTTAATTTTTTGTGAGGTTAGAAAATCTGTCTAGGTGTAATATTTGGTAATCTTGTGTCAGATTACTTTTATGCTTAGTAATTTTTAAAATTTTCAAGATAGCCATTTATCATCAAAATGGGAAGTGTGTGTGGGTATGAATAAGCACGATTAAAGAAAACAGGCCATGGCCGGGTGCAATGGCTCATGCCTGTAATCTCAGCACTTTGGGGGGCCGAGGTAGGTGGATCACTTGAGGCCAGGATTTCGAGACTAGCCTGGCCAACATGGTGAAACCCTGTCTCTACTAAAAAAATATAAAAAATTAGCCGGGCATAGTGGCGCATGCTTGTAGTCCCAGCTACTCAGGAGGCTGAGGCAGGAGAATCGCTTGAACCCAGGAGACGGAGGTTGCAGTGAGCCAAGATCGTGCCATTGCACTCCAGCCTGAGCAACAAGAGTGAAACTCCATCTCAAAAAAGAAAAGGAAAGAACAGATGAGCAGATATTTAAGGAAAATAGCTAGTTATGAAGCATAATTATTCAGGACAGCTGTGAGATACACATGCGTGCACACACACACACACACACACACACACACACACACCTCTTCTTTCAGATACCAAATAGAGACATGATTAAGTTTCTTTTCAGTGTGACAAAGCAAAGTTGATCCCATTTCCTTCAAACCTACTCGGTTTTCTTATCTATAAAATGGAGATAATACTGTTTACTTCATGAGGCTGTAAGGATTAAATATGTTACATAAAATAACAAGTAAGTACAGTAAATGTTTAATCAATTAAATAATACATAGAAAAAATACTAAGATACTCTACATATCTAGACGCCTTCTCCATACAACCTTAAAGACTTGATATTATTAGGAATGTTTACATTATGAATTGGACTAAGGAACATTTTTAGACAAACTTGAAGTAGTTGCAATTAGTCTTTGGTTCACCTTCCTGCCCCTTTGTGTTCAGGTTCATCCTCTTCTGTATTCACATTCCTGGTGTCCACATGATGGTTTCTAATTGCTTGTTGCTTTCCTTTTTGCAGTCTATTCAGAACTTATTTCTCTGAAAGTATTTCATGACACAGTGTACTCCAAAATGAGGTGTCTTTTTTTCTAACTCTGTTTTTTGTTTTTGAGGCAGAATTTTGCTCTTGTTGCCCAGGCTGGAGTGTAATGGCACGACCTCGGCCTTCTGCAACCTCCATCTCCCAGGTTCAAGCAATTCTCCTTCCTCAGACTCCTCAGTAGCTGGGACTACAGGTGCACATCACCAGATCTGGCTAATTTTTTTGTATTTTTGGTAGATACAGGGTTTCACCATGTTGGCCAGGCTTGTCTCAAACTCCTGACCTCAAGTGATTCGCCCACCTTGGCCTCCTAAAGTGCTGGAATTACAGGTATGAGCCACCACACTCGGCCATTTCTAACTCTGTTTAAACTTTCAACCTCTTCAAAAGGCTCAACTTAGCTAGGCGTTAGGAAGCAAGTGCTCTTACTAAGCTAATTTGAATCAAAGCATTTGGTTAATTTAATCTTTACGCATATTTACAGTTGAGAAAGGACAGTCATTAACCCCAGTGACAATGATTTTGTAGTGGAATTTTAGGCTCTGTAAAGGAGATGTTTTTTAGGTCAGGCAATAATTTAACTGGCAGTAATTCTCAATCTTAGTTGCACTTTGGAATCATTTGAGAAGCTTTTAAAAGATGCCTATTGCCGAGACCCACCCCCAGAGAGTCTAATATAATTGGTCTGGGGTGAGGATCAGAAAGTGGAATTTTTAAAGCTCCCCAGATGGATTCTAATGTGCAGCTATGTTTAAGAACTATCAGGTTAGAATAACCCTGTTTTGATTTAACCTCATTACTAAAAGGTTTTCATTTTTCTATTATGTGAGTCACATACACATTGATTACTATACCTGACAAAAGAAGGTTGGGAAAAGTTTAATGGGACAATATAGAGCATTAATTGTAATTTAAGTGTCATCAAATTCACCTCCCACATTTTACTAATGAAGAAAAAAATTCAAATGGTTAAACTTACAGAGATAGTTAGAGGTGGAGCCAGGGCAAACTTTAAATGACTTAAACAATAGAATATTTTTTAGGATATATTAAAATATCCTAGATTTTTTTTCACTTTTTGAAATTTAATTTAATTAATTTTCTAACGGGCTAAATTTATTTTAAAATAAGAGTCATTCATGCAAATGGCAAAATTCAAACAATTCAAAAAAGTACAAAGTAGAAAAGCACAGGTTAAGGCCAGGCGCGGTGGCTCATGCCTGTAATCCCAGCACTTTGGGAGGCTGACGCGGGTGGATCACCTGAGGTCACGAGTTCGAGACCAGCCTGGCCAACATGGTGAAACCCCGTCTCTACCCAAAATACAAAAATTAGCTGGGCGTGGTGGCAGTTGCCTGTAATCCCAGCTACTCGGGAGGCTGAGGCAGGAGAATTGCTTGAACCTGGGAGGTAGAGGTTGCAGTGAGTCGAGATAGTGCCATTGCACTCCAGCCTGGTGGACAAGAGTGAGACTGCCTCTCCAAAAAAAAGAAAAAAAAAAAAAAAAAAGCAGAGGTTACTTTTCTTTGTTGCCATTTCTGCCACAAAGAATATAACTATTGTCTTCCACAAGGCGGCAGTATTGCTTACTCTTCAACAATCTCCCCATGGCCAGACAGTGACTGCCAGAGTCGACTATGAATATTCAAGTCATTCTCCCAGTGACTGAATCAGTCCCTGGTACTGAAATGCCAGGTCAAAGCCAGATTCCCGTCATGAGAAAAACCAAAAGTGAACAAAGAACTGCACCAGATAGAGCTGTAACTGTGTGGATAAACAGTAGGAAATAGGTTAGGGACGGAGAGAACCAAATGAAGCACAGGGCAGTGGGTTGCCGCCCAGAAAACTTCTATCAATTTCCTATCTCCATGGAGGAACTGCAACAGCTAGGGTCAGTTTTGAGAAAGCGTGCATCCAATTGTGTCATGCACAGAATTTTCTCTTTACAATGAACTGGACCCAGTCAATTCAAGGGTTTCCACAGTATCCCTCATGGCTCCAGAAGTCTCTAGGCTACTAGAAAAGACCTGGATCTTTCAATAGTGCCCTTCCCCAAAAAGAGTTGGGGAGATCATGTTTGAGTTTCCCAACCTTGTAGATTTCCAGCAGGAACAGGTGATAAAAAGCACAGATGGTCCTGTTTTGGTCATTAAATTCTAGCGACATATGGTGAGGAGAATGCTTTTTAGACTTTCTATGTGAGATCACATATCTACTGGAATAAAACGTTTGTTACTGGTGACATCTTTAGGATCCTGAGAGAATGACCCTTCTCTGTGACATTCAATAATATGCTTCTCCATGACCTAGGAGAGGACAGAACTGAAGAAAGTAGTAAGTGATGGAATTGTAGAAAGGAAAACTCTTCGTCTCCTCAAATCCTTGAGATCATTGCAGCAGGGATAGGGGCAGGGGCAGAAGCAGAGGCAAGGAATGGACTATGACAGAAAAGGTTTGTGTGAGGGACAGTTACTAAGAGTGAAGCTTTGTTCCCAAGGTAAACCCAGACAAACCACAGAGAAAGAAGAATGTGGGAAACACATTATGGAATTTGCAAGATACGTCTCTAATTATTATGGATCTATTGTGATGTGATCTACTGTTTGGGGTCCTTCAAAGTAATGGGTATAGAGCCTAGAACACAGGACCAAGAACCAGCATTTTTTTTTTTTTTTCTAATCAAGAGTCTTTCTAAAAGCTGCTGAGCTCTTAGACCAACTTTGTAGTTTAGACAGTCTTTTGGTAACTAATGGGAATTGTTGTACCTAATTACAACAATGGAGAGAAATACCATACTAAATACTTTGAGTCATAATGTCAATCAGTTTAAGTTAAATCTTTACTTTCCACAAGCATTATTTCTTTTTTTTTGAGATGGAGTCTCGCTCTGTCCCCCAGGCTGGAGTGCAGTGGCGGGATCTCAGCTCACTGCAAGCTCTGCCTTCCTGGTTCACACCATTCTCCTGCCTCAGCCTCCCGAGTAGCTGGGACAACAGGCGCCTGCCACCATGCCCGGCTACTTTTTTGTATTTTTAATAGAGACGGGGTTTCACCGTGTTAGCCAGGATGGTCTCGATCTCCTGACCTCGTGATCCGCCCGCCTTGGCCTCCCAAAGTGTTGGGATTACAGGCGTGAGCCACTGCGACCAGCCAGCATTACTTCTTTTAGTGACCCCTGGCTACTTCTAAATGATGTGCCTGATTTCAACTATGAATTTCCACTTTTTTTTTCCGTGCTGTATCCAAACTTCATTCTGGATTACAGTGCTTGGCAATATGTCCAATGATCATGGTTTGTAACGGGAAAAATCCTGGCTATTGCCTTCATAAGGCTTAGACATCTTATATAGTCCTGGCAGAACTTTTATTGATAAACAAAAACAACAACAAAAACCCAGGATGTTGACCTGCATTTTCTAGGTTTGAAGTTAAAACAAATTTTGCACAGGCTATATAATTTAGTCAATGGGCACTCCCAAACCTCAGACTGGAAATATGAAACCCGGTTAAAAGCCAATAAAGAAAACCTGATGTGATCCCAGAGCTAATTAGGAGAATCTACTAAAAACATTCTTGTTAATAATGCAAGTGCTGGGCTCGTTGTCACAGTGTTAGAAGAACCGTAACTGTGTTCTCTCTCTCTCTCTCTTCTTTTTTTTTGAGACGGAGTCTGGCTCTGTTGCCCAGGCTGGAGTGCAGTGGTGCGATCTCGGCTCACTGAAAGCTCCGCCTCCCGGGTTCACGCCATTCTCCCGCCTCAGCCTCCTGAGTAGCTGGGACTATAGGCACCAACCACCACACCCGGCTAATTTTGTTTTTGTATTTTTAGTGGAGACGGGGTTTCACCGTGTTATCCAGGATGGTCTCGGTCTCCTGACCTCATGATCCGCCTGCCTCGGCCACCCAAAGTGCTGGGATTACAGACATGAGCCACCACACCCAGCCACTGTGTCCTCTTAATTCCACCTCAATTTTAAGTGAAAGATGGGCATACAAATCAGAAGGAAATAGCATTGCCAGTGCCATGTTATGCCCTACCTTGGTCTGGAGCCAGGTGCACGATAACCAGAAGATCAGCTCTTACTGGCCAATGGGAGTGTTTATGTCTCTTAATCACAGTGGACATGTCTGAGAGACTGCCGGCTCTAGTAGACTGCTCACTGATACCTGGTTCCTCTTCATGTGGAAAGATCACAATAACCTGTCCTGTTGAGCTCAGATGTCACCATGTGAGTTGCTTTGGCCATTGAAATGTGAGTGGAAGCTCTGGGGGTTCCTCTGGCAGAAGTTTTAAGAGCCAGAGCATGCTTTTTCATGGTCTGCTTTTCCTCTGCCATGGTTACCAATAACATTCCAGACAGAAGTTGCTCTGGCAGTCTGGGTGCCAAAGTGAAAATAATGATGGAGAGAGCAGAGCAACTTTGCTGACCTCCAATGCACATGTGGTGTGAATGAGATGTAAGCTTTTGCTTTTTTAAGGTTGTTTGTCACTGTAGCACAACCCTACATCATACATTCTCAATGGGAGAGGTTTCACCCCATGGAAGGCAAAAATTGGCCTTTTTTTTTTTTTGAGACGGAGTTTTGTTCTTGTTGCCCAGGCTGGAGTGCAATGGCGTGGTCTTGGCTCACTGCAACCTCCACCTCCTCGGTTCAAGCAATTCTCCTGCCTCAGCCTCCCAAGAAGCTGGGATTACAAGTGCCCGCCACCATGTCAGCTGATTTTTTTTTTTTTTTTTTTTGTATTTTTAGTAGAGATGGGGTTTCACCATGTTGGCCAGGCTGGTCTCGAACTCCTGACCTCAAATGATCCACCCACCTTGGCCTCCCAAAGTGCTGGGATTACAGGCGTGAGCCACCGTGCCCGGGCTTTTTTTTTTTTTTTAAATGTTATAAAACTCAGATGTGCTGGGTGTGGTGGCTCATGCAACATAGTGAGCCCTAATCCCTTAACAAACAAATAAGACAATTAGCCACGTGTAGTGGCCTGCACCTGCAATCCCAGCTACTTGAGAGACTGAGACAGGAGGATTTTTGAGCCCCCCAAATAAAAAAAACAAAAACAAAACACACAGATGTTATTGTATATATAGTACACAAATAGATATACTATATATTAAATATTTATGGGGGGATGATTAGGAAAAAAGTCTAAAAAGGCTCCTTGAGAGGTGATAATGAAATAAAGGTTGAGTAACATTGGTCTATAATGGTCAGGTTATCTTCATCAAATCTAATTTAGGGGGTTCTCAGCTCTAGTGGAACATTTAAGTCTTTTGGAGAGCTTTTTAAAAACACTGATATCCAAGTCTAGTTCCCAGAAATTCTAATTTAATTGGCAGAATTAACATATATATATATATATATATATATATATATATATATATATATTTTTTTTTTTTTTTTTTTTTTTTTTTTAACAGTTCCCAGGTAATTCTAATTTGCAGACAGGGTTAAGAACCACTGGACCAGACATTCTCAAAGACAAAGCCGCATTGCTTCCCCCAGGGAGAAGTCACACAAATAGCAGAGAAATAGCACAGAGCACAGGAAGTGGCTGGCATGGAGTACAACTCACTCCTGTTTTAGACGGGCTATTCTGGCCTCATACCAGGTAACAAAAAGCTGCATTCATCAAGAAGAGACAGCAATGTCCGCTTTCTGTATTTTATCATTCCCATTTCATGACACACTATTTGAATGCAGAAGGTCCTTTATGAGTCATTTGGAAAACACAAGAAGGCCAAAAAATGGCTGTGGTTATTCCTGGACTAGTACCCATAATCAGCATTTTCTGCACAGATGCATTTGGAAATCATCTCTAGCTCAGCTCCTAAAATTCTAAGTTCTTACTGAGTGAGTTAAAAAAGCCACTCAGCATGAGATCTTTATCTCCTATTCCTAGGAAACTCTAGATGCCAGAAGGGAACTTTCATATAGTGTGTAAAAGTTAAAAATTAAAGAAAATTAAAAACAATTAGGAGGGCACTTTCTCTGTCTTTGCATAGAAAGAGGCTTGGGCTAAATTGCAGTGACATGGGATTATCGTGACTGAATTTGGTCATTAGATGGATCACCACTTATTCTTCCCTGAAATGTGACTTGGAATTGACAATGGTATGGCCATATATATATATATATATATATGTATTTTTTTTTTTTAGATGGAGTTTTGCTCTTGTCACCTAGGCTGGAGTGCAATGGCACAATCTCGGCTCACTGCAACCTCTTCTGGTTATGGCTATATTTTAATGAAGTGGCTCATTTTCAGGTTGGAAGTTGAAATTATAATGTGTTAATTAATAAGGGTATCACCTTGATTTTTTCCTTTACACATTTGCACACTCAGATGGTATTTACATTGGTCTCATTTATTTGGAGGTTAAAATTAAAAGATGTGGATTGGCTTTCCTGATGTTAATTTTGGTCACTGAGCACCTAGCTCAAGGGAAGGTGGAGATATTTGCAGGCATTACTTGTGAAATTTCTTGAAGCATAAACATAAAATTTCCAGGAAATTCTCCACAAGGAGAGTCAGCATCAGTTGTACAAATTGACAAATGCTCACAACTATCTTGTCAACACTTGGTTGGTGATTTGGGCAGATACAGAAATAAAAAAAATCAAGTGTTGCAGTTATTAGTAGAGGCCAGAATGGATTTGAAATGTGAAGATGGACAAAACGTGGATCCTAAAGGGCTTAAACGCTAAGTATCTGCAATTCATTGTCTCTAATTTTTAAAATTTCTTTTCAATTTTTTAAATTGACAAAAATGTTATGTATAAGCCGAATGTAGAGATAAATGCCTTTAGTCGCAGCTACTTGGGAGGCTGAGGTGGGAGGATCCTTTGAGCCCAAAAGTTCAAGGTCAGCCTGGGCAACAGAGAGACCCCCATCTCAGAAACAAAACAAAATTATATATAAAATTGTACATAATAAATATATATAATTATATATAAAAATATATATATTTATTATATACAACATGGTGTTTTGAAATATTATGGAATGGCCCAATTGATCTAATTAACATATGCATTACCTCCTTATCTCTCGTTTCAAAGAATGGCAATTGTGAATCCTTTTTAGAACGCTGGCTAACCGCAATTCCTCATGTGGAGAAAGCAACACAGTGACTGTATGATGTTGCTCGTCTACCCACAGCTGATTGAATAAGAGGTAGACACCTGACTTAAGTTAATTACATTCTTTCTCCTGGGAATTTGGAATTGGGATGCAGAGTCTTTGGTTTGTTTATACTGGGCACTGGAACTGTTAGATAATGAAGAGCTGGGGCTGACTGCCATTTTCTACCAAGGGGATGTTGAAGCAGAGAAAGCCAATCTTCGAAGAAAGGAGAGAAGACATTATGGAGCCTAGAGGAGATGAAAGTAATATCTTCAGTTTGTGACTTTCAAGTTCCACGTCAAATCCCTTGTGAAACCTGACTGTCCTAACAGTTTTGGTTTTATAAGTTATGTGTGTATCTTTTCAATAAACATCATCCCCTTGTACTTGAACTAATTTGAGTGGGATTCAGTGCCCTACAATTATTGCTGTCTTAAGAAATATGTCTATGTCTCTATACATAGAATGGCTAAAATCTATGAAGAACATATGCCACATCTACTGCAGGTATTTGGCTTCTGAAAATTTTGCTTAAATTATTAAGGTTAGCCTTCCAGTAGATGAACTGGCTGTTTAGTATGACAGATGTGGCAGGCTCTGTGAGCAAATGGGTCACAAAGAAATGCTGATTGGCACGAAATCGTTTGCAGCAGTGGGCACATGTTTTACCATACATGTTCTAAACCAAAAAGTATAGATCTAAGCATGCAAAACCTATGGTTAAATTAGCTTTCTTTAACTTAATTAAACCCCGTTAATATAGAGAGACAAAGGAGATATGCACAGCAATTTAATGTCTCCATTATAAAAGACTTGAAAAGATTCTAAGATGGATGGAATAATCAGCTCTATCAGCTCCATCAATTTCTAGCCCCCTTTTGCTTCTGCTTTAGACCCCTGACACCAATTATGTAAATTTGACCCCACAGCATCTGATTGCTTTTGCATTATAATTTAAATGTAGGTGTCTTATGAAGACAAAAGGAAATGCATTCTTTTCAGAATTAAGAATTTGAACTGATACACTGATTTTGTTCCTGTTGAATTACCAGGCAGCTGGAGAAACAGCTGGACCAGTTTCTGAAGATCAAAAAAAGAAACCTCAAGTCCGAATTACAATACGGATTTCATCAGAATTTTATAGTATTGTTTAATAAATACAAAACAGCTGAGCGCGGTGGCACATTGCCTGTAATCCCAGCACTTTGGAAGGCCAAGGCGGGCAGATCACCCAAGGTCAGGGGTTCGAGACCAGCCTGGCCAATATGGTGAAACCCCGTCTCTACTAAAAATACAAAAATCAGCCGGGTGTGGTGGTGGACGCCTGTAATCTCAGCTACTAGGGAGGCTGAGGCAGAAGAATAGTTTGAACCCAGTAGGCAGAGGTTGCAACGAGCTGAGATCATGCCTTTGCACTCCAGCCTGGGTGACAAGAGCAAAACTCCATCTCAAAATAATAATAATAATAATAAATACAAAACACACTTTACTGGTAATTGGTTGCTTTCCTGTTTACATTAGCAAATGTATTATGAAGACAGTGCCAAATGTACTAGGAGTTTCTTGATTCACTGAGAGTAATCAGTTTGAACTTTATTTTAAGGACTACAAAATCCAGTTTGAAGGAGGATGTAAAGATCAGAAGCAGTATAGCATAGTAGTCCTCTAGTATTGCCTGGGTTCAACACCCAGTTCTTCTAACTGTATGATCTTTGGTAAATTACTCAAGCTCTCTGTGCTTTAATTTAAGCATTAAAAAAAATTATTGTTATTATTTTTTCATCTGGGCCTGGTGGCTCATGCCTGTAATCCCAGCACTTTGGGATGCCAAGGCGGATGGATCACCTGAGGTCAGGAGTTCGAGACCAGCCTGGCCAACATGGTGAAACCTTCTCTGTACTAAAAATATAAAAATTAGCTGAGCGTGGTGACAGGCGCCTGTAATCCCAGCTACTGGGGAGGCTGAGACAGGAGAATTGTTTGAGCCCGGGAGGCGGAAGTTGCAGTGAGCAGAGATTGTGCCATTGTATTGCAGCCTAGGCGACAGGGCAAGACTCTGTCTCGAATTTTTTTAAAAAATTGTTATTATTTTTTTAGAGATGAGGCCTCGCTATGTTTCCCAGGCTGGTCTTGAACTCTTGGCCTCAAGTGATCCTCCTGCCTCAGCCTCTCGAAGTGCTAGAACTACAGGCGTGAGCCACCATACCCAGGCTCTGTGCTTCAATTTTCTGATTTGTGAAATGGGGATAATAATAGTACCTACTTCACTGGATAGTTATGAGGATTAAATGAGTTAGTTTATATGAAGCACTTAAAACAGAGCCTAGCTTATAGTAAGTTGCATTAGTCATTATTATACCCATATGCAAAACCTTGTATTTTCTTGAAATCTCTGCCAATGGAGCTAATTATTTTATTAGTGCAATATCCTTTCAAATCCAGTCAGTGACTCAAAAGTAGGGAAATAGATATATGTCTGGCTTTTCACAAGCAGAGAGCAATGTGGGTAAGGAACGGTATGGTGTGTATATGGGTTATGTGTATATATGTGTATAAGAGCTATGTATGTAGAAGTAGCCTTGATCTCAAAATTCAGACCTCCTACTTCCTTATGAGAATTACATTCTGCCCAGTAGGTTGGTTGAATGACTGTCTTGTCTTAGGACAGGGCCAGCATGTTCTGATTAACTATAGGTGGACAAGGTACATTGGGTCAAGACAAGTATAAGATGAAACCAGCTGCAGATTCTAGAAGGAAGTCCAGCCTCAGTGGTACACATCAGAAGGGAGGGTAGCCTGGGAAGTTGTTGACAAGAAGGAATAACTTGGAGCTAGAGAATTTTTCTAAACTGGATAGCACAGTGATGGGTAACCCAGAAGAAGGACTATTCAGAGATCCAGACAAACAGCCTGCTATTTGAGTAAGGGATGTTGCAAATAGCAGCATCTGCAATGGGAGAGTAGTAGGAGCATATTGGATTCCATCTCTGAGGGACTGTGATTTCATGGTGTATTAAGACAAGGGAGCCAATGAAAGGAATCAAAAAGGAGCTCAGAAACTAGAAGTCGGGGCCAGATCTCAGAAATCTGAACTCTGTTGAAACTGTAGCATAAGACCAGAACCAGAGCCGCAATGGCAAGTTTACACTGGGTGTTGGGATAAAGACTGGTCAGGATGGTCCTAGGGATGGGTTGGGTGGAAACTTCAGGTCCAAAGGGCTCAGCTGTATGGATAAGAAGGATAAAAGAGGCTGGGAGGGGGAGGGAGAAAAGAACAACTGGATGTCTATAAAGGACAGTGAGGCAGTTCTTCAAGCATTCTTTTGTCTTTTAAACTTTGAGTCACAGAAAGTACCATTTAACTCTGGGTACTCTCTCAGTGAAGGAATGGTGGTCCTTAAGAATGCCTCATGGTCCGTAAGAATGCCTCAGCCCAGGCTGGGTGCGGTGGCTCACACCTGTAATCCCAGCACTTTGGGAGGCCGAGGCGGGCGGATCACAAGGTAAGGAGTTCGAGACCAGCCTGGTCAATATCGTGAAACCCCGTCCCTCCTAAAAATACAAAAATTAGCTGGGCATGGTAGCGCACGCCTGTAGTTCCAGCTACTCAGGAGGCTGAGGCAGGAGAATCACTTGAACCCAGGAGGTGGAGGTTGCAGTGAGCCGAGATCGTGCCACCGCACTCCAGCCTGGTGACAGAGCAAGACTCTGTCTCAAAAAAAAAAAAAAAAAAAGAATGCCTCAGCCATGGCTATATCTCTGAGTGATGGGTAGAAAAAACAACAAAAGCAACAACAAAAATAACTATATTCTGGCTGGGTGTGGTGGCTCATGCTTGTAATCCCAGCACTTTGGGAGGCCGAGGCGGGTGGATTGCTTGAGCCCAGGAGTTTGAGACCAGCGTGAACAACATGGTGAAACCCCATCTCTACTAAAAATATAAAAATTAGCTGGGCGTGATGGCATGTGCTTGCAATCCCAGCTACTCAGGAGGCTGAAGCAGGAGAATTGCTTGAACCCGGGAGGCGGAGTTTGCAGTGAGCCGAGGTCGCATCACTGCACTCCAGCCTGGGTGACAGAGCAAGACTCAGTCTCAAAACAAACAAACAAGAAAACAAAAAGAAACTTGTTCCCTAGAATTCAAGGAAGAGCCAGGCGTATTTAGAATAACATAAAAACTTAATTCGAAAACTCACATTTTGTGATTACCAGATTAGGGAAATGGAATGGTGTTTGGAAGGAGAATTGCACTAGTTATAGAGGAAAATGACCTTCTGTGAGAGTTGGATGCCCTGTGGTTGCTCTTAGATTAATTTGCCTCCTTACTTGTCACTGATCACACCTACTTCTTGTTGCAGAAAAACTGTTCCTTTCCATAGCTATAGTCTTAACCTGTTGTCTAAATAATGTAGCTAAATCAGCTGAGCACATGGGAATCAGAGACTAAAAGAAGCACATTAGGCATTCAATAAATATTTGCTGAATGAATGAAATGCTCAGTAAGCATTAAAAGATGATGATAATGACAATGGTTAGGATGAAGAAGAAAAGGAAAGGGGACAGAGGAAGGCATGAATAGCTGTAACTCTAAGGCAATTGGCTCACCAATTACACTGCTGAAGCGATAACATAACAATCACAGTTTTCAGGTACTCGGATGCTGGTTCTCCAGTTTGTGTATCATCTCAGATTTTTGGTTTAGATTTTCCCTTAAACTGACTCCCTTTTAGTCCTCCATTTAATGTCTATTAATCCACAGAGAAAATGAAGGAACAAGAGATTAATAGTAGCTAAAACTTTCCAATGTTTTCTTTGTGCAAAGGCTTATCTCATTTTACTCTCACAGTCTCTCATAGAGAGGGACTATTATTATACCTGTTTTACAAATAAGGAAACTGAGCCTTCGCAGCATTCTCAAGGTCACACAGCTGGTACACAGCAGAGCGTAAACTGGGATTATTGGAACCTAGAGCCCATACTCTTATCCATGTTCTCTTGCTTCCATGCTACCGAGTCTTCTAACTTGTTCCTCGTGTTTTAGAGTTAAGTCCTTTCAAACTCTCTCTTCTTTTCCTTTTTCTTTTCTTCTTCTTTTTTTTCCTGGTGTATAAATGTGTGTTGTATTGATTTATCATATTGTTTCTTTTGCATCTTTCAAATTCTTAAGCCTCAAGGTGCCTCTGTGCTGGAATGTTTGTTTTAATCAAAACTAGGCATGTACATAGTTTAGGAGTCAAATAGCTCTACAAGGCCTATTACAAAAAAAGAAAAAATCAGGGCTGGGCATGGTGGCTCATGCCTATAATCCCAGTTACTTGGGAGGCTGAGGTGGGAAGATCACTTGATTCTGGGAAGTAGAGGTTCCAATGAGCTGGGATTGGGTCACTGCACTCCAGCCTGGGCAACAGAGTGAAACCCTGCCTTAAAACAAAACAAAACAAGACAAAACAAAAAAAATCAATTCCCTAGGCCTCAATTTCTGCCTCCTCTACCGCCCCCCTCCGCCCCCATAATAACTTTTAGCTATTTTAGCTATTTCTTTTGCATTTGTCTCAATTCTTCTAAATAATATGCTTTTACTGTTATTTCTCTTTTTTGTTTTTTTGGTTTTTTTTGAGACAGGGTCTCACTCTGTAGCCCAGGCTGGAGTGTAGTGGCATGATCATGGCTCACTGCTGCCTCGACCTCCCAGGCTTAGGTGATTCTCCTACCTCAACCTCCCAGGTACCTGGGACTGCAGGTACACACCACCACATCTGGCTAATTTTTTTATTTTTATTTTTAATAGAGACAAGGTCTTCCTATGTTGCCCAGGCTGGTCTTGAACTCCTGAGCTCAAGCAATCCTCCTTCCTGCCTTGGCCTCCCAAAGTGCTGGGATTACAGACATGAGTCATTGTGCCTAGCATATACTGCTATTTCTTGATTTTTTAAAATGTAGGTGTTATCTATGAAAGATATATTATTTCTTTCAACTACTCCAACCCCCAGCATACCCCAATCACACATACTTTTCTATCCATTATCCCAATATAGTTATGTCAGTTAAATTAGTAATAAGTATATTATTATGATTATATAAATTCTTATACACGTGCTATGATTACTTTTCCTTTCTTATACAACTTTTTGTTTTTCCTAAAGTTAATACAAGCTTCGTTTTTATTTTTCTCTTACTTTGTTTTAATATAATTATCACTAAGTTATAACCAAATTCTCCCCTAGAAGTGTATTTTTTCTCATTACTACATAGTCGGGCATATTAGGTAGTCTATCAATTTCGTCTTCTTGGAAACACCTGGGAGCCATCTGATTGTCTCCCTTCTGACCTTGATTATTTTCTAGACTAGCTTCACAGCTGTTATTCTGGGATCAAACCTCACAATTATTCTGAGAATTTACATTACCTCTTTCTGTGTTAGATCCTGTTTCCAGGATGCCATGTGTATTAGTCAGCTTTTGATACTTTTTTTTTTCAGGAATGACTCCAAAATATGAGTAGCTTACAACAAAAAAGATTTATTTCTCACTTTCATTAGACATCCTCTGTGGGTTGGCTGTGTCGTCTACTCCGTGTTGGCTTCTTCCCAGGACCCAGGAGCAAGCTCCATCTGGGCCATGCCAGTCTTTTGGGAAAGAAAAGATCAATAATATACATGTTTTCACTTACATTCTATTGTTCAAACCAAATCAGTGGTCAAGTTTAATGCCAGTAGGGTAGGTAGAAATGGAGACGACAGTGAATATTTGAAGACATAACACAATCTTTTATTTTATTTTATTTTTGTGAGACAGAGTCTCGCTCTGTCACCTAGGGTAGGGTACAGTGGCGTGATCTTGGCTCACTGCAGCCTTGAGCTCCCCAGCTCAAGTGATCCTTCCCCTTCAGCCTCCCGAGTAGCTGGGACTACAGGTGTGCACCACACCACACCCAGATAATTTTTGTATTTTTTGTAGAGATGGGTTTTTGCCATATTGCCCTTGCTGGTCTTGAACTTTCGAGCTCAAGTGATCCTCCCACTTTTTCCTCCCAAAGTGTTGGGATTACAGGCGACATAATACATAATCTACCATGTATTCTTATTTCATTTTTTTTTTTTTTTTTGAGACGGAGTCTCACTGTCACCCAGGCTGGAGTGCAGTGGTGCGATCTCGGCTTACTGCAAGCTCAACCTCCCGGGTTCACGCCATTCTCCTGCCTCAGCCTCCGGAGTAGCTGGGACTACAGGCGCCTGCCACCACGCCTGGCTAATTTTTTGTATTTTTAGTAGAGACGGGGTTTCACAGTGTTAGCCAGGATGGTCTCGATCTCCTGACCTCGTGATCTGCCCGCCTTGGCCTCCCAAAGTGCTGGGATTACAGGCGTGAGCCACAGTGCCCGGCTCTTATTTCTTATATCTTTGTTTGCTCTGACATTTTTGGGGAGCCCATCCCTCAAAAGCTTCCTGAAGAAGGGTATATATGAGTATAAGATATTAGATATTGAGTTCATACATGTCTAAAAGTGTCTTTTTACTCAAGAGTAGTGTATTTGGGTATAGAATTCTATATTGGAAATAATTTTCCTCAGAATCTGTAAATGCTGTTCTACTATTTTCTTGATTCCAATGTTGCTGTTGAGAAGTTCAATGTAATTCTAATACTGTTTGTAACTTTTTTTTTCCTTTTCTGGAGGCTTACTTTTGTTCCTAGTGTTCTAACATTTCATAGTAGTATGTTATGGTGTGGATTTGTTTCTATCCATTGTGCTGGACAGTTGGTACCCACTCTAAATTTGGAAATTCATGTCCTTAATTATGGGAAATTTTCTTGAATTATGCCTTTGATAATTTTTTGCCCTCCATTTTTCCCATTTTTTTTTTTAATACAGGATCTTGCTCTATCACCCACATGCTTGAGTGCAGTGGCATGATCCCAGCTCACTGCAGCCTTGACCTCCTGTGCTCAAGTGATCCTCCCACCTCAGCCTCCTGAGTAGTTGGGACTACAGGCACCTCCCACCACACCTGGCTAATTTAAAAATTTTTATTTTGTAAAGACAGGGTCTCACTATGTTGCCCAGGCTGGTTTCAGATTCCTGAGTTCAAGCCATTCTCCCATCTTAGCCTCTCAAAGTGCTGGCTGGGATTACAGACGTGAGCCACCGTATCTGGCACTCTCCCCCTATTTCTATTTCTATTTAGTTTTATTTTTCACCTATCCTATTTTATTTTACATTTGCACATGTTATTTTTAATTCTCAGAATGCTTTTTTCCCCTCTTTTTCTAAATGGCATCCCAGACTTATTTACTGGATGCAAGATCTTCTATCTCTATTAGGATATTTACTAATAATTTCCATTTTGAAATTTTTCTTTTTCCTACTTAGTTTTTCTGTCCTCCAAGTTGCCTGTTTTCCTTTTGTTTTAGTCTCTATATTTTATGTTAGAGATATTTCTTAAATTTCTGGCGACCCCATTCTGGTTCAGAAATTCTGTTTTAGTCTCTCCAGAGAATTACCCTTCACTTTTCTGATAGGGTGAAGAAAAGAAGTCTCTTGGCTGCACAGAGTCAGAGAAGGGAATTGCTTCTTAAATTGACTTTCTAACAATCCTCCTGTTTTCAGTTCTACCTTCATTTCCAAAAGAACTGGGTAAATCAATTTCTAAATATTTTGTGCATTCTACAGTGCAGATCAGGTTGCTTCTCAGCTTTGCCCTGCTAGTTTTGGATTCAGCTTTCTTGGGTTTGCTCAGTCAATTATTCCTCATCCATATGCTTTCTGGATTCCAAAATGTTGTTGTTGTGGCTTCTTTCCATTAAATTGGTCTTTTAGGTTTATGCCTTTTATTTATTTCTTCTTTTTTTTTTTTTTTTTTTTTTTTAGACAGAGTCTCGCTCTGTCACCCAGGCTGGAGTGCAGTGGCGCGATCTCAGCTCACTGCAAGCTCCACATCTCGGGTTCACACCATTCTCCTGCCTCAGCCTCCAGAGTAGCTGGGACTACAGGTGCCCGCCACCACGCGCAGCTAATTTTTTGTATTTTTAGTAGAGAAGGGGTTTCACCGTGTTGGCCAGGGTGGTCTCAATCTCCTGACCTCGTGATCCGCCTGCCTCGGCCTCCCAAAGTGCTGGGATTACAGGTGTAAGACACCTCGCCCGGCCTTATTCCTTCCTTCCCTTCCTTCCCTTCCTACCTTCCTTCCCTTCCCTTCCCTTCCCTTCCCTTCCCTCCCCTCCCCTCCCCTTCCCTTCTCCTTCCTTCCTTCCTTCCTTCCTTCCTTCCTTCCTTCCTTCCTTCCTTCCTTCCCTCCCTCCCTTCCTTCCTTTTTTTTCGAGACAGGGTCTCACTTTCTCACCCAGGCTGGAGTGCAGTGGCACGATCTTTCTTTGCAACCTCCACCTCCCAGTCTCAAGGGATCCTCCTGCCTCAGCCCCTCAAGTAGTTGGGACTACAGGTGTGCACCATCAGGTGCTTATTTTTGTATTTTTGGTAGAAATGTGGTTTTGCCACATTGCCCAACCTGGTCTCAAACGCCTGAGCTCAAGGGATCCACCTGCCTCAGCCTTCCATAGTACTAGGATTATAGGCATGAGCCACCTCACCTGGCCTGGTTAAAGCCTTTTAGACATCACTTTACTGTTGCTTCAGTGGTTCGGTGTGACAGCAGAGGTAAATACGTGTGTTTAACCTGCCATTTTTAAGCAAAAGTCTTATGATTCTCAAAACAACCAGAGAAGGCATTCTAATCCCCATTTTACAAATGAGAAACAGAATTTAAATGACTTGCCAAGATTACATGGCATAGAATGTTAGAGCTGGGGCTTGTATTCAGGACTTGTGACTCCACATTCAACGCTCTTTCCACTAAATTCCTGAAAACGAAAGCTGTGTAATGTAGTTGTTAAAAACACAGTGTTTGGCACCAGACACTTGGATATGAGTCCAGGTCTTGCCTCTTGATAGCTGTGTTCTTTCAACAAGTTATTTAGTCTCATTGCACTGAAAGTTCCTCATCTATAAAATGCGGATGATAACAATAGCACAATCTAACAACACTATTATGAGAATTCAATTAGATAATATATGTAAAGTACTCACCATAGTCTCTGGCATATAGTGAATGCTCCCTTATTACTATAATGGAAAAAGTGAAATGATAAGGTGTAATCATGATTTGCAATTTTAATTAATTGAACTATGTCCAGAGAACCTTTGAAATTAATTCTGCAGACATTTACTGAATAATTAGCATGTGCATTGTGGAATGTTTATTCTTCCTTTCTCCTCTGTTTGAACCTCTTTATGAAAATATCTTTGATTTGCAACTGCTTCAAGCCCAGCTGAGCTCAGCTAAGTAACTTCTGAGTAAGGATAGAAGAATTAGATAAAGTCACAGATTTTTCTGTGCACCAATAGCTAATGAAATGAACAACAAAAATACATTGATAAAGTTCAAACAGCAGCTACAACAAGGTAAAGGGGAAAACCTTACATATAAGTGAAATGTTAAAAAAAAAAAAAAAAAAAAAGCCAGGATGCCTCACGCTTGTAATTCCAACACTTTGGGAAGCCTAAGCAGGTAGATTACATGAGGCCATAAGTTCGAGACCAGCCTGGCCAACATGGTGAAACCCTATCTCTATTAAAAATACAAAAAGTAGCTAAGTGTGGTGGCTCACGCCTGTAATCTCAGCTACTAGGGAGGCTGAGGCATGAGACTCGCTTGAGCCCAGGAGGCGGAGGTTGCAGTAAGCCAAGATTGCCACTGTACTCCAGCCTGGATGACGGAGTGAGACTCTGTCTCAACAAAAAAGGTGGGGAGACAATAAAAGAAACAGAATATTCTGGTGCAGTAAGGTGTGGCTACTCACCTTGCCTCTATTCTTTAGAAGCCTGTAGTCCTTGCTACTCAGGAGGCTGAGGTAGGAGGGTTGCTTGAGGCCCAGAGTTCAAGACCAGCCTGGATCAACAAAGCGAGACCCCCCACCGTCTCTAAAAAAAAAAAAATTAAAAAATTAGCTGAGTGTGGTGACATGCACTGTAGTCCCAGCCAATTGGGAGGCAGAGGTGGGAGGATCACTTGAGCCCAGGAGGTTGAGGCTGCAGCGAGCCATGCTTGCACCACCGCACTCTAGCCTGGGCAACAGAACAAGACCCTGTCTCAAAAAACAACAAACAATAGCAACAACAGCAACAAAAACCCCAAAAAACTATGCGTTGATTTCAAAACTTTCTTGCAAGAAAATAAACTTATAATAACTTTTATAACATGTTGAACAGGATCTAGTTTGAAGCACTAAAAAGGATAAGACAGAAGTTTGAAAAGAGCTCCTATCAGAGCAACATTAATTGTGCTAAAATTGAACTAAGAACAAACATCAAACTTATGGTGGAAGCTTGAGTGGAGGAATGGTGAAATCACTGATGCTTTATGAAAAGTTTATGGGGAAAATATCCCAAAGAAATCAGCAATTTGCAAATGGATAACTCATTTTAAGAAGGGACACGATGATGTTGACAATGGAGCCCACAGAGGCAGGCCATCAACATCAATTTGTGAGGAAAAAAATTAATCTTGTTCATGCCCTAATTGAGGAGGACCAATGATTAACAGCAGAAACAATAGCCAACACCACAGACCTCTCAAATTATTCAGTTTATACAATTCTGACTAAAAAATTAAACTTGAGCAAACTCTCCACTTGAGGGGTCCCAAAACCATTACATCCAGATCAACTGAAGACAAGAGCAGAGCTTTCAAAGGCAATTTTAAATAAGTGGGATCAAGATCCTGAAGCATTTCTTCAAAGAATTGTATCAGAAAATGAAACATGGCTCTACCAGTTTACCATGGCTTTACCAGATTGTGCTGAAGACAAAAACACAATCAAAGCAATGGCTACCAAGAGGTGGAAACGGTTCAGTCCAAGCAAAAGTGGACCAGTCAAGAGCAAAGGTCATGGCAACAGTTTTTTTTGGGATTCTCAAAGCATTTTGCTTGTTGATTTTCTGAAGGGCCAAAGAACCATAACATCTACTTGTTATGAGAGTGTTTTGAGAAAGTTAGTCAAAGCTTTAGTGAAAAAAAAAAAAAAGCCTGGGAAAGCTTCACCAGAGATTCCTCCTCCACCATGACATATTCCTGCTGCTCATTCCTCTCATCAGACAAGGGCAATTTTGTGAGAGTTTTGATGGGAAATCACTAGGCATCCACCTTACCATCCTTCTAACTTCTTTTTGTTTCCTAATATTAAAAAATCTTTAAAGGGCACACATTTTAATGTAAAAGACTGCATTGATATGGTTAAATTCCCAAGATGCTCAGTTCTTTAGGGATGGACTAAATGACTGATATCATCACTTACAAAAGTGCCTTGAACTTGATGGAGCTTATATTGAGAAAGTTTATATTTTTATGTTTATCTTTTAATTCCCTTTTGTCATAAATTTTTTGAAGTCCCCTTGTATGACTGACAAAAGCTATAAATTATAAACCCTGACAAAATAGAAATAATAGAAACCACAAGATTGGGAGTTGGAATACGGAGGTAGGAGGAAGTATACGAATACTAAATATCTTATTTCACAGAGCAAGTGGTCAACTGACACTTTTTCTGTTTTTTTTTTTTTTTTCAGATGGGGTCTCACTCTCTCACCTATGCTGGAGTGCAGTGGCACGATTTCGGCTCACTGCAACCTCCACCTTCCAGGTTCAAGTGATTCTCCTGCCTCAGCCTCCCAAGTAGCTGGGACTACAGGTGCGCACCATCACGCCTAGCTAATTCTTGTATTTTTAGTAGAGATGGGGTTTTGCCGTGTTGGCCAGGCTCGTCTTGAACTCCTGGTCTCAAGCAGTCCAGCGGCCTCAGCCTCCCAAAGTGCTGAGATTACAAGTGTGAGCCATGGTGCCTGGCCAAGAAATATGAGCTATTCTGATTTCTTCTTTATATATTTTCTTTGCTCACATTTTTTTGGGCTATTTCTCATATATTTCCTGCCTTTCCCCTTTATATCTTTTTTTAACCAATGTGTATTGAATGTCAATCTACATAAACTGATGATTTAATAAATGTTGAAGTAATTTTTCCAGTTGCATAAGACTGTAAGTTCTATGAGGATTGGAGATATGTTTTATTCATCTTTGAATTCTGTCAGCACATGGCATAGGGACTTGCACATAGTAGACCACCAATACTTTTTTTGAATAAATGAATTAATTTGCTTTGTTTCATTTATGTTTGTTGCTAGAATAATGGCTGAAAACTAGCTGGGAATATAAGAAAAATGAGCCGTAATTGGAGAATATAATAAAGCCTGTCACCCAAATCTGAGAGACCTGTTATAAATGCTTCTGATGCTTCATTAAAGATATTCTATTGTTTTCAGAATCCATTTTCCCCCAGCAAATAATTTCTTCATACTCTAATTTAATCCTTTACACTGCTATCAAAATTATCATTTTTAAACACAGATCTGATCTTGTCACTTCTCTATTTAAAAACCTCCAATGACAGCCTATTGACTATGAAACAGAGTTCAAACTCCTAACCATGGCAATCAAGGTCCTACATGACCTGGCTTCAGTCCATCTCTTTCTGGCCAAGGCACCTCACATGCTATCCATTCAGGGATACTTGCAGCTTCTAGAGCATGCTATACTCATGCTTATTTGGACCTCTGTGTCTTTGCTTATACAATTTCCTCTATTTAAATGTCACTCCTCATCCCATATCCATCTTTTCTGCCTTCTTCACAATCAAGAGCCTACTGTAGTCCTCAAGGCCCAACATAAATGCTTTCTCTGTAAGGCTTCACTGTCTCTCCTAATTAAGCCTACATAATTGTACCATTTGTTGTGCTCTTGTAGTACTTTGCTTATGCTCCATGTATTGTATTATAGCTAATTTACATACATCTAACACTCTCTCTTACATTGTGAAGAATTTTTTTCTTTATACACTTCTTGACTTATTTCCTTTTCCCATATCTGGGCTATGTCTTACATATTCTAGAACATTGTCACAGTGCCTAACACATACGCTCAATAAATGTTTGTAGTTTGGAATTTTAAAAAGCGTGTGTACTGCTTATATTTCCATATAAAAAAACCCACCTCTTCTAAGTGTAATGGGGGCTAACCAAAAGTCTAAAGGTTAGGTAGAAAAACTGTCTCTTAAACTGTATGTGGTTTTCTGTCCTGATAAATGGGAAAACTAGAGCATTTCTTCAAGAGAAGACTACTCTGGGAAAACTACATGAATTGTTTAGTTACTCATATTCAAACAAGTAGACACGTATTACTCTTAGAAAACTATAAAGCAACAATTAACCCGAATATAAATGCTTTAGACTGAGAAGCAGAGTGCTTCATTTGAATATGCAAATCTTTGTGTGTGGAGCAGAAGTACTGCTTCTGCAGACATTGATGTAGAAGAGAAGAACAGAAAATCTGTTTCTTTCCTCTGTGTGGATTTAGAGCATATATGTGTCAATGCATTATTATTTCTGTGGAGATGTGAATGTCCTTTTGAGCCCCTGCTCTTTAGATAGCAGAAGCTGAGACCTAATGAATATAGGAAAGCAAGGACAGGCATGATTTTCACTGCTCTACTGGAGAAATAATTATGCAAAGGGACAGGACTGGCTTTGACACGGCTTTACCTTGACCCACGTGTAAAGACTGAATAATTCAACCTTTGTGAGAAACATGCTGATGTTGACTATTGTGTTCTGATATGACAGCCCTGTTGAATCAGAGGTCAAGGTCATACCCTTGGGCATGCAGGGTGGGGTTTCCTCCAGAAGAGTAAATATTTCCATGGTTAGTCATTCTAGGAAGAGGTAGCACCTGGGACAGAAAATGGGACTTGGAAAGTGGACCCTAACCTAGGTAAGGAGAGTTGTTTTCTTCACAGTGATTGGGAGTAAATGCCTAAGACGTAGTCAGGGGAACTCTTGCTGGAGAGGGGAAGCTATCTTCAGCCACATGAACCAGAATGGAAGCCTGACAGTAAGGCCAGGCCTGTATCTAATCCATAGTCCATGAGGCTTTGAAAGTAGCTATGTCATACGTCCAAGTTACACTTCAGATTATTCTTTTTTTCCTAAATATTGTTAGGAGTTATAGCTTGGTCTTAGCTGTGTTGGGGGAAACTTTGATGGGAAGGGCCTGTGTTTGTCATGTCTTGGTGAAGAGAGGGCAGTACTCCTTCCTGCCAAAATCTAAAGAAATGGTGAAGGTTGCATTGGCTAAAGAGAGAGACCAGTGTCCCAGAACAGCAGGGTATAGAATATCTGAAGCAGAGACACGAAATGCTTTGTTTAGTTTTTTCAGGCATACGTGGGGGATAGTACCTCCCCTGGGGACTCCCTCATAGTAGAGAAGGAAAAGAAATTCAAAAGACGGCTGATATTCTGATAATTTGGAAGGTGGGGGTTCAGAGCCATTATAATTTGGATTCTTATTTTTAAATGTGGCCTCCTTTATACTTAAAGACACATGAAAGCTATGGCACGCTGGTTCTCAAGGGCAAATAAGGCCTTTTATTAAATAAGCCCTTTCCATTCTGGGCATCCTAGTTAATAGATTTGAGGAAAACAAAGATAAACAAAATATTTCTGTTTGGTTTTACTTTTTATTTTATTTGGAGACAAGGTCTTGCTCTGTTGTCCAGGCTGGAGTGCAGTGATGCAGTCATAGCTCCTGGCTCAATTGATTCTTCTGCCCAGTCTCCCAAAATTCAGTTTGGTTTTATATGAGCCCTTCCTTTCTAGTTCTCCTTATGCTTCTTCTCATGAGCTTTTTTGTGGAGACATACATCTAGATTCTTGCTTTTCTTCCATTATTTTTTCATTCTCTGTATTCCTCACAAAGTGTTTTGTATCAGAGAAGAAGGGAGAGTTTGAAGTTCTCTCTGGATATTACACCTAAGCATGAATGAATATCTAACTGGTCTTTCGGTGAGGTGAGCATCTAAGCAGATGTGATTTTTTTTAATTCCTTTTTTTTTTTTTTTTTGAGACAGGATCTGGCTCTGTTGCCCAGGCTGGAGTGCAGTGGTGTGATCTTGGCTCACAGCAACCTTCCCCTCCCCCTAGGCTCAAGCAATCCTCCCACCTCAGCCTCCCCAGCAGCTGGGACTACAGGTGTGTGCCACCACACCCAGCTAATCTTTGTATTATTATTATTATTATTATTGTAGCTATGGGGTTTCACCATGTTGCCTAGGTGGGTCTTGAAATCCTGAGCTCAAGCGATCTGCCTGCCTTGGCTTCCCAAATGTTGGGATTATAGGCATGAGCCACTGCACCCAGCCTCAGACATGATTTTCTCAGACTGAGCAAGGATTCTACTTAACACATTGACATAGGAAATACAGTCTCACCTCTGTTGATTGCAACTATGGCCATACTTCGAAAAAAGACTGCATTCAGTTCCTTAGAGCTTTTCTGGATTCATAGTGCTTTGCCTTTTCATTCTAACAGCTGCTTATTTGGATAACCTGTTAAAAACACTTTCCTACCATCACACTTATGGACTTCCTCTAGCTTGGACATTTTTTCTTGCTCTTGTTGATTCTATAACAAACAGTAACTTTTGCCTTCAACAAAAGCTCTTTCAGTTTGAATTTTTTTTCCTTTCTTTCTTTTTTTTTTTTTTTTTTTTGAGATGGAGTCTCGCTGTCTCCCAGGCTGGAGTGCAGTGGCCAATCTCAGCTCACTGCAACCTTCGCCTCCCAGGTTCAAGCAAATCTCCTGCCTCAGCCTCCTGAGTAGCTGAGACTACAGACACATGCCACCATGCCCGGCTCATTTTTGTATTTTCAGTAGAGACAGGGTTTCACCATGATGGCCAGGCTGGTCTTGAACTCCTGACCTCGTGATCCACCCACCTCGGCCTCCTAAAGTACTGGGATTACAGGTGTGAGCCACTGCGCCCAGCCTGAAATATTTCATTATCTTCTTACAGCTACATAACAAAGCTGAGCTTTGTAGAATATCACTTTGGCATATTAATAATTTTACTTGTCTCCAAGATCTTCCTGAAATTTTGAGTTTCTTCACAGGTCTTCTTCCTCTGGGATTTAAGTGCTGTAGAACACCTGTCAATTCCATTTACTTCAGTTCATCAATTTTTTTTTTTTTAGACCGAGTCTTGCTCTGTTGCCCAGGCTGGAGTGCAGTGGCACAATCTCAGCTCACTGCAATCTCTACCTCCCGGGTTCCAGCGATTCTCCTGCCTCAGCCTCCCCAGTAGCTGGGACCACGGGCGCATGCCACCACACCCGGCTAATTTTTGTATTCAGTTCAACACTTATTGAATACCTATTATGTTTCAGGCATCAGACTACCTGCTGAAGCTACAAAGTAGTGGAGCGCATGCCTGGTTTTATGCCTGGAACACTTGACTTACTAGTTCTAGACTCATAACTAACTCCATCCAAATTGCATTGAAAAGAGAATCCTGCTCCTATGGCTATTAAATGCCACAAAGGAGAATGCAACCAATTAAGAGCAGTCCAGGTTACTAAGGTGATAGAAAGAAAAAGGGGGAGGGAGAGGGGGAGGAAGAGAGAGAGAGAGAGAGAGAGAAAGAGAGAGAGAGAGAGAGAATGAAAGAGAATGAATCTCCCCATGCAAAAAAAAAAAAAAAAATTGGGGAAAATATTGGAATCCAAAGACACTAGGGAAGAAGCATACTTTAAAGGCGGGATAGTTTTCTAGGCTAATGTAGAGTTTCATTTTTGTTACACATTATACCTATAAACAAGAACAGTGCAAATGAAAGTAATAGGAAATTATGCCTATTTCATTATTTTAAATTAATATATTTATTACAGCATTAATGTTCTATGTTGACACGATTATTTTTTTTTTTTGAGACGGTGGCTTGCTCTTGTCCCCCAGGCTGGAGTGCAATGGCCGTGATCTTGGTTCACTGCAACCTCTGCCTCCTGGGTTCAAGCGATTCTCCTGCCTCAGCCTCCCGAGTAGCTGGGATTACAGGTGCGTGCTACCATGCACGGCTAATTTTTTTGTATTTTTAGTAGAGACGGGGATTCACCATGTTGGTCAGGCTGGTTTCGAACTCCTGACATCAGGTGATCCGCCCGCCTCGGCCTCCCAAAGTGCTGGGATTACAGGCTTGAGCCACTGCGCCCGGCCGACATAATTATTTTATAACATTTCCTCACATCAAAAATCTTTGAGGGAGAATATCTCTTATTGAAGTTCTGGTAAAAAACCTTGAAGTCTGTAAATTTGGGGTGACAAAGAGAAGGAGACAATTCTTTGTGATGTATACCTCCTGACATACTATGTTGTTCTATTGAGAAAGTCTGAAGACATAATTTCCAGTTCTAAAAGTGCAAGGAGAAGATTCATTGCTTCCTCTGCTCCCTACCAGCTGAAGGAGCAGTCTCCTTTTGTCTTCTGAAATAAAAAGGAGGCAAAGGGTGTTAGAGTGGAGGGTTTTTTAGGGGATTAAACCTGGGTACTTCAGAACCTCTGAGGTCCCTTTAGCTTTTATTTAAGTAGCTCCTGTTTCCCAAAATAAGAGGGCTGGAGCACAGAGGCCAGACGGGCCAACTTAGGGTACAGCACAGGTCGGGGGCAGTCGCCCTATCTGGAGCGAGAGGTATCCGCATTCTGCAGGTGCAGGGACTGTGATCCAGCACCCTGCCGCCTCCTCGCTCCGGCTCCCAAGAGGGCGGGAACCGCGGTGTTGCAGGGTGCGAGGCTTGGCTTCGGAAACGCAGATCAAGTGTATTTCAGGCGGCAGACATCAATCCAGTTGGGTGCTCACACCTGGCCCGGGGGAGGGGAAACAGCATCCATAGGAACCACGGGGCGGAGAGGAACCCCTCGTTTGGGACGCTAGAGGGCTGCTCCGGCTTGACTAGGTCCGACTGCTTTTCTGTGATTGCTTCTTTATCCCGCCCATCATCCCAGTACTCTATCTCGATTGGCTTTTCGGTCTGCCACTCGGTTCCGCCGCGCTGACCCCCATTGGCCCCCTCCAGTTGAGGCCCCGCCCCGCGAGCTGGGCACGGGCACTGGGGCGCCGAGGAGACAGAGCCCGGCGCTTGATCTGGGCTGGGGGGAGGCGGTGGCGGCTGAGGGAAGGAGGAGGATAAGGAGGAGGAACGAGGCCAGCAGGAGGCAACGGCAGCGACGGGGCCGGGGTGATGGTGCAGGTGCCTGGGGTCGGTGCGGAGCTGCCGGGCTGAGGGACGCCTGGTCCAGGGTCCGCAGCGCCGCCGCGTCGCTCCCGGGCGGGCGGGCGGGAAGATGCTGAGCAGGTTGATGAGCGGCAGCAGCAGGAGCCTGGAGCGCGAGTACAGCTGCACCGTGCGGCTGCTGGACGACAGCGAGTACACCTGCACCATCCAGGTCAGCGCCGCGCCGCCCCGCCCCGCCCGCGGGACCCCCTTGTCCCCCAAGTCTGGTCAACTTGGCCGGCGGCGGCCGCCGCCCAGGGGTCGCCCCAGCCCCAGCGCCGTGCTTTGTCCGTTCCTGGTTGCGGCGGACCGCCCTAGTGCAGGGCGTCTTCACCGGAGCCCCTGCCGGAGCCCTGGCACCCGGTGTGTCACCGCCGCCGCGGGGCGAGTCTCCGCGTCCCACACCCCTAAGTCCTACCCTGCTCTCCCTGGGTGAGGGCGCCCCGTCCTGGTTCCTCGAGCCCGCCCGAGTAAGGTGCACCTTTCCGGGGCGCCCGGAGGGAGGCGGGTAGGGCGGTAGGCTCCTAGCCCGGCCGCCCCGTCGGGGGCGCAGGCTTTGGCTCTCTGCCCGGGCAAGGACGTATGGCTGGCTTTTCTTATCTTTCTTGGGTTGGAAGGATAATGGTTTATGTCATAATTCCTCCCCCCACCATTTGTGAGTCAGAGCTTTCAGAAGGTAGAACTGAACGCGCAGCCCATGCGGAGTGGCCTATTGAAGGAAGCCCAGTCCTCTGGGTTTTAGAGATTTAGGCCCCCTCCCGCCTTTTGATCCCCAAATTTTATTGTGTTGGGCGGTTCTAGGGGACGTGAGGTAAAGATTTAGCAACAAGTCCCAGCGATTTGGGGCTTGGAAGTGGCCAGGAAGAATCGGCGACTTAGGAAAAACGCCAACAATACGGTAATGCTCAACAGCATTTCTTTCAGAACCTGGTATTTTTGAAGGGATTTTTACAACCTCTTGCTCATGTTCCTTCGCTACTGCTGTGTGCACGTCAGGAGTAGTAGTCTTTCCCGGGAATGCAGTCACAGCCCTCTCTCCTCCCTTATGAAAAAGTCAGAGATTGAAAACATTGACAATGCTCCCGTGTTTAGTTCATCAGCCAGGAGGATCCTGCGCTCATCGCCGGAAGCTGCTCTTTGTGGAGAAGCTAATTGAGCTGGACCCAGAGGGGTCTCACCTGATCCTTTGCCTTTGCAGCAGGAAAACAGGAGGAGGCTTCTGGCTCAGATGTGACAGACAAAAACTGTCGGCCTGGGTCCTACCCTCAGTGTCTTCTTGCCCCCCGCCTCCTTATTTATTTATTTTTGCTGACAGTGCTCAATCGCGGAAAATAGCGGTGTGTGAGAAAGACACTGGGTAGTGTATGAGAGCAGCTGGTCTCTGCTGACTCCGTGCTCAGTTCAGCCTTCTCCTCACTTTCCCTTTTCTCCCTCCCCTCGAAACCAGCTCTGGGCATAAGTGCTGACTGCTGCCAAAGATCCATGAGGGTAGAGAAAGAGCACAAAATCTCTTTTTAAGGCTACTTAAATACAGACTAAGCAGTCATAAAGATGCTAGCCATCAAGTGAAAGGATTTTTGTAGTTGAATATGATAGAGAGATGCTCTGTATTATTTCCTTGCTGAATGAGTGGAATACTACTTTTTGTTCCTATTGTATCATTGTGCCATGTCCAGTTTTTTTTTGCTTTTTTTGTTTTGCTGGGGTATGAGAATACATTGAGTTGATATCTTCACCATTTGAGTATATTGTCTAGAGCTTTTTAAAAGTCTTTATCCTTTTGTTTTAAAATTTAAAGCATTTATCCAATAGCATATCAAGGGGAGTGTGAGATTTAGACTTTATAAGTCCTAAGAATACTTTTGGGGTATGTGAAATAATTTCCGAGGCAGGTCATTAACTTTTGCCAAGGTGTAGAATACAAATAAAACACAATTCACATCACCATTTCGCTAGAAATGATTGTTAACCTTGTGGTTTTAAAGTATTGCAGTGAGGCAAATAGTTATTTTTTTCCCAGTTAGTGGAACCTTTGAGGTTGCTTGATTGGTATTATAATTGTGGGTAGTTTTTATTACCATTTAGAAAAAAAATATTTTTGAGTTAAATAGGACTTATTGGATTTGTGCTTGCTATATCCCACTATAGCTGTACTTATTTTCCTACTGCTCTCATTTTACATTATTACAATTTAATTTTATAAAATATCTAGGCCACCTAAAAAATTAAGCTTGGTGTAATATGGCCACACTGTAGTAAGTGTCCACTGTCTAGACATGTTAATGATTGTGCATTGTGATTTTTGCATGGAATCTAAAGAACACAGGGATTGTTAAGTATATGTAATGTTGTCATTCTTTGGCATCACTTTGGCGAATTGCTTTTGTTTTTACCCATGTGAGGAAATGTAGCAAAAAGACAGTATCTTATATGAAATTAACATTTTCTGCATGTAGCTTTTTTGAACATTTAGAAATTGAGCTTTTCTTATCAGCTTTTCCCTTCATGCATTTCTGTAGTGAGTGTGTGTGTATATGTGCATGTGCTTATTTGTTAAATACTGGGCATAGGATCTTTTAAATCAGTATGGAAAGGATCTGTGAACTTCTTATTAGGTTAAGCAATATTCCCAACATTTTAGGCATTGTAGCACTGTATATTTTATGGTGATAATTTGAACTCATTTTCCTTAAAGTGTTGTATGCCATATTTTTGTTTAAATAAAGTATCTATTTTAGAATGATTTTACTGCCTTAGCATAATCAGAGACTACTTAGGATATTACAGAATCAGAAATGTATCACTGGGTTGGAGTCATGATAGTTCCATTTGGTAAATTTCAGTTATAAGAAATTCTGTCAAAGTATTTGTCTATCCTTTCATAATGCAGCATTTATTCCGATCTGGCATTTAGGATGTAATTATTAAGGTAATGAAAATGCCTTATATCTTTTCAATGAAGGTTGCCACAGTTACCAGACTATTCTTTCACTCTTTCTGATATGCAAATGTATTTGTAGACCATGAGAAATGAAAGTATACATAGGAGGGTTGTAGTATAATTGCTCCCCTGTGAAGAACATTGTTAACAGCTCCCTGCCAGTTTTGAAGGTCATTTCCTCGTAAATGCAGATCTGGTCTACTCATCTGTTTTTCATTCATCTGTTTCATTTATGGAGATACATATATATATATATATATAATATATATATATATATATATATATATATATTTACCACATTTATCAGCTTACTTTGTTATTTGGAGAAAATAGGGAAAATTAAAAAATGAAAAGATAACTAATATCTTTGAACTCAGTATACTGAAGGAGTCATTTACGTGCTTAGGCATGTAATATCCTAAGGAATTTTTATGTTTTTAAGAAACGGGATCTTGCTATGTTGCCTAGGCTGGACTTGAATTCCTGGGCTGAAGTGATTCTCTCGCCTCAGCCTCCCAAGTAGTTGGGACTACAGAAGTGCACCACCATGCCCTGCTTATAAGGAATAGATTATTTTATTATTATTATTATTATTTTTGAGGTGGAGTCTCGCTCTGTTGCCCAGGCTGAAGTGCAATGGCGCAATCTAAGCTCACTGCAACCTCTGCCTCCTGGGTTCAAGCGATTCTCCTGCCTCAACCTCCCGAGTAGCTGGTATTACAGGCACCCACCACCATGCCTGGCCAATTTTTGTATTTTTAGTAGAGACGAGGTTTCACCATGTTGGCCAGGATGGTCTCTATCTCTTGACCTCGTGATCCACCCGCCTCGCCTCCCAAAGTGCTGGGATTACAGGCATGAGCCACTGCACCCGGCCAGGAATAGATTTTGAACTATCTTTCAGCTTATAATAGTTTATAAATTATGAGAATATATATTGCAACATTTCTAATAGAAATATGTGTTGAAAAAATACCTATTTTCAAGTCAGAAATGTTAATCAGTTTTTTGTGATTACTGAAAGGTGAGCTACTCTAGAAATGAATTTGATTTTACTGAGAGACATATTAAAATAATGGATTAAGCAGCCAGGTTAAATTGTGCAGTTAAATAAGATACTACCATAAATAGAATGTGTGTGCAGGGGCATTTCCATAGTATAACCAATATTTGGATTTGATTGTGGCTCAACCACTTAGTAGCTGTGGTAGCTAGGGTGAGAGAGGGAGGGAGAGAACAAATGTATTGAGCCCTGTGCTTGCCAGGCACTCTAGAGTTTATAATAGATTAAGAGAAAGCTATAAATCATAAACCCTAAGAATTATCACATCTAGTTCGATGCCTTACATAGTTTTAATTCAATAAATATTTGTTCTAATTTGTTTGTGCTACATGATTGCTATGTTAACTTCACTTCAAATTTTCTTATTCCTGAAAACAATAAACAGTTCTAACACCTGTATAACTCTTTATAGTTTTAATCCATTCCATTACAAACCGTTTTGCTGTGTGACCCCTCTCCCGGGTGAGAAGTACAGTATGTTAGTGTGGTATTTATGAGGTCTTTGAGGTATTTATGAAGTCAATTTCTGCAATTATCCTTTGTTGAATTAGTGGAGTGCCAGTTGGTATAGCTCCTATGACTTTTTGGTTTGTCTCTTAGGATTTCAAAACTTTCAGGTCCCCCTGCCTCCATCTCTGCAAGTTTAGAGGGCTTAGATCAAATGAATACTGTGTGATGCAGTACTTCATGGAGTGTTAGAGTTCTGCCAGAATTAGGATTTTGGATGTAGGGATCACCATAGCTACAGAAGTTTCCTTCACACTTTTCCCCTTAGTACCCCATAAAAGAGGAGACAGACCTCCTCACAGCCTCATTTTCTCACCTCTTGCTCCAAGAGGAAGTGGACCATGCTTCCCATCCTGTTTCTAGTTATATCTATTTTAAGTTGAATTCACCTTTGATAGCCTCATCTATAACATCCTGTCTGACTCTGCGAGTTGCTCGTCTCTCAAATGTGTCTAGTTAAGGCTTGTACTAAAGAAGTGAATATCATGGAGGATTGGCAGCAACCTTATAGCTTCTGTTTCTCACTTCTGTAGTGCCCAGGAAGGACAGTGCTGCTTTCCTGGAGGCCAGGTGATGGTTGTTGCCCCTGTTTTCTGGTCTTGACTTTTTGGGGCTTAGGCCAACCACCTCAGTGGTTTTCTTATGCAGCTGGGAAATTTGAAGGGTACTAAAGCATCTCCATTCCCATGTTGCAGGGAGAATGGTGTTTCCCCTAAGACAGCAAATCGCCAATTCATATGTCTATCCTAGCAAATGAAGCAGGTCTTCCATTCCTTTTTAAGACCCTAGACCCTGGTGACCAATAAAACTCTTTGGACTTTTGGCTAGACATGGTGGCTCATGCCTGTAATCCTGGCAATTTGGTAGGCTGAGGTGGGAGGATCACTTGAGATCAGGAGTTTGAGACCAGCCTGGTCAACATGGTAAAACCCCCGTCTCTACTAAAAATACAAAAATTAGCCAGGTGTGTGCTGTTACATGCCTGTAATCCCAGCTGCTCGGGAGGCTGAGGCAGGAGAATTGCTTGAACCCGGGAGGTGGAGCTTGCAGTGAGCCGAGATAGCACCATTGCACTCCAGCCTGGGTGGCAGAGCAAGACTCTGTCCCAAAAAAAAAAAAAAAAGTCTTGACTTTTACAAGCACTGTAAATACAGGTAGAGCCAAAGATAAACCAGGGGGAACAGAGGGTCTAAGTTCACATACTCCCAACCTCCAGTTTCTCCATCAGGCTAAAACTGTCTCAGAGAAATTTAAATTATGGACCTTTTGCCTCCCAAGGTCAACATGTGATCTTCATTATTGTTGTCAACATTTTGACCAAGATAGGCCCCTATATTGGTCTTTCAACAGTTGTAATTGTTGTATTATTTCTAAAGATTGTGTTTTACTTTTGTGGTCTTACCAACTTTCTAGTATCATATCCTAGATTTGGGAGGCAGGAACTTGTAAAGACTCTTAGGTTCAAATTCCCCAGGCTTTTGCCTGCTACCGTTAGACTAAACACAAACTTGTGTGAATCAAGTTCTCTAAAGAGATCCTTCCGTGCCATGCTCATGAAGGCAAAATAATTGGGCCACATGCTTGGCAACCACTGAGTTTGTGTACAATAGCTCCATTCACTTGTCTACAGAAAACACCCCTTTGACAGTGATTATAGCTTTCAACCCCCCACCCTTCCACTTCTGACTCCCCGAATTACCATGACCTCATCTGCTGCTTCGTATTTAGAGGTGCTCTGGACCACTCCAGAAGTGCCTAGAACTCATTCCTGTGTGTTAAAGATCAGTTCAAAGCCTCAGACAACCACTGCCCACCAAGAAAAACCATTCAAAATCAGGACCAAATCTAGCTATTCTTATGCCTCATTTGAGTCATTTTACTATGTCACAATTCAGGGGCCCTTTTCCTTCAGTAGAAATTGTGAGGCCTCTCAAAGCATGGAAAATGAAATAAGGGATTGGATAAAGCAGTGGTTCTCAAAGTATGGCCCCTAGATAGGCATTATCCATATCACCTGGGTACTTGTTAGAAATGCAAATTCTTGACCCCATCCCAGACCTAGTGAATCAAAAACTCCGGGGATGGAGTTCAGCAGTCTGTTTAACAAGTCTTCCAGGTGATTCTTAGGCTTGCTGAGGTTTGAGAATCACTACTACTGGGTTACAGAGATATTTAGTAGGTAAAATGGACAAGTGTTGATTGACTGGATGTAAAATGTGAGGGAGAGGGAGAGGTGAAGAAGGAATCTCACATTTCTAACTTTTGATTTATTCCTGAATTGTCTTAATAGATTCTCTTCCCTTGCAAGGTAAATGCTAGGTTGTCTACAGATATGCATACCTATTTTCAAGTGGGTAGGAGTCTAAAGATTCTGCAGTGCGTCATTATACCAGTTTGATGCTGTTGTATTTATTGGTTAGTATTTTTTGTCTCTCCTGACCTAAAAACAGTAGATTATTGTATATTTGTATATTTTTTAAAAATAAATTTTGTTCACAACTTGACGCACTAGGGGAAAGGAAAAGTCAAGGCCCCTGTTGTCGAAGGGCTTACAACTTAGGGATTGCAAACACGTAAATAACAAACTATAAAGCATCATGGAATTTGGAGCTAAGACAAGGGGATATGTTGTGGCAATGCAGATTTGGGTTGGAGTTTGGGAAATGGGGAGGGATTCCAAAATTAATAATTGTTTTTCAAAGGAGATGAAATTTGAACCAGGTTATGAAAAATTGCCAAAAGCAGGGCCAGGCACTGTGGTTTATGCCTATAATCTCAGTGCTTTGGGGGACCAAGGCAGGAGGATCCCTCGAGGCCAGGAGTTTGAGTCTATCCTGGGCAACATAGCAAGACCTTGTCTCTACAAAAAATTTAAAATTTAGGCTGGCATGTTGGTGTATACCTGTAGTCCTAGCTACATGAGGGGGCTGAGGTGGGAGGATTTTGTAAGCCCAGGAGTTTGAGGTTACAATGAGCTATGATTGTGCCATTGTACTCCAGCCTGGGCTACAGATGGAAACGCTGTCTCCTAAAAAAAAAAAAAAAATTGCCAAAAGCAAAAATGGCATGGGGATGCGTAAAGAGCATTAGAGGCTGAGTTAACAGCAGACTACTTCTAAGTGGAAAAGTTAAAAATGTAAAGTCTTTAGTTTTTTTCTTTAGTATGTTTATCTGACTTACTCTGGTATAGTTGAGTCAAACAACAGAAATCTGCTTGGGGAAAATTCCTGTCAGTAAATTTCAATCATACTTGACATGCAGAGAGGAATCAATCTAAACTAATAATGCATAAAGCTAGTGTTGAATTAAATCTAATTCTAAAATTGTATAACACAAATTAAGATTCTTCACAAAGCAATGGCATTATGTCAAGAAAAGGTGGATTCAGATTTCAATCTTCATTCTGTGGCTGCAGTAACTACATATGAATTTTATTTCCAAGAGGACTCTTCTCTTCAGGATCAGTTTAATCATCTGACAAAAAAGAGGGTATCAAATTGTAACATTTAGCCGATGTTTGAAAATCCTTTGATGAATACAGTGCAGCCCCAATTGTGCATTAACAGTTAAGAAATGTGACCCATGGAGTCCTAAAAGGCACATTTCAGCATCTCTGTTCCCAAACCTAAGTGGCCACCAAAAATAGCTTCTCTTGAGGACCGAGGATTGCGTCTCTGAATTCCCCAGTGAACCCCTGACAGCTTCGAAGTTCCCAGCCTTATACAGGGTGTACTTTTAGCACTCAACACAATGCCAGGCTAGAGCTTTGGGGATGGGAACCTCCAAGAAAGCACTGTTCGGCATTTGGGCAATCAGTGTTCGGCAGAATGCCAATGCTAATAGGTTATTTTGCTCTGGAAAAGGAGAAAAAGAAGGGATAGTCTAAAGACTGATGAATAGGGGATGACTGACAATACGGACACTCCACTTTATTGGAGAGATTAAGGGGGCTTGCTGTGAAGTGGTATTGTGGGAGCCAGAAAAATTAGCAAAGGCCCACAGGCCCAAGACCTGAAATAAATAGTGGTACATCAAACCCGCATGCCCTAGGGCACACTCAAATGTCTGGCCACTTTCAGTGAACTTGTAGCAGGAAAAAGCCAAATCATTAGGAACCCTCATAGTCTGGTACTCCATCCAGGCACTCCTTAGTCAGGCAAATTATCCTTCACCTCCAGACAGGTGCAGAGCCTTTTTTCTCTACACCCTGACTTAACCCAAGGGCCTGTAGTCTGGGCCTCAGTCTAATTTTGAGGATACTGAGTGGAAAAGTTGGCTTCAGGATTTCCAAAGGATTCCAAATACTCTAGGCAGGAGGTGCCACTAAGATTCTTGTTTTGTTAGACTTGAACCAAGCAGGTAAGAACATTGATCATAACACAAGAAAGGCCGGGTGCGGTGGCTCACGCCTGTAATCCCAGCACTTTGGGAGGCCGAGGTGGGTGGATCCCCTGAGGTCTGGAGTTTGAGACCAGCCTGACCAACGTGGAGAAACCCTGTCTCTACTAAAAATAAAAAATTAGCTGGGTGTGGTGACGCATGCCTGTAATCCCAGCTACTCTGGAGGCTGAGGCAGGAGAATCGTTTGAACTGGGGAGGCGAAGGTTGTGGGTGAGCCGAAATCACGCCATTGCACTCCAGCCTGGGCAACAAGAGAGAAACTCTGTCTCAAAACAAACAAACAGACAAAAAACACAAGAAAGCAGAATTAGTGAATTCACATAAGGATCTCATGTACTTCCAGAGGTAATTTAAGATGGAGAAAGCATCTAGCCTGCCCTCTTTTAGATTTTTTGCCTCTAGAGCATTTTTTTTTTTTTAAGATAAGAGTCTCACTCTGTCGCCCAAGCTGGAGTTCAGTGGTATGATGTCGGCTCATTGCAACCTCTGCCTCCTGGGTTCAAGCAATTCTTGCGTCTCAGCCTCCTGAGTAGCTGGGATTACAGGCATGCACCACCACGCTCAGCTAATTTTTGTATTTTTAGTACAGAAGGGGTTTCACCATGTTGGCTAGGCTGGTTTCTAAACTCCTGACCTTAAGCAATCCACCCGCCTCAGCCTCCCAAAGTGCTAGGATTACAAGTGTGAGCCACCATGCCTGGCCTTGCCTCTAGAAGACTCTAAAGGCCCCAAAGTTATTATGGAATTGGAGGTTTGTAGGTCAGAAGGACTCCATGGATTGGCAATGATGCCTGGAATGTTATAAGGCATATTAAGCCTGCAATTTCTCAGTATACACTTATCTGTCTAACAGAATAGCCCCTCAGCTCTTCGGGAGGCCATTTGGAAGTTATACTATCAAAAGAAATTTGGCTGTTGAGCAGTGAAACTCTGATAAAAACATAAGGAAGTCCCAGTACTGGAATGCAACTTCTTCAAACTATGCCCAGCTTCAGATTCTAGTACATGTGAAATAGGTTTTAAAAAAACCAGGAGAGGAGTTTGCTTGGTGTAGCTACAGAACATAAAACACTGAACCAACTAAGCAGCACAGCTAATCTGAAAACTTAATACTTTCTTTGCTTACTTTTAAATTTATCTTAAATAATTTTAAAAAGTTTGTTTAAATGAATAGCCACATTACAGACTGTACATCTATAAACTGTTTTCTAATTTTATGGTAAGGAGATATTACCCATATTCTAATTTGTAATATTGGGTATACTGGTCAGTCTGATTATTTTTAAAGAGACAGATATAATGATATACTATCTTGCTGCAAATGAGATCTTTCAGTGTGTCATTATAAAATATTATGGACTATTTTTACTAATGATTTATCTCACATAAGCTACTTTCTGGCTGAAAGACAATGACAAAAGAAGTGGAAGAATTTTACTTTTTTTTCACTTTCTGAATTCCACAATTTTATTTCTTGCCATCTTTCCTGAACAAGATAGCCCTTCTGTTCATCTCTTATTATCTCCTTTGCTTTATGCTAATTTATACTATTAGCCTCTCATTTAATAGAGTCTTTTATCACCATTTCTAATTGCCATCACTGCTTAGTTATACCTTTGCTGGTAAGATTCTTTGTGTGATGGTCACACCTTCTCTTGGTAGTGAGAGGTATTAAATAGGTGCATTCATAGTGTATGTAAATGTACACTAAGGCATAATGTGATATGTGTACTTTAAGTTCATTTTTAAACTTAAGAGTGTTGTATATTTAGTTAATTGAGGCAGTACAAACAAATGGAAATCTGTATTGTATAAAATGACATCTTGAAACTCCAACCTAAAGATTCCTGAAAACCTTGGGCTTTAGCTGGATTGGTATTATATGTTAAGAGTTTTCTATTAACTTTTTTTGGTAATAATTTCTTAATGGATTAATAGACCCAATGTGACTCTGTGTCTACTATGTCTTCAGGTCTGGTGCTTCAGGAATGGGTAGACATGATGGCAGGAGGTGGACTTTCCATGGCCAGTAAAGCCTTACTTTAGACAGCCGAAGTTAGAGTGGAGGGAGAATTAAAATGATTGACTAAATGGAGAAACAAAAGATCAAAACAGAGAAACAGAGGGGTTGGAGTGAGAGCCTTAAGCAGAAATACCTGGACGAATCTGGAGGGAGAATCTGGAGAAGCAGGTTGAGGATAATGAAAGAACATTGGAGATCTTTTTTTTTTTTTTTGAGACGGAGACTTGCTCTGTCGCCCAGGCTGCAGTGGCGCAATCTTGACTCACTGCAACCTCCGCATCCTGGGTTCAAGTGATTCTCCTGCCTCAGCCTCCCCAGTAGCTCGGACTGTAGGCTCAAGTCACCACACCTGGCTAATTTCTGTATTTTTAATAGAGACAGGGTTTCGCCATGTTGACCAGGCTGATCTCGAACTCCTGACCTAAGGTGATCCACCTGCCTCAGCTTCCCAAAGTACTGGGATTACAGGCCTGAGCCACCGCGCCGGCTGAGATCTATTTTTTGTTGTTGTAGCTGTGTGTGATGGTAGAGGCTTAATGGTTTAAAGGAGCCCTCTGGGCCTGGCCTCCATGTGGGGGTGACATTTAAAATATTCAACAATCAATGAGTCATAGTGAACACCTCACTGCACAATACTCTGCCACAGTGCACTGGTGCTGGGTATAGAACCCTCTGCTGGACGGGCCACTAACTATTTAGTGCTGACCACATTCTATTCTCTGGCTTCCCATTTGCCCTTGCCAGATGTGGGGACCAACTTGTGTAGGTTTTACCTTCCTGTGGAGTGGTGGGCCCATTCACATCTTTCACATGTTTCCCAAGTGCACCTCTAATATTTTATCTTTTAAAAATCCTACATGGTTTTCCCATTGCCTACAGGATAACAGGAGCGTTTTAGCATGGCACAGAAGGCCCTCCATAATCTCTCTGCTACCCCCCTTTCCAGCATTGTCTTGTCTCATCTTCTGTATGCACCTTTTCTCACTGCATGGATCACCAGCCTTCTTGTTCCAGGGTAGACTCCCTCCCCATTGTTGCTGGGCAGTGCCTTGGGGGACTTATAGCACTTACCATATTGAAATGTGAGTATTTTTGCCAGAACAGTGGCTAACGCCTGTAATCCTAGCACTTTGGGAGGCCAAGGTGGGCGGATCACGAGGTCAGGAGATCGAGACCATCCTGGCTAACATGGTGAAATCCCGTCTCTACTAAAAAAAAAAAAAAAATTTAGCCTGGCGTGGTGGCAGGCGCCTGTAGTCCCAGCTACTGGGGAAGCTGAGGCAGGAGAATGATGTGAACCCGGGAGGCGGAACTTGCAGTGAGCCGAGATCATGCCACTGCACTCTAGCCTGGGCGACAGAGCGAGACTCCGTCTCAAAAAATGAAATGTGAATATTTTCTCACATGTCTGTCTCTCAGTGTACTGTGAACTGTTTGAAGAGCAGAGATATCTTTGTACAGCTAGTAACTAAGGTGTCACCAAGGGGCTTAATATATGTTGATTGTAGATGTGTATGAATAAAAGTATTAGCTCTGAAAAAATGATTATTAAATAATGCAAATGGGCCTGATGCGGTGGCTTACACCTGTAATCCCAGCACTTTGGGAGGCCAAGGTGGGTGGATCACGAGGTCAGATCGAGACCATCCTGGCTAACATGATGAAACCTCGTCTCTACTAAAAATACAAAAAATTAGCCAAGCATGGTGGCATGTGCCTGTAGTCCCACCTACTTGGGAGGCTGAGGCAGGAGATTTGCTTGAACCTGTGAGGTGGGGGTTGCAGTGAGCCGAGACCGCACCACTGCACTCCAGCCTGGGTGACAGAGCGAGACTCCGTCTCAGAAAAAAAAAAAAAAAAAAAAAGAAAAGCAATGTAGGGCCAGGTGTGGTGGCTCACGCCTGTAATCCCAGGACTTTGGGAGGCCAAGGTGGGCAGATCACATGAGGTCAGGCATTCAAGACCAGCCTGGCCAACAAGATGAAACCCTGTCTTTACTAAAAATATAAAACTTAGCCAGGCATGGTGGCGCACACCTGTAATCCCAGCTACTCGGGAGGCTGAGGCAGGAAAATTGCTTGAACCTGGGAGATGGAGGTTGCAGTGAGCCGAGATCGCACCACTAGACTTCAGCCTGGGCGACAGAGTGAGACTCCGTTTCAAAAAAAAAAAAAAGCAAATGTAAAGTTACCTATAGCTTGAGCAAAATAGGTGAAAAAATGAACCCATCATGTTTTCTATTTTTGAGAGTTATGATATGGTGATATTATTTGTTTTGTTTTGTTTTGAGACACGGTCTTGCCCTGTTGCTGAGGCTGGAGTGCAGTGGCATGATCTTGGCCCACTTTACCCTCGAACTCCTGGGCTCAAGCAGTCCTGTCTCAGCCTCCCCAGTATCTGGGACTACAGGTGCATGCCACCAAGCCCAGCTAATTTTTAAAATTTTCTTTTGTAGAGACAGAGTCCTGCTATGTTGACCAGGCTGGTTTCAAACTCCTGGACTCAAGTAATCCTCCCACGTCAACATCCCAAAGTGCTGGGATTATAAGTGTGAGCCACCGTGCCCAGCTTATGATGACTTTAAAAGGTGGTTAGTTAGTGGTGAGGGTTGCACAACTCTGGGAACATACTAAAAACCATTTAATTGTATACTATAAAATGGTGAATTTTATGGTATGTGAATTAAATTTCAGTGCTAATGTAAATTTCCTGGTTTTGATAACATACTATAGTTATGTAAGATTTTACCACTGGGGGAAGGTGGGTGAAGGGCACATGGGACATCTCCTTACTATTTTTTGCAATTTTGTGTATCTATAACTATTGCATAATAAAAAAATGTAAAAAGGTTAGGATGGGCACAGTAGCTCATGCCTCCAACACTTTGGGAGGCTGAGGCGGGAAGATTGCTTGAGTCCAGGAGTTTGAGACCAGCCTGGGCAACATAGTGAGACCGCTGTCTCTACCAAAAATAATAAAAAAAAAAATTAGGTGTGGTGGCATGCTGCTGTAGTTCCAGCTACTTGGGAGGCTAAGGTGGAATAATTGCTCGAGCCCCAGAGTTGGAGGCTGCAGTGAGTTGTCATCAGACCACTGTACTCTAGCCTGGGCAACAGACCAAGATCTGGTCTTAAAAATAAAAAAAGTGATTAAATTAGTTTTTCTAACCAAATGTGTTTATGATTAAGTTTGGGTTTATGGTTTAGAATTGCTATAGAATGTTTTCTCACTTGATTAGAGATCCAGTTACTTTTTAAAATTTTATGTCAATATTTTATTCTCAAGTATCATATGTCAAAACCTATCTACTTATAAATAATCCTATATAATTATCAATTATAATCTAATAAAAAGATAAAAGTTAAGGATTTAGAAATGGTATCTTGGCAGTATTTTTCTTTTTTTGAGATGGAGTCTCACTCTGTCATCCAGGCTGGAGTGCAGTAGCAGGATCTCAGCTCACTGCAACTTCTGCCTCCCAGGTTCAAGCGATTCTCCTGCCTCAGCCTCCTGAGTAGCTGGGATTAAAGGTGCCCACCACCACGCCTGGCTAATTTTTGTATTTTTAGTGGAGACAGGGTTTCACCATGTTGGCCAGGTTGGTCTCGAACTCCTGACCTCAAGTGATCCGCCCATGTTGGCCTCCCAAAGTGCTGGGAATACAGGTGTGAGCTGCCGCGCCTGGCCAGTATTCTTTTTTTACATCCTTTCTCTGTAATTCTTTGTTCCTTTAAAAATAATATTTCTGACATAATTACAATTAAAATGAAGGTACTGATAAGTTATGAATATTATGACACGGTGCCATTTTTGTGTCTTAGAGAGTTATTTGCTATAAAGTCCATATTACATATCTTTAATTTGTAATATATGTTAATTGATTAAAAAATTATTGAGTTCTTTGTTCCAGGCTCTGTGCTAAGTGCTTTATATGCATTCTTTCATTTAATCTTATCTATAAGATAAAAAATGATATTGTCTGTAATTACAGATGAGTGCAATGAGGCTTAGACAAGTGAAATAACTTAATGTCCCAGGAGTAGTAAGTCGGGAAGCTGGGATTTGAACTTACATCTGTGTGACTGCAGAGTTGTTTTCTTTTTTTGCCTTTTTTGCCTTTTTTTTTTTTTTTTTTTTAAGAGATGGAGTCTCACTATCTTGTCCAGGCTGGAATGCAGTGTCTGTTCACAGGTGTGGAGCACAGTGCACTGCAGCCTTGAACTCCTGGCCTCAAATGATCCTCCCACTCCAGCTTCCGAAGTGGCTGGGATTATAGGCACACACCACTGTGCCTAGCTACAGTTGTTTTACTTCTCTCTGATGATAACTTGGAGTGAATTGAGAGAACTGTGTTAAATGCCTGGCACTGATTATCTTTGAGACCTTGGTCAGGTAACTTAATCTCTAAAATTGCAATGTAACCCTCTTATTTGCCAAATGAGGAGGCACAAATAGATGATCCCGCCAGCCCCTTTTAGCACAGATGTTCTGTAGTTCAAGAAATTTATCCTTGGCTCTATAAGTTGTTTGTTTAATGTGTGTGTGTTCCCTCTGTGAAGGATATTATTTATAAATACAGATGTTCCTTTTAAAGAAAGAGATGTCAAAGGAAGAGCTTGGTGACTGCTTCCATCTATGATCTGGTCTTTGAGTTTGCAGAACACAAAATACAGCTTTATATGCTCATTCAACTGATTTCAGGTTCTCGGGAATTGATTCATGCTAACCAAAATTGTAAGAGCTTTTGTTTTTTATGTATAATCCAGAATCTTAGTTTGTCAATTATAATGGAATAGTGAATACTGGTTTCTGCCATTGTAGGCACTTCTTTTAGGATCAGAGACTTTGGAAAACCAGATTAGAAACTATTTGGAAGGCAAAGGGAATCAAGTGGGTTTGAGGGGTATTTTTCAGATTCAAAGTCTTATAAATGATCTCTGTTCTGTAGTAGAGTTCTAGTAATTATATTTGGAATCAGTTTTCTTTCTCCTTTAAGTAGTAGTTACTAATGGCTGGTAGTCTTCTCTTTTTCTCCTGCTTCATGCAGATTATTGTACCTATGCTAATATGACTTTTTTTCAGATAGGTTAATTTTTCCTTTTCTTATTTTTTTAAAGGTACATCCCAGTCTACATGATACTGTTTACTTTGATTAGACTTGGGTATTTATTTATTTATTTATTTATTTATTTATTTCAAGACAGAGTTTCACTCTTGTTGCCCAGGCTGGAGTACAGTGGTGCAATCTTGGCTCACTGCAACCTCTGCCTTCTGGGTTCAAGCGATTCTCCTCCCTCAGCCGCCCAAGTAGCTGGGACTATAGGTGCGTGCTACCACACCTGGCTAATTTTGTATTTTTAGTAGAGATAGAGTTTTACCATGTTGGTCAGGCTGGTCTCGAACTCCTGGTCTCAGGTGATCCACCCGCCTTGGCCTCCCAGTGCTGGGATTACAAGTGTGAGCCACCGTACCCGGCCTAGACTTGGGTATTTCTTAAGACTCAAATCTAAATGTCATTTCCCCTCTAAGTTAGAGGACTTGGCCAGACAACTTTAGTTTTATGTTGACTTTCACTAGTTCACCTTTCAGAGGGAGGACTCATTCTAACATTGATCCCGAATTCCAAGGGGAATTCTGCCATGGTCCATATGTTTTCGACTATATTGTCATTCTGTCATCGGCAATATATAAACTTGACGGTATACGTAGGAGGCATGCTCCTCTTAGTTATAGAACTCAGTAAGGGTGAGTTCTGGTATATTTCAAAGGTTTCCACTATTGTTTTGATCTCAAGTTTCCAAATATAGTTTTCTGTATCTCCTAAATGTAAACTTGCCTTTTAATTTTTTTATTTTATTTATTTTTGAGATGGAGTATCACCCTGTAACCCAGGCTGGAGTGCAGTGGTGTGATCTCCGCTCGCTGCAACTTCCACCTCCCAGGTTCAAGCGATTCTCCTTGTGTGAGCCTCTCAAGTAGCTGGGATTACAGGCACCCACCACCATGCCTGGCAAATTTTTGTGTGTTTTTAGTAGAGATAGAGTTTCACTATGTTGGCCAGGCTGGTCTCGAACTCTCGACCTCATGATCTGCCCGCCTCAGCCTCCCAAAGTGGATTACAGGCATGAGCCACAGTGCCCAGCAAAACTTGCCTTTTATAAGTCAGATTTATTGGGGTACAATTTACATAGATTAAAATTAACTTTTTTAGCTGTACAGTTCTATGAATTTTGACAAATATATGCAAGTTGTGTAACTACCTTGTATGGAATATTTTCAGCACCCTGTAAATTTCTCTTATGCCCCTTTGTGATTAGTCCTCTCCTCTTTCTCCAGCTTCTGGCAGCCACAAACCTGATTTCTGTCCTTACAGTTTTGCCTTTTCCACAGTGTTATAAATGGAATCATACAATATGTAATCTTTTGAGTCTGGCTTCTTTCACTTAGCATAATGCTTTTTTGAGATACAATTTACATACCATAAAGTTCATCTGTTTAAGGTGTACATTTCAACAGTTTTTAGTATCTTTTCAGAGTTGTGCAACCATCAAGATATCTAATTTTAAAACATTTTTATCACCCCAAAATAAACCTTGTACTCATTAGCAGTTATTCCCCAATTCTGACTCCCCTCCCATAGCTCCCTATCCTAGGCAAACACCTACTTTTCATCTCTCCAGATTTGCCTATTCTAGATATATTAATTAATGGTATCATACAACGTGGTCTTTTGTAACTTCTTTCACTTAGTATAATGTTTTTCAGGTTCATTCATGTAGTAACATGAATGCTTTATTTTTTTAATTGCCAAGTAATTTCCCATTGTATAGGTCATAGATATACCACATTTTGTTTATTCATCAGTTGATGGACATTTCAACTTTTTGGCTATTATGGATAATGCTATGAACATTTATGTACAGGTTTTTGTGTGGACATGTTTTCCTTTCTCTTGAATACATTATGAACATTTTTGTACAAGTTTTTGTGTGGAAGTATGTTTTTATTTCTTTTGGATGGATACCTAAGAGTGGAATTGCTGGATTGTGTGGTAATTCTTTGTTACCACACGAGCCAGCAAACTGCCAAACCCTTTTTCAAACCCTTTTCCACAGTGCTCAAACCCTTTGGAACTGTCAAACCCTTTTCCACAGTGGCTCAAGGGTTCCAGTTTCTCCTGGCCAATCCTCACTATTGTCTGCCTTTTTTTTTTTTTTTTTACATATTTTATTTTATGAACTTTCTTTTTTTTATTATTATACTTTAAGTTTTAGGGTACATGTGCACAATGTGCAGGTTAGTTACCTATGTATACATGTGCCTTTTTTTATTACAGCCATTCTAATGGGTGTGAAGGAGTATCTTATTGTGGTTTTGATTTGCATTTACCAAATGACTAAATATGTTGAGCATCTTTTCGTATGTTTACTGGCCATTTGTATATCTTTTTGGGAGAAATGTCTATTCAAGTCTTTGGCCATTTAAAAATTGGGTTATTTGTCTCTTTGTTGAGTTATAAGAATTTATTATATATTCTGGATACAAGTCCTTTATCAGATAGATGATTTACAAGTATTTTCTCCTAGTCTGTGAGTTGTCTTTTCATTTTCTTGATGGTATCTTTTGAAGCACAAAAGATTTTAATTTTGATGGAGTCCAATTTAATAATCTTATTTTTTATTGCTTGTGCTTTTGGTGGCATATCTAAGAAATCATTGCCTAACCCAATGTCAAGAAGGTTTATACCTGTATTTTCTTCTAGGAGTTGTATAGTGTTAGCTCATACATTTAGGTCTATGATCAACTTTGAGTTAATTTTTGTGTATGGTGTGAGATAGGTGTCCAAAGTTTTGCTATTACATGTGGATATCCAGTTGTCCAGCGCAATCAGTTGAAAAGGCTATTCTTTTCCTCATTAAATTGTCTTAGCCCTTTTGCTGAAGATGAATAGACCATAAATATATGGGTTTATTTCTGGACTCTAAATTATATTCCATTGATCTATCTATTTACCTTTATTCCACTACCACAGTATCTTGATTAATAACTTTGTAGTAGGTTTTGAAGTTGGGAAGTATGAGTTCACCACCTTCATTCTTTTTCAAGATTATTTTGGCTATTCTTGGTTTATTGCATTTCCATATGAATTTTAGAATCAGCTTGTCAATTTCTGTAAAAATTCCAGGTGGAATTTTGATACGAAGTGTATTGAATCTGTTGATCAATTCAGCAATTCAGGGAGTGTTGCCATCTTAACAGTATTAAGTCTTCTGATTCATGAATGTAGGATGTATTTCCATTTATTTGGATCTTTAATTTTTAAAAAAATGCTTTGTGGTTTTCAGTGTAAGCATAATGCTTTTGAGATTCATTCATGTTAGTGTGTATATTAGCAGTTTTTTTCATTTCATTGCTGAGTACTATTCTATTTTATGGATGTATCACAATTTGTTCATCTATTAACCCATTGAGGGACATTGGAGTTTTCATTTTTTGGCAGTTATGAATAAGGCTGCAAAAAGACATTCACATACAGGTTTTTATATAAATATAGGTTTTCATTTTACTTAGGTATATACCTAGAAGTAGAGTTACTAGTTGTATATGTGTGTCTGTTTACCTTTATAAGAAACTGCCAAACTGTTTTCCAAAGTGGCTATATCATTTTGCATTCCCACCAGCAATATATGAGAATTCTAGATACTTTGTGTCCTTACCAGCACTTGGTGTTATTAACATTTTTTTAAAAAGTTATTTTGATAGGTATATAGTGATATTTCATTGAGGTTTTAATTTACATTTCTCTAATGGCTAATGATATGGAGTATAAAATAATGAAATCCTAGACTTTTAGAGCTGGAAGAGACTTGAAAGAGTTCATTTCTGGTTTTTATATTCTGTTCCTCAGACATATTTCATGGGGTGTCTGAGGTGGGGATTTGGGGACTGAGGAGCATGCTGAGTGCTGAGTGGGTGGGATCTGAGCAACCTGCCTAGAAGGGCTCTACATTTTATCAGTTTTAAAAATATTGAATTTCCAGGTGATAAATTGTTAGAAAAAAGGTGCCTCTGTTAAACAAAAATGAAAGCTACTGAACTGAATTTTTTAAAAAATTTTATTTTACTTTAAGTTCTGGGATACATGTGCAGAATGTGCAGGTTTGTTTCATAGGTTTACATGTGCCATGGTGGTTTGCTGCACCTATCAACCTGTCATCTAGGTTTTAAGCCCCGCATGCATTAGTTATTTGTTCTAATGCTCTCCCTCTCCTTCCTCCCAACCCCCCAACAGGCCCCGGTGTGTGATGTTCCCTCCCTGTGTCCATGTGTTCTCATTTGAACTGAATTTTTTTAAAGGGCAAAACTGAGACCCAGAGAGGTAAATTGACTTACCCAAGATTCTGTAGTCTGAAATGGATTCATACAATAGGGCTCTTTATTCTGCAGTGCACTATCTTGTCATAACTTTCAGATTCTACTGTTTGTTGACTCAAGAATTATGATAAAAACTCTTCTGACCAAGATTTGTTGAAGTCATAAATATTTTAAAAATTTTCTTTTACATTGAAAAGTAGTATATGGAAACTAAGTCATTTTTCATGAGTTAGCTGTACTGACTAAAAAATGAGGTTATCTTTTCTTCAGGAATCCAATTTCTAGTACAAAACCTTCCAAAATTACTGTGCTTGGTTTCTGTGTAATGTGGGAAATGTGGCACAACTGTCAGAGGTTATAAATGACAATACATTATAGAAATAGGTGAGGGAACAAGCAGGGATTTGCCATTGGGAAACAGACATTGTATTTTGTTATCAGTTTTGATGAACATTGACAATGGTTCATCAATGTTGAAAGAGTAAAATTGAATTCATTAGATGCAATCATAATGGTTAGAGTAAGTTTTTTTTTTAATAAGAAAAATTCAGTTCTGAAATCTTTTCTTTATTGAGGTTTTTCTAGAAATTACCAGAGTGTGAAAGCAGTTCTATACAGTGTTGGCAATTCTGAGATTGGCTTTGGGACTGATGAGTGAGCAATGCATGGTTACATTGAGCAGAATTTTATTAGAATGCCTTTGGTGGATTTGAGTAGAAATTTTATTTAATAATGGTATAGTGAAAGGAGTATAGTGTTTGAACTCAGGAAACTTGAGGTCAAACCTTGGCTCTGCTTCATACTACCTATATGACCTTGAATGAGTCACCTAACTTCTGTGATCAGCCTATTCCCAAGAGTTGTGTGAAGATGAGAAAAAAAAAATAGAGAAAATGTATCTGAAAGTACTTTATACATTTTAGTGCTATTTAGCTATAGTTTTATTACTAATAATCATCTTTGAACTTGCAACACACAGGATTTTTAAAAAATGATTTTTCAGCCATATGCGGCAGCTCATGCCTGTAATCCCAGCACTTTGGGAAGCCGAGATGGGAGGATCGCTTGAGCTCAGGAGTTCGAGACCAGCCTGGGCAACATGGTGAAACCCTGTCTCTACTACAGATACAAAAAAAATTAGCCAGGCATGATGGCACATGCATGTAGTCCCAGCTACTCGGGAGGCTGAAGTGGGAGAATCACTTGAACCTGGAGGTTACAGTGAGCTGAGATTGTGCCACTGCACTCCAGCCTGGGTGACAGAGGGGGACTCTGTCTCAAGAAAAAAATATGTATATTTTTTTCTTCCTTATATTTGGCTATAATTTACTTGTATTCTTTTAGCCTCTGTCCTATGTCTCTCATTTTTGGAGTTTTTGGAAACTTTGCTCTGTCCTTAGTCCCCCTCCTCCTCTTTCAAATAGATGACATTTTCTCACTTTTGTCTATTAGGAGAACTAGCTGTATTACTTTTTTCCTATGGAAAAAATGAAATAGTTTTTATTTTCTACATATATTTAGCCTAACAACCCTGGCTAAAGTATCAAACCTATAAGCTGCATGTAGGTTTTCTTATTTGGCATTGAATTTCCCTTCCTTGTGGTTAAGTTCCTTGTACTTCTGCCTGCCTTTCCTCTGGGATTTGTTTCCTTTAGATGTGTTTGAAACCTAATATGCCTTTACCTTGGTCAAGCCCATTTGTTGGTCTGTAATAGAGTTACAATACTTTATCATGATATATTTTGTAGACATGAACGGTGGGGTCATGTATTTCAACTGCTCCAATAATGATGACAAGCGATTTCATGTGTTGATTTGACTCCTCTGTCTTAGATGGAGTTAAAAGTTATTTGCCAGTCCTCAGTAACTGCAGACACAGGAGACAATGTTGGAAACAATGTTGGTGAAATGGAAGTATCTTCCCTTTTGATAGCTGAAGCTGGTAAGGTTGTCAATTTTAGTGTTATTTCCTTTTCTTCCTGGTTAAGAGAAGGAAAACTTTTTCCTGAAGGTTTTTATTTTCAGTGGTTTCTAGCTAATCGCTTATTTTTATTTAAATTAACTAAAAAATAAAATTGTATATTTTAAGTAGTTCTGAGATGAATGGGTATTCTGGAGAACAAGCACATCTGCATCAAGTACTGTTTCATTCTTGGGAGTTTCATATGCTTGCTAGATCTACTTTCATCATTTGGAGTAATATTTTTTAAATAATAGCATGTCCCATTTTTGAAACTAGAGGCTAGTTTTCAAAAAGTCACTGAATTCTAAATTAAAGCAAAGGAAATAGCAATACTGACTGATGTGTTTATAATTTGCCTAGAATTACCTCTTGGTTATTTATACTTTGTATTTCAGAAACCACACTCTTAATGTATGTTTTCTGAAATAAAAATGGGCTGGGTATGGTGGCTCACACCTGAACCCCCAGCACTTTGGTTGGGAGGCCAAGGCAGGAGGATGGCTTGAGTCCAGGAGTTTGAGACCAGCCTGGGCAACATGGCAAGACCCTGTCCCTCAGAAATTAAAAAAAAAAAAAAAAGAAAAAGAGAAAAAGAAAGCCAAATATGGTGGTGCACACCTGTGGTCCCAGCTACTCAGGAGGCTGAGGTGGGAAGATCACTTGAGCCCAGGAGGTCGAGGCTGCCGTGAACCATGATTGTGCCACTGCACTCCAGTCTAGGTGACAGAGCAAGGCCCTGCCTCAAAAAAAAAAAAAAGTGTAGTGATATTGTGTTAAAAGCCAGCAGAGGCTGGGTATGGTGGCTCATGCCTGTAATCCCAGCACTTTGGGAGGCTGAGGTAGGTGGATCACTTGAGGTCAGGAGTTTGAGACCAGCCTGGCCAACATGGTGAAACCATGTCTCTACTAAAAATCTAAAAATTAGCTGGGGCATGGTGGCGCACGCCTGTAGCCCAGCTACTCATGAGGCTGAGGCACCAGAATCATTTGAACCCGGGAGACAGAAGTTACAGTGAGCCTAGATCACGCCGCTGTGCTCCAGCCTGAGTGACAGAGCGAGACTCTGTCTCAAAAGCCAGCAGATACTGACCAAAGGCATACTTTCTCTAATAATGACATTCTAGGGTCATTTTGTTCATAGCAATCATTCATGGAGGGGTAGAAAGACAGAGGCTGGAATGGGGTAGGTGAAGTATCAATGCCAGTTGAGTTCAATTCCCAACCTCATTGGAAATTCAGAGGTTGTCATATACTTTAATCATTCATATTTTGGGAAAATCGTACCTTAACCCAGAAAAAAAAATAATTTCTAAAGATACTACATGGGCAGCATTCTCAGTGTGTATTATTATATACTTCAACGTATATTAAAAACAAAACCCCAAACAAAAATACTGGATTCCTTATACAGCCTTGAAATTATAACCAAAAGCTTGTAGTGTTGAATACTCAGTAGACGAGAAAGATTCATAACTAGCAAATTGGGCAGTTTGAACAAGTTGATCAATGAACTGGCTGGAAATAGAATGACTGCTTTAAAATATCACTTAGACATAGTTATGGTAACAATTATAATTTAGCTTTCATATTTTTAAGCAATATATACATCAAGAAATTCTAAAATTGTCACTATTCTGTGATAACTTAGTATATTTTGTATTCAGATATTATGCAAAAAATGTGCACTAACACATACTTTAAGAAAAGTAGGTTCTTTTACTTAATATTTTAGGGTATCTCTGTGGCTTCTTAAGATGACTGCTTATAGGCATATATCTTGTCACCAAGCTATGGATATTTTAGATTTTAATGGTTATGTGTGTGTTTTTAAAAAACATAGCAACATGAAGAGATTACATCAATTAAAGCTTTATGAGATAGAGCAATATAGGTATATCTTGTCATGGAATGGCTTTCTAAAATATTATAAATGGAAGTATTTTAAAATAAACTGTAAAAATCGATAGTAAGTCTCTTTGTTAAGTGAAAAATCATGTATAAATTAAAGTAATATATAACTCAATTTAGAGTTTTCATGTTATAGGTGTTGTAGTATAACCAACTGGGTAAGGTAACGCCTTGTGGAGTAGCAGACAAAAGCCAGTGGCTTATCTAAGGGAAAAAACTCCATCAAAAGTGGCTGGCAGGGTTCAGAGACTCAGCTTGCTTTCTTTGCAAAAGTCCCTGGGCCTAGGAACACTGTTGGGGCCAAAAAGAGAGTGACTATAGGATCATAACTACAGAATGGGAAAAATTATGGGGAAACGGGGATTTCTTTCCATGTACAAAAAGGTATCTGAAAACATATTTAAAGTTTTTTTTTTTTTTGGATATGAAGTCTCACTCTGTTGCCCAGGCTGGAGAGCAGTGGTGTGATCTCGGCTTACTGCAACCTCCGCCTCCTGGGTTCAAGTGATTCTCTCACCTCAGCTTCCCGTGTAGCTGGGATTAGAGATGTATGCCACCACGCTCAGCTAACTTTTGTATTTTTAGTAGAGACGTGGTTTCACCATATTGGTCAGGCTGGTCTCGAACTGCCGACCTCAGGTGATCTGCCTGTCTTGGCCTCCCAGTGCTGGTATTACAGGTGTGAGCCACCATGTCTGGCCTAATTAAAGTATATTTAATAAGCAACCAGCTGGGCTTGATGGTGTTCTCCTGTAGTCCCAGCCACTCGAGAAGCTGAGATGGATCACTTCAGCTCAGGAGTTTGTGGCCAGCCTGGGCAACATAGTGAGACCCTGTCTCTTAAACAAAAAAAGCAACCACGTGGCAAAAGTAGGTTTTGGGAAATCTGTATTTGAGAAGAAAACTTTAAAAAATAATATTTAAAAATAAGAAGGAGCAATTTATATGTTGATACTATCTCTTCTCCAGGAACAAAAGAGTATGTAGTAGTTCTATACACAGGCAATAAGTGAAAGGCTGAATATTATATTCACCTCTGAATATGTTTCAGTAATAATTACATATATTTTTCTATAACACATGGAAAGGAGTTTCAGTAGTATTATACCTAAGTATGGAAATAGTTATAGTTACCATATTTTTAAAAAGTATATTCAGGTAGTCTAACTGAATTTTATATTCTCAGAAATTATATATAAATAGCTATCATTTGGGGCTAAAAACTTCCTTGTTTTGTTATTGTATCATATTGGAGCTCACATATTTTGATGAGAGGTGATAAAGCAAGGGTCCCCAGAAATCTGCTGTTGTTAAGGAAACCCATATAAAACCTGACCCCACATCTTCTGGGATTTCCTGGAAATCCACTGACATTTCCTGGAAAGAGAGATGTGCCTGAATATTTTCAGGATAACTCTGTTCTCATAAGCTTTCTGCCTGTTCTCTCTCCTTTCAACTCTGGTTTCTTAGGAGCTTCACTTCTCTCTACTCCCTTTCCACCTGGTGATCTTAGGTCTCAGAGGTTTTTTTTAAAATAACTATCTTCTCTTAATTTTTTTTTTTATGGAAGGATTCTAATTCCAAAGGAATCATTTGGTTAAAGGTCACCTTCATGTAAGGTCTGGAGGAATGGCGGAGAATCTAGGGGACTGTTTTACATTTTCCTTGTGGAAGATAGGGTATAGCATACCCTGAAGAATTACATGCAAGGTGAGAAGAAAAGGCGACAAAAGCCTTTACATGCAAGGTGAGAAGAAAAGGCGACAGGAATAATTGGGGAGGTGAATAGAGTAAATCTGAGTATAATACAGAAGCCAAAAGTAAGTATTTTATTAGATGCATAATTTTTATATTTACCAGCTTCTACTGAATAAAATTGAAGTTGGTTCATCAGGGCCTGTGACCAATGATTGCACGTGAACACAGGAGAGAATAAATAGAGCAACCTGAAGTAATAAGCGATGGGGAGGAGTAGCCTAGGCGATCTTGAAATGATATTGATCAAGGAACAACAGGGAGAGAAGAAACATTTGAAGTAAAGGAGGCTTGTAGCAGCAGGTGGGTGTTAGGATGAAATAGCGTTTAGTCACCTTGGCAGAAGAGGATCCTAGCGCATTAAGATCAGCACCTCGGAGAGAATCAGAAGAGAAAGATTGGGTAGAAATGAAATAAACAAAATCTGGACAATCAAAAATGAAGTACGTTGGGGATATTGGCAAATTATTTGAATTGTCCTAGCCCCTAAATATAGATGTACCTACAGTTTTAACGCTAACATACATTTAAGTTGATTCCTGAACTCTGATTGGACAATAAAGATACAGTTTATTATTTTCACTTTCAGAAAGTAGAGTTGTTAAAGAAAAGTTTTTACATCAAGTAATTGTTCTTGTCATTACTAATATAGTTACAGTTGTGTTCACCACCCAAAATAAAATTGGCTATGACACACAAGAATTAAAGACAGGAATCTTAAAATTCACGTAAATTTGGCACTGAGCAAGTCTATATGCATGATTCTTCCACTAATCCTTATGAGAACTTAATCAAATAGATGATCTATATGTGAAAGGATCCTAAATTCATAAAGGCCCTTAGTCACAGTCTAGTCTGACTTTAAGAGCAATTTTTAAAATGCCAGTATTTACTGCATTATAACATTATTCCCTCTTGCTTGGGAAGTCACTCAAAGATCACAAGACTTGTGTTTAAACAGCCACATAAACTATGCGGTGGTCCATTCTGTTTGGTGTATTCACTCTGTTGCCATAAGAGGTGTGTTTTTTCAATGCAAACAATTTGATTTATTCTAACGGTTGTCCTAACAGTTAAGTAAATTATTCCCCCATTTAATGAAGGATTGGTTATCCATTTATTGATTGATTGGTAATGGAGTTTCTACTCACTTTACCTAATTTGAAGATCATTTGTAGTGTTAACTTATATTAGTATCAGTGTATCTTAGAACAGAACAAATAGGAGCGATGTTCTGCTTTGTTGAATATGGACTTTGTCTCAGTGACTCTGTCACAAATTTGAAGTTAAATTGTAATGACTGGGCCCCGTGGCTCATGCCTGTAATCCCAGCACTCTGGGAGGCCGAGGCAGGTGGATCACCTAAGGTCAGGAGTTCGAGATCAGCCTGGCCAACATAGCGAAACCCCGTCCCTACTAAAAAATACAAAAATTAGCCGGGCATCATGGCACATGCCTGTAATCCCAGCTACTTGGGAGGCTGAGGCCGGAGAATCACTTCAACCTGGGAGGCGGAGGTTGCAGTGAGCCAAGATTGTGCCATTGCACTCCAGCCTGGGCAACAGAGCAAGACTCTGTCTTAAAAAAAAAAAAAATTGTGATAATGAAATGCCTCACTAAAGTGTTTAGGATGCCTCAGAGAGAGGTCCTTGGATTGGACATCATTTGGTCACTCAAAAGGTAGTAGGCCAAATATAGAAGATAAAGAATAAAGTCCTCCAGGATCCAGGTGTCTAGGGCAGAGAGAGTATTTGTTACTACACTCTCCTTCCTGAACCACAATCAGTAATGTTCTCTGCTGAACACTTTTTTTTTTTGAGACAGGCAGGGTCTCACTCTGTTGCCCAGGCTGGTGTGCAGTGATGCGATCTTGGCTCACTGCAACCTCCACTTCCCAGGCTCACATGATCCTCTCACTTCAGCCTCCTAAGTAGCTGGGACTACAGGGATGTCCCACCATGCTTGGCTAATTTTAAATTTTTTTTGTGGAGACGAGGTCTCACTACATTGCCCAGGCTTGAATATTTTTCTTAATCCAGCGCTCTGGGCAGCCAATATGAACCAGTTGCTTGGAGGTGAAACTGTTGGCTCTTCCATCTAGTGTTATTTTTATATGGAAAAGTCTAATTGGTAGAAATAGAAGTCTCAGAAAAAAATTGCTAATTAAGGAGTTAGTTGAATTGAAGGATGCTAAATCTATTTTCATTTCCTTTAGTTGGAATGATTCAATGATTCACTGACTTTCAGACATACTGACTAGATAAAAACAAACTCAGTAAACTTGATTTCTCACTTTGGATAGACCTTAATAAGCAGTATTCGGAGTTACTGGGAGAAAATAGAGGTGAGTATTTTTTAATCTTTGCACAAGAACTTTCTTCTTTTTTTTTTTTTTTTTTTTTTTTGAGATAGGGTCTCACTTTGTCACCCAGGCTAGAGTGCAGTGGTGTGATCTTGGCTCACTGCAACCTCTACCTCCCGGGTTTAAACCATTCTCCTGCCTCAGCCTCCCGAGTAGCTGGGATTACAGCTGCTCACCACCACGCCCAGCTAATTTTTGTATTTTTAGTAGAGATGGGGTTTGCCACATTGACCAGGCTGTTCTTGAACTCCTGACCTCAAGTGATCCACCATCCTCAGCCTCCCAAATTGCTAGGGTTACAGGCATGAGCCATCGCACCTGGCGTACATGAGAATTTTCTAAGTGTAAAGATAACGAGAGAAATAAAAAAGAAAAAGATCCAAAGATATACCACATAAAAATTAAAAATCTCTTTATGTCAGAAACATCAAAGCCAATAGCTAGAAAGTGAGTAAAAATTTAGGAGAAAAATTTGCAGCCAATATGCCAAAGGGTTACTATCCTTAATAATAATCACCACCACCATCATCATCATCCATTATATAAACACTAAAAAGAACTCTAGCTCGATGGAGAGAATGCCACAAAGTGGACAATTAATACAATGAGGAATTACAATTAGCTAATAAACATGTGAAAAATGTTTATTTCAACCTCACTAGTAAGCAAAAACTGTAAGTTAAATAAGTTCCAAATGTATTATGTAAATTAGCAGGAACTAAAAAATAATGATAAGAATATACTGAGTACAAGTTTAAGTCAGTACAGTCTTTATTAAAAGATTTGCAAGTTAACTCCTAGGAATCTCCCCTAAGGAAATGATTTAAAATAGAAGAAAATAATTTTTATACCAAGATGTTCATTAGAAAATTATTTATAATAGTGAAAAAAATTCTTTTACATATTGAAACATGTATGTTAATTATACCTCTTTTAATACTCAGAGGCTGAGTGGGAAATATTAATTTGATAGATTTATTTTATTTTTATTTTTTTGAGGCAGGGTCTCACTCTGTCGCCCAGGCTGGAGTACAGTGGCATATGGCTCACTGCAGCCTCAGCCTCCCCAGCTCAAGCAATCCTTTCACCTCGGCCTCCCAAGAACCTGGGACTACAGGCACATGCCACCCACCTGGCTAATTTTTGTATTTTTTGTAGAGATGGGGTTTCACCATGTTGCCCAGGCTGGTTTCAAACTCCTGAGCTCAAGAGATCCACCCACCTTGGCCTCCCGAAGTGCTGGGACTGCAGGTATGAGCTACCATGGCCAGCTGCCAATTTGATAGATTTAGATTAATTTAATATCTGCTACCTGCTAGTTACTGTCTTATTGTGTTGGAGTTCTTAGTTGCAAGCAATAGCACCCAACTTGGGTTGATTTTATTGATTGATTGATTGATTGATTGAGATGGAGTCTCACTCGGTCGCCTAGGCTGGAGTGCAGTGGCATGATCTCAGCTCACTTCAACCTCCACCTCCCAGTTTCGAGCAATCCTCCTGCATCGGCCTCCCCAGTAGCTGGGATTACAGGCGTGTGCCACCACCACACCCAGCTAATTTTTGTATTTTTAGTAGAGACGGGGTTTCGCCATGTTGGCCAGGCTGGTCTCGAACTCCTGACCTCAGGTGATCCGCCTGCCTTGGCCTCCCAAAGTGCTGGAATTACAGGTGTGAGCCACCGCTCCTGGCCGACTTTGGTTGATTTTAACAGAAGGGGACTTTATTGCAAGGACATTGGGTAGCTCAGAAATTTTATAAGCAGGGTGCAGGCAGAAATGGGCTTAGAAAGTGGACAACAAAAAGGGAGGCTAGGGAGCACCCAGGACCCAGAATACTACTACAGAGCCAGTCTGAGAGGACACTGCTGCCTCCACCTCCGAACATGTATCTGGATGCTCCAGCTTGCTCTACTGTCATCTGGGACACTGAACACTAGGCACCGGTGCCACAGTGCTACCACATCTGCCCCTGTGCACTTCATACTGGTGGTGCAGCTGTCTTAGCTGCTTCTGCTGACCAACAAAATGTATTCTCCGTGGTTCCTGCTTCTTCACTGTGACAGTTTCATTGTCAAAGACCAAGGTAGGAGTGTCTGAGTAGCCAAGCCCAAGTCATGTACTCTATCCTAGCTGTAGGGGAGGCTGGGAAAGTAGGTATCTGGTATTTTCAGTTTCTAAAGTGTCTCCCATTAAGACTTGTATAGAAAGTAGTTCCCATGTTGAGCAGGAAAAAATCCATTATATTTATGTTATTTCATCAAATTATGAACAAAGTTTTAAAATTTACTGTCTGTTGCCTCTTATCTTGCTAGTGAATAGGCTAACATCATTAATTTCTGTTATTGTATGGTGCTATTTATGAGTATGTCACAATCTATCTTCTATGTGGTCCCTGATCCTTAGGCTGATTTTAATTTGCAGAATAGTGCATCTGCAAAAAAAAAATGACCAATAATATGTGAACATGGTAAGTAGTCAGTGTTGTTAAGTGAATCCATAAAAGTTGGAAATAGTATATTTTTCTTATAATGCAAAAAAAAGTGCTTACAAAAATAGTACACTATTAGAATGTACCATGATCAAGTAGGGGGAATTTCAGGTTAAGCTATCATTAAGTAAGTAAGGGCTTTCAGGGAAACCAAAGAAAACATGATCGGGGATAGACATTGTCTGGAAGGGAGTGGGGCTGAAGAAATGAAAGGTGGGGAGGACAGTGAGAAACAGGAAAGAACAGATGAGGATTGAAGGAGAGAAGCATTTTGTTTGCATTCTTAGGAACTGGTGCGGAGGTTAAGGAGCAGCATAAAATGGATCTCAGGTTTGAAAGACTTCCCCTTGCTAGAAGCAAGGCAGAGACAGAGAATGTAAAGTTAAAAGATGGATGATGATGTCTGTCAACATTTAATTTGGCCTATACAGAATGAAGTGGAGGAACTTGACTAGGCAACATTCAGGGCCTCTGATCAGCTGCACACTCTCCCCATGTAGCAAGAGAAGTGGCCTTATTAAAAATCTTAGAACAGAGAGAAGAGAGGGAGATAGCAGTTTTTACCTTTTCCTGAGACCCTGCAGAAGTTGTTATTCATTAGACGTTCACTTTATTCCCTTTTAAGTCTGGTAAAGAATGAATACTTGGACGTTTTGTTTCATGCAGATTTAGTTAGCAACTCGATTATCAAATGGTAGAATATCTGTATGCACTGAAGCCAAATTCTCAGTAACTCAGCTTTTGTTAGTCATATGAGGATGATGAATAATAGGACTCCAGAGCAGTTAACAAATTGATACAAGTGGTAGGAAAATTTGATATGAAGTTATCAAAACAATGTAATGAATCTGTTAAAGCTAAAGAAGTGTACCATGACCACATTCATTATTTATCCACTCAGTCGTTCAAAAAGTATTAGAATGCCCAACCCCTCTATTCCAGGCACTAGTTATGTACACGGGGGTACAGCAGAGAAGGCAGACAGACCTATTCTCTGCCCTTGAAGAGTTCACAGTCCACTGAAGAAGTAGACACATTGAATATAATCAAGAAGTGTTACAAGGATTTTTAACACTTCCTTAATATCCTGAGAGAGTCAAACATAATATAAGAGCTGAAAGATGCGGATTTGGGGAGACATAGGGGTTTTTTTGTTTTGTTTTTTTGAGACGGAGTCTCGCTCTGTCGCCCAGGCTGGAGTGCAGTGGCGCAATCTCGGCTCACTGCAAGCTCCGCCTCTCGGGTTCACGCTGTTCTGCTGCCTCAGCCTCCCGAGTAGCTGGGACTATAGGCGCCCGCCACCACGCCTGCTAATTTTTTTGTATTTTTAGTAGAGACGGGGTTTCACTGTGTTAGCCAGGATGGTCTCGATCTCCTGATCTCGTGATCCGACCGTCTTGGCCTCCCAAAGTGCTGGGATTACAGGCGTGAGCCACCGCGCCCAGCCTTGTTTTTTTTTTTTTTTTTTTTTTGAGACGGAGTTTCGCTCTCGTTGCCCATGCTGGAGTACAGTGGCCCGATCTTGGCTCACCGCAACCTCTGCCTCCCAGGTTCAAGCAATTCTCCTGCCTCAGCTTCCCAAGTAGCTGGTATTACAGGCATGCGCCACCACGCCTGGCTAATTTTGTATTTTTAGTAGAGTCGGAGTTTCTCCATGTTGGTCAGGCTGGTCTCAAACTCCTGACCTCAGGTGATCTGCCTGCCTTGGCCTCCCAAAGTGCTGGGATCACAGGCGTGAGTCACCGCGCCCGGCCGACATGGGAGTTTTAAGACAAAGAGAACATTAAATTTTCAGCCTGGAGGCAGGAAAAAACATGACTTTAGAGCCAATAGAAATACAAAATTGGCAAATTATAATGAAAGAAAGCTAGCAAAGGGAGGAAATGCAGTGTTAGGCAAAGTAATGTAAATATTAATATAAAGACAAAGAGTTAAATAAGCCAGGTGTGGTGGCGTGGACCTGTAGTCCCATCCACTGGGGAAACCGATGTGGGAGAATTGCTTGAGCTTAGGAGTTTGAGACCAGCCTGGGCAAAATAGTGAGACCTGATCTGTCTTAAAAAAAAAAAAAAAAAAGGCCTGGCACGGTGGCTCACACCTGTAATCCCAGCACTTTGGGAGGCTGAGGCGAGTGGATCACAAGGTCAGGAGTTTGAGACCAGCCTGACCAACATGGTGAAAACCCCATCTGTACTAAAAATACAAAAATTAGCCGAGTGTGGTGACACACGCCTGTAATCCCAGCTTCTCAGGAGGCTGAGGCAGGAGAATCGCTTGAACCTGGGAAGTGGAGGTTGCAGTGAGCCAAGATTGTGCCATTGTACTCCAGCCTAGGGCACTAGGAGAGACAAGGAAAAGACAAGGAAAAGAGGGAAGTCTGAGTTTCTTATAACCTTTCAAGGAAATACCTCTACCTAAAAATCCCAAGAAGGGATGACAGAACATAAGGCTCATAAAGATGGCAGTTCAGTACAAAAGTAGAGATAAAAGTCTCAGCTGAATTCAATTTCCTGTGAAAATAGTCATTTTAGTGGAGAGTTTGTGGAAGGAGAGGAAGATACGGTATAGTAAGGGGCTGTTTTGGAACTTGGAACATTTGGAAAGATGTAGAACAGAGGTAGATGAGGTCAGCTGCATATCTGTGAGAGGGAGAAGTTGGTCACCATATGCCATCCCACTACATTCCTGAAAACTACCAATGGTAGTAATTTATACAAATCATGTTTAAATACCATGCATCACAACAATGATTACACATTGAGCATGTGTCAAATTATTGTATTTTATTGGAAAATTATACATAACCTTAATAGTTAAGCATGTTGCCCAGTTGCTTGCAGATATTAATATTACAGGTGAAGAAGGCAGGTAAAACTTTGTGGCACTCTTTGAATCACAGCATTCCTTCTCAGCAATTATTTAATGAAGCTATGAGGTATCCTAAAGAGGCTTATGATTTGGTGGGTGAATATAAAATTACCATTTTAGTAAACTATATTCTATACTCAGAGGTGCAGGCAGGACACTTTGGGACCACTTGACTCAAGATGAGCATGGTTAGAGAAGACTTTCTGGAGGAAGCAGCAGTTGAACTTTTTTGAATAAGTAGGAGTTGGTTGGGAATAGAAATTGAGGGAGCTGTGGGACATGGGTGGAAGGAACAACATGAGCACAGATGGAGGCATCTCTGTCTACATTTATTGTTAACTCAAGGAGGGACCAGTAAGCATCCATGGGATGGGAAAGGAGATATAAAATAATATGCTGATCCTGCTGACAGAGAGCACATGGTTCACTTATTGGAGATGTATTTACTCTTTTGTGCCACGAGGGTGCTATTTAGTGAATTACCTGCCTCCTCTCTTGTACAATATGGTACACTAGTGGCTTGATAAAATTAATGCATCCCCAACAAGTGAGCAATTTACTTCCTTCTTATGAAAGGGCTAGTAAGTTGCTATGCATTCTTTTAGCTGGTTATATAGGTTTTAAAAATGATTTAAACAAAAATCTAAAGGGAATTTTATAGACAAGGAATCATCAAATAAAATACTAAGATATTGCTAGTTGTCACCATAAAAATGGAATTAGGATTACTTAGAATGATGGGCTTAATTTTTAAAATTAGCTTGAAAAGCTTTCTTCAAACTTAAGCATCCAACAATAGGTGGTTGAATAAATCATGATATATAATCAGATACTATTTAGCTTTAAACATGAAGTTATAGAAGAATGTTATAATACAGGAAGATGCTCACCATATTGTTAATTACAATAAAGCAGTATACAAACAGTATGAGCAATGTTTTGCTTTTGCTAAAATGTTTATAAACTGGTAAGCTGTAGGCTTTAGTAATCTGGAATCATACAAGAGGTTCCATTTGCATTTCAAAATGATTACAACTTATCCGTCCCTCTCCTCCCCACCTTTCAGGTTCTGTTCTATCCTGCAAAACTTTCCCAGTTATTTATTTATTTATTTTTTGAGATGGAGTCTCACTCTGTTGCCCAGGCTGGGTGCAGTGGCGCCATCTCGGCTCACTGCAACCTCTGCTTCCCGGGTTCAAGTGATTCTCCTGCCTCAGCCTCCTGAGTAGCTGGGACTACAGGTGCAAGTGGCACCACGCCCAGCTAATTTTTGTATTTTTAGTAGAGACAGGGTTTAACCATGTTGGCCAGGCTGGCCTCAAACTCCTGACCTCAAGTGATCTGCCCACCTCAGCCTCCCAAAGTGCTGGGATTATGGGCGTGAGCCACTGTGCCTGGCACTTCCCCAGTTATTTCTATGAGAACTAAATGTCAGCAGTGGCTACCGTGAAGGGTCAGCCATGCTACTTATTCATCTTTGGCTCACCCTTGATGATAGATGCTGCCACTTGAGGAGCCTCACTGAAGGTACTACTGAGAACCTCGGGACCTTGCGAGAGAAGCTACCCCCTGAGCCTGTCATAGCCCCTGATTGTCTGGGTGATAGTGCTGGATTCTATTTAAAGGTATGAAAAATGGCTTCCTCCTTAAATCTCAGCTGCTATTTGTTGCCTGGGCCTTGAAGCAGCACAAAGTCCACAGATCCACTTAAGAAATGAAGCAACTCCTCTAACTGCTAATCTTTATCCTTTGTCCACAAGCTTTCAAACTTGGCAGATCAAAGCAAGAATTACCAATGCTTCCTGATCCAACCTGATGCTTCTCCTATTTTCATTCTCTAGGTGACTTGGCAGTGTCATCTGCTTGATTGCTCAAGCACAAAACCTGAGAGGCATCTTAAACTCCTCTTGTTCCTTAACTTTAGGCTCCAAGATCCCTTCATTCTTCTTTCTTGCTGTCTTGGAAGTCAATTCATTCCTTTTGTCTCACTGCCTCTCAGAATTTAGACCTTAATTTCTCATCTGGAGATATCAGTAGCCTCCTAATCATTCCTGCCCCTTCCAGTCTTTCTTCCACCCTGGTTTAGCCTCCGTACTCCTTTACCATGGAATACAAAGCCCTTTATGGTCTAGCCCTGTTGCATCTCAGTCCTTTCTCTTGCCACTCAGTCTCCTCCACAGATACCTTATGTGGTGTTTCTACCCTCCCAAACGTGTGTGTATGGTAAAATACACATAAAATTTATCATTTTAAGTGTATAATTCAGTGACATTAGGTACACCAATAGAGATTTGTGTAACAAACACCACTCTCTATTTCCAGAATGTTTTCATCATCCCAAACAGAACATGTGTGTCTTTTTCCTCTGAATAGAATGCCCTGTTCCTCTGCTCCCATCCCTGTTCCTCCTAAGGATCTCTCTAGGCTTGGTTCTAGTGCTACATTGTCTGAGAAGATTTTCCCAGTCTTTTCAGACTTGAGTTAGGTGCTCATTTTTTTTGTCTTCCTATGCCATGCTGGGCATACTCCTGCCATGATACTTGCCCATGATATTGTGATTGTAGGTATGTGTGGCTCTTTCTTCCACTAGACTTTGAGGTCTTTGAATGAAGAGTCTGACTGAGTCTTTTATCTCTGCATCCTTAGCTTCTAGCACTATGCCTGCTGTGAATAAATGACTGGACTCAGCTTCCTATCAGCTATGCAAATTAGCTCTTGATCACATGCTAGCATTGAATGGAAATCAGGTAGCAGGTCTAAAAGAAATTTCGTAAATGTAGGCTCTTCTTTACATTAGGTATTCATGGAAATTTGTTTTTGAGGGCTGCTTTGAGTATGTAATTTCTCAGCAGTTGCACATAATCTTCTATGTTTATAATTTTAGTAATGGGTTGGGTCATGAGTATACAGTAATTAGGATAAGGTGACAAATATTAGGAAGAGTAAAAATTTTACAAAAAGCTGAAAATATATGTGGTCTTAAATATCCAGAACAGTTTCCAAGACTGTTTTATTTGTCAGGTTATGAGGTACAAAAGAAAGAAGGAACTGGAAGTCTTATTATTTTGGTGCTATTGGATAGAAAATCAGTGAAAAGACATTGGAATGAGTCAAGGTACTAGACAGGGCTTAAGGTCACAACAATTTTTTTCTCCCTTCTGTTCTATTTTTTCTCCTTTCTTTAGAACAGAAAATAGATGGGAACAATTCTTAAAAGTAGAACTGCTACTAAGTTCTCACAGTAGTAGTTTAATGTTTCTCTTGTGGTTATACCTCATCCTGGTGTGAGATGCTGAATTTGTCAAAGAGGGTGAGACAGAGGCTCTAAAATTCCTAGAATTAAAATTAGATATATGGATCTATTATCCATGGACTTTTATGTCACTTCTTTTGCCTTAAATCAAGTGAAGTAAAATCCTAAGCATACTATTTAAAATCCAGTTCCGCCAGATGCTCAACTAGAAAGGTCAATCTTTATCACTCCATTTACACTGAACAAACATATTTGTGGCAGCAAGAGATTGAATCAAGGGGAAAAAATGTAGTCCAGTAATGTGATTCAATTGTCTCATCAGGCATATGACTTGAACATAATTTGAAGGGTCCTTGAAGTTTCTTTTTTTTTAAGTTTGAAATCAGAAATTTGCAGTTGACACAACATGAGTCATGTAGATCTGATTGAATTTCCTGGATTTTCCTTTTCTTTCATCTCCTGAATTGTACTCTTTCATTTTCTTATTTGGAGTCTAGTGAAGAAAGGAAGTGAGACAAACTTAAAGTGAAATCAGATTGTACATTTGCATACCATAGAGCTAGTGGTATTTTTTATTTACAGTTTATGATATAAATGACTTAGCAATAGTTGTTTTTCACACAACACATTTAGAAATTTCTGTTTTAGCACATTGAACAATTAATTGCTTGATAGTGTGATTTACCTGCTTAGGACTTTTTAAGTCGTCATTATGAATTATATGAAGTATTATGTGAATACTACTACCTGTAGGATACTACAGTGGTACTAATAATTTAGACATCTATTAGGCTTTTCATATAATCACATGACCCAAAGTTATTTAAAGAGCAGTCTGAAGGTCCAGTTCCTAATGTGAGAGGACCTCACAGGTAGATTACAAATATAGAATATTGCCTGCATTGATACTGATTGATTACTCTTGAACATTTGGACATTGGATAAAATTTTTGAAGATAAGTGTTCATTGACATAAAGTATGCTTTACTTTTCATGAAGAAAGGAGGCTTCCTCTAGAGAAGTAGGAATTAAACATATCTGAAGGTGTCTGGATTTTAGCTCTCATAAAATAATACAGGTAAAAATTATTGTATGTATTTAATATGATATGTAGCTTGTAATCATAATGCCTTTTTTATTTGAGAAGGTTGACCTATTTTTAATGACAGAGAGAAAGGATGTAGTATGAAAAACTGATCTTTGTCTCATCCCTGACCTCCAATTCCCAGCTTGCCTGTTCAGAAAAACTACTGTTAACTAGTTTCTTATGTATCTAGAAGGGGCAGTTTATTTTTGCATTTTTATATATATATATTTTGGGACAAAATCTCTCTATGTTGCTCAGGCTGGTCATGAACTCTTGAGCTGGAGCAGTCCTCCTGCCTCAGTTTTCCAAGTAGCTGGTACTAGAGTAGAAGAGACAATTAAAAAGATACATTCCTGATGTGTATTACAGCACCAAACATATAATGGGTGTAAGTCAAGATGCATATCAAATCCTATTTTCATACTTCCAAATGACAGGGTAGAGATGAGATTTATGTTCATAAGCAACAGAAGCCTATCTGGGTCTAATAGGTATTCCTCAACTTTCTTAGATCATATATATGTTCCTGGAAACACATAAAAAAGTCAAATGTGTGAACCTCAAACATTGGACTCACATGTTTTAAGGGATGTTTAGAATACTAAAAGCTACTAAAAAATCCTCAACTTTGCCTTACTTTTTAAAGCACAATCTTTGGCCTCTATTTATAGTTAAAATTATTTATACGGGCTGGGCAAGGTGGCCCACGCCTGTAATCCCAGCACTTTGGGAGGCTGAGGTGGGTGGATCACTTGAGATCAGGAGTTTGAGGCCAGCCTGGCCAATATGGTGAAACCCCGTCTCTACTAAAAATACAACAGTTGGTTGGGCGTGGTGGCGCCTGCTTGTAGTCCCAGCTACTAGGGAGGCTGAGGCAGGAGAATCACCTGAACCTGGGAAGCAGAGGTTGCAGTGAGCCGAGATCATGCCACTGCACTCCTGTCTGGGTGACAGAGCGAGACTCTGTCTCAAAAAAAAAATTATATGTCATTTTTTATTTTTCACTATTGGGCAAGTAGTTGACTGACCTCAGTTCACTGAGACTAAATATTAGTCTTTTTCAATACACTTAAGGCTTTGAACCTTGCCTCAGTGGTTCAACTTTTGTGACACTGTGCTGTTTTTCATGACTATCAGCTCTTTTTTTCCTGCTTTCCTCTGGAGAACTTCTTGCATATTTCATTATATTCCTTATTGCACCTAGTCAGTGGTCACTCAAAAAATATGTTTGGGGAGGAGCCAGGCGTGTTGGCTCACACCTGTAATCCCAGCACTTTGGAAGGCTGAGGCGGGCGGATCACTTGAGGTCAGGAGTTCAAGACCAGCCTGGCCAACGTTGGTGAAATCCCGTCTCTATTAAAAATACAAAAATTAGACAGGCGTGGTGATGGGTGCCTGTATTCCCAGCTACTCGGGAGGCTGAGGCAGGAGAATCGCTTGAACCTGGGAGGTGGAGGTTGCAGTGAGCCGAGATGGTGCCATTGCATTCCAGCCTAGGTGACAGAGCGAGACTTTGTCTCGCAAAAAATGTATATATATATTTGGGGAGGAATTAAATTAGTGAATAAAAGAATTCAACCCTTTTTTTGATAAAGGAATGGAGTTTCTACATCATATGGTATGCTTATATTCAGCTTTAATAGATAATAACAAATAAGTTTCCAGAGTGACTATACAGCTTTTCTTCTTTTTTTCTTTTTTGAGACAGAGTCTCGCTCTGTCACCAGGCTGGAATGCAGTGGTGTGATCTCGGCCCACTGCAACCTCTGCCTCCTGGGTTCAAGCAATTCTTGTGCCTCAGCCTCCTGAGTAGCTGGGACTACAGGCACGTGCCACCATGCCCAGCTAATTTTTGTATTTTTAGTAGAGACGGGGTTTCACCGTGTTGGCCAGGATGGTCTTGATCTCCCGACCTTGGGATCTGCCTGCCTTGGCCTCCCAAAGTGTTGGGATTACAGTGTGAGCCACCGTGCCTGGCCAGCTTTTCTTTTTATCAACAGTGTGTGTATGCTGTACTGTCTCCTCACCAACACATGTTATTATCCATCTTTTATATTTTAGCTGATAGATGTATGATGGTATCTCACTTTGGTGCTAATCTGATGCCTAATGATATTGAGTATCTTTTTATATTTATTAGTTTTTTTAGTGAAGTACCTATTTTTCTTTTTCTTTTAAAAATAACTTTCTTGAGACATAATTCACATGTCCTACAATTCACCCATTTAAAGTGTACAATTAAGTGGCTTTTAAGGTATTCAGAGTTGTACATCTATCACCACAATTTTTGGAGAATTTTTATTATACCAAAATGAAACCCTGCACCCCTTAGCTGTCACTATGTAACCTCTCCCTTTCAGCCCTTCCGCATGACTAATCTACTTTTTGTGTCTATAGACTTGCCTATTCTGGATATTTTATATAAATGGAATCATACAACATGAGGTACTTTGTGACTGTGCAGATATAATAGTTGCAATAAAGGTTTTACACATAAAGTGTTGCCTGCTTTGCAGGGAAAACAGTTCACTAAAGCTTGATTAAAAGTATCTACCAAGCAGTTTCCACTCTAAGCATCTTCTAAGTATGCACTGATTATAAATCATAAATAACTATTTTATACTGTTGCATAGGATTAAAAACCAAATTAATCCCAAAGTAAAAGCTTTGGTGCCCTCAATAACCAAGTATGTAAGCCGATAAAGAAAGTTAACATGGTGATTCGGAAAAACTAAAAACTTGTGTACTCTATTGGTCTTTTTTTTTTAAAGTTTTTTCCCAAGGTTTTTTTTCTTTGTTTGTTTTTGTTTTTGTATTTTGAGACTCACTCTCACTGAGGCTGGAGTGAAGTGCAATCATGGCTCACTGCAGCCTCAACCTCCCCAGGCTCAATTGATCCTCCCACCTCAGCCTCCTGAATAGCTGAGATGAAAAGCATGCACCACCAAACCCAGTTAATTTTTGTATTTTTTATAGAGATGGGGTAATTGCCATGTTGCCCAGGCTGGACTCCAACTCCTGGGCTTAAGCAGTTTGTTGACCTTGGCCTTCCAAAGTGCTAGGACTACGGGTGTGAGCCATTGCACCCGTCAACATTTTTTCCCAAGTTTTAATTGTACTTAAAATTAATATAATGTAAAATTTACCATCTTAGCCATTTTTTTTTTAAGACTTGCCCTGTCGTCACCTAGGCTGGAGTGCAGTGGCGCCATCTTGGCTTACTGCAACCTCTACCTCCTGGGTTCAAGCAATTCTCCTGCCTCAGCCTCCTGAGTAGCTGGGATAGCAGGCACCTGCCATTATGCCCGGCTAATTTCTGAATTTTTGTAGAGACAGGGTTTCACCATGTTGGCCAGGCTGGTCTTGAACTCCTGACAGCAGGTGATTCACCCGCCTGGGCCTCCCAAAGTGCTGGGATTATGGGCGTGAGCCACCATGCCCGGCCTTAACCATTTTAAAATGTACAGTCCAGTCAGATGAAATACATTCATAATGTGCAACCATTACCACCATCCACCTCCACAGTCTTTTTCATCTGTAAAACTGAAACTCTATACCCTTTAAACAATAACTTCCCATTTCCCTATCCCCTCAACCCCTGGTAACCACCATTCTAGTATTCGTCTATACCTCATATAAATGGAATCATACAGTATTTGTCTTTTTGTGACTGGCTTATTTCACTTAGCATAGTTTTTTCAAGGTTTATTTATGTTAAAGCCTATGTCAGAGTTTCCTTCCTTTTAAAGTCTGAATAATCCTTCATTATATGTATATACCACATTTTGCTTATTCATTCATCTGTTGATGGACTTTTAGGTTGCCTCTACATTTTAGCTATTGTGAATAATGCTGCTGTGAACATGGATATACAAGTATCTCTTTGAGACCTTGTGTTCAGTTATTTTGAGTATATACCCACCCAGAGATAGAATTGCTGGACCATATGGTAATTATATTTTGAATTTTTTGAGGAAGTGCCATACTATTTTCTATAGTGGCTGTACCATTTTATAGTCCCACCAATAGTGCATAAGAGTTCCAGTTTCTCCACATCCTGTCCAGCATTTGTCTTCTCTTTTCTTGATGATAGGCATCTTAATGATGTGAGGAGGTATCTCATTGTAATTTTGATTTGCATTTCCTCAGTGATTAGTGATGTTGATCATCTTTTCATGTGCTTATTGGCCATTTGTATATCTTCTTTGAAGAAATGTCTATTCAAGATCTTTGCCCGTTTACTTTTTTTTTTAGAAAATATTTGCAGTACAGTTTAATAAAGAAGTCAGATCCACAATATATAAACAACTCCTGCAAAGCAATAAGAAAAAGATAAACAGCCAATTTTAACAGACAAAATATGTCATCAAGCACTTCACAAAAGACTATCTCCAGATGGTCAGTAAATGTATGTTCCATTATTGTTCATCAGGGAAGTGCAAGTAAAAATTGATGTGCAATATCAGTAGACATCCACCAGAGTGGTTAAAGTTAAAAAAAAATTAAGGCCAAGTGTTACCAGAGATTAGAGCAACTTAGCTCACAATCAAATCTGGTGGAGCTTTTTCCCATTTACTGAGGTAACTCAAGAATGCTGTTTGGTGGTTTCTAATAAAATTAAACATACGCTTATTCTGCAAGGCTTGTATGAGAATGTGTGTAGCAACTTTATAATTGTCCCAAACTGGAACAAACCAAATGTTCAGTAGGATTATGAATAAACAAATTGTGGCTTATTTATGTATTTGCACATTGGAGTAATACTACACAATAAGGTTAAAGAATTAAGTATTGATACATATAACAACCTAGATTTATCTTTAAAAATTGAGCAAAAGAAGGGAGACACAAAAGATGTACAATAGTGTTTACTGCTGCAGGTTTTTGACTGGAAAAGGGGAAAATATAGTTTTGTTTTGTTTTTTGGGACAGTCTCCCTCTATCACCCAGGCTGGAGTACAGTGGCGCAATCTCAGCTCACTGCACCTGTGCCTCCCAGGTTCAAGCAATTCTCATGCCTCAGCCTCCTGAGTAGCTGGGACTACAGGCATGCGCCAGGACACCTGGCTAATTTTTGTATTTTTAGTAGAGAGGGGATTTTACCATGTTGGCCAGGCTGGTCTCGAACTCCTGACCTCAAGTGACCTGCCCACCGCGGCCTCCTAAAGTGCTGAGATTACAGTTGTGATCCACCGCGCCTGGCCTGGCCTTTGCCCATTTACTAATTGTGATTTTTGTTTGTTTGTTTTAGGAGTTTACTATATATTCCGGACATTAATCGCTTATCAGATATGTGATTTATAAAGATTTTCTCCCATTCTGTGGGTTGCCTTTTTACTCTGTTGATTTTGATGCACAAAATTTTTATAATTTTCATGAAGTCCAAACTTTTTTTTCTTTCCTTGCTTGTGCCTTTGTTCTCATATCCAGAAAATCATTGCCAAATCCAGTGTTGTGAAGCTTCTGTTTGTTCTAAGAGTTTTATAGTTTTAGGTTTTACATCTAGGTCTTTTAGCACTACTCTTTAATTTCTTTTAGCACTGTTTTGTAGTTTCATCCAATGAATCTTTTACCTCCTTGGTTAATTCCTATGTATTTTATTCTTTTTGATGCAATTATATATTGAATTGTTTTTGTACTTTTCTTTTCGGATTATTATTTGTTAGTATATAGTACCCAACTGATTTTTGTGTGTTAATTCTTTTTTCTTTCTTTCTTTCTTTTTTTTTTTTTTTGAGATGGAGTCTCGCTCTGTCACTTAGGCTGGAGTGCAGTGGCGCGATCTTGGCTCACTGCAAGCTCCACCTCCTGGGTTCACACCATTCTCCTGCCTCAGCCTCCCAAGTAGCTGGGACTACAGGCGCCCACCACCATGCTTGGCTAATATTTTGTATTTTTAGTAGAGACGGGGTTTCATCATGGTAGCCAGGATGGTCTCAATCTCCTGATCTCGTGATCCGTCCGCCTTGGCCTCCCAAAGTGCTGGGATTACAGGCATAAGCCACCACGCCCGGTCCTTTTTTGTTTTGTTTTGTTTTTTGAGACAGAGTCTTGCTCTTTCGCCCAGGCAAGAGTACAGTGGTGCCATCTCGGCTCACTGCAGCCTCTGCTTCCCAAGTTGAAGCAATTCTCCTGCCTCAGCCTCCCAAGTAGCTGAGACTACAGGTGCATACCACCACGCTTGGCTAATTTTTGTATTATTAGTAGAGATGGGGTTTTGCCATGTTGGCCAGGCTGGTCTCGAACTCCTGATCTCAATTGATCCACCTGCCTTGGCCTCCCAAAATGTTGGGATTACAGACGTGGGCCACGGCACCCAGCCTCTTTATTTATTTATTTTCTGAGACAGGGTCTGCTCTGTTGCCCAGGCTAAAGTACAGTGGTGTGATCATGGCTCACTGCAGCCTTGAGTTCCTGGACTCAAACAATCCTGCTTCATCTTCCTGAGTAGCTGGGACCACAGGCATATAGCACCACTTCTGGCTAATTGAAAAAAAAAAAAAAAAGAATTTTGTAGAGACAGGGTCTCTCACTGTGTTGCCCAGTGTGGTCTCAAACTCTTGGGCTTAAACGATCTTCCTGCTTCGGCCTCTCAAAGCACTGAGATTACAGGAGTCAGCCATCACACCCAGCCTGTGTGTTGACTTTATATCCTGAGACTTCGATGAATTCATTTATTAGTTGTAGCAGGTTTTTTTTTTTTTTCTTTTTGATGGGGGTGGAATCTTTGGGATTTTTCTACACATTATATATCGTCAGTAAACAAACAATTTTATATCTTCCTTTCTAACTTCTATGACTTATTTCTTATTCTTGCATAATCTCTTTGCTAAGAACTTCCAATTCTATATTAAATAGCAGTGGTGAGAGTAGGCATCCTTGCCTTGTTCCTGATCTTAAAGGAAAAGCTTTCAGTCTTTCACTATTGAGTATGATATTTGCTGTGGATTTTTCATATATGACTTTTCTTATATTGGTAATTTCTTCTATTCCTAGTTTGTTGAATGTTTTTATCACAAAAAGCTGTTGATTTTTGTCAAATAGTTTTATGCATCAGTTGAAATGATTATTTTTTTCCTTCCTCCATTCTGTTAGTGTGATATATTGCGTTGATTGATTTTCATATGTTGAACCATCCTTACATTGCAGGAAAAAAATCTAACTTGGTTATGTTGTATAATCCTTTTGCTATGCTGCTGAATTTGGTTTGTTAGTATTTTGTTGAGGATTTTTGCATCAATTTTGCATTGCAAAATGTTCATATGGGGTATTGTTCTGTAATTTTTTAATACTGTCTTTGCTTTGCTATTAGGGTAGTGCTGCCCTCCTAGAATGAGAATGAGAACTGTCTCTACCTCCTTTCATTTCTTTCAGTCTTTGCTTTATATATTTTGATGGTCTGTTATTAGGTGCATAAATGTAATTGTTACATCTTCTTGCTGTATTGAATATTTAATATATATTGTCCTTTGTCTCTTGTTAACTTTTTTGATTTAAAGTCTGTTTAGTCTGATATTAATATTGCCACTCCTTCTCTCTTATGGTGACTATATATTTTTACATCCTTTCGCTTTCAACCTACTTGTGTCTTTGGATCTAAAGTGAGTCTTCTATAGATAGCATATAGTTGGATCATGTGTTTTTTAATTGATTCTGCTAATCTGTCTTTTGATTGGAGCATTTAACCCATTTATATTTAAAGTAATTATTGATGAGGAAGCACTTTTGTCATTTTGTTGTTTGTTTTCTATATATATTATAGTTTTAAAAATCTCTCATTTCTGTATTACTATCTTCTTTTGTGTTTAGTTGACTTTTTGTAGTGAATTATTTACATTCCTTTCTTATTTCTTTTTGTGTGTTTTCTACAGGTATTTTCTCTGTGGTTACTATAGGGATTACATTTAACATTCTAAGGTTATAATGCTTTAATTTGAATTTTTACAAGTTCAACTTTAATCACATAAAAACTATGCTTTACAGTTCTGTCCCCATTCCTTCTGGTTGTTGATATAACAAAATTACATCCTTATACATTGTGTGTGCCAAAACATAAACTAAATCTTTTTAATACATGAGTCTCTTAAATTATGTAGAAAACAAAATGTGGAGTCACAAACCAAAGTTATAATAATATTAGTTTTTAGACTAATAATTTTTAAAACGTATAAGTCTCTCAAATCATGGAGAAAACAAAAACTGGAGTTACAAATCATTGTTACAATAATACTAGCTTTTATAATTGCCCAGGTATTTACAGGTACACCTTTGAGATATTGTGGATTTGGTTCTAAACCACTGAAATAAAGCAAATATTGGAATAAAGTGAGTCACAATTTTTTTGGTATCCTAGTGCATAAAAGAGTTATGTTTATGCTATACTATAGTTTACTAAGTGCGATAGCATTATGCCTTTTAAAATGTACATACTGTAATTAAAATATTTTATTGCTAAAAATGCTTACACAGAGACACAAAGTACAGCTGTTGGAAAAATGGCACTGATAGACTTGCTTGACACAGGATTGCCACAGACCTTCAATTTGTTAAAAAAAAATGTAGGTTGGGCACGGTGGCTCACGCCTGTAATCCCAGCACTTTGGGAGGCCGAGGCGGGCGGATCATGAGGTCAGGAGATAGAGACCATCCTGGCTAACACGGTGAAACCCCGTCTCAACTAAAAATACAAAAAATTAGCCGGGCGTTGTGGCGGGCGCCTGTAGTCCCAGCTACTCGGGAGGCTGAGGCAGGAGAATGGCGTGAACCCGGGAGGCAGAGCTTGCAGTGAGCCTAGATTGCGCCCCTGCACTCCAACCTGGGGGACAGAGCGAGACTCCGTCTCAAAAAAAAAAAAAGTAATATCTGTGAAGCACAAGAAAGCAAAGCATAGTAAAACAAGGTATGCCTATATCTTCATTTATTTACTTATTTTATTATTTTTACTTTTGAATATCTTAGTCTTTATTATCCAACTTCCAAAAGGGGAAAAAGAGAAAAATTAAGGGAGGGAAACAAAAAGGATGTGGGCCCATTAAATACTCTGGAAGTCACTTCAGCTGGTGAAGAAATGCTGGATTAAAGAAATGCTAGATTTTAAGTGGTTAGGTGTTAATGGGAACACTAAATTGATAATGTCATAACAGATATTGTGGTCAGAAGCAGCAATCAGCACTGAAAGCACAGATCACTGATATTTGAAGGACAAAGTCTTTTTTTGCCCACCCTGGCTCCTGCAAGCTATGTGCAAGCAGCTCCAGGAGTAGGTGCACAGCTGTCTGCCACAGGGCTGGGGGTGGGGAATGGGCAGCTGCTAATGTGATAACAGCTGAAATTTATAAAAATTAACCACACTTTACCATCCAAGCCTTCCCCTGGAAGTTGGAAGCCTTCAGTAGACTCCAGAGTTCCAAAATAGTTACATCAGACAGATTTGTTGTCTAGGTGGGGCAACAGATTCCTGGTACTTCTTACTCTGCCATCTTACCAAAATCCTTACCTGTACTGGTCTAACACCTGTTTTCTAAGTCATGTTCAAAGACAAAATGCTTTCAACTTAATGGCCATACTGCCCACAGTCATTTACAGACTCAATGATATTCCCATTAAACTACCATTGACATTCCTCACAGAATTAGGAAAAACTACTTTAAAATTCATATGAAACCAAAAAAGAGCCCCTATAGCCAAAAACATCCTAAGCAAAAAGAACAAAGCTGGAGGCATCACGCTACCCGACTTGAAACTATACTGCAAGGCATGGTACTGTTATGAAAACAGACATGTATACCAGTGGAACAGAATAGAGATCTCAGAAATAAGACTGCACATCATCCACAACCATCTGATCTTTGACAAGCCTGACAAAAACAAGCAACAGAGAAAGGATTCCCTATTTAATAAATGGTGCTGGGAAAACTGGCTAGCCATATGCAGAAAATCGAAACCGGACCCTGACCTTACACCTTATACAAAAATTAACTCAAGATGAATTAAAGACTTAAATGTAAAACTCAAAACTATAAAAACCCTAGAAGAAAATCTAGGCAATACCATTCAGGACATAAGCTCAGGCAAAGATTTCATGACAAAAATATCAAAAGCAATTGCAACAAAAGCAAAAATTGACAAATGGGATCTAATTAAACTAAAGAGCTTCTGCACAGCAAAAGAAACTATCCATCAGAGTGAATGGGCAACCTACAGAGTGGGAGAAAGTTTTTGTAATCTGACAAAGGTCTAATATCCAGAATCTACAAGGAACTTAAACAAATGTACAAGAAAAATCAAACAACCCCATTAAAAAGTGGCCAAAGGACATGAACAGATACTTCTTAAAAGAAGACGTTTATGCACCCAACAAACATATGAAAAAAAGCTCAACATCACTGATCATTAGAGAAATGCAAATAAAAACCACAATGAGATACCATCTCACACCATTCAGAATGGCAATTATTAAAAGGTCAAGAAACAACAGATGCTGGCAAGGCTATGGAGAAATAGGAATGCTTTTATACTGTCGGTGGGAATGTAAATTAGTTCAACCATTGTGGAAGACAGTGTGGCAATTCCTCAAAGACCTAGAGCCAGAAATACCATTTGACCCAGCAATCCCATTACTGGGTATATACCCAATGAATATAAATCTTTCTGTTATAAAGATACATGCACATGTATGTTCACTGCAGCACTAGTCACAATAGCGAAGACATGGAATCAACCCAAATGCCCATCAATGATAGACTGGATAAAATGTGGTACATAGACATCATGGAATACTAGGTAGCCATAAAAAGGAATGAGATCATGTCCTTTGCAGGGACATGGATGGAGCGGGAAACCATTATCCTCAGCAAACTAACAGGAACAGAAAACCAAACACCACATGTTCTCACTTACAAGTGAGAGCCAAACAATGAGAACACATGGACACGGAAGGGGAACAACACAAACTGGGGCCTGTTGGGGGATGGCAAGGGAAGGGAGAGCATCAGGATAAATAGCTAATGCACGCGGGGCTTAATACCTAGGTGATGGGTTGATGGGTGCAGCAAACCACCATGGCATATGTTTACCTATGTAACAAACCTGCATGTCCTGCACATGTATCCTGGAACTAAAAAGTTTAAAGTGAAAGTTCAATTCCATTCTCAGTATGCAAAAATGTAATGTATTAAATTTCTGCATGTTAATACAGCATACAAGTTTAAGTTGCCATTTCCATATGGTAAGCTCCCTTAGTATGATATGTTTTTCTTCTAATAAGGATGATTAAAATGAAAGACAAAGGGTCAGTTATATTTTATTAGTGGCCGAATAATGCCCACTAAATTACTTGTGTTAAATCTTAAACTTTCATTCAGTTCGGCAGAATTATCCTTGGTAGCCATGTGTTCCTGCTGCTTATCAAACAAAATTGGACTGCTAGTGTGTAATCAGAATTGTAACTGTGAGTAATATGCTAGCAAATTCCAGACTCTGAAAGCAACTTCTAAGGTTAGGTTTCTTAGAGTTGGAGTCCTGTTCAAAATGAGTTTTACACCAAAACGGATTTTACTTCCAAATTTTGTGTTTTGAAATGTATGTTTAATCTAAGTTTGCATTTAATTTTTCCTGTCAAACCTTAGTTTAGAACCCCAAATCCTCTTCCTCTAAACTTTCTTAGTGATACCAGCAATTAATCCCTGTCAGTTTCACTGGTACAAGAACACTGCATTTATGAAACAACTGTTCAAATAAATATAATAGTAAAAAGTAATACTTTACTTGAAATAGTGAGTTTTTAAAGAAATGCAGGATTTTAAGTGGTTGTGTTAACAGGCACACTAAGTTGATGGTGTCATAAAAGACATTTTCCATTCCCATTTTGGACTGAAATGAGTAGCTGGTGCATTCAGTTCTGTGCAGTTTTGCTATCTGCCAGCTCCCTGATGGCCTGGAGCACTGGGACCTCAGGACAAATGTTTGCAGGAGGCTTTTATAGGTAGGGCTGTCAAGCAGCATCAGGAGCAAAAACAGAGAAATAGGCTGCTGTAGTTTATATATCCCCCTGGGATTCTACTTCAGTGTAAAATTTTAATTTTAAATTTTAGTAAACTGAAAAGGATAAGAGCATTCTGCTTCCAGAACACTTTATCAGGACAAATTCATTAGTAACTCTATGATACTGGGCACTGGCCAGGTTTCAGTCAGGACCCTTTCTTCTCCTATCCTGCATACCAACCCTGCACTTAGGACCAGCTTTCTACACTTAGGACCAGCCTGCTACAGAAAGGGAACAAGCACAGGTTTCCTCAATCTTCTCACATTTTAAAACGCTTGGAAGGACTTGACTCACTCCGTTGCAGTTTCCCCCTTCTGGAAGAATTTTGTTTTTGAGAAAATGAATGGAAAATCTTAAGTATAACAATGGCATATTTATGAATTATGCAAGTGTTTGAACATCAGTTTATTATGGGAAGATGTGTTTTAAATAGATACAGTATTCTAAATGGTGATGAGGTTTTCAAGCTAGTTCACAGAAACCACTTAGCTCAGGGTGCCCCTGGAAAGAGAAGTTGTGTATTCTAGGATCCTTTGGGGACCCTGAACCACAAAGTCCTCTGGGCCCAAGACCCTCTATAGATTAAACTCTTGTATCACATGGAGTCCTGTGAATGAAATAGATGGAAACTCCTGAGCACACTCCTTTTTCTACTCACTGATTTACTGTGTCCTTGGCTCTACCCACTATCCATGCCTAGCTGTCACCCAGTGGATAAGAGATAAGAGGGAACATTCAGACCACAAGCTGATACAGAATTGGAGGCTGAGTTGGACTTATTTACTTACAAGTTCCTTTTCCGGATGAGCCTTTAACTGAAAAGATGAAGAAATATTTATAAAAATAATACCTACTCTATAGATATCCTCAACTTACAAAGCTTTTGTTTTTAAGCAGAAGCTATGCTAGAAAAAAAGAAGACGAGAAGGAAATCCTATAATGAAGTATGACGAACACTGGCAGATGGAGCAGATAAAATTTAAAAATTATTGAATGCCACTTTTTTGGACACTGAAAAGTTCTCAGGGACTTCATAGTTATACAGAATATCTGGCATTGTTTTTAGCTTTTGAGTGTTGTATATTTACGTTTCTCTTTTACAGTCAAGAAATAGAGCTTCAGGGAAAGATAATACTTTTCTTTTCCTTTTTTTTTTTTTTTTTTGGTGACAGAGTCTCAGTCTGTCGCCCAGACTGGCGTGCAGTGGCATGATCTTGGCTCACTGCAACCTCCGCCTCCTGGGTTCAAGCGATTTCCTGCCTCAGCCTCCCGAGTAGCTGGGACAACAGGTGCGTGCCGCCACGCCCGGCCAATTTTTTGTATTTTTAGTGGAGACGGGGTTTCACCGCGTTAGCCAGGATGGTCTCAATCTCCTGGCCTCGTGATCAGCCTGCCTCGGCCTCCCAAAGTCCTGGGATTACAGGCGTGAGCCATCGCGCCCAGCCGAAAGATAATACTTTCTACCATCTAGTAATGCGTTCTGATACCTCTATTATAGTTTGTTGGGAAATGTAAAAGAATGGGTTTTTGTAATTAAATACTCATAATATCTTATTAATGGAACCCTTGGAAAGATGCCTTAAGTAGCAAAATATTTATTCCATATCATAGTTCTTCATGGCCAGTGAAAATTTTTGGCTATATGCCCATCTCCTTATATACAATGTCTTTGTAGATAGCTGGTTTCTTAGTCCCCAAGTGAAAAGTTTGTGTCTGAGGACCACTGAGAGAACCAGATAGAAGTAAGTCTCTTAGGTGCTCATGTGTGAATTCACCAGGAAGATCAAATGAGGAACAGTTTCAAAGCAGGCTACATGAAGGTAGCAGAATATTTTCTACTCTCTAGTTTCAGTGTTCAGGGTGTACTGTGTCTGATACATCCTTTGTGATTAGGTGGGATAGGTGCCCCATGTTTTCTTGGGAGCTGAGTTTTATAACTTATCTGGATTTTGAACACGTTTATTCTTTTTCTTTCTTTCTTTTTTCTTTTTTTTTTTGAGACGGAGTCTCGCTGTGTCACCCGAGCTGGAGTGCAGTGGCACAGTCTCAGCTCAGTGCAACCTCTCTGCCTCACAGGTTCCAGCGATTCTCCTGCCTCAGCCTCCTGAGTAGCTGAGACTGCAGGCCCGCGCCACCACGCCCAGCTAATTTTTGTATATTTTAGTAGAGACGGGGTTTCACCATGTTGGCCAGACTGGTCTTGAACTCCTGACCCCATGATCCACCCACCTTGGCCTCCCAAAGTGCTGGGATTACAGGTGTGAGCCACTGCGGCCCGGCCTACGTTTACTCTTCTTTTGTGAGGAAGTACAGCATTTGCCCAGTTGTATACCTGTCTGCCTTCTCTTAATTTAAACTATCAAAGTAATGTTTTTGAACTCTATTATCCTTTTACATTTATCACTCTCCCCATATTCCTCTCCACCCCAGGGGGCTCCATTTCTTAGCGTTACCAGTTCTTTTTCTGTGAATGATAGATTTTAAAGAAATTTTCTGGCCTGCATATTGTGGACATGTTTTTTCAATAGTTATATATTTCCCATAGAGACTATAATAATTATGTTATGAATGTGTGGAGTCTCTATAATTTGGTCTCTTCTGTAACTTGTGCTAATTTTTCAGAATTTACTTAAAATTTTTTGAGTGGTTTGTGAGCATCTGAGAGAAGATGTACAAGTTGTTTGATGCTACCATGTGTTCACTAAAATCAAGTGATGTCAGACTATCTCACTTCTATCTCACTTCTTTGAAAAGCTTTGTAGATTGGCAGATCATGGAAATGCAACAAGCAAAGCTAAACCAAAACTGAGCAGGACATTTTACCTTGTCTTATAAGGGTTTTGATGGCCAGATAGAAAAATATGGACTGATTGCTAATATAATTAAGTGGATCAGTATTAATTAAGAGGACATTTTCTGTTATGTCTCTAGGGTTCTCTATGTAAACCTTCTTGATCAACATTTTAAATCAGTTATTTGGATGAAGCCTTCTATAGAAGGCAGGATTATTGATTTTGTGAATGACATAGTGCAGGATGGGATAATGAATACATCTGATGACATAAAGAGATTATGGAAAAGGCCACAGACAAGGACAACAAGCCTAATTTAATGACAGCAATGAGTAGATGTAAGAATAAGGCCTTACACTTGGAGAAGACAAAAAAACCCTATACAAATGAGCCCAGGATGTGAGAGGTTAGGTAGCTGTTAACTTAGCTGTTAAATAGATGGCAAGTGCAATGTTCATCATTCCAATTTTGTAGTGAATAAGTAAAGCTGGTGTGGTCTGAGGTAGGTTGTGTCACCAGAAGTCTAATAACAGCACTTGGAAAGTGATGCTCACACTCTAACTCTGCAGCTTCCGAATTACAAGGAGAATTCAGTTCTGGGTACAGAGTGCCCTTCAGGAGAACAAGTAGGACAGTTTAAAGCCTAGAAATTGTATCAAGTAAGAAAGTCAAAGGAATCACAATGTTATAATTTCTGTGGAATGTCCTGCAGTTTTGCTTTTCACATTTAGGGTTCTTTTTTCTTCCATCAATTTTATTTTGTTATATGGTAGTGATCTAATTTGCCTTATGCATAGCTAATCCTAGCTCCTTTTATTGAGTGGTCTGATTTCCCCCTGATTTGTAGTGCCACCATTGTCTAGAACCAAATTTCTGTGTATGTACTTGACTGTTTCTGAATTATCTGTCCTGTCCATTGATCTGTTTGTCTACCCCTGGGCTAGTATCACACTCTTTTAATTATTTTGTCTTTTTCTTTCAAATTGTCTTGGCTATTTATTCTTCTATGTCAACTTTAGAATGAACTTGTCAACTTCTGTAAAATTTCCTTGTAGAATATTGATTTTTTTTGGCATAATTTGAAGAGAATTGATGTGGTTATCCATCAAGTATTCATGTTTGTGAACATAATATATTTCTCCATTCATGTTATTTTTGGAGGTTTTTAATATAATTGTGTACTTTCATCTGACAGTTTTACAAATTTTGTAGGATTTTTTCCACAGTTACCCTGTAGTGTTTATTGCTATTGTAATTGGTTTTTTTTAAAAAATTACATTTTCTAAGTTGGTTATTACGGTATGTAAGAGAACACTGTCAGTTTTTACAAGTTGATCTTATATCCAGCAACCCTGCTGAATCCTCTTTATTTTAATTGTAAATTCTTTTGGATTTTTTTTTTTTTTTTTTTTTTTTGAGACAGTCTCACTCTGTCACCCAGGCTAGAGTGCAATGATGTGATCTTGGATCATTGCAGCCTCGATCTCCTGGGCCCAAGCGACCCTCCTACCTCAGCCTCTTGAGTAGCTGGGACCACAGGCACGTGCCACTGTACCCAGCTAAATTTTTTTTGTATTTTTTGTAGAGTTGGGGTTTTGCCATGTTGCCCAGACTGGTCTCCAACTCTTGAGCTCAAGTGATCCACCTGCCTCGGCCTCCTAAAGTGCTGGGATTACAGGAACGAGTCACTGTGCCTGGCCTTTCTTGGATTTCTTATGAGAGCAATGATAGCATGCAAATAATGACATTTTTGATATTTCTTTTTTAATTCTTGTGCCTTTTATTTTTCTTCTTGCTTTATTGTATTGTCTGGGACCTCCAAAACAATGTTGTTTAGAAGTGGTGGTAACGGGTATCTTTATTATCTTCTTGACTACCCCTCTTTACACGTTTAGTTGTATTTTTACAAAGTTTTTTATATGGTAATTTCATTGTTGTTCAGTTTTAGTATTTCATAATATCTATTTAGATTTCCTCCCTATGAGTTTTTCTAGTACGTTATTTTCTCTATATATGATTATTTCTGTTTACTTTTTATTATTGATTTCTAATTTGCATTGTGCATAATGTGATTAGTATATTATTCTTAGAAATTAGTTGATACTATCTTTGAGACAATAGTAAATTTTTATAAATGTCTTATGTGCTTAAAGCCACTGTATATTCTTTTTCTGTTTAGCACAGTTTTATATCTATATGTGTGTATATATGTATACACACATATATGTATGTGGATATATACATAGACACAGACATGTATTGCATATGTGTATATATTTATGTGTATATATGTATATGTATAAGATCAGACTTACTGTTGTGTTCAGATTTGCTGTATCCTTGGGGAATTTTTGTCCATTTAGTCTGTGAGTTTCTGGTAACACAGTATTAAAGTCTCCCATCATGACTAGTTGTGTCAGTCTCTCCTTATTAATTGTATCTGCCATTGCTTCATATGCATTTGAGAGCTTATATTATTAATTGTATACTTTCATTCATTATAGCTTCTTTGAAGAGTATTCTTTTTTATCATTATGTCATGTCTTTTTTTTTTTTTTTTTTTTTTTTTGTAGAGACTGGGTCTCACTTTATTGCCCAGGCTGGTCTCCAAGTCCTGGGCTTAAGTGATCTTGCCCCCTCAGCCTCCCAAAGTGCTGGAATTACAGCATGAGCCACCATGCCTGGCCTGTAATGTCTTTTTTTATTCCAAATTTGTTTTTTATCTTAAGTTCTATTTTGTCTGTTAATGTTGTTATACCAGCTTTCTTTTGCACCTTCCTGATATATTTTTCACTGTCTATTTTCAAACTTTCTGCATCATTTTGGCTTAGACATGTCTCATAAGCAGTGTATAGTTGGATTAAAAAATTATTTTTGTGATTTTTTTCTTTTTCTATTCTGGCTTCTCAATAAGATTTTTTTTTAACTTAGTCTCATAGACTCTGTCTTTTAGTAGATGAAAGAAAGTGTGTGTGTGTGTGTGTGTGTGTGTGTGTGTAGAGAGAGGGGGAGCTATAGATGGTGTTTCTGTTCTTGTAATTGTTATTTCTAAGTTTTTAACATTCATAAATAATTATAAAAATTTCTATCAAAATTTAAAAGGATCTTAGTGTATTTGAACATCCCCTTTTCCTTTCTAGTTCCGCTTTTTAAAATGGCTTTACTGAGATACAATACACATACTATACGATTCACCCATTTAAAGTGTACAAGTCATTTTTTTAGTATATTCAGAATTGTGCAACCATTGCCACGATCTAATTTTACAACACTTTTGTCCCCTTAGTTTTGTCCCCCTTAAAAGAAATCCTGTGCTCACCAACAGTGCTGGCCTACTCCCCACTCTCTTTTCTGTCGCCCCAGTCATAGGCAGCCAGTAATCTACTTTCTGTCTCTTTAGATTTGTCTATTCTGAACATTTTATGTAAATGGAATTATATAATCTGTGGCTTTGTTCCTGGATTCTTTCACTTAGCATAATGTTTTCAAGGTTCATCCATGTTGCCACTTTTCTTTTCATCATAATCACTTTTAATCATAATTTATTTATAATCTGTAATTGGTTGCATTTGATAATAAATTTTATCAGTTTCTGTGACCACCAACCTGTCTTGCTTCCTTCTTTGGGCTCTTCTTTCTGAAGTATATTCTATGATATATCAGTTCTTTACTAAGAGTCTGTTAGTGTAACATGGTCATTGTAGGTTTTAAAATGTTTTTATTTTGCCTACATTCTTTATGATGGCTTAGCTGGGCATGGAATCCTAGCTTGAGAGTTCTTTTCTCCTAACATTTTAAACTTATAACTCCACTATCTTCAAGGCATCCATTATTGCTGATGAAGTGTTTGCTGTCAGTCTAATTGTTGTTTTTTGGTAGGTGATATTTCTTTATGGCACTTTGATGTTATGCAGTTTCACTATAATATGTCTAGGTGTGATTTATTTATGTTTATCCTGATTGGTACTGAGATTGCACTTTGAATCTCTATGTTTTATGGCTATTTTTCCTTTATATCCTTTGAGAATTCTAAATACTTATTTTAAGGTCATTTTCAGATTGTTTTATTATTTTCATTTTGTCTTGAGTGAATTCATCTACCAAATAGTTGATTTTATTGGTAATCGTGGTGTTAATTTTTTTCATGTATTTGGAATTTTGGCTTGAAAGCTTAACTCGAATGACAGTTGTTAACCAATATCATCATATCCTACCCAGCCTATCAGTTTTGTGGTTGCCTCCATCTGGTTCCTGTAGGTAACTCAGATTTCTGATCATTGTGATAATGGTAAATAGTACATATCTAGCCACTGAGCTAGCAAGTGGCTGGCTTAGATTTTGGTGCCTCCTGCCTGTTTTATTGTACAGTATGACATAACTGCTTTTTCCAGTGTCATTTCTGGAGTGCTGCCCACTTCCTGGCTTTAAGCAATGTGCCTGGCCTCAGTCCCCTGCCTTAAGTGAGACACCTTAAATTTTCATTGACCTACAGAAGTTGAACTCCTGACCATCTTTGCTTGCTTTCAGATATGGAACCCATTAGGCTTCACTGACTGCTTTCTGTTTCTGTTCCATTTATAGTCCTTGGAAATATTTATTCTAAATAATTACTATCATATAATCATATAATTTATTGTCATTTTGATGGATATGGCATGTATGATAGATGGGCTAATTTAGCATCTGTTTTAACCTCCTTCTGGTATGCCTTCCTGTGCTACAGTGACTGGAAAGTAAAAAGTACTAGTTAGGCTTCCTTACCTCTAGAGTTCCTGATATGATTCCGATTCCATTAATCATATTTACTTGCATGAGATTTGAATTCAGAATTGAGTCAGTGGGGAGAGGGTGGTAGGGCACAGAGCATTCATTTTGCTGATGCAGATCCAGTGGTTTGGCGTTTACAGTGTTTCTAATCCCCAAATTGCAGCCATGGGCTGCATTCCTCAGAGCCAGCAATTCTGGTGGGAGCTTATTGATCTAACTGAAGCTAAGGCAGTATGTTCTTGGAGACAGCAATCACACTGGTGGCTACCGAATTCCTGGACTGTGGCTAAGGAGGTGTGATCCTGTAGCCAGCACTTGGCACAGGAGTGCCTTGCTTCCTCAAGCTTTCCGATGGTGGCAGAGGTGGCAGTTCCTTTGGCAGGCCAGTTCTGTGTGGATTCTGAGTTACATTCCTTAAGGTCTAGCTTATAACCTCCTCCTCCAACTCTTACATTTATTTTATTAGCATCTAAGTGTTAGCACCTAAATATTAAATCTGATCCTGTTTAAAATATTAGAGGTTTTTTTATACCTGCAATTGAACTCTAACTAATATGGCAGCTATAATTTTCCTTTTTTAAGAATTTTTTTAATTTTTTATCTATCGCTGTTGTGTGAAGGGTGCAGGAGTTTGTATGTGTTGGGGTGTGTGACCTCAAAGTATGAACCTACACAGCCATTTTAACAAGAATTATCTGTTACTTATATTGTTTTTCAATTTCAAATGATTTCGTTTTGTTCCTTGGTATGTAAAACCATTATTGATTGCAAGGTTGTCTCAACCATAACATTGCAAAACTGAAATATAATGGCATGTGTTACCCTAGAAGAGGAGAAAGAAGGCAGTGTTTATTAGGATTTTAATGCAAAGTGATTGGCCTAAGGACATTTGGAAGATGCAACACATTTTTCTACCACTGCAAGGTAATAAAGGGTTGTGTTCCTTGACTATGATGAATTAATATGATCAAAAGTAGAAAATATCAACTAGCTACAAATAAATCTTACTCTCCCTCTTTTCTTTCTACTTTTATATTTTATCATAGCCAGTTTGTGACTTATGTGCCTAGAGAAATAAAGTCCTTCTCCAGAATTTATAGAATAAAAATATTAACTCTAGCCATCTTTGTGAAAGGGTTCTGGGATTTCTGACATTCCATTTTTATTAAAATATTATTTGCACCTGATAAGAAAAGTTTTATTTCAGGCCAGGCACCGTGGCTCACGCCTGTAATCTCAGCACTTTGGGAGGCTGAGGTGGGTGGATTGCTTAAACCCAGGAGTTTGTGACCACCGTGGACAACATGGTGAAACCCCGTCTCTACCAAACAAAACAAAACAAAACAAAAAATAGGCAGGTGTAGTGGCTCACCTCTGTAGTCCCAGCTACTCGGGAGACGGTGGTGGGAAGATCTGGGAGGTGAAGGTTGCAGTGAGCCAAGATGGCGCCACTGTACTCCAGCCTGGGTGACAGAGCCAGACCTTGTCTCAAGAAAAAAGAAAAGAAAAAAAGGGAAATGTTCTATTTAATAATTTTCCTGGCATTACTTACTGCGACCCAAAACTTAACTGGTGTCAGATTTGTATTTTAAATAATATTATGAATATAGTTCAGGAAATAAGCAAAAATATCCTGAAAATTTTATGCGTCTACTAACTTGTCTCCTTGTTGCCTTTGATTTGTAGTTTTTTTTTTTTTTTTTTTTGAGACAGAGTCTCACTCTGTCTCCCAGGCTGGAGTCAGTAGTGCGATCTCGGCTCACTGCAACCTCTACCTTCCGGATTCAAGCAATTCTCCTGCCTCAGCCTCCTGAGTAGCTGGGACTACAGGTGTGCACCACCACGCCTGGCTAATTTTTGTACTTTTAGTAGAGATGGGGTTTCACCATTGGCCAGGCTGGTCTTGAACTCCTGACCTTGTGATCCCCACTGCCTTGGCCTCCCAAAGTGCTGGAATTACAGGCGTGAGCCACCATGCCTGACCCAATTTGTAGTTATTTAAAAACTGATGTCAGAGTCACAACACAGAGAAATGTCTGTAATATAGTAAAATCTATAATAATTAGGCAATAAAACATGTCTATGTTATAATTGTAACTGAAAAATCAGGTATGCATAGGAATAGGTACTGTAAGGAAATATGAAAAAATTGGAAACAGCTGATGCTTTCTTAGAGGAAATAAAGCCAGTGGGGCTTGTTTTGTTCATAGTAGGCTTGTTTTGACTCCTAGTTTCTGAAATTTGCCTTTCCTTTTCTCCATTTGTGAAAACTTAGAAAAACATTTAACTCCAGGCTTCTGGCACTACTCTTGTTTTTTATAAGTTGTAAAAAATTATTGAGGGTGGTTGTATGAACCACACATCTTTACATTTTTTCAGTACTCTGAGGTATAGTTTGTATAGATTTGGGGATTCAAACTTTTTTAGAAATGAGAGTTCATTCCTGTCCTGAACTTGTAGCCTCCTAGCAGGTCCGTCTCCTTTCATGCTTATCCCTCAATAGTCTCTTTTCTACAGTAGCGAGAGTAACACTTTCAAAGTATGAGTCAGATCTTTCCACCTATTTCTTGTTGCTCTTTCCTTGTTCCCTCCATTCTAGCCCTAATCTTCTTGCTGTTTCTCACATAGGCATCTTGCCAACTCAGGGCCTTTGCATTTGCTATCGCCTCAGCTTGCAGGGTCTTTCTCCCATGGGTTGCACCCTCATTTAATTCAGGTCTGCATTCAAATGCCACCTTCTCAGAAAGGCTATCACTGACTAGCTAAAGTACACCTCTCGGGGCTGGGCGCGTTGGCTCGTGCCTGTAATCCCAGCACTTTGAGAGGCCGAGGAGGGTGGATCATTTGAGGTCGGGAGTACAAGACCAGCCTGGCCAACATGGTGAAACCCTGTCTCTACTAAAAATACAGAAATTAGCCAGACGATAGTGGCGCGCGCCTGTAATCCCAGCTACTCGGGAGGTTGAGGCAGGAGAATCTCTTGAGCCTGGGAGGCGGAGGTTGCAGTGAGCTGAGATCATGCCACTGCACTCCAGTCTGGGTGACAGAGCGAGACCCTGTCTCAAAAGAATAAAAATAAAATATACCTCTCTATCCTCTTACCTAGCTTTATTTTTTAAACAATTACCACACCCTTATTCTCCTCACTTTCTATGCCTCTAAGAAGCGCTGTTAATATTGCCCTCCATATTTTTCATGAGCCTTAGCTCATTTTGGGCCTTCACCTTCCAGATATTCTTTTGTAAGTATTTGTAAAGCTGGACGTGGTGATGCACACCTGTAGTTCTAGCTGTTCAGGAGGCTGAGGCAGGAGGATAGTTTGAGCTCAGGAGTTCCAGCTATGACTGTGCCACTGCACTCTCCAGCCTGGGCAACAGAGTGAGACCCTGTCTCAAAAAAAAAAACAAAGTATTTGCCAGTCTTTTGCATGTCTTGCTTTGGCCATCTGATTATTTTCCATCTATCTTTTGAACACATCTTTTAAAGTTTGGGTGCTTCAGAGAGTTCCTTGACCATCCATATTGGCTTATTTAGAGTTCTCTCCCTTTTATTCCTTTTCTTTTAGTTTTGATTTTTTCAGCCTTCTAGGGCTAAAATTATTATTATTATTTACAATCTCTGGACATTGGCTTATATCTGATTCTTCTCTGAACTTTTGTAATCTATTATTAAAAACTTTAAAACTCTTAAACTTTAATATGTATGCCTGATATGACCAGTGTTAATTTTTTGTGTGTGATTAAATACTTGAATTTTATATAGGCTTCTTCTTCTTTTTCCTAGAGTTTTGTTATCGTTACAACACCAACCTATTCTTTCTGGTTTGTCAGAATTAAGTTCTATTTAGCATCTTTTCTTTCTTTATTTTTTCTTTTTAAATAAGTAGTTTTAAAGATTCCTCACAGACATAGTTAAGAATTCTATCTTTTTTCAGTTTTTTTTTTTTTTTTTTTGAGACAGATTCTCACTCTGTTGCCCAGGCTTGGAGTGCAGTGGTGCGATCTCAGCTCACTGAAAGCTCTGCCTCCCAGGTTCATGCCATTCTCCTGCCTCAGCCTCCCAAGTAGCTGGGACTACAAGCACCTGCCACCACGCCTGGCTAATTTTTTGTATTTTTAGTAGACACGGGGTTTCACCGTGTTAGCCAGGATGGTCTCGATCTCCTGACCTTGTGATCTGCCTGCCTCGGCCTCCCAAAGTGCTGGGATTACAGATGTGAGCCACCGTGCCCGGCCTTTTCAGTTTTTTATAGTACTAAAATACATATAAAATTTGCCATTTTAATCATTTTTTTGTTTTGTTTTGATTTTTTTTTTTGAGACGGAGTCTCGCAGTGTCGCCAGGCTGGAGTGCAGTGGCGCGATCTCAGCTCACTGCAATCTCCGACTCCCTGGTTCAAGGGATTCTCCTGCCTAATCATTTTTAAGTGTCATCATTTTTAAGTTCAGTGGTATTAAATACATTCATGTGGCTGGGCATGATGGCTCATGCCTGTAATCCCAGCACTTTGGGAGGCCAAGATGGGCGGATCACAAGGTCAGGAGTTTGAGACCATCCCGGCTAACGTGGTGAAACCCCATCTCTACTAAAAGTACAAAAATTAGCCAGGCATGGTGGCAAGCACTTGTAGTCCCAGCTACTCGGGAGGCAAGGCTGAGGCAGGAGAATTGCTTGAACCCGGGAGACGGAGGTTGCAGTGAGCCAAGATTGTGTCACTGTACTCCAGCCTGGGCAACAGGGCGAGACTCTGTCTCAAAAAAATAAATACATACATACATACATACATACATACATTCATGATGTCCAGGCATGATGGTTCATGCCTGTAAGTCCAGCACTTTGGGAGGCTGAGGCTGGAGGATCGCTTGAGTCCAGCAGTTTGAGACCAGCCTGGGAAATGTAGCAAAACCCTGTCTCTACGAAAAATAGAAAAATTAGCTGGGTGTGATAGCACATGTCTGTAGTCCCAACTACTTGGGAGGCTGAGGTGGGAAGATCACTTGAGTCCAGGAAGTCGAGGATGCAGTGAGCAGAGATCATGCCACTGCACCCCAGCCTGGATGACAGAGTGAGTTTCTTTCTCTAAATAAATACACACACACACATTCATAATGTACTACCATCATCACTATCTGTCCCCAGTAACTCTTCTCATCTTGTAAAACTGAATCTCTATACCCATTACATCAGAGGTCCCCCAACCCACGGGCCATGGACTGGTGCTGATCTATGGCCTGTTAGGAACCAGGCCACACGGCAAGAGGTGAGTGGTGGACGAGCAAGTGATGCTTCATCTGTGTTTACAGCCACTCCCCATCGTTCACGTTACCGCCTGAGCTCCGCCTCCTGTCAGATCAGCGGTGGCATTAGATTCTCAAAGGAGCGTGAACCCTTTTGTGAACTGCCCATGCAAGGGATCTAGGCTGCGCACTCCTTATGAGAATGTAATGCCTGATGATGTGTCACTGTCTCCCATTACCCCCAGATGGGACCATCTAGTTGTATGAAAAAAACCTCAGGGCTCCTACTGCTTCTACATATGGTGAGTTGTGTAATTATTTCATTATATATTACAATGTAATAATAATAGAAATAAAGTGCACAATAAATGTAAAGCACTTGAATCATCCCAAAACCATCTCCCGCCCACCTGTGGAAAAATTGACTTCCATGAAACCAGTCCCTGGTGTCAAAAATGTTGGGGACCACTGCATTATACAATACTTCTCCATTTTATTCTCCCACCACACTCTGGCAACCACCGTTCTACTGTCTGTCTCTATGATTTTAACTAGTGTAAGTACCTTATATAGGTGGATTTATTCAGTATTTCTCTTTTTGTGACTGGCTTATTTAACTTAGCCTAATGTTTTCAAGGTTCATCTATATTAGAGCATACGTCAGAATTTCCTTCCTTTTAAAGGCTGAATAATATTCCATTGTATGTATATCCCACACTTTGCATATTCATTCATCTGTTGATTGACATGGGTTGCTTTCATGTTTTAGCTATTGTGTATAATGCTGCTTATGAACATGGGTATACAGATATCTCTCTGAGACCCAGTTGTTTTGAGTATACACCCAGAGTAGAATCTTTGGATCATATAGTAATTATATTTTGATTTTTTTTTTAGGAATTGCCGTATTGTTTTCCACAGTGGCTGTATCATTTTACATTCCTACCGTTTATAGGGGTTCCATTTTCTCCATATCCTCACCAACACTTGTTATTTTTTGTTTTTTTGATAATAGACATCTTAGTGGGTGTGAGGTAGTATTTCATTGTATTTTTTATTTGCATTTTCCTAATGATTAGTAATGTTGAGCATATTTTCATGTACTTATTGGCTATTTGTAGATCTTCTTTGGAGAAATGTCTAAAGAATTACTTTTTTGATACTCATTTGAATGAAAGTGGATAGCACTAACCTTGGCAGCACAGTAAGATTTGGAGATTTTATAAATGCAATTGAAGGATTAGAAACTGTTAGGCTAGATAGCCTTTGAGATAAAGTTTGGATAACTATAAGGCTAAATCCTGGCTTGGATTCATCCTTTGGTCAGTAGAGGTCATCTGTGTCAAAGAAAACAAATTATTTATTTATTTACTTATTTTTTGCTACTGCTATTACTGTGAAATTACTAGTATATAAATAATAATTTCTTTTAATGTAAACACCAACTAGTTTATGCTAAGCTGGCTTCTGCTTGCCAGAGTCAAGGTTGTAAGTAAATCTGTAAATCTATGCATTTTGTGCTTTGAAGTTCTAATGAATGAAAGTTCCACAAGAGATGCTATGCTTTCTCCCTCTTACTTTTTTCCATTTGTTCCATACAACTGTAAACAGGTGCTGCCCTGTAATTTGTAACTATTCAAGTTTGGAAGAAATATGTACCTTCTGAAGTGCTAAGCATACAAATTCTTAAACAGGTTTTATAGTTCTAGTAGATAATAACATATTATGGAAAGACTTGCTCCAGAGTCATTTTTTAGAACTTTGAAGAAGGTTCACTTTGCCTGGACTGCAATAGATTTATCCTTTTTCTTATTAGTTATTCAGGGTCACCTAAAACTAAGCTTTACTAGTGAGCCAGGTGTCTCACTTGGAAGTTCCCTGGAATAGTAGAACTGAAGTGTAATCTTTGGAAAAAGAGTTGGAAAGGAATGCCATCAGGGTCCTGGGGAAGGAATCTAATAGACTTTGCCACCGTGGGGAAAAAGGCCATGAAGGCGAGGCAGAGCTGTCCCAGACTAGTGGGCGAATCCTCTTGCCTCCAAGGATTGGCGGGGATGTCAGTCTCTCATGGTCCTCACCTTGCACAGGGTAATAGATGTGATAATGGTGACGAGTGTTAGCAACCTGCTGAAGCATGATGGGTTTAGAGGGGAGAGGGTGGTTATAGTATTAGTGCAGCCCACCTGGAGGGAGCGCCATTGACCACAGGAATCACCAAGCAAGGTGCAAACCATCCCAGCATCTTTTAAGAGAAGGAAGAGGACACTGAGTTAGGGAGAGTTGACATTGTAAATGTGGACATTGAGGTCCTTGGTTGGCCTTCCCCAAGCTGATGTTCTCTGGGAAACAGTGGTTATAAAAGTTTGCTGACCCATGTGCTTTGCCTGGGGCTCATTTGTTCCTTGCCAGAAGTCAATCATGGGAAGGGTCCTAGTTACTAACCTGAGGAACTGCTGCAAGTGAAAGCATCTAGAATGACTTTTCTGTTGGAAGAAACAAAATGACTGTGAAAATTGGAGAGGAAAAGGCTCTTCCTTCTGTTTTGGGCTCTAGTTAGGTCATTTTTGTGATGTGGACGGCTGTTAGAAGCTTCACTCTAAAAGCCTATCCTACAGTATCTCTTGATGCCCTTGGAAATGACTTTAAGCTGTCTTTCCTAGTTTGGAGTTAATGGGATATTGAAGCAGAAACTGAGTTCTAATATCTGGGGACTGCAGAGAACCTCTAAGGATTACTTTAACTTTTTGTTTATTTTAAATTAAAAAAAAAGTGCCTCTGAGATATAGATGACAGGATAAAGACATAATCAGAGGAATTGCCATCACTCCTCACTGGATTCTTCAGAAACAGGACAAAGTTGTTACAGTTCCATAGCCCTGGGATAAAGTCTGTGATTCCTTTGCTTATTACATTTTTGGGACAATGCTTCTTGCAATTCTAGAATCTGACTTATAATCAAAATGGTCAGGTTTTAGGTTTATGAAATGTTTACTAAGTATACAAAAGTTGGGTTTTGGCTTTAGAGACAAAATTATTTTTTACTAGATGGAGTTTCTTGAATTGACTTTAAAAAATAGCATGTAAGCAAGGGATTTTTTTTTTCATTTTAGATTGGGGAATCATAAGAGCTTTCTGTACATGTTTCCAATATAATTGACATTGATCCTTAAGGGCTATTTGGATTAAGGTTAGCCTGTAGTCTCAGTTTTTGTATTATCTCTTTCAAAGTAGGACTTGCCTGAGATTTTATAATGTGGAAATGTTTTATGCCCAGTGCTGTTGACTGTGTAAAGAGCTTCAGACCTCCACTAATGTTGTACTCCTAGCTGCTGTTTGGTTAACACTGCCTACCTTCTCCAAAAGTAACTCATTATATATGCCTTCTCTCCCCACTCATGCTTAGGGACTTCGTACCACATCATTCTGTGTTGTTTTTTTTTCTTTTTCTTTTTTTTAGCTCCTTTAATTTCCCTATTTCTATCCTTGTTCAAATCTTAAAAATTCAGTCTTAATTCCTTCTGATTCCTATCATCTTCAGTTTAAAGGAAGAATGATGTTGAGGGGATGGTAGAAGAGCTCCTGAAAGTAGTCATATTATTTACTGTATGACTATTTTATTTTTGAATAATGGTACCAGTTTGCTTAGGTAAGCACATATCTAGGAATACCCTAACCTACTCAATGATGAATGCCAATATTGAAATCCTAGTGATGTATGCCTACCATATATCTTAATCAGCTTCATAATCCCATTTCTTTCTCAATGATACTACTTTGTGAAACTTAATTTATTTTTATTTATTTATTTTTTTGAGATGGAATTTTGCTCTTGTCACCCAGGCTGGAGTGCAATGGCATGATCTCGACTCACTGCAACCTCTGCCTCCCAGGTTCAAGTGATTCTGCCTCAGTCTCCCCAGCAGCTGGGATTACAGGCCTGCGCCACCACGCCCAGCTAATTTTTGTATTTCTGGTAGAGACAGGGTTTCGCCATGTTGGCCAGGCTGGTCTTGAACTCCTGACCTCATGTGATCCACCCGCCTCGGCCTCCCAAAGTGCTGAGATTACAGGCCTGAGCCCCTGTGCCCAGTGAAACTTAATTTCTTAACTCATGAGTGCTAAATAGTATGGATATAAAAATAGTTGCTCTTTTGGGCATTTTTTGAAGATTGCTTTTTTTCTCAGAAGCTTCATTGAAATGTAACTGCCATGATTCTGTCTGTACGGTGGGGGCGAAATTTTACCTTCCTCTCTCTTGGCATAGCTGCTAAATAAGTTAAATAATTAAAAATGGAAGCATAAGCAAAAGGGAAAATGTTGAAAAGCCAGATTGCTACAGCTGCCTCCTTCACGTTACTAAAAGTTTGTTATCTTAGAATATTATCGACATCTGCTGGGTTATTTATTTATTTATTTTGGAGACAGACTCTCATTTTATTGCCCAGGCTGGAGTGCGGTGGTGAGATCACAACTCCCTGCAGCCTCAACCTCCCAGGCTCAAGCGGCCCTCCCACCTCAGCCTTCCAAGTAGCTGGGACTACAGGTGTGCCCCATGCCCAGCTAATTTTTGTATTTTTTTGTAGAGATGAGGTTTCGCCATGTTGCCCTGGCTGATTTCAAACTCCTGAGCTCAAGTGATCCTCTCGCTTCAGTTTCCCAAAGTGCTGGCATTACGGGTTGTGAGCCATTGCACCCGGCCTGGTTATTTTTATTAATAAATATAATTGAGGGAAAGGAGAGCCAAGAGCAATGAAGTTGAGATTGTACAGTAGTCATGGAAGTGGGGAGTGGTGATGGATAGTCATTGCTTTTCAGTTTCTGAAATGAACACTGAAGACTCCAGATTGAGATCTGGGTATAAGTCTCTTACTACCTTCACAATAAAAAAGCATTTATTAGGCTGGGTGTGGTGGCTTACGCCTGTAATCACAGCACTTTGGGACATCAAGGCGGGCAGATCACTTGAGGTCAGGAGTCTGAGACCAGGCTGGCCAACATGGCGAAACCCTGTCTCCACCAAAAATACAAGAATTAGTCGGTGTGGTGGTGAATGTCTGTAATCTCAGCTGCTTGGGAGGCTGAGGCATGAGAATTGCGTGAACTTCCTTGAGCCTGGGAGGTGGAGGCTGCAGTGAGCCGATATTGCACCACTGCACTCAAGCCTGGGCGACAGAGCGAGACTCCATTTCAAAAGAACGTTTATTAAATGACTATATGAAACATGTTCTGTTCTATAGAATACAGAAAGATTGTTCCTCTCTAGGTGTTTATTATTTAAAGTGACCAATTGCAGAATGAACATTCATTAGGATCAAAGTACTTAAAAAAGTATTTATAGTTCATGAATGTAGCAGTGCCCAGTGATTGGTATGAGGGAAGTACATTAGTTTAATTAGCTTAACGTTCTCTTGACTGGACTATTCCCCTTACTTCTAGTTACTTGGGAAAGTTTTTATGAAGGAGACTAATTTCCAAAGTTATTTAGGCAATGACAGGTTGGAAGATTGGTCAGCTGAGAGTGGGAGGAACATAACGTATGAGAGCCAAAAGGAAGGGTGGAACAATGGGCTGGTAAAGAGAATGAGGACTAGATAAATTCTAATGAGGGAAGAGTCTAGGGCCTATGTGGGAGAGTATGAAGAGTAGAGGGTCCTTGGAGTGTGGCAATAAGAATGTGAAACTCAGATTGGAATTGGCTCCTGGTCAAGAGGATGGTGTGATGTTTCTGCAAAGGTTTATGGCAGGATCATGTCATTGTGGATGGAAGAGAAACTCAGTGTTTTTTAGATGCTCACATTTTATTAGGAACTGCATGATACCCATAGTCTCTAAAACTGGCATAACACAGATCACATACAAACTTAGATTATTTTAAAGATTTATTGTATTAGTTCATGCATTTCAGCTTTTTCTAAAAATGAAGTTTGATCTAAAGTAATTACTGTGGCAAAGAAGAAGGTTAAATCTATGGAAAGTAGCACCTGTCATAGGGAAATGCCATTATCTCAAACACTTTGAAGTGCCTGGATTTCAAAGCTGTCAGTTGGAGCCATATTTCTTGAATCTTTTTTTACTCACCAAGCTGGATTGTGTCATTTTAATGTGGTAACATATATAAGAGAAAAGGAGAAAATGATCCTGGTACTGATTATCTCTTGGGAGGAGGTTCAGAGAGGTGAATTTTTAATGAGACTTTGGTGTTTGTCCAGCAGAATCATTGCAGTAGCTGACTTCACTTATATTGGTTTTTTTGATACTATCTGATCATAACTCTGTGGGAATTTCTTCAAGTGAAAGGTAATTTATAGAATTTACCGATAAGACTACTTACATTTTCAAAAGCTTTTTATTGCTTTTAGATAGACTCGGAAAAGGCTAAGATGTCCTGGGCTTCCCTGTCAATGTGCTTCCCTGAAGTCAGTGGTGGCAGGGTAGCAGAGTCAATTCTACATGACAGTAAAGGAGGACTACTGTGGCAAGATTGGTGATGAGTGCTGTATTCAGTGATCATTGACACATTAAAAATACCACAAGAGGTCATAAAAATGATGTCGGAATTTGGAAGACTGTTAAGAAAAACTGATTTTTATTATCTTCTTAGTCCTCTTTTCTTCTTCAGAAATAAGAGTTTTTATTTTGTCTGAATGTCAAATCACAGTAGTTAGTATTCATCAGGCCACCCGTCTCATGTCTAAGAATTTCATGATCTCAGAAATTGTAGCTGAGGCTTTAGCCTCAATTCCATAGGCCCTGAGGTAAAGCAAAGGAATTTTAAAATCAGCTTTAACCTCAGCATTTAGAAAGAAACTGGAATAAATCATCTAACGTTTAGCTTGGTATTATGTGTAAGAGCACAAGGTACTATGGTAATAATCAGAATGGCTCTGAAAATCAGCCATGTCAGATCTATTTCCTGTTCTTCTCTGATAGAATGAAAGACCCATAGATGAGGATGAAATAGTAAATTATTATTATTATTATTATTAAGAGATGGGGGTCTCACCCTGTTGCCCAGGCTGGAGTGCAGTGGCATGATCCTAGCTCACTACAGTCTCAAATGCCAGGACTCAAGCAATCTTCCCGCCTCAGTGTCCTGAGTAGCTGGGATTATCGGCATGAACCACAATGCCCAGCTAGTTATTCTTTCCTAGTTTTAGTAAGGTTTTGATTTTGACTTGCACAACATTCTTATTGACAACCTAAGAAAACACCCTTTTCATGAACTGAAGTAACTTCAAAGAAAAAAGGACTACAATACAATAAAAACAAAACTTTATTTACATTTTTCCAAATTAATTGTTCTTATTTGTCAGTGGATTTTTGTTGTTGTTTGAGATGAGATCTCACTATATTGCCCAGGCTGGTCTGGAACTCCTGGGCTCAAGCGATCTTCCCGTCCTCTTCTGCTCAATCCACCACGCCTGGCTTCTGGATATGTTCTTAATTGTTGTTTTGAAGTCTGTCTTATTCATATATCCTAATTTTTATAACCGTTCTCTTTCTGAGGGATACTTGGATGATTTCTAGTTTTTCACTGTTTTAAATAGCATGTCTAAGAACATCTTTTTAAAATTATTATTATTGTTTTTTTGAGATGAAGTCTCCCTCTGTCACCCAGGCTGGAGTGCAGTGGGATGATCTTGGCTCACTGCAACCTCTGCCTCCCAGGTTCAAGTGCTTCTCCTGCCTCAGCCTCCCAAGTAGCTGGGACTACAGGCGCGTGCCACCATGCCTGGCTAATTTTTTGTATTTTTAGTAGAGACAGGGTTTCGCCGTGTTAGCCAGGATGGTTTTGATCTCCTGTCCTCGTGATCTGCCTGCCTTGGCCTCCCAAAGTGCTGGGATTACAGGTGTGAGCCATCGCCCACAAGAACATCTTTATTTTTCTTCTTTCTTCTTCCTTCCTACCTCTTTTTTTCCTTCCTTCTTTTATTTTGAGGATACTGAATATTTCCTTACATTCCTTGTAATACCAGGTGGAATTATTGGGTAAAAAGATATGGGCACGGTGGCTCACGCCTGTAATCCCAGCACTTTGGGAGGCCGAGGCGGGCAGATCACCTGAGGTCAGGAGTTCGGGACCAGCCTGGCCAACATGGTGAAACCCCATCTCTACTAAAAATACAAAAAATAGCCAGGCATGGTGGTGAGTGCTTGTAATCCCAGCTACTTGGGAGGCTGAGGCAGGCGAATTGCTAGAACCCAAGGAGGCAGAGGTTGCAGTGAGCCAAGGTCATGCCACTGCACTCCAGCCTGGGTGACAAGAGCAAAACTCTGTCTCAAAAAACAAAAAAACAAAACAACCAAAAGATATGAACAATTTTATAGTACTTATTACATAATCTTGGTTTTTTTCAAGAAGAGTTTACCAAATGATAATGTCACTAAGTAGAAATATAGCCCAGTCAGCCTCAGATTTTGTAATTTACATCTTGCTAGTTAAGCGGTAGTACTTTAAAGCTATTTTAATTAGCATTTCTTTAATTTCTAACATTGTATTTTCTCAGATGATTCCCATTTGTATTTTCTTTTTCAAAATTTATCTTTTTCTCTCTTTGACCACTTATGAGTGAATTTTAGGTGTCGCCCTTATGTAATTGCATGTTTGTTTTCTTTTACATTTTTGGACAAGAAACTTTTGTCAGTTTTCTCAATGTGTTGTGTTGCTTTTTATAAAAGTTGATTTTCTGGTTTCTTTATTTTTTAAAAAATATTTAATTCTACAGATACATAGGTATATGAAACAAGCTAGGTATATAAATAAATTTTCTGTACTAATAGTCAGTTATCCCAACAATTCCCAAGTGGTGATTCCTTTACCCAACATTGAGTTGCTATTGATTTCCAGCTTGTTTATATACGAAAATAGTACCAAATAAACTTGTCTATCATATTCCTTGAGGGTCACTTTTCTTTAACCCTATGCCATATCACTTTTTTTTTTTGAGATGGAGTTTCACTCTTGTCACCTGGCTGGAGTGCAATGGCGCGATCTCAGCTCACCGCAACCTGTGCCTCCCGGGTTCAAGTGATTCTCCTGTCTCAGCCTCCAGAGTAACTGAGATTATTGGTGCCTGCCACAATGCCTGGCTAATTTTTGTATTTTTAGTAGAGATGGGGTTTCACCATGTTGGCCAGGCTGGTCTCAAACTCCTGACCTCAGGTGATCCACCCACCTTGGCCTCCCAAAGTGCTGAGATTACAGACGTGAGCCACTGTGCCAGGCCTGCCATATCATTTTGATTAATGTTCACATTATGATAGCCATAAAATGATTCTTGCCATGTTATTTTCTGTATTTATCAGGCTCATCATCACTGAAAATATGAAAGGCTTTTAATTGGTATTGAATTAAACTTATTAAATTAGAGGTTTTATCTTTTTTTTTAAATTTTTTTTGATACAGAGTCTTGCTCTGTCGTCCAGGCTGGAGTGCAGTGGCACGATCTCAGCTCACTGCAAGCTCTGCCTCCCGGGTTCACGCCATTCTCCTGAGTAGCTGGGACTACAGGTGCCCGCCACCACGCCTAGCTAATTTTGTTTTTGTATTTTTAGTAGAGACGGGGTTTCACCGTGTTAGCCAGGATGATCTCCATCTCCTGACCTCGTGATCTGCCCTCAGCCTGGGTTGGGCCCCTCGGCATCCCAAAATGCTGGGATTATAGGTGTGAGCACCATGCCCAGCCATTATCTTTTGTTTTTGTTTTGTTTTGTTTTGTTTGAGGCAGGGTCTCACTCTGTTGCTCAGGCTGGTGCGGTCTCTGCTTACTGCAACCTCTGCCTCCCAGGCTCAAGCGATCTTCCTGCCTCAGACCACACAGTACAGCCCAAGTGCACCTGGGACTACAGGCATGCACCACCATGCCTGGCTGATTTTTTTTGTATTTTTCGTAGAGACAAGGTTTTGCCACGTTGCCCAGGCTGGTCTTGAACTCCTGACCTCAAGTGATCTGCCTGCCTTGGCCTCCCAAAGTGCTGGATTACAGATGTGAGCCACCATGCCCAGCCTATTATCTTTTCAAAACTTAGTCTTATCTACTTGACGTATAACTTTTAATTTATTTATGCCTTCTTTTACCATTAACAGTTTGTCTCTTTCCTTAAGTAAATAGCTTACGTTTGGTTAAAATAATGTCTGAGTATTTCAAGGTTTGTTACGTTTTTTTAATGAAATTTTTATTTTTTACCAAAGCTTCTACTTACATGTCACTATAATTTAGGAATGTGATTTGAATAAATATATTTCATGTGTTACAGTGAAAAGTATACTATTTCTTTTCCTTTTTTTTTTTTTTTTTTTTGAGTCTCCCTTTGTCACCCAGGCTGGAGTGCAGTGGTGCAATCTTGGCTCACTGCAACCTCCACCCCTCAGGTTCAAGCGATTCTCCTGTCTCACCCTCCCAAGTAGCTGGGACTACAGGCACACGCTACCATGCCCGGCTAATTTTTGTATTTTAGTTAGAGACAGGGTTTCGCCATATTGGCCAGGCTGGTCTCGAACTCTTGACCTCACATGATCCATTTGTCTCAGCCTCCCAAAGTGCTGGGATTAAAGGTGTGAGCCACTGCCCCAGCCTGAATAGACTATTTCAACTGTCATATAAGGAGTTTTTTTGTTTTTGTTTTTGTTTTTTTTTTGGTAAGTTTCCCCTTTAAAGCCTGGAGATACCCATGAAAGATCTAGAAAACTAGAGAGAAAGGGTCAAGCTTGAGAGAAACCTCGAGCTTGAGAGATTTGGTGATTAGACTCTGTCTACTCATTGGGGACTACAGATCTTAAATCTTGCTACATTTAGACCAGTGATCATTGGATTGAAGACTGAAAGCAGATCAAGATTTCAGCACTAATATGGCAATACTTTTTTAATAGCCTTTCCCACTTTATAAAAATCCTTTAATTCTATTCTCCCTCTTCTCTTCCATAGCCAATCTCCTTGAAGGATATCTTGCTGTTTTCATCTCCTTGGCATTTATTCCCTTCACATCCACTGAAAGCTGACTCCCCCTCCCACCCCCCTGCCCCAGATGTCCTAGTTAATGTCCTTAGTGATACTTCATCAGCCCTTATACTAATTGAGCTTTTTGCACTATTCGACATTGTTAAACACTTCTTTTTGATAGTTTCCTCAAAATCAACATAATTACTACTCTTTTCCCCTTCATTCTTTTCCTGCATCTTTGAATTCTTTGCAGCTTCTTTTTTCCTTCCTTCAGGGGGTTATACTTGAACTTCTCATTTCTCACTCTGTGTTTTCTTTCTGATTGATTTTACCTGTGGCCTCAATTTCCACTACCACTTAAACACTGACGACTACTAAATTTATAAGTTGACTGAGTTCAGGCTGTGTTCCTAAGCACAAGGTATGTATACCCAATTTCCTGCTACATGTCTCTACTTGGGTTCATTCCAGCACCTCTAACTCAGCATGTTCATCATCTCATCTTCAAAATCCACTCTTCCCGGCTGGGCACGGTGGCTCACGCCTGTAGTCCCAGCACTTTGGGAGGCTGAGACGGGCGGATCACGAGGTCAGGAGATCAAGACCATCCTGGCTGACACGGTGAAACCCCGTCTCTATTAAAAATACAAAAAAAAAAAATTAGCTGGGCGTGGTGGCAGGCGCCTGTAGTCCCAGCTGTTTGGCAGGCTGAGGCAGGAGAATGGCGTGAACCCGGGAGGCGGAGCCGAGATTGCACTCCTGCACTCCAGCCTGGGCGACAGAGCGAGACTCCGTCTCAAAAAAAAAAAAAAAAAATCCACTCTTCCCAATAATCCCTACTTTTGGGGAATTCTTCCTTATCCTTCTAGTTACCCAAGCCAAATCTAGTACTTATTCTATAATTCTTCTTCTTTCCCACCTATACATGAATCTCTTATCATGTTTTGTCGGTTCTATCTTTGAAATCTGTCTTAAATCTGGCCCTTCTCCATTTCTTCTGCCTCTGTCTTATTTCAGGCCCTCATTATTTTTGCCTGAGCTCCAGTGGCCTCTTACCTAATCTTCCTGCCTCTAGACAGTTCTTTCCTATTCATTCCTATTTCTGGCAAAGTGATTCCAGAGAGATCTTTCTAAAACTCAGTATGCCCCTGCCATTCTTCTTGGGATACTTTAATGTTCCATTATTGTCAGCATAAAGCCCAAACTCCTTGGTATGGTTTGTAGGTCCCCCTATGAACTTTCTCCTCTGTACCTGTTCAGAATTGTATGTCTTGACATTCCCTGACAGGTGTTCTATGCTCCAGTCATATTGAACTATCTGTACATCTCTGGGACCATGCTGTTTATTGCTTATTATGCTTTTGCACATTCTGTTCCCTTGAAATATATTCTGTCTTGTTTAGTTGGTTACTTCCTCTGAGATGCTCAGTCATTTATTCAGTAAGTATTTTTTTACCACTCACTGTATGTTAGGTACTGTTCTAGGTGCTGGAAATAGTAATGAATAAAACAGGCAAAGATCCCTGTGCTCATGGAGTTTGTGTTCTGGCAGAACCCAGAACTGGGTTAGGTGCTTTTGTCTTCACACAGTGCCTTAAACTTAAAAAAAAAAAAAAAAAAGAAGTAGACAGTCTCTATGATTTCAGCTTTTCTATCATGTGCCCTTCTGAATCCTTCCTAGGAGATGGAACCATTGCTAATGCATAAACTGCCTTCTCTCCTTTATTATCAGAACCTGCTCTGATGAAAGGATCTGAAATTTATTCATGGGAAATAAAAATAAGGGTTTAAAATATCCCTCCCAGGGATATTTTATTCCAAAAGGCCAGAGAAACTTTAAGCTTGGGGAATTTTAAGCACCAGATTGCCTAAAATAAAGTTTAAACTTTGGAAACAAGAAAGAAAAAAACAACCTAGAATGGAACCAGTTAAGTTATGGTGGGTAGTGTCACTGTACGTCTCGAAGTCAGTAGCCTTGCTTACCTCCCTTTACATGGATCTTGGGAAGATTGGTAAGCCATTTTAGAGGAAAGGTGCTGTTTTCTTATAAATGGTAATAAATTAATGAGTGTGATTTAAAAAATATTAGTGGCCAGGTGCAGTGGCTCACACCTGTAATTCCAGTACTTTGGAAGGCCGAGGTGGGAGGATTTCTTGAGCCCAGCAGGAGTTTGACACCAGCTTGGGCAGCATGGTAAGACCCTGTCTCTACAAAAAATAAAAAAAATTAACTGGGTGTGGTGGTGCATACCTGTAGTCCCAGCTACTCAGGAGGCTGAGGATTGCTTGAGCCCACGAGGTCGAGGCTGCAGTGAGCTGTGATCACGCCATTGCACTCTGGTCTGGGTGACAGAGCAAGACCCTGTCTAAAAAATAAAAGTTAAATTTAATAAAATAAAACATTTAAAAAATTTAGCATGGTGGGATGAACCTGTAGTCCCAGTTACTCAGGAGGCTGAGGTGGGTGGATCATTTGAGCACAGGAGGTCGAGGCTGCAGTGAGCAGTGATTGCGCCACTGCACTCCAGCCTGGGTGATAGAGCAAGATCCTGCCTTTAAAAAAAGAGAAAGGAAAATCTTAGAGAACAGATTCCATACAAAGCTGTGTATTATACCTTTCGAATCCCATCGGGGGATCTGGTTGAATCTGAGATTTTGACTGGCTGGTTTATGAAGATTTCCTGCTTTAGGCTTGAGTTTGAATTGGAATTTTAAAAAGAGAAGTAAATGCTGTGATAAATTGAGGTAATAATCAGTACAGTGAAATGGTAGGATAGGAAATGAAAAGAAGACAGGTTCATAGAAAAGTGAGTATAGGGGCCAAGAAAGTGATTGAATATAGAGGCAAAATGATGTAGAAGTGGTAAATGGGAAATCTATGCTAAAATAATACAGAGTATTAAATAAAGTTGGCCTTGTAGTGGTCAGAGGAGGAGACCACAAATATGTTCTGGATTTTTAGAGCCCCAGAAAGACCCTTAAAATCTGCCTTAAAATGTGTTTTCCATTTACTAGTGAAGGCTGAACATTCTTTTAAAGATGTCTTTGTCCTTGTACAATACAATATACCCAGAAGGGAAAACACTTTATAGCCCTTATGGACTAACTTGGTCTGCTTTGAAATTTGGCTCAGGTAGGCCTTACCATGGAGTTACCTGGTAGCTATTAAAGAAGTTTAAGTACAGAAGTTTTCATAATTACTTCCTTAATTTCTTCCTCATAGTTTGATTTTAAATTAGAAGAGAATTACTGGAATACATGTATCCTCCTCAATCACTACCCCTAGCAAGCTTCATTAGTCTTTGAAATGTTTCTCCCTGTAAAGAACAGTGGCAAAAAAAAAAAAAAAAAAAAAAAAGTAAAAAAGAAAGAAATGGAATCCAGATTAACTGACTAGTTTTTAGTCCTTGCTCTAATTCCTCAAAGCAAACCTTTAAAGGCTGAGTGGTTTTGAGAGTGAGGGAAAATTTATTAGTGATTGAAAACTGCTGTTTTATTTAGAAATTCCTTTTAATTTTAATTTAGGTTATAAGTATCTTGGACAAAGGAAGTACACCCAGCTGCTAGGTCCCCTGATTGTATTTATATCACTTTCCCTTCAACCTCCTCTGGCCTCTCTAAGGCCTTAGCCTTCATAAATGCTAAGGCCCAGGTGGGCCATCTCTGCAGAATTGCATGCAAAGAAGCACAGTCCAGCATCCAGAAGGAATTTAAAAGGAATCTCAGTCTTGATGTGCTTTTCTCAAAGATTGTTAAATAACATCTAAGTTGTAACCCATAGCAATGCTTCTTACAATCTCTTTATCGTCCCTCCAATTCTTTCATTGTAGCACTGCTCAGAAACCCCGAAAATGCTCAGCCTGAGGTCTTTCCGCTACCCCAATCTGATTTTTTTCCCTTTCATCTTGTCCTCCCCAACTCTTTATTAGATGGGCAGACTTAGTCTTTTTGGCTTATTCTCTAATTTTTCTCGATTCCTTGCCCATTACTCAGATTCTCTACAAAGGTGAGTTCAGAAACTGAGCAAGCAGGAATATTTTCTTCTTTCTTCTTAGCTCTTCAGTCCTGCCTTTCTCTACCACTCATTCTCTTGATTCTGAATCACAGTAAGTCCTGGGAAAGTGGATAGTCCAAAGAGAACTTTCATTAGAGGGCAGTGAAGGCAAATTAACTGGGTGAAGACAAAATACATTTTAGCTATCTCTTCCTCCTGGATGGGTGCATTCACACTTTTTTTTTTTTTTTAAGACGGAGTCTTGTTCTGTCGCTCAGGCTGGAGTGCAATGGTGCGATCTCAGCTCACTGCAACCTCTGCCTCCCGGGTTCAAGTGATTTTCCTGCCTCAGACCACGCCCACCCCCCTGCCCCACCCCCTGAGTAGCTGGGATTACAGGCCCACGCCACCATGCTCGGTTAATTTTTGTATTTTTAGTAGAGACAGGGTTTTACCATGTTGCCCAGGCTGGTCTCGAACTCCTGACCTCAGGTGATCCGCCCGCCTCAGCCTCCCTAAGTGCTGGGATTAAAAGTGTGAGCCACTGCACCCAGCCCGTGCAGTCACACTTTAATAAATTTTGTAAGGTTACATGAAGTTTCTTTGAGGATCCAAGAATTCTGTTTTCTGAGCCCAAGGGAGGAATGATGCAGACAGAAAAGATTGGTAACCAACACTGGGGAGCGAGGGGCATAAAGGAGATAGTGCTGACCCTTCTCCCTCTCTCCCAACCCTAACCTGTTGCAGACAACCGGTTCCTTGTTTAACCCTTTAGCCAGTTAATGAAAGTGTATTATGCTGGCAACAACATGTCTACTTGACATCTTCAGATGCTTTTGTGACAGTTTTCAAAATGTACCCTTTCTCTGGCTGTTGTAGCCCTGTAGTCAGGACACAGGCTCTGCCAGTTGTTAAAGCCAAAGAAATATATTTGGAGCTGGGTGTGGTGGCGTCCTTAGTCCCAGCTGCCCCAGAGGCTGAGGTAGGGGGATCACTTGAGCCCAGGATTTCAGAGTTAAAGTGAGCTATGATTGTATCACTGCCCTCCAGCCTGGGCAAAGAGTGAAACAGCCAGACCCTGTCTCTTAAAAACAAAACAAAACAAAACTCTCCCTCTCTCTCTCTCTCTATATATATATAATATATATAGTTATATATGTATATAAAATATATATAGTTGTATATAGATATATTCTGAAACATTATTCCATCTCCCCTAATAAATCATCTTTCCTCCTCTTCCTTATCGCACTCCTTCCCCTGGTTAGCATTCATCTGAGCAACTGTCATTTTGAGGAAGGCTGGCAATCAAATAGGGGTGACAGAACAGGGCCTGAATTATTAACAAGCAATAGGTTGGACTCCAGTGCTCACATTAGTTGCTTTGATCAGTCAGCTGCTTATTAGCATAATCCAGAGAAAGAAAGGACCTGCCTTGTTGTACCCTGGATGCTTTCTTATCCTGATGATTGCCTCAGAATTTGCATCTGCTCCTTATTCAATTGACTCTACGTTTGCAGCTGCCTGAAACTGCACCTACCTTTGTAGCAGTTTTTTCCTACAAATGTTTAGAACTCAGATTTCCTCTGATCTTGTTTCTCTGATCTGATTCCACATGCTTTCTTTCCTTTGAGAAATCCTCAAAATCTGTGATCTGCTTAGCACTCTTCCTTGCTTTCACTGAAAATTTGAATTTATTCTTTTAAGTATTTCATTTTACTGGATTTAGGATGGAAAGGGGTTCAGTTATGTGCATAAAGTCTATCATCTCAACCCAGTCTTAGTTTTTATTATTTTACATATATGTATCTGTAGTTTCATATAATATCATCCCTATGTATGATTGACTCAAAATGTTATTAAAGATCTGAACATTATTTCTAGTTTTCTTTACTGTAAAGAAACGCATTTCCAGCTGAAGTATACTTAAAACTATAGAATATGTTAAGTTTATTTTGCAAGTTGATCCAAGATTAAAAGAATAAAATGCAATGTGACATATATGTTTGAGTAGTGCAGAAAACTACTGTTTTTATGGAGATAAAAGTTGATGTTGATAACAGAATTTATTACTGGCTTATTACATGTATTACATGTAACGCATGTAGATAGTTTTTATGTATCTGTTTATGAGAAGAGTATGTTGTATTTATATAATTTGACTTATGTTCCAATATTAGTGTTTTTTATATAACATAAGCATTTTTCAGAGTTGCAGAACAGAATTCAAACTGGTAGACTCCAGGCCAGATCAGGCTATAGAAATGTTTTGTTTGGTCTTCATAATATTAGCTTACTCAGTTTTTTTTAAAAAGTGAATTAATTGCCAATGTTTGAAAGTAAAGCTATTTCAGGAAGAGTTCCTGACTTGTAGCTTCTCTTGAAAAATCAGAAGATTTAACAACTTTGGGTCCACATTCCTCTGTGGCAGTAAATGACCAGTGCTGAGTAGTGGCTGCCCTTGTTAGCTAGTAGTTGGCCACAGTCTTCGTCATTCTTTATAATCTCTCAAGCCAGTCTACTTTTCTCTTTATTGCTTCTTTCCTGATCCTGTAGGTGTTTGAGTTTGTGACCCCTACTATATAAATCATTATTTTAAAGTATTATGAAATATTCATGGAATAAGGGTACTACAATTATCAGATTTCTTTCTTTTTAAAAGTGTATATAATTCTGTGATTTTCAACTTTGTAAACATATTCTTTCACATTGGCATTATAACCTGGAAGCAGAAGTATAGAGTCAAAAAAATGAGAACAGTTACATGGCTCTTGATAAATATGCAAAGTGCCTTCACAATAAAAATAGCTAATGTTGAAGCTAGAAAGAGGAGTCAATAGAGAAGTCAGAAGAAATGCTGGCCTTCTACCTACAGAGCCTCATAGTGTCCCTGTGGAGATCTTGTCAGTTTAGGTCTGGTTTTTATTCTTGCTGATCCAGTTAGTAATCAGAAAGTGGCTTGGTGAACACAGACTCAGAATAAAGGAAGCAGTAGTTTTGAAGGAGATTTCATTATACCTTAGCGAGGACTGATGTATTAAGTTTGCTTTATAGTACAAAACATTTGTCTCTCAAAATCATAATGCCTGCTGAGTCAGTATCCATTTTCCTTGGACAGTGTTGGGTGAATACTGCGAAATTCTTTTTATAACCCCCTCCTTCTTTCTAAAAACTCCATTTATACTACTGTCTTCTGTTAATACATTCTTTATATGAATTTCAGTATCATTAGGTTACGTCTTTATATATGTCATTTTTTTTTCTGAAATACCTAATTACCTTATTGGACTTGGGCTAGAGGAACTCAAATGGTCTTTTTATGGTGGACGACTGTTATAGATAGAGATACCATCCATTATATGTTTACCCTTTCTAGATTCATGTTTAGTTTTGTCTTCTAAATTCTGAGTATACTTTGTTCTCATATGTCGATTAATCTGGTGTTTGTTTAATATTTCATAGTTATGCAAATAAAGTTCACATATATCATGTTGTTTTATCCAGTTCAGACCCTGTGTCAGTTATCTGCGAGTGTGTCGTGATTCCCATTTTTAAAAACAAAGAAACTGATGATCAGAGAATATAAGTGACTTTTTCAAGGTCAAAAAGCTAGTAAGATGATTACTAGAGGCTGGGAAAGGTAGAAGTGGGGAGGAGGGGAAGCGGGAATGGTTAATGGGCACAAAAAGTTGTTAGAAAGAATGAATAAGACCTAGTATTTGATAGCACAACAGAGTGGCTACAGTCAATAATAATTTAATTGTGCATTTAAAAATAACTAAAGGAGTATATAATTAGATTGTTTGTAACACAAAGGATAAATGCCAGAGAGGGTGAATACCCCATTTACCATAATATGATTATTACACATTGCATGCTCATATCATGTACCTCATGAGAGATATCAAGTGTCTCATATACCCCATAAATATATACACCTACTGTGTACCCACAAAAATTAAAAAGTGAAAAACAAAGCTATTAAGTAACAGGGTTGGGAATTAAAGTGAGATTTTCTGACTTCAAAGTCCATGTTTCCAAGATAAGCAGTAGAATCAGGCAGTGGACTTAGTGATGCGAAATGAGAAGGGAGCAAAACCCTACAATGCAGATTGTTTCTTTTGAAATTTCTTTCTTTGCTCCTACCGGGAAAGCAGGGTCACCCTATTTGGTATAAGTGGCATAGAGCTTGTCAAGAGGTGTTCTTGGGGATATAGTCATACCCTGTTTGTGAGGGAGAATCCTGCAAGTTTGGTACCCTTTGATCTTCTCTGGGACAGCTGCAGATAGAAGGGCAAAAGTTAAAGAAAGGTTTTATGTAGAACCATTCCTATAAGACCCCCTTCTCATCTGGCTAAATACAAAGGTATTCACTAATGAAGCTTAACTTATCTCTGAAGCATTTTCATTTTAATAGAAGACTTATAAAGAGAAATATGAAAGGAAAAAATCAGTGAAGGTGGCCGAGTGTGGTGGCTCATGCCTGTAGTCCCAGCACTTTGGGAGGCCGAGGTGGGTGGATCACAAGGTCAGGAGTTCGAGACCAGCCTGGCCAATATGGTGAAACCCCATCTCTACTAAAAATACAGGCCAGGCGCGGTGGCTCAGGCCTGTAATCCTAGCACTTTGGGAGGCCGAGGTGGGTGGATCATGAGGTCTCGATGAGATCGAGACCATCCTGGATAACATGGTGAAACCCCGTCTCTACAAAAATACAAAAAATTAGCAGGGCATGGTGGCGGGCGCCTGTAGTCCCAGCTACTCCGGAGGCTGAGGCAGGAGAATGGCATGAACCCGGGAGGTGGAGCTTGCAGTGAGCCGAGATGGTGCCACTGCACTCCAGCCTGGGCAACAGAGCGAGACTCCATCTAAAAAAAAAAAAAAAATCAGTGAAGGTGCAGTGGCAGATAAGGGATTCCTTTTTTATTACATTTTTGTTTCAGTATTTTTTAAAAATTAGAAAGATTGAATTATGAGTTTTAAAATAGTACACAAATAATATAAGGAGTTCTTAACAGTCCCTTCAGGCTTTTATTCTCTTAAAATGATTTCTAAAACCATATAACAGGAATTTTTAAATAAAACTTCTAGTATAAGTTCACTATAATTCCTGTGCACTTAAGCAATATAGCACAACTTTAAAATACAAAAATAAGATATACTTCTATCTCCAGGGACTTCTGACATTTTTATATGAAAAGAGAGAAGTATTTGGCCAGGCGCTGTGGCTCACGCCTGTAATATCAGCACTTTGGGAGGCCGAGGTGGGCGGATCACGAGGTCAGGAGATGGAGACCATCCTGGCTAACACGGTGAAACCCCGTCTCTACTAAAAATACAAAAAATTAGCCGGATGTGGTGGCGGGCACCTGTAGTCCCAGCTACTCGGGAGGCTGAGGCAGGAGAATGGCGTGAACCCGGGAGGCGGAGGTTGCCGAGGTGGTGCCGCTGCATTCCAGCCTGGGCGACAGCACGAGACTCTGTCTCAGAAAAAAAAAAAAAGGAAAAGAGAGAAGTATTCAACAAATCAGTTTTGGCGTATGGGTTTCCTCGTGTTGACTTTTGAAATACTGATTGGTGACTGTCACCAACCAATATTCCCTAGCTCCTTCGTGCACCTCAAATGACTAAGAATGGAGAGAGTACTAGGAGTAGCATCTATTTCTTTTGCAGAGATTAGAAACAAGACGCTTCTTGCTCTGCTTCTTCAAAGGGTTCCGATTGGGTGATTAAGAACAACTTTAAATGTTTTGGAGTTGAGAGAAAGTTATGAGTCCTTTTTCAGCCTGAGACTTTTCTGTTATGAAGGAATGCATACGCAGTGAGCCTTCCAAGGATACTAGCAGTTGCTTTAAAATATTCTTAGGGACATTGTTTTATAGACAAGTCCCTTGAACCTGATGATCAAGAGAAATAAATTGATCGGGCCCTTGCAGGAGCAGTTTATCACCCTGGAATACTTTTGACAATTGCTGAAAATGCGTGCTGGCAGGAAGTTTTTTAATTACCAAAACCATCAGATCATTTGCTTGGTTCTTTCAGAGTCAGTGAAATATATGAGTGAGTAATGGAGTCTGTTCAAGAAAAAATTAGCTAAGCATTGAATCTGGCACTGTCCCTGTTGCAGATGGAAGGCCAGATGTTCAGGAGCAGTCACGAATCATCAGGTTCATATATATAGAAGCACACACATATATGTATGTTACATATATATGTATACATGAGAGTTAAAATAAGAAAGGAAAGATTTTGTAGTTCATAGGAGAACGTCATATTTACAGCAGGTTGAATTTCTGGAAAAGGCATTTTAATTAAATGGAAGTGGTTTTCTTAAGTTTAATTTGGTTTTCCTTTGGAAGTAGCATTATAATAGAGTTGTATGCTTAACTGGGGGAGAGATATCCGAGTCTTTATAAAATTGGTTATAAATGTAATATTTAATCAGCTATTAGTGATAGAAAAGGGCAATAATAGGCAAGCACTTTTCAAAGATTATACATTTTCTCATTTAATTTCTCACACTATTATCTTCATTTTGCAAATGGGGAAACAAGTTTAGAGAGATTCAGTAATCTGAGGAAGATCATAAGGCAAGGAAGTGCTAGAGCATGGCTTCATTAAAGGGATTAGAAAATGCTAACCTTTGAGAGTTTCAGGGTTAGCAGTAGCTAGAACGGTGAAAAAATATTGAAGCTAGAGATGGATTATAATGGAAAAGTAGAGATGGTCCACACTTTTTCTGTGTTAAGAGAGGTAATGGAAAGTAGTTGCCAGAGGATTGTATCAGTGATTTACTGTGTTGAATGGTAGTAAATTGAGGACTGTCTGTACTGCAGTTGTGAAATATATGAAGTCCTGCAAAAAGTAGACTTCTCAGAAACCTTGCAAGCAGTTTATTACAAACCTGAAGATACTCTTACTATATAATCTAGCAATCACACTCCTTGGTATTTACCCAAATGAACTGAAAACTTACATCCACACAGAAGCCTGCACGTAGCTGGGCATGGTGCTGTGGGCCTGCAGTCCCAGCTACTCAGGAGGCTGAGGCAGAGGGATTGCTTGAGCCCAGGAGTTTGAGGCTGTAGTAAGCTATAAATGCCTGTGAATATCTACTGTGCTCCAGCCTGGGCAACATAGCAAGACCCTGTCTCTAAAAAAACAAAAACTGCCTGTGGATGTTTATAACAGCTTTATCCATAATTGTCAAAACTTGGAAGCAACCAAAATGTTCTTCAGAAGAAAGGAGGTTATTTTACAAGAAGGTGAATAAATACAAAAAAATTACATACAAAAAATTTACAGTAAATACACAAAGTTACAAGAAGGTGAATAAATAAATAAACCATGGTACACTTAGCACTAAAAAGAACTGTGTTATCAAGCCATGAAAAGACATGGAGGAAACTTAAAGGCATTTTACAAAGTGAAAGAAACCAATCAGGTTGTATACTATATGATTTCAACTATATGACATTCTGGAAAAGGAAAAACTATTGAGACAGTAATGATCAGTGGTTTCCAGGGGTTAGGAAAGAAGGAGGGAACTTAGGTAGAGCAAAGAGGATTTTTAGGGCAGTAAAACTCTTCTGTATCATATGACAGTGATGGATATACGTCATTGTACACTTTTCAAAACCCAGAGAAAGTACACTACCAAGAGTGAACCCTAATGTGAACTATGGACTTTGGGTGATAATGGTATGTCAATGTAGGTTCATAATCAATGTATTGATTATAACAAATGTACCACCGTAGGGTGGGATGTCAATAGTTGGGGGTGGGTTTCATGTAGGGGGTAGGGGAGTATATGGGAACTCTGTACTTTCTGCTCAATTCTGCTGTGAACCCCAAATTGCTCTTAAAAAAAACAAAATTTATTAACTAAAAAGAAATAAAAAAGGAAGCAAAGAAAGAAGGAAAGAAGAGAAAGAAACCTTGCAAACCAGAAGATAATAGGTGACATATTTAAATGGGAAAATATTCTGTCAACCCAGAATTCTATAACCAGTGGAAATGTCTTTCAAAAATGAAGGAGAAAAATGGTAAATTTTATGTTATATGTATTTTACCACAGTAAAAGAAAGGAGAGATCAAGATATATAAGAAAAAGCTGGATGAAAAGAATGCAAAGAGCAAACAGTGGCACTGATACTTCATAGTTAATGTGATGAGACCAATTTTAGAAATTAAAAAATTATTCAAGGAACATAACCATTAATGATAATAGAAGACAGCAATAATATCACAATAGTATCTAACATTTTATTGAGTACATATTATGGGCCGGGCACTAAGCTGAAATGCTTTATATCTGGCAATGGCATTGGCAAACATTTTATTTTATTTTATTTTATTTTATTTTATTTTATTTTATTTTATTTTATTTTTATTTAGAGAGAAGTCTCACTCTGTTGCCCAGGCTGGAATGCAGTGGTACCATCATATTTCACTGTGGCCTTGAATTCCTGGGCTCAAGGGATCCACCCACCTTAGCCTCCCAAGTAGCTGGGACTACAGGCTTGTGCCACCATGCCCGGCTAATTTTTAAATTACTGGTAGAGGTGTCTCACTGTGTTGGTCAGGCTGGTCTCCAACTCCTAGCTTCAGAGATCCTCCTGTCTTGGCCACCACCCAAAGTGTTGAGATTACAGGCGTGAGCCACTGTGCCCAGAGGTTTTTTGTTTTTTTGTTTTTTGGTGTTGTTATTGAGACAGAGTTTCACTCTTGTTGCCCAGGCTGGAGTGCAATGGCGTGATCTCGGCTCACTACAAACTCTGCCTCCAGAGTTTAAGCAATTCTCCTGCCTCAGCCTCCTGAGTAGTTGGGATTCCAGGCATGCACCCACCACGCTCGGCTAATTTTGTATTTTTAGTAGAGACGGGGTTTCTCTATGTTGGTCAGGCTGGTCTCGAACTCCAGACCTCAGGTGATCCGCCTGCCTTGGCCTCCCAAAGTGCTGGGATTACAGGCATGAGCCACCGCGCCTGGCCTTATTTTTTTTATTTTTATTTTTTTAAAGAGATCTCAGAGTCTCTGGCTTTGGACTCCGGGGCTCAGGTGATCCTCTGATCCTTCCACCTCAGCCTCTCCAGTAGCTGTGACTACAGGTGTGCACCACTGCACCTGGCAAGGGAGACTGTTAAAAATAAAAGTCCAGACAGTAAGTATTTTCAGTTTAGCAGACTATTTACAATTTCTTTTGTCTATTATTCTTTTTTAATTTTGTTTTGTTTTTATACCTTTTAAAAATGTAAGAAACCATTCTTAGCTTGAGGGCTATACAAAAACTGTATGAGGGCTCAGTTTGGTTTAGTCTATAATTTGTTTACCCCTGGTCTAGACTTTAAGCTTTTGACCTCAGTGCACATGACTACTTAACAAAATCCAAACCAATTGCACATCCCTGAAAAGTCTGTAGAAAGGACCAAAGGCATATGGAAATTGAGAATTAATTGTCATATTTCTGTGGCTTTTGTTGCTGTAGGAGCAATGATATAACAAAATTAAAGAAGTAATTTAAATCATCTGTAATTCTACCACCCTAGCACAATAGCCAAATCCAAATTACTTTCCAATCCTGGCCTTTATGCAGCATATTTTAAGAACAGTAATTTTTAATGTATTTTCAGCATGTAAAAATAACTTCAGCATTTCTAATTTTAAAATCTCATTAACATTTTTTATATTTTAATGGAATGTTAAAAAATTTATCAGTTGAATTCCAATCATGCAGCTTCATGAGAGCTGTTGCTTTCCCCCCTCTAATCATATAACCTTTGAGCAGCATTTTTCGGCTGATAACTACAAATCAAGAGAGAATAGATATCCAAAAGAGGCAGAAGAGATGTGTAATAAAGAGCATATGAGGACTGAGAAAGATAAAAAGATGGGAGTTGTGTGGAATAGAATTGTTAAAGTGGTACATTTCCTACCCAAAAGATCAATTTTTACTTAAGGTTTCGTTCAGACTTTTGTCCTTCTGTGTCGTTCCTGTTTTTGGTTTTGTTGGTACAGAATTACTTTTAGCTTCTTTATTATTTTTCCTAAGACTGGTGATGTTTATACTACTTTATTACCACTCTTCCTTGGCTTTGCCTCTCTGTCCTCAGCTATTTTCTCTAGCTATGGTTAAGGTTGTATCCCCCTTCCCTTCCTTTATATCTTTTCATTTGCCTATCAACCTTCTCAAATATTTCGTTTGTGAATGAAAATACATTTTGTAATTTGTGAAACAAACAACCCACAATACCATTGTGCTGGGGCCCTGGGTGGTCCCTGACACCCTTTCAGAGAGTCCTTGGAGTCACAGATATTTTCAAAAAATGCTAAGGGTTATTTATTAACTTTTCTTTTCTTGAATTGATGCATATTTTAAAAATTTCTCAGTTTAAACATCTAAAATGGTAAAAATATACCATATATCATCCACATAAACAAAGCTCATTGATGTTCTCAGTCATTTTTAGCAGTGTAAAGGGGTCCTGAGACCAAAAAGTTTGAGAATGGCTAATGTATTTCATCAGCAAACTAAAAACATTTATTAAGCAGCTTTGTATTTTCAGTCCCAGTACTAGTTGTGTAGAATCGGTGGCAGAACTTTGCCTCACAGTTTAGAGGTGAAGACATACTTCTCAAAGGATAAGTACAGTTGGAGTCAGTAAGTGCAGAGATCTTACACACCACGGGAGTCCAGAGGGAAGTATACTTAACTTGTGATTATGTTACTGGTGATAGGGGAGGGGTCAGTGAGAGGCTGGAACCACATTTATTAAGCCTTCCTAGAGGAGGTGACCACTGAACCAATTATTTTAAAAATCAGAATGAGGCAGGTGAAGGATGGTTGTAGGAGGCCTTCTAGACGAAGCAGCAGGAGCAAAGACAGGGAAGCAAAGAGTGCAATATGTACAGGCAAACACAAGCAGGCCTCTGTTACTGCATGCAGGGTGGGTTTAAAGAGTAGTGGCAATGAGGCTGGAGATATGGCAGGGAACAGTTCTTAGAGAGTCAGTTTTAGCCTTTTAGGAGTTTAGACTCTATCCTTAAAGGGAAACCCCACATTTATTTATTTATTTATTTTTGAGCACATATGTGGTATTAGTTCGTCTTTCTATGCATGAAGAATTTGGCTTATTAAAATAATTTTAATTATTGGGTATCAGACCCATTTGTAAACAGAAAAATACAGTTAAGTGTTTTCTTAGGAAACAGAATGTAACCGTACTTTTTAAAACATCGTACAGCCATGGATTCAACCAACTGTGGATGGAAAATGTTTAGGAAAAAAACAAGAAAAAATAATAAAAAACCAATACAGTTAAACAACCATTTACATACATTTACATTGTATTAGGTATTATAAGTAACCCAGAAAGATAAAGTATATAGGAGGACGTGCTAGCTTATATGCAAATACTACTCTATTTTATATAAGGGACTTGAACATTTGGATTGTGGTATCTGTGGGGGTTCCTGGAACCAGTCCCCAAGGGGCAACTGTAGTGAGCTTAATAAGAAGAAATTGTGTGGTAAATACTCACCATCCATTTAGTTCTAATGGGCAGTAGTAATTATGGGTTTTCTTGTCGAAGCTAATGAAGGTAAAAAATAGGTCCATTTTTTTAAAGACTAAGTTGAGAACTAATAGAGCTAAAAGCAGTACAGGCATGAAAGGAAAAATGACAAGCTACAAATAAATAGTAGTAAAGTGAACTCTAAACCTTTAAATTCTCAACTCAGTATAAATGACAAAACATGTTACCAAATCTGCATCATTTTTATTGCCACCATTTAAATCTAACTGATGGTTTCCTACAACTAGCACACTAAAAAAAATGAAGAACAGAAATGTATTTCCCACAGTCTGGGAAGTTCAAGATCAGTAAGTTAGCGCCTTGGTCACTCTGCTTCTAGGATGGCACCTTGAATAGCACAGGTGTTTTAAAGAAATTTTGCCTTCCACACCTTTGAAATAATTTGAGCTGGGCACAGTGGCTCACACTTGTAATCTCAGCACTTTGGGAGGCTGAGGCAGGTGTATTACTTGAGCCCATGAGTTAGACACCAGCCTAGGCAACATGGCAAAACCCTGTTTCTACAAAAAATACAAAAATTAGCTGGGCGAGGTGTTGCGCGCTTGTGGTCCCAGCTACTCAAGAGGCTGAGGTGAGAAGATCACTTGAGCCTGGGACATCGAGGCTGCAGTGAGTTGTAACTGTGCCACTGCACTCCAGCCTGGGTGAGACCCTGTCTCAAAAAAAAAAAAAAAAGAAAAGAATTTGAGTGATATAGGCTCTTTACTACCATGTATGGTACTACTATGAAAGTTTTATCAGCATTATTCATGATAGCCAAAAAGTGGAAGTAACCCAAATATCTGTCAGCTGAGAAATGAATAAATAAAGTGTGGTATATCCATATAATGCAATATTGCCAATAAAAAGAAATATATGTTTTCTACATGGATGAGCCTCGAAAACGTTATGTTAAATGAAAGAAACCAATCGAGAAGACTACATATTGTATGATTCCAGTTACAGTCATGTGTCATTACTTAACAACAGGGTATGTTCTGAGAATAGGGTGATTTTGTTGTGTGAACATCATAGAGTGTACACAACCCTAGATGGCATAGCCTACTATATATACTACCCAGGTTATGTGGTATAGCCTATTGCTCTTAGGCTACAAACCTGTATAGCATGTTACTGTACTGAATACTATAGGCAGTTGGGACACAATGGTAAGTATTTGGGTATCTAAACATAAAAAAGTACAGTAAAACATCAAACATCTTTAACGTATGAAACATTAAAAATGGTACACCTATATGGGACACTTACCATGAATAGAGCTTGCAGGACTAGAAGTTGCTCTGGATGAATCAGTGAGTGAGTGGTGAATGAATATGAAGGTCTCAGACATTGATGTACACTACTATGGATTTAATAAACACTGTACACTTAAGCTACACTAAATTTATGTAAAAATTTTTTTCTTCAATAACAAATTAAGCTCAGCTTACTGTAACTTCATGAACTTTTAGAATATTTATACTTTTTGATTCTTTTATAATAACACCTAGCTTAAAATATAAACACATTGCACAGTTGTACAAAAACATTTAAAAATATTCTATAAGCTTTTCGCTATTTAAAATTTATTTTTACTTTTTAAACTTTGTTAAAAACTAAGGCAAACACACATTAACCTGGGCGTACACAAGGTCAGGATCATCATTATCACTGTCTTCAATCTCCATATCTTGTCCCACTGGAAGGTCTTCAGGGGAAATAACACACATGGTTAATGATAAAAAGTATAGTATAATAATACATAAAACAGTAATAGTCATTGCTATTATCAAGTGTTATTTACTGTACATAATTATATGTGCTATGCTTTTATATGACTGGCATTGCAGTAGGTTTGTTTACACCAGCATCATCACAAACATATGAGTAACGCATTACATTATGATGGCTATGACACCACTAGGCAATAAGAATTTTCAGCTTCCTTTTAGTCTTATGGGACCACTGTCATATATGAGATCCATTGTTGACCAAAATGTTGTATGAGCTGCATAACTGCATAGGCAAATCCATGGAGACAGAAAGTAGATTAATGGTTTTCCAAGACTGGGGAAGAAGGAAGTTGGGAAATGGGGAATGATTGCTTGCTAATGGATATGGGAGGATTTCTTTTTGGGGTGATGAAAATGTTCTAAAGTTGATTATGGCAAAGGTCGCACAACCTTATGTATGTACCAAAACCCACTGAATTATACACTTTAAATAGATGAATTGTATGGCATATGAGTTATCCCTCTATAAAGCTGTTTGATCTATCTGTATTTCAACAGTTAGAGTGATAACTTGAATATTGAAAACTTTGAAAATACATGTTGTGAGGGAAGGTAAAACGCCAAAGACTACATTTTACCAGTATATGTCTAATCAAAACTATTCCATAAAACTCCTTCCTAATTTGAATAGAATGATTTTTTCCTTTGAAGGTAAAAATCCTCTATATCTTTTACCATTTTATTAATATTTAATTCCTTCTTCCTTCTTTCTGGAGAAACTTTGGATTCTGACAGAGCTCCTTCTATACTGACCTGACAAGTTCTCAGAGACTGGTACTGTTGCAGCTAATGAGTCAAGTGGACACTCATGCTGGCTGTGTTCCCAAGACTATTCTTACATTAGGGCAAATGGCATGAGGACAATGCATCCAATGTATCAGGCACAAAGAGGTTTTTCTTCCTAATTGACCATGTGTGTCCTCCTTTCTTTGAATAATAGGAGGAAAATCTCCCTACCATGACTTTTGGAATTCCTTCCTTTCCCTCTCCTAGTACCCAAGGTTATGAGTGTAGGCAAGGCTTTTGTTCCAAAGCTGTCATCTCCTTTTATCAATTTCCCCTTTTCATTCCTTTTAGGTCTCCAAGCCTCAGAGCAGAAGGCTGTGACTAGTGAGCCTTTCTGATTTGTTTACTCATTCAGGCACACACAGTGAACAGCTGGGAGTCCAGCCAGTTTTGTTATACTGTTGCTTGTCTAAGTGATTCCCAAGTGAGTCAGTGAGACCTTAGGTCCAACTCTGACCATCCATTTGGTTAGTGGTTTGGGTAGGCTGTGGACTGGGAGGCTTTTTGAACTCTTACATGGTAGCTTTTGAGCCCTTACCCTTTTGTTCTGCAGGCAGAATGAAAGTCTGCTTGGGAACTCCTGAAAAGCCTCCCATCTTCAAACAAACACTATATTTAATTCCAAGCTAGGACAATTTCTTTCTTTCCTTTTCCTATGGAAGAGTAGTCTGTTTGTGAGATCTTCATTTCCATACCCTGATTTCTCCACAGCCCTGTTTCAATTAGCTTTTATTTCCATTGATTTGTCAGATCCGTTTACCAGAAGTACATTCTTAGATTGAGGACCTCCTTCATGCCAAAACCTTCTGTCCTCTTTTGACTTAACTTTATGTGATAATATTCCTGACAACTCCTTCCTTCTCAGAACTCAATCTTTCCTTGAGTGGAACTCAACTGATGCTTGTTGGATTTGACTATATTTTTCACACTGTAGCATCCAGGCTTACTTCTTACCTTTCAGCTGATTCATCTTTGTTTCTTGCATTGAACTACACATTCCTCACATTCTCTAATCAGAGTATTCTCTGAAGGTTCTACATGCCAGTGCATGATCAACTGCATCTGGTTTGTATTTAGACCTTGTGGTCCAGGGGAGTGGATATGTCCAAGAGGTTAAAGGTATGCAAAGAATGGATAATGGTGCCAAGTGGACTGCTTCTGCCATTGAGTGTGATACGGCAGTCACCATAAGAATAAATTACATGGCTTTCAACTAGTCAATAGTCCAAAGCTTTTCAACCCTGCAATACCTTAAGCCAGAGTTTCTAGACTTTGGTAGCGGTTTAAAATAGATTTCTGGAACACCTCCAAATCTGTGATTTAAACTGTCTTAAAGTTGGGCCCAGGAATCTGTGTTTTTGAAAAGCACCCAGGTGTTTCTGATAGAGTTGGTTCAGGCATCATTCTCAGAGGAAACAATGTCATAACCACCTTTCCTTTAGTAACAGGCTCCATCCCTAGAGATTTAGAAAGAACTAAGAGTAATCTGCAAAATATAGTAAAAGTTGCCTAGGACCTGGAATGTATCTACTTGTGAAGTAACAACAGTACTCATCATCTTATGTTTGTTCATCCTCACCTTGGGAACAAGTACATTCATTGTCATTTATAGAAAAGATCCAAAAGAAGCAGGCTTACCAGCTTTCATGATAAGTCTATTTTCACCTTCATAGGAGTTTCAGAATCATCTGTAAGAGGCCTGGAATCCAGAGGCACCCAAGGGAATTAGCAACAAGAAATACATAGTAAGTAGGTTAGTTAATGAGGCTATGGAGTTAGTATTGTTTTACAGTGTTTAAGATACTCTACTATGCCTACATTTTGGGAAAGATGTGTATCTTGTGACATTTGTACTTGATTTGGTTTGATTTCATACCCTGCCTGCTATCCACAAGCTTGCTTTATATTCTTTCTGGGGGAAAGCCCCTCAGAATCATGTGAATAGCTGCCAGGCCACAAAGCTGACTTCTCCACCCTGGCATCACAGAGTGGGAAAGACTAGTTTATTTCCTTCTTTTCTTTTTTCTTTTCTGTTTGTTTGTTGTTTTTTTTTTTGAGATGGAGTATCACTTGGTTGCCCAGGCTGGAGTGCAGTGGCGCGATCTCGGCTCACTGCAACCTCCGCCTCCTGAGTTCAAGGGATTCTCCTGCGTCAGCCTCCCGAGTAGCTGGGACTACAGGCGTGCACCATCACACCCGGCTAATTTTTGTATTTTTAGTAGGGACAGGGTTTTACCATGTTGGCCAGGATGGTCTCGATCTCTTGACCTCGTGATCCACCTGCCTCGGCCTCCCAAAGTGCTGGGATTACAGGCGTGAGCCACTGTGCCTGGCCCCAAGACTAGTTTATTTCTAGCTGCAGGAACTAGTTCCCTTGTTTAGGCCATTTAGTCTAATGAATAAAAAGAATTCAGAAAAACCGGGTTTCTTTCCATACAGCAACTTCTTTGGGAGGTAAAGAAAAAGAATCTTAGTCTCAGAAGTCAAGCTATCTGTGGTTCACATCTGCCTTGGGAGATAGCACCTCCTTGCACTGTGTCTCATTGATGGTTGTCACTTTCTGTTGTTACAAGAGAGCTTGGGTCCCATGTGAGGTCACTAATATTAATAATGTAGAAGTGGTTTTTAGTTCAGAGGAGCAGCTTGTCAACAGCTTGTATTTTTAAATATTGTACTAGGAGGAAGTATACTGTATTCATAGGGTATGTGCTTCTTTATTAGTAATCTTAATGCATTTATGAGCAGTTTGACATACACTAATTATTTATAGTGCTGTGGATTCCATTTGCTGCTAGGTGACAATGTGGAGAGTTGGGATGCAAAACTGTGATTAAGAAGCTATTAGTTGGCCTGGCACGATGGCTCATGCCTGTAATCCCAGCACTTCGGGAGGCCAAGGCGGGTGGATCACCTGAGGTCAGGAGCTCAAGACCAGCCTGGACAACATGGTGAAACCCCCTCTCTACTTAAAAAAAAAAAAAATTTAGCCGGGTGTGGTGGCACATGCCTGTAGTCCCAGCTACTTGAGAGGCTGAGACAGGAGAATCACTTGAACCCGGGAGGTGGAAGCTGCAGTGAGTCGAGATCATGCCACCACACTCCAGCCTGGGCAAGACAAGACCGAAACTCCATCTTAAAAAAAAAAAAAAAAAAAAAGAGAAGAAGAAGCTATTAGATACAGTCAGGATGACTGGATTTCAGCTTTTGTGTGGCTAGACTCAGAGTGTAGGGGGGCTTTCAGAGTGCTTGTTAAATGCTCTGGGTTAAATCAGAAAGAAGGAAAGCTAGCAAAAATTGCTTAATCAGAATAGTTCGGTTGAACTCATACAAGCTTATCTTTTTAGATGTTGTGGAATTCTTTGCAACTCTATAATTAATTCCAGATTGTTCAGATGTATTTCTAGTGCCAGAGATAGTGTTGTGGCTGCCTCCATAGCAAGCCTAAAAGTACCCCAGAGCTGGCCTCTTTATGGTACTTGCAAGTAGAGGATAAAAGATGTATCTTTTTGTATCTTGGATACTGGTGGCCCTTGGCAACAAACAATCTCCATCTCTCTTGAGGGAGTCAGGATGCCAAGCAAATTTTGAGGAACAGATAATAGAATAATGATATGAATCAAAATAGGGGCCAAGAATCCCAAATTCACTTCTTCCTTCCATTCTCCAGAACCCATGATTGCAGTTTCCACATTTTTTTTTCAGTTTTAACAGTCTCCTTTTTCATAATCATATGATGGGAATTCATGTGTGTCAAAGAGATTACTTGGACATTACCACCTCCAAGAGAGGTCATGGTAGATTGTCTTACTGTTGAAAATGTGGTCCATGGATCAGCAGAAGCAGCAGCAGCATTACCTGGGAGTTTGTTAGGATTTCATAATCTCAGGCCCCACTCTAGACCTACTGAATCAGAATCTGTATTTTAACAAGATCCTCAGGTGGTTTGCATGCATGTTAAAGTTTGAGGAGCATTGGTAGAGGGAACTGTGGCTATTTATTTTATTGGTCATGTGCATACTAATTTCCCGACCTCTCTTGATTATTAAAATGACTGTGAACTTACTAGAACTACAACATATTGATGTGAGGGAGGTGTTTATATGTGAAGGTGATTGGCTTCCATGCAGAAACCATGTAACACCCAGCCTGAACAGTTTCTGATGAGGTTGCCCTTAACCTAGGAAACTGAAAGATAATGTTGTCGTGTTTTTGATATATGACTGCTGTCCTGCTCAACTTTATAAACATGTCCAGGAGGTGGGGAGCAGTTTGCTACTCTTCATTTGCAAATCAATTATCTTTATATAAGTAGCAAATAGTCTATTTTAAAAGCTCAAAAGATAATTTTTAAATGAGAATTTGCTTTGCATGAAGTGTGTAGATGTTGGAAAAAGGTGACTTTGTCTAATTATTCTAATATATGAAGTTTAAAGGAATTAAGAGAATGTAAAAAATGGAGGCAGTAAAACGTAGAGTCTTCTTTAAGTCACAACTGTGACAGGGTCTCTTCAAGAGGCATCAGAAGTGACAAATGACCATTGGTGAGGAAATGGTACATTTGCAGTTTGGGTTCATAGTTTTCTAACTCTGTGGATAAAGAAAGACTCAAGGCTCTGACAGAAACTAAGTCATAGATTGCTTTTCTGCTTATGTCTCTCTCTCTCTTTTTTTTTTTTTTTTGAGACAGAGTCTTGCTGTGTCGCCAGGCTGGAGTGCAGTGGCATGATCTCGGCTCACTGCAACCTCTGCCTCCTGAGTTCAAGTGATTCTCCTGCCTCAGCCTCCCAAGTAGCTGGGACTACAGGCATGCACCACCACACCCAGCTAATATTTGTATTTTTAGTAGAGATAGGGTTTCACCATGTTGGTTAGGATGGTCTCGATCTCTTGACCTCGTGATCTGCCCGCCTTGGCCTCCCAAAGTGCTAGGATTACAGGCGTGAGCCACTGCACCCGGCCTTGTATCCCTTTTAGTAGAGAGTATGCTTCCTGTTCATTGAAGAGTCAGGTGACAGAGAGTAACATAATCATTGAAGCTTGGACTTTTTATTTAGTTTTTTGTTGTTGTTGTTTAGTTTTTTTTTTTTTGTTTTGTCACTCTGAACTTTTGGGAGCATGGCATTACTTTCTGGCTGCTTTAGGCATTTGGCTCTTGCTGATGCACATAACACAGGGTCAGGCCAGGTTCATGCTGCTGCAGGTCCTTTCTCCCAGACTTTAAGAAGATGACATTTTACATTAGGATGCAGTAAACATGTCATTCAAAGGCCATTCTGCAGCTCCTGGAGCACAAAGACTTGCTGAGTTTGCCATGATTGCATGCAAATTTTTGAAAAGTCAAATGCATGTATAAAACAGTTTGTCAGGCTGCTATTGGAGGAAAACAAGAACAAGTTGAAATCAATTGTTTGGGAAGAACATTTTGGCATGGTTTCTCTGAAGTTGAGTAAACATAATTTGTCCTATGTACCCATCTGGGCACACAGTAGCAGTCCTTCTGCCCACGGAAGGAGTTTGCACACATTAGACAAATTACTAGTCTGAATCTCCAAGACACAGATAGACGGTTCTGTGTGTGTATATATTTGTGTTTATACACTGTAACATATTATTCTATATACAGTGTTAAAGGCAGAGCCCTCCCCGAGGTACACTGCTTTCTTCAGAGCTTCCCTATAGTCTGCTCTGGTAGCACCTCCTACTTCTTTTAAGGTTAGTACAGGAGCCCCTCTTCTTGTCTGGTTGACCTGGACACTTTCATAGCCATGTCATTCTAAGGGTTCAGGTCTGACCCAGATAAGCCCTAAGGCCCAGACTGCTTGTCTGAAGTCTCCCAAGAGCACAGTTTTGCAGAGGCAAAGTGAGGCTTTGCTAAAGGCACTTCAGAATTTTTCTACAAAGCTTGCTGTTCCTACAGGTGAGGGTAGCTGTTTTTTTCTCCCCTTAGGTTTACTTTACTCTCACTCATCAACTCTGGCAAAGTGGATTTAACCATCAGATGTATTCTTTATTTCAGAGAACAAAGTGGTTTTGTTGGACTTCTTGTTCTCTCACTAGCTTTTGTGAAGGAAAAAAATCCTGCATGTTCCATACTAAAATGATAGCATTATAATTTTGCATCATTACATTATTTAACTGTTATCAGTAAATCTATGAATAAACTCTTCGAGACATCCATTCTCTACTTGTGTTTGTTGATTCATTATCATGCTTTTTGTACTTTCCAAAGCAGACCCCACATTTTTTGTATGAAGCATCAATAAGGGTGAGATATGGCAAGGGTCACTCACCATCATCCCTGCTTATCACTGTCTCCTTTCTTGCTCCTGACATTTTTCAGTGAGTAGTACCCCTGTGTGACAGCTGGAATACAGAGTGGTGACTGCACATTGACCTTAAGAACACATTTGTGGTTGTGAAATGGGCTGGGTCAAGGACTGCCCTCCTGCAAATTCCCTTCTACAAAATTTATTTTAAAGATACACACTACTAGGCTGGGTGTGGTGACCTCACTTACAAAGTGCTGTAATCCCAGCACTTTGGGAAGCTGAGGCGGGTGGATCGCTTGAGGTCAGGAGTAAAAGACCAGCCTGGCCAACACGGTGAAACCTCGTCTCTATTAAAAATACAAAAATTAGCTGAGTGTGGTGGCTCATGCCTATAGTTCCAGCTACCCAGGAGGCTGAGGTAGGAGAATTACTTGAACCCAGGAGGCGGAGGTTGCAGTGAACCAAGATCACACCATTGTACTCCAGCCTGGGCAACAGAGCAAGACTCTGTCTAAAAAAAAAAAAAAAAAAGATACACCGTACTAGATTGATCCTTCAGTAATACACTGTAGCATTTGTTTTAGGTTGTTAAATGAGTGGGCTTATGCTACTACGATTGCTTTAGTGTTTATATAGCATAAGTGTGGCATTTGTGATTAAATGGATCACCCTGAGTTGGAATGATGGACATAATTTAATTTACTCTTTTTTTTTTTTTTTTTTTTTTTGAGATGGAGTTTCTCTCATGTTGCTTAGGCTGGAGTGCAATGGCGTGATATTGGCTCACCACAACCTCTGCCTCCTGGGTTCAAGCGATTCTCCTGCCTCAGCCTCCCGAATATCTTGGATTACAGGCATGCACCACCACGCCCAGCTAATTTTGTATTTTTAGGAGAGATGGGGTTTCTCCATGTTGGTCAAGCTGGTCTCAATCTCCCGACCTCAAGTGATCCACCCACCTCAGCCTCCCAAAGTATTGGGATTATAGGCGTGAGCCGCCGCACCCGGCCAGTTTACTCTTATGTAGTAAGAGTAGGTCAGCCTTCCTGGAGTCTGTTAAGGATGGAAGTGGGCTTTCAAGGCCAGGCCATATCCAGTCAGGCATGCCTTTGAGTGCAGCATACAGTTGGAAGGACTAGGGCAAGAATGGGGAGAAGGTATAGGAGCAGTTCCTTTATCTTAGTGGGTTTCCAGTTGGCCATGCCAGGAGGGAATAAAGTAACTGAACTCTGGAAAAGCTACAGAATCCTGCTGCAGGGGGTACATTTGAGGAGAAGCCAGAACATTAAATGAAGGTAAGAAAATGCAAGAAAGAAGAAGCAGCACAGGTGAATCAGAGCTCCTTCAGCAACATCTGACAGGGGCTCTCTTTTGGGCATGAAGCTCAGGGTTCATTTTTAAAGTCATGCTAAACAGAAACTGTGAATTCAAGCCAGGCGTGTTGGCTCACACCTGTAATCCCATTACTTTGGGAGGCCAAGGTGGGAGGATTGCTGTAACCCAGGAGTTTGAGACCACCCTGGGTAACATAGTGAGACTCTAACTCTACAAAAAATTTTTAAAAATTAGCCAAGTGTCGTGGTGCATGTCTGTGGTCCCAGCTACTCGGGAAACTGAGGCAGGAGGCTCTCTTGAGCCCAGGAGATTGAGGGTGCAGTGAACCACAGTTGTACCACTGCACTGCAGCCTGGGCAACAGAGCAAGACCCTGACTCAAAAAAAAAAAAAAGAAAGAAATTGTGAATCCCCTGGAGGTGCTTGTTAGATGAATGGAGTCCAAGTCCTGTCTCATAGAGATTCTGATCAGGTCTCAGATGGACTCGTGGAATCTGTATGTTTTCAAATGCTCTAGATGAGTCTTATGCTTGGGTAATTTTGAGAAATACTCTGCTGCTAGATTATATTAATCCTGTTGGGTGGGACTCTATGTCGGCTGGCTCCCTAGGGGTCCAGTGAGTAATGCATCGTGAATCACTGGATCATGGTCATGTTATATCCATGGATATAATAATTTTGTCAAAGCTTTCTAGAGAGGCCATTTCAATGTGTCCCTCAATGAATTTTCCTAAAACTATCTATCAGCACAATTGAAATTTGTGGATGAACTTGGTCTGATTAAAGAGATGAAAAATGGCTTTTGAACTAATTGCCCCTTTATCTCCCAAAGTGTCTTTCAGAATATTGATATTCATATATCAGTAGCTCAGAGTGAATATTAGCTGCAAAATAAAACAGGAATCATAGGCTTTGGGTTTACATTATGACACAAAACTTTTAAGTGTGTGACCTAAAATAATTTGTGCTACAATCAAAAGAAAATGTTAAATAAAATGGAAAATAAAACTCTTAGATTTCTGTACACTGGTGATGAATAACTTGAGCATGGTAGGAGCTTGATAAATACTAGAGGAATTCCAACACACTGTTTAGTGGGAGTTTGGTGGCTCAATAAAACGTTTATGTCCTAGTTAGGACTAATGGGTTGTAGGTGTCTGAGAAGAACTCGAGCTAGCCTTAGCAGAAAGAGGGGTTTATTATAAGGATGTAGAGGTTGCCAGACCTAAGAATGGGAGCAGCTGGGCCTCAGAGAGAGACTGGAATTAGGGGACAAATGGAAAGCCAGCCCGGACCTAGGAGGTGCCCATGCTCCCTCTCCCTCTGCTTTTGTTTGCATATCTGCCTCTTATCTATATACAGACAAGATTTCTTTGTTCCACAGTCTACTTGGTAGAAAAATCACCAAGCTGCAGTACCTGAGTAACTCATGAAGACACTGCCTTGATTTGTTGTCATGATTTCAATTCCAAACTCTCAGGAGAAGAAATCTGACTGGCCTGGCTTGAGTCAGTTTGTATCCTGGGTTCATGGTAAGCACATATGCCAGAGTCCATATGTTTCTGGAGATATGGAATGCAATGTGGAGGTATGGTCTTTGAGAAAGAGGGTTCTTGCAAGCTGATTCATTCACCCCAAAAATGCAAGTATTATGATATATAATGGTGAAGACTTTTATTATTTTTTTTTTCAGTGGGGCTGGGTTGTATTGCTCCATTAAGATATTAGGGGCCGGGCGTGGTGGATCACGCCTGTAATCCCAGCACTTTGGGAGGCCGAGACAGGCGGATCACAACATTAGGAGATCGAGACCATCCTGGCTAACATGGTGAAACCCCGTCTCTACTAAAAATACAAAAAATTAGCCGGGCATGGTGGAGGGCACCTGTAGTCCCAGCTACTCTGGAGGCTGAGGCAGGAGAATGGCGTGAACCCGGGAGATGGAGCTTGCAGTGAGCTGAGACGGCGCCACTGCACTCCAGCCTGGGCGACAGAGCGAGACTCCGTCTCAAAAAAAAAAAAAAAAGATAGCATGGTTGCAGTGTTTTGTCAACCAAGTATTGTCTCTCATCCATGCTTTTGCATAATCTAATGGATGTAGTCATTTCTACCCTTCTTCACCTGACTAGCCTCATTCAAGTTCAAGTTTCAGATTAAATAACTCTTCAGGAGAAGTGCTCATCAGCCAGTCTTCCTTGTTGCTTCATGCCCTTCCCTTTCCCTACCCCTGATAAGATCAAGTTGTTTTTTTTTTGTCCTGAAGGAAGGAATGGAAGAGAGTTTAGAAAATATGTACATTCCTAAAAATACTCCCTATCTAATGTATACAAGTTTCTGTGCTAATTTTTATAAGTAATAAAAAGGGAGTAATGGCTGGGTGCGGTGGCTCACGCCCATAATACCAGCGCTTTGGGAGGTTGAGGTGGGTGGATCACGAGGTTAAGAGATCGAGACCATCCTGACCAACATGGTGAAACCCCGTCTCTACTAAAAATACAAAAATTAGCTGGGTGTGGTGGTGCGCGCCTATAGTCCTAGCTACTCGGGAAGCTGAGGCAGGAGAATCACTTGAACCCGGGAGGCAGAGGTTGTGGTGAGCCGAGATTGTGCCACTGCACTCCAGCCTGGCGACAGAGTGAGACTCCATCTCAAAAAAAAAAAAAAAAAAAAAAAGGCAGAGGATAGAACAAATATACAATTACTATAATGCAAAGTAAGATAAAAGTTTCCGAGGACAGTATAGGGAGAGAAACATTAGGATGTGGGGTCAGCGAAAGACTTTATGAAGGACATTTCACTTTAGACAGGCCTTGAAATTTAGATTAAGTTTCTAGAAGGTGATGTGGGTAGAGGTGGGAGAGGATTCTGGGTGCAGAAGTCAGAAAAAAATAGCATGGTTGTAGCAAAATTCTAGATGAGCAAAACCCATTTCACTAGAACAGAGGGCAAGGGTGCAGTAGGAGATAAATCTGGAAAGGATCACTTAGCTCATATCCTATGATGAACACAGTGAGGAAATTACACTTAATTCCATTGGCAGTGGGTTGATGAATTTTGCACAGAGTATATCATTAGAATGTAAGCTTCATGAGATAAAATGACAACAACAACTGTGTGTCTTTTTCTCTGACTCTTTAGAGTCTAGCACAGTGTCTGGCATAGAGAGTGTGTGCTTAAGAAATATTTGTGACTTCGTGAATCACAGCTGTATCTTAGCAACGTTAATTTGGCAGCACCAAATAGAATGAGTTATAGGGGAAGACTGGGAGCTGTGAGACCAATTTGGAGGTGAATATGGTAGCTTGGCTGAGAATTAATGAAGACCTTTGAGCTGAGCTAGAACAGAAAGGATGGAGGCTGACTGGTAGAACATTGTGGAAGTGGAATCTGAAGGACTAGACATACAGGAGAGGCAGAGACCCTTTCAATCAAGGGACTAGATTCCCAAAACAGAGGGACTAGATTCCCAAAAGAGAGTGACGACCAAAAGAAAGAAACCTACACGTTACTGTTTTATGAGAGAAAAATATGAAGCAGTTATTCCCCTTGCTTTTTAAATTAAAAATCGGGAGCATTAAACTTAAATACTTCAAAGTCTGCTTCTCTTGCATCCCATGTCGTCATACAGTGAGGTGCTCTGTTTATATTTCATGTAGGATGTCAGGCCTCACCTCTATCCTAAATTCATACATAGGCACTATGTATTTTTCCTTCCTCTCTTGACTGAGGGGAAGCAGGGAGAGAGGAGAGTAGAGGCTCAGGCAGCACACAATTCTAGAGAAAAAGCAAATCCTGTCAGTTAAAAAAAAAATTCCCATGGATGGAAGAAAATTAAGATAAGAGTTAGCACTGGCCTAGAGTTTCTTTTCTCAATAAAAAAAAGTTTGTGGAAAAAAGATGAGTATTTAATGAACCAGACACCATATATATAAGGGTATTTCTTATATACCTCCTTCTGGAACTTAGCACTATAAGATTCATTCAGTTACTGATTCCCATTTTTCCCATCACAAAATCTTGTTCACATTAATGTGCTGTGATTTATCTTCTTCCAAAGTCTCTTGTGCTTAGAAAAGAGAAGCTAAAATTAGTTAGGAAAGCATTCATTAAGGACTGGATCATGGGCATTCCACTAAGCACTGGTGATAAGGAGACTTATAAGTTATGTTTTATGTTCTTAAGGAATTTATTAACCTGGTTGAAGAAACAGGATATATATGTGTGTGTGTGTGCATGTGCGTGTGTGTGTGCATATATATCTATATATATCAGGCTATATATGTAAAATGTAAATAATATCATAAACATATGCCAAGTGCTAAATAAGCTTGATTTCATAATGCTTGTTTCACAAACAGGTTAAAAACCACCAGTCAGGTATACTGTAACACTTAGGTGGATTTAACATTTTCTTCTCCTGAAGAAAAATACTTAAGTATTTCCTAAAGATTTCATTGAGAGAGAAAATTGTGTTTGACAAATTAAATAGAATACCATTATTAATAGCTTACAGTTGCTATAAATTGATCTCAAATGCTTGGTACTTGAATAATGGAACAGGTTCTGTGATTTATAGTGTAACTTCATTAACAGGTGTTTCCATAGTTACAGTGCTCTTTGTGCAGGGTCCCCAAGCTGGTTGTGTTAGGTTGTCTTGAATTGCCCATTTTCTCAGATTGGGTATTTGCAGGCTTTAGTAATGGAAAGAATTTAGTTGTCATGGTAAGGATTCATAGTAGTCTTTTAAAAAAATTCAAAACATGGGACATAGAGTGATTAAAATACAGCACTTTCTTTGGAAATAAGTACTATAAGACTTAATTTAAACATGCACATTGTCAGAAGAAAATTGCAGTTATTCGCCCAGGCACAGTGGCTCACGCCTATAATCCCAGCACTTTGGGAGGGTGAGGCGGGCGGATCACCTGAGGTCAGCAGTTTGAGACCAGCCTGGCCAATACAGTAAAACCCCATCTCTACTAAAAATATAAAAATTAGCCAGGCATGGTGGTGGGCACCTGTAATCCCAGCTACTCGAAAGGCTGAGGTGGGAGAATTACTGGAATCCAGAAGGTAGAGGTTGTAGTGAGCCGAGATCACGCCATTGCTCTTCTCCAGCCCAGACAAGAGTGAAAGTATCTCAAAAAAAAAAAAAAAGTAGTTATTCATCTCTTTGGTAATTTAGACAGGGCTTCCATAACATTTTATCTTTAATTTTAAAATATTGAGCTAGCTATTGTGGCTAAATCTTGTATATTCTGAAATATAGTTACAAATCAATTGGGACATCTAAAGAGAGCAGTACTCACTAGGGATTTTATTTACATCATCTCAGTAATTTTATGGGCAAGCATTCTGAGGATCTAGGAGATTAAATAACTTGCTTATGACCTTGCAGCTTATAAATGGGATCTAAAATTGTACCCTGGTGTGTCTAACATTCACCTATACCACAGATTTTCAGATTCTTGGCCTCAACTTCAGGATAGACAAGTTTAAAATGGGAATTCAAGTAGGAGCTCCCTAAACATAGATTAAGTTCAAGTGAAGTGAGGGACGGAGGTGAGCATGCATGCACGTGTGTGTGCATGCAGGGTGTACACTGCTGAGAGATACTGTGATGGAGGCCTTTGCTGTGTTCTTTCTTTATGATAAAGAGTGAGAGAGGTGGAAGACAAAGTTTCATTAGGCCCTTAGGCCTAATCAGCCACTTTCTCTTTGTTCCTGCTTTATAATAGGCACTTCTGATGTCTTGACTTACCTGGCTACATGCACTACAGACATCTTTCACTGAAATTCTGTTTTTTATGTCCCAGTTCCTTTGCTTCTGCTTGCTCTGACTGCAGAAAACCACCCAAATAAAATGCCTTCTATTAGGAAGTGACCAACTTTTTTTTTGACGTAGGATCTGGCTCTGTTGCCCAGGCTGGATTGTAGTGGCATGACTTTGGCTCACTGCAAGCTATGCATCCTGGGCTCAAGTCATCCTCCCACCTCAGCCTCCCAAATACCTGGGACTACAGGTGCATGCCACCATGCCCGGCCAATTTTTGTATTTTTTGTAGAGACAGGGTTTTGCCATGCTATCCAGGCTGGTCTCCAACTCTTGAGCTCAAGTGATTCTCCCATGTGGACTCCCAAAGTGCTGGGATTACAGGCGGGGACCACCATACCCAGCCCTGAAAAACTTTTTAAAGGACAAGCAGACATGCCTGTTTATCTCCTGGAAACTCTGGTACTGACAAGGAGTGGTCAGTTCCACATTACACATATACTTAAAACCATCGTTAATAGTTTTATGTGGTGTTTATTTTCTTGTTCTATATATAAAAATGGACTCACAAAGATTTAAAAGCATGTCTGAGGTTATAAAGTACATTCATGCTGTAGAGTGGGAAAAGGGAGGGCAAACAAATGTGAGAAACATGGATAGATCTGGAGACACAGAGTCACCATCTTTCTGTCCCCTCCTGTGCTGATAAATTCTTTCTATTATATCAGTCTGCTGGCCAACTTTTATTTTCTCTTGAAACCTGAGTTTTTAATGTAAGTCTGTAAAATAGAGAATAAATATGAAAGTTTATCAGCAATATTAAGAATCCATTTATATTATACATTAAGGAGTTCCTTGAAGAATAAGCCACTTTGACTGGGTCAGGAGAAAACCACTACTGAGTGAAAGAGCTTAACAGTTTAGGGGCTTAGGGTCTTACGGCTTTGTAGTCAGACTGAACAGGGTTCAGATCCCATCTCTGACATCACTGGCTGTGTGCCTTTGGGCGAGCTAGTTAACCTTTCTAAATCTCAGCTTCCTCCTTTGTAAAATGAAGATACTAGTAGTTTTTGTCTCCCAGAGTTATTGTGACAATTAAAGGAGAGCACATATATAAAGTACATCATAGTGCCTGGCATATGGTATGGAATGAATAACTGATAGCCTCCAGTATTGTTTTCTCTCCTCTTAACTTCAGTCCTGAGTACCTCTCTGTACACCCAAGGTTTTGGGGGAAGGAAGAAGAGAAAACATGAGGAGGGATAACCTGAAACAGTTGATAGCTGTCAGAGGTGCACACATGGAATCAAAACATGTGGAACAAGAATCAGGGCATCATTTCTCTTTTCTAAGTCCTGATATTACTTAAATAAATATAATTATCGTGGAGTGGTCTTAAAGTTGTTGGATTTTTACCATATATTTATGATTCTGTTTATATTAAATGTTCAGAATAGGCAAATCTATAGAGACACAAAGTAGATTAGGGGTTGCTTAGAGCTGGTGGGGAGAGAGTTAATGGAAAGTGAGGAGTGACTGCTAATGGGCACATGGTTTCTTTCGGGAATGGTGAAAATGCTCTAAAACTGATTGTGATGATGGTTGCATAACTGTGAATACACTAAAAACCATTGAATTTTATATGTTAAATGAGTGGGATTGTGAATTATATCTCAATAAAAATGTTTAAAATTGGGGGAGTTTTTGCCTATCTCAACTAGAATGTAACTTTCTTGGAGAACAGGACCTATATCTTTCCTCTCTAAACACTCAGCCTAGCATAAAAACTAGCACATGGTAGATGTTCACGAAATGCTGAATAATGAATGACTCCTTGAGTAAGTCCAGGACAGAATTCTCAGACAATGTGACTCACCATACAGGAATTACTTCAGCTAGAGTAGTTTTACTTCAACTCAGTGTAACTATTGGGCTTTCAATTTTGATTTTATTTGCATTCCCCAAAGAGTTTGAACATTGCTGGGCTGGAACACCAAATTTTATTCCTAAATGCAATTTACTCCTTCTTCAATGCCTGGGATGATGATGATGATGATGATGATGATGATGATGATGATGATGATGATGATAGCAGCTGATATTTACTGAGCACTTTCTATGCTTCAGGCACTATTCTAAGCATTTAAAATAAATGAATAAATATGTGTATGTATATCTCATTTAATCCTTACAACAATTTTGGGATGGGTTCTATTATTATTCTCATGTTTCAGGTAAGGACATTGAGGAAAAGTAACTTGCACAGGTTCAGGCAGGTAGTATGTGGTGGAGCCAAAGTTCAATATTGCAGGAAAACCTATACTTTAAACTACTGCACTAGAATGTGCCGTAATGTTTTGGTTCATATATTTCAAAGGAACCTGCCTTGACTACTTTCTCCTCTGAATTCATTGCATATGTTGACTGCATTACTCTTAAGTTTATATGTTATTACGTGTTATAATGTAGGGCTCTTTGTGAGTTCTACTTACTCTATTTTAAAACTTGGGCGGGCGCGGTTGCTCATGCCTGTAATCCCAACATTTAGGGAGGCTGTGGCGGGGTGGATTACCTGAAGTCAAGAGTTTGAGGCCAGCCTGGCCAACATGCTGAAACCCCATCTTTACTAAAAAATACAAAAGTTAGCCAGGTGTGTTACCACACACCTGTAATCCCAGCTACTTGGAAGGCTGAGGCATGAGAATTGCTTGAACCTGGGAGACGAAAGTTGCAGTGAGCCAAGATTGCACCATGCACTCTAGCCTGGGTGATAGAATGAACAAACAAAAAAACACTGGTAAGGGCAGAGACTACCTCTTTATCTGTTTCTAACAGATAAAGCCATTGTTGTCCTGTGTTGCCCTTATATTATCAAGACCATGAATGATGATGATTTTTACAGTGAATGGAAATCCTTTCCATAGTACTGCTTTATTTTAAGGTCAGTATCCCTTTTATAATACAAATGTTTCATAAAAGCCATGATTATTACTTTTTAATGACAGACTAATCTTTGTCCCTCACCCCTATCAGTCCTACTCTTTAAATATCTCCATCCATGGAAGTACTCTATCAGTAGGCCAATATTCACCTTTTAAAAATTGTGGTAAATACACATAATATAAAATTTACCAATGTAACCATTTTTAGTGTATCATTCAGTGGCATTAAGTACATTTACAGTGTTATGTAACCTCATCACTCACTAGTTCCAGAATACTTTCATCACCCCAAAAGGAAACCCACTTAGCAGTCACTCCTATTTCTCTCCTACCTGCAGCCCCTGGCAACCACTAATCTGCTTTCTGTCTCTGTAGATTTGCCTATTCTGGATACTTTACATAAATAGAATTATCTAATATGTGGCCTTTGGCATCTTTCACTTAACATACTACATTTTCAAGGTTCATCCATGTTGTATCAAGTATTAATACTTTATTCCTTTTTACAACTGAATAATATTTCATTGCATGAATATACCACATTTTGTTTATCCATTCATCTGTTGATGGATGTTTGGGTTGTTTCCATCTTTTGGGTGTTATGAATAGAGCTGCTATAAACATTCATATGTAAGTATTTGAACACCTGCTTTTAATTCCTTTGAGTGTATTCCTAGAAGTGGAATTGCTATGTCATATGGTAGTTCTATGTTTAGTTTATTGAGGAAACTCTAATATCCCTTGTATAATTTTATAGATATTGTATAACACATATGGATATTATTGCTTGTATCATTATTAAACACCTCTGTTTCTCTCATTCCTGCAGTCTTCAGGCCCTCTTGGTTCTACCTTTTAAAATTATCTCCTGAATATGACAGGAGATAATAAAAAAGCTTCCATTTCCATTCAAACCATCAGACTCTTAGTATATTTTACCTAACCAGTTGCTAAGTGATTTGGGCAAATTATTTAATGTCTTCAAGTCTCCATTTCATTATTGATAAGATAGAGGATAATGTATATATGGGGTTGTCATAATTGAGATAATACATATAAAGCTCTTAGCCTTCTGATTGCATAATAGGGCTCAATAAATGTTTGTGATTATTAATAATCTTTTAACTTGTCTCTCTTCCTCAGGTTTGGTTACCTCAAAATTCATTAGCCATACTGCTGGTAGAGTAATTTTTCTAAAATGCAAAATTAACCATTGCTTCCCTATTTTATATTTTCTTACAACTCTCTATGCCTATAAGATAATGCCCAGACTTGGTTTGAGATACCCCTCTTTGGCTTCTCTTGCCCTATGTGGCTCCTTATCAAGACCAGTATTGGCATCCTAACCACCCACAGGGCTGCCATAGTATCAGGTCATTTGCTTTCTCTTCTGTTTTCTTACTTAATTTTTCTACTTTGACCTATGAGTCGTTGCCTTATCTTCTTGAAAACTTAGCTATGTATTTTTAAAAAATGTTTGCTATATTTTATTCTGAAGTTTCTTTGAGTTTTGTTGGCAGAGGCTTTTTAGGTTATCTGGTCTACCCTATTGACAGAAATAAGTCTTTTTTATATTTCTTGTCTAATCTCCTGTCTTTCCACTTTGCTTCTCAAATAGGAGTTAGGGCTAGAAGTGAGTTCAGTGTATCTTTATATTCCTAGGCTCTAGAACATAGTGCTTATATAATATCTATTTAATGAATATTCTCCAAACCACATTGTTTATTTGGAATACCTGTTCACCTTTTAAAATTCACAACAAACTGATTGTTGCAATTGCCAAATAAGAATCTATATAAATGACAGCTGCTGAGTGAAGTTTGTACGTAGGGGAACATTTCCTGGTAGCCATATTAGATTTCCATAGGTAAATCTCTTGGTGCTCAGATCACAGTCATTTGTGTGTAATGATATCTGGATGTGGTTTATACCACACCCCCAGATTGCTTCCCCAGATTGTATATCAAAGTCACGATCTTTTGGCAGAATTATAATTGCCCATGGGGAATGGTGGCCTCTGAGTTTCATAGCTCAGGGATGTATTGTTGGAGCTGCTGTCAGTTTTTCACTAGAGATATAACAATTGAAGTGTCTTACATTTCTATAGTTCTTTTTAAAAAACAAATTTGAGATACAACACATACCATTTAAAGTGTACAATTTAAATTTAAAGTGTACAATTCAATGGAATAAAAGCTAAAGGATTATTAGCCTGGAGAAGAGAGAAAACTTATAAGAATGTGACAGCTTCCTCCAGTATTAGAAGGTCTATCATGTGGATAATATACAAAAAAGGTTTAAGTCTGTGCTGTGTTGCCCCAGAGGGAAGAACCAGGAAGTTGCAAGGAGATAGATTTATATCAACATTTATATCTGAATTCATATCAGAAGAATTTCTAACAGTTGGCATTAGTTGAAAATAAAGTGGGCTGCCTCGGGAGTTCATAAAACTCTCCAACAATAATAGTATCCAAACAGGAGCAAGATGACTGGTAGTGGGGAATTCTGTAATGGTGATTCAGGCATCCCATGGGTTGTATTAGGTGATTTCTGCGGTCTCTTTCTACCATGAGAGATTGATTCTTTGAAGGCTAGAGAAAACAAAGGGAGAAGAAGTTTACAGCTTGCAAAACAGGGGGTATGTATAATGTAAAGATAGGTGTGTTATCATCTTCTTGAAATTTGGTAGTCAAAACATAAAATTTGAGATTAGCCGCCTCATTATATAGGTGGGACATTCAGATACAGAGGTTATTAAACATTGCCCAAGGTCAAATAGCCAGTCAGTGGCAGAGTTGGAACTAGATTCCCTATTGTTTTAAGACAAATAATGGAATTATTCATTTTAATAATTAAGATAAAAATAATTTACTGGATGGAAAAACTGACAGGTCCAAGACTAGGTTATGACCACATCCTTAATGTATTATTAATGAAAGGTAGGTATGTTCAGGATACCTTTCAAGCCTTTTGAGGATAAGATCAAACAGTACAAATGACAAGCTTTACTACAAAACTTACCCTGGTGCTGCTGACAGAAAGAAGATATTGAACTGAATGAACCACTGATTTAACACACAATGGCTTTTAAACTGTGTATGTCTTTATGTCTTTTCTCTGTTTGCTTTTATCATTGTTTTTGAATGTTTTATTATTTCCATAGTTTGATCCCATGTGTCCCGTTTTATTCCAAGTCCACTTTTATCTCAGCGTCTTGAATGGTTAACACAAACAACAAATGCATTAAACAGCAAGGCATTGTAACTTCTAACATCAATAACAGTAAAAGCAGTAAGACATTCAAGAACAATGAAATAAAAGCAGTGGGGGAAAAAATCCTGGGTTCAGTTGAAGCTCGGCTAGGTGTATATCAGCCAGTAGTGAAGCTTGAGCAGGATCACAGAGGTTAGAAACAATTGTTCCAGACTATGAATGGACAGCAATTCTGTCCTCCAAATTTAAACACATAGCATTAAAATATTACAATTAGTAACCATGCAAGACTGGCATGAGAAAATGAAATCTAATCTTGATCCTTGTTTTAAATATTTTAAGAGGAGTTTATCAAATAAATTTTCTTGCTTTAGTGGATGCATTTAGAAGAAATGGGACCATATAGATTTGTCCTGTGAGATTACATGTCTTCATCTTCTTCCTAGCATACCAAAGAGAGTAGGATATTTGCATATTTCCAGTTCTCTTTTCACTTTCTAAAAATCACATGAAATATCCTGTGATATTTATATATGACCACTGAGGTCCAAAGGTAAAAGAAGGGCATTTTAATCTGTCTTTTAAGGCATATAATCAGAAAGTGTTTGAGAAGCTTGTCATGAATTATGAGCACTTTCAGTGAATCACGTACAGAGTATTTTCAGCACAAAATCCTGTGAAATTTAGGTTCATAATTGCATCACACTCCTTTGGTACCATTGTTGGAGTCAGAATTCACTTGGGAAAACACTGACTTAATTGGCAAACTTTATCTCTTCTTCCTTCAGTACACCTGCAAAGTGCTTATCATAATAGGAATTATGCTTGTTCCAAGGAGAAGCTATCCTTGTGAATTAGCCAATTAGCTAGTGTTTCATATCTTATCTTTCATTCCCAAGCCTGTGATTTTTTTCCTCTAAGTACCAACATTTATTTGTGAGCTTGCAAATTGAAATGTATGTATTCCTTTCCTTGACATCTCATCACTGTGTAATATGACCTTCAGCTATGCTTTTAGGAAATGATTATGTATGTCTGAGTTAAAAAAATATCTTCAGACTGTTTGTGGAAACTGATTTTTTAAAACAAATTTTAAAGGAACTTCCTGTCTCATAGAATTTCTTGGCATATAAAACAAGGGAGTCTTCAATAGAAATGAAAGAATACTGAATGCAATTTGTACAAAACAGCATATTTGGCTGTCAATTATGGACAAAATCACCAGAAATCAAACACCTGGTCTCTCCAGGGAGGAGGACTGATTGTCACATAGCAAGAATACTGGCTGACCTAGCATAGTTCAATATATGGGGTGGAGAGTATCTCACCACCAGAAAAGTCATTTGAGAATACATTTAAAAATATATTAGTTTGGTTTTGCCAGTGCAGACTTATTCTCGATTAGCAGATAGAGTGTTTTTGAAGGAGATTTGCTGCAACCTTTAAACTCAACTTTTCCCCTCTGTGTTCCGATATGAGCTAGTGGCGTATGGGGACCCTTACCTTTGTTTTGTAGAGTTAATGTGAGCAAGAAAGAATTTGTGTGAAATTTTGAACAGTCATAAGAATTTTGGTATTTATAAAAATAAAAAATTCAATTTATTTTTGAAAATAAATTGTTCTACTGTCCCTAAAGTACCAAGAAAATGAAAGAATTTTTGGGAAAAGCAGGTCTCAGAATAATTTCACAGCCAATTGCCATTTCTTGGATCATGAAAGGCCTTAGGATATTGGTGTTGACGTTTTGGGTTCACTTTTCTTCTTCATTGTCCTCTGAGGCTGTCTATATGTAGCAGATGGACCAGATTGTGGCACAGCTGACCTGTTAATTTTCACTATTTCCATTATTAGAAACTTTCACTGGTTATGTCGCAATTTACATTAGCCACAAAAATGGCCAAAATGGGTAGATTTTTAAATTACCTTGTAAGCTATTCATTTATGGCCCCAAAATGCAGACAAAATGTCAGTTCAGAATTTTATTTGAGGAGGATATAAATCAGTTTGAACAATAATTTTAAATACATATTAATAATTCTTTTTATTAATCCTCTGAGTTCCAAAGCACAGAGAAAGAATCCCATAGGATCTCAGTAAACGTGAAATATAAGTAAACGACTGGACCATAGTTCATTTTTGTGTGTGAAAGAATATAACTTGTGTCTTCCTGGTGTTTATTATTTCTGGCTTGTTACTGGATTCCACCTAAAAGTTTCTGTTTCCTGAAATAGTTGATCCCAGATCTCTTTATGAATCACAATGCCGATTTGCTTTTCTTTCTGTATGTGTAACAGAGAACTTTGTGGTAACACATAGACTTTCCCAAGTTCATAGTTGAGGATTTTAAGCAGTCAGTAAAGACAGAAAATTAAAGGAGAGAAAATCCAGAACAAGCTGTTCAAAACTAATCAGTAGGAAATTATGTAAACTTAATTAACTAGGGCATCAAGGGAAGGGCTATGGAGTGTAATGAATTTTTTTTAGAAATGAGGCAAAGCAGCCAAACTAAAATAGGGTTAGTTGAAGTGTTCCCAAAAGGGAAGGAGGGAATATCCTTCCTGCATAAGGAGCCTTCCTTGACCTCCTGCCTTATTTTTGGCTGTGAATCTCTATGCCATGATCCTCAGTGGGGTAGGTATGCAAGGAGAGTATGGTGCCAAATGAACAACAACAAAAAAAATCTCATTTGTATTATTTATTGAATGATGCTCATATAGTAAAATGGAGACTGAAATATAGGCATTATGGCCTAGTCGCAAACCTCTGACCTTCCATTTGCAAATGAACCAAAATGATTAGCCAAGATTTAGAGGAAATTCATAAATTTCACATCTAGGTAGACCAGCTGGAGAAAGACTTGAGGGTTCTCTGTCTAGGACTCAATTCAGTTCAATTTTTAAAAAATTTATTGAAGACCTACCTGTTCTGTTAAAAATGATGTGCTAATGCTGCATGGAACAAATAGCTGAGTGAGGTGTTTCATTGCCTTTTAAGAGTGTATAATCTATTATGGAGAAAGAGACAAGTATACAAACAATAAGCATACCAGAAAGTGGTACAAAATAATACTCCTATGTCTGAAGACTCCTAAACGTCTTTTCCTAGTCTCATTTTCTCTTGTAAGCCCCAGATCTGAGTAGTCAACTGCCTTTTGGACCTCTCCCATCAACTTTTGAGTAGAGAAATGTAAACTTTCCATTTCTGATTACTTCAAAGGTAGATTTAGAAATGTAGATACACATACAAAAATGGAGTGTTTTCTCAAAGCTATCATTTATTTGGGTTGCAAATGTAGAATTCAGGTGTTTTAGGCACACACGAGAACTGATCATTGTTATATATACGTACATAATCCCATATACCTACAAACCCTTTATGACAAGGACAGATTGTAAAACACAGTACTGTCAAATTTTGGAAGACAAAGAATGCATATATGAACTCTTAATTTAAAATTGGGTTTGGAAATTCAAACAAAATTAAAGGAGATAAAAAGTTTTATTTTCTTATTCCTTTATAGCCTCAGTCACATGCTTCACTTTTTTTAGTTGTGGTAAAATATATATATAACATAAGCATTTTAACCATTTTTAGGTATAAAGTACAGTGGCATTAACAACATTCACATTGTTGTGCTAACATCACTGCCATTCATCCCCAGCACTTTTAAATCTTCCCAAACTGAAACTCTGTATCCATTAAATAGTAGCTCCCCATTCTATTTTCTGTCTCTGTGAATTTATTCTAGATACCTCATATAAGTGTAATCATACAATATTCGTCCTTTTGTGTCTGGCTTATTCCACCAAGAATAGTGTTGTCAAGGTCCATCCATCTTGTAGCATGAGTTAGAATTGCCTTCCTTTTTAAGACTGAATAATATTCCATTTCCTTTCAAGGCTGAGCAATATTCCATTTTGTGTATATACCACATTTTGTTTATCCATCAGTCAATGGACATTTGGATTGTTTCCACTATTTGCCTATTGTGAATAATACTGCTATGAACATGGGTGTACAAATATCCATTGAAGTCCCTGCTTTCAGTTCTTTTGGGTATATACCCAGAAGTGCAATTGCTAGATCATATGGGTATAGTTATCATATGGGTATACTTACCCAGATGGGTTTTGTTTTATTGTTTAAGAGACAAGTTCAATGTTGCCCAGGCTGGCCTTGAACTCCTTGGCTCCAATGGATCATCTTGCTTCAGCCTTCCACTTAGTTGGGACTACAGGCCAGGTAGACCAGCACCCAGCTCAATTGCTGGATCATATGATACTTTTATGTTTACTTTTTTGAGGAGCCACTATACTATTTTCCACAGTGGCTGCACCATTTTACATTCCCACGAGGAAAGTGCAGGCATTCTAATTTCTCCATATCCTTGACAACATTTGTTACCTTGTTTTGGGTTTTTTTTTGATAATAGTCATCCAAATAGGTGTGAAGTGGTATCTCACTGTAATTTTGATTTGCATTTTCCTAATGGATTAGTGATTTTGAATATCTTTTCGTGTGCTTATTGGCCATCTGTTTATCTTTGATGGAGAAATATCTATTCAAGTCCTTTACCTATTTTTTAATTGGGATGTTTTTTGTTATTGGGTTATAGGAGTTCTCTATATATCTGAATGTCAATTGCTTATTAGATATGTGATTTGCAAATATTTTCTCCCATTCTGTGGCTTGCCTTTTACTCTGTTGATTATGTCCTTTGGCAGACTTTGATAGTGCCCTTTGTTAATTTTGATGAAGTCCAATTTATCTGTTTTTGCTTTGGTGGTCTAAGAAATTTCCAAATCTAATGGCATGAAATTTTTTCCCTATGTTTTCTTCTAAGAGTTTTATAGTTTGGGCTCCTATATGTAGATCTTTGATGCACTTTGAATTAATTTTTGTATATTGTATAACATAAGGATCCAAGTTTATTCTTTTGCATGTGGATATCCCAAAGCCATTTGTTGAAAAGACTTCCTTTACCCATTAAATGGTCTTGGCATTCTTGTTGAAAAATAATTTGGCCATTGGCTTATTTCTCATAGCATAATGTTTTATTTCTGGGCTCTATTTTATTCCTTTGGTCTATATGTCTGTTCTTATGCAGTACAGTACCACACTGTTTTGATTATGGTAGCTTTCTAGTAAGTTTTGAAATCAGGAAATGTGAGACATCAATTTGCTTTTCTTTTATAAGATTGTTTTGACTCTGGGATTCTTGAGATTCTATGTGAATTATAGGACAGTAACATACTTTTACTTGTGGTCTTTGAAGTATTTTATAGGAAGTCCTCTATGACATTTTTATATAAAAACTCCTTTTGAAGTAATCCTCTCTAGTTCATCTAAGTTTAGGATAAATGGCAGGGTCTGATAATTTAAGCCAGTATAGGGCTACATGGTATTATTTAAACCCTTAGGGGGAATAAAAGATTACAGGATAAAGAATTTGAAAAGATATTTTCTTTGTAGAGAAAAAGAAGGAAACCACATTTGAAAAAACAGTTATCATGCCTTTTGAATTTTTTAAAAGTTTGATTGGAAAGCATTCAGCTATTCAGCATTTGCCTTTAGCAAAGGTTTTAGATTGACTCCCCTCCCACCCATTCTCAATAATCTTATTTTTTGCTTTGTAAATGAATAAGCTTTGGGGATTTTATTCTGCAATGTATAAGATATGTATGTAATATAGACATAAAAAATATACATAGTTTAACCACTTTAACAAGCTGTAAAAATCCAAATCTTCAGGGGCTACCTTTTGTTATTTAAGGATGTATAAATCATGAGAGCTTTTAGATAAGTCCTTCTCATCTTCATGAGCTTCATGTAATCTAGCACAGTTACTTTCCATAGCAGATGTTTGATAATTGTTTTTTAGTGAAATTTTAATAAGAATTTTATGTCTGTTTTTTCTTGTTCAATAATAGGTAGTATTTGAAGGAACTTTTCTGGCTTAGTTACTTCATACATCCAGTCACTTCGTTTCCTCCCCTATCTGTTTGAAGGAAAGGTGCTTACTAAATTTGTTAGTGATCACATTTTTTTGAATTTTCTGGATTCACTCATTTTTATTAAAAGGTAAAAAGTTAGTATTTTCCCATCAATATTTGTATTTATTTGAATTATCAAATTTCTTTTGCTTTGAACTTAAGCATGCTGCAGTCATTGTTGTCTTCTTTTTTAATCTTGCAGTTATTTATCATTTCTTTTTGTAATCTCTTACAGTTTTGGTTTAGTTTTTTGACAATGCAGTTGAATATATTCTCCATGTGTTTAAGAACATTTTAAATAAGTGCCCATTTCTTTGTAATGATTTTTCTCAGAAACAAACAAATCCTCAAGCTACTCTAGTAATATTCCTACTCCAGAGTAGTACACCATAGCTCTTGAGAAGAAAAGGAAAAATAATAGTTTCTGTGTGTTTTAAGTGGAAAGTAGTTTCTTTGATTTACATGAACATTAAGGCATGATAGGTAATGACAATTTATTCCTAAAATGTATTCAGTTACCCATTGACATGGATATGTCATAACCTGTTATGCTTGACTTATAGATTTCCCCAGGGAAAATGTTCCAAGAGAGTGAGCAAAAGAAATGTTTTCTGGGGAAAGTATCAAGGCGAGAGTGTTGTTATTTCAGACATCACAACATTTCCCTATAGCAGTCTATATCCAAGAATAAATCTGTGCTAGCCAAGCAGATGAATCTGGCATTTCTGAGAATACATGTGATGGTTGAATTGAGATTTTTGGTAACAACTGTGGGTCACTCTAAGATACCCATTTCTGGACATCTCAGACTGAGAGATGACTATAAGAGGTATCATTTTAAGTCTGGAGACCAGAAAGCCTCTATACTTGTTCATAGAGCTTTTTTTTTTTCTTTTCTTTTTTATTATTATAATTTAAGTTTTAGGGTACATGTGCACATTGTGCAGGTTAGTTACATATGTATACATGTGCCATGCTGGTGCACTGCACCCACTAACTCATCATCTAGCATTAGGTATATCTCCCAATGCTATCCCTCCCCCCTCCCCCCACCCCACAACAGTCCCCAGAGTGTGATGTTCCCCTTCCTGTGTCCATGTGATCTCATAGTTCAATTCCCACCTATGAGTGAGAATATGCAGTATATGGTTTTTTGTTCTTGCGATAGTTTACTGAGAATGATGATTTCCAATTTCATCCATGTCCCTACAAAGGACATGAACTCATCATTTTTTATGGCTGCATAGTATTCCATGGTGTATATGTGCCACATTTTCTTAATCCAGTCTATCATTGTTGGACATTTGGGTTGGTTCCAAGTCTTTGCTATTGTGAATAATGCCACAATAAACATACGTGTGCATGTGTCTTTATAGCAGCATGATTTATAGTCCTTTGGGTATGTACCCAGTAATGGGATGGCTGGGTCAAATGGTATTTCTAGTTCTAGATCCCTGAGGAATTGCCACACTGACTTCCACAATGGTTGAACTAGTTTACAGTCCCACCAACAGTGTAAAAGTGTTACTATTTCTCCACATCCTCTCCAGCACCTGTTGTTTCCTGACTTTTTAATGGGAGAAAATTTTCGCAACCTACTCATCTGACAAAGGGCTAATATCCAGAATCTACAATGAACTCAAACAAATTTACAAGAAAAAAACAAACAACCCCATCAAAAAGTGGGCGAAGGACACGAACAGACACTTCTCAAAAGAAGACATTTATGCAGCCAAAAAACACATGAAAAAATGCTCATCATCACTGGCCATCAGAGAAATGCAAATCAAAACCACAATGAGATACCATCTCACACCAGTTAGAATGGCAATCATAGAGCTTTTCATTTATCTGAGTGTTTTCCTCTGCTTGTCGGGACTTGTGCTTTCACGAGCTCCTGCTCTCATATCAGGGGAGTGAATAATTGAATTTGGATAGTTTTTTGGTTTTTAGTTGGAACACTCCTTTTCCTGTGGAACGTCTATAGAAAAAATGAGTCAAACAGAGAATATGCAGGGGAGGCAACTCTGAATGCTTCCATGGCTACATACATACCTGTTTTCTTTGATTTGCTAAACCCTAAGTTAAAAGGAAAGTACTGTCTAAAATAGGGAGAAATTCCCTATATTTATACCATCATTTGAGTATTTACAATGGAGTGTTTTGTATTATAAATGTCAAAAAGGTTGAGACAGGACTCACTTAAATTAAGAGGGGAAACTTTTTTTTAATGATGGAAATAGGGGCTTAATAAACTTACATCTCCTTAACTCCTTTAATATTTGTAATAAACTATGACTGTTCAAGAGTTGAGCAGTCTCTTGTTTGAAGAAATTTATTCATTTTCCTTCAAAATTGGCACCACTTTAGAATTTCCAGTTGAGATCTATTTGGCTAAGACCTCATTTCCCATCCAATTCATTAAAATTGTTGATGTTCAAGCCAGGGAGAGGATATTTTCTGGGTCTACTTATGATGGCTCTGTATCAAACCAGCCATGTTTAGAAACCCTCCAAGGCCTATGTGATTTTTTAAAAAGAAATTTATTATGTGGAATGAAGAAGCAAACATGTTCTATTTTATACTATTCAGAGCCAAGTAATCAGCCATTTCCCTCAGGAGTCACTTGTGCTAAGAGCTGGCCTGGACCGGGAAAGGCACTGTAATGGCTGCTCATCACCCAGAGCTGCCCAAGCACTAGCTTCACCTTATAGCTCAGAGGGACCCCAATGGTCTTTTCCTTAGTGCTTAGGTTATTAGTACTAGACCTCTGAAATGCAGACCTAAGAAATGCCTGGTGATGGCACTAAAGCTGACGTCACTATGAAAAGCAGGCAGGAGGTATTGTACCCCTTGTGAGGAAGTTTAAAAGTTTCTTATAGCAACTAACTTCTCCATTAACAAATAAATAGACCTTCCATAGCAGCTAGAAGGTACCTCATCCCCTTTATTGAACTGTGGCCATGGACTTCTCAATGATATCCCTGTAACCCTAAGACCTAGTGAAAAACCTGGTACAGGAAAAAGTATACAGTAAATATTAGATGAAGAATAGGCAGGAGAATCACTTGAACCCGGGGGGTGAGGTGCGGAGGTTGCAGTGAGCCAAGATGGTGCCACTGCACTCCAGCCTGGGCGACAGAGCAAAACTCTGTCTCAAGAAAAAAAAAACAAAAAAAAAATTCAGCTCTGTGATTTCCATTTTTTCTCCTGCCAAAGATCATGTTAATTATTTCTGTTTCTCATGGCCTCCATATTTTGAAATATTTATTATTCTCTATTGATTAAATAATAATTCATTTGTTTCCTAATTTTACTGACCAAAGCCAACCAGGACTTCTGGTCAATATGAGAAAATTACAGTTGGTTAGCTGCAGCTCAGAAAAAAGAAAAAAAAGATATTTGTGTAACAAATAAGCTTTTTGAAATAAAAATAACTTCCAGGCCCAATTATTACTTTGGGGGGGCTTCTATGATTCTGAACACGCAGACTAAAAATCAATAATATTGTCTAAACTACTCATTTTATAGATAAACATGGTAATGCTTCAGGAGTTAGGTAGAAATGACTTACCTGCAAAGCCAAACTAATTGATTCCCAGTTCAGAGTCTATTTAGGATGGATATATAGGATAGGGCTTGGAGAGGGTATTCTAGAATGAGGCCTTAAGTTCTTGGCTCCTTTTTAAGAATACATGGTGTTGGATTACTGTTAACATAAATTTGGACAGAATTTATGGATAGAATCCCATTTAACAAATACTGTATTATATCTAGTTATATATAATGTCATTACATATCCCCATGATCTAACTCACAGTTCATACCAATGTTTTATTGTCGTAAGCTGCAAAATTCTATTAGATTTTAAAAATTTCATATGAATAGGTGTCATAGAGGACTTGTTTTTGTCTGGGAAGGATGTGGGAACCCCCTCCTTATGGCCCCAGGAGAGGGAATGGCTTGAGAGTGCATGTTATTAACTTGAGATCAGGACTAGGCATCCATTAGAGAGTGACCCTTGTGGGCAGTGGGATCAGCCTTTGTAAGGCCTATAAAGAAAACCAAGGATGAAACTATGCAGTCAGGGCCAGGTCAAGGATTTGAAGTGGATCAAGATTCCTATGTCCATGATGTTTTGCATTTCTGCTATTATTAACATGTCAGAATATAATAGGTAGTCAGTATAATTTGATTGTTCCAAAAAAAATTAATTACAAGTCCTTATCCATTTAGCAGGCAGTCTTCAAATTAATATATTAATCCATTTGCTACAGCACTTATGGACAATAATTATATGCAAACACCCACATCATTATAAATATTAGTAATTAACTTTAAGGTGTTTGGGCTGAATATTAAGTTTGCTCTTATACACGTATGTTTTTGTGTGCAGAGTGTCTGGAAGGGTCAAGAAAAGGAATTTGAAACTCTGGAACAGGCAAATAAACAGGAAATCATGCAATAGGGAGAGGAATACGTAAGATTTACCTGAAATATGGACTTTTACTATTTTTTATCTTAAAATTTTTAGTTTTGTTTCTTTAGAGACAGTTTTGCTTTGTTACCCAGGCTGGAGTGCAGTGGCATGATCAATAGCTCACTCTAACCTTTAACTCCCAGGCTCTGGCAACCCTCCTGCCTCAGCCTCCCAAGTAGCAGGAACTTCCAGTGTGTGCCACCATGCCCAACTATTAAAAACATTTTTTAAAAATTGAGATGGGGTCTTACTATGTTGCCCAGGTTGGTCTTGAACTCCTGACCTTGAGAAATTCTCCCACCTTGGCTTCCCAAAGTGCTGGCATTATAGGTGTGAGCCACTGTGTCCAGCCTTGATCTTTCATTTTATTCAGGTATAAAACATAGATAATGGAAAACACAGTTTGTTTTTTTTTATTGCTAGCGCAAATTTGGGACAATTTTATCTTTGAAAGGGACAATATTTGCCATCTAGAATCATAATCCAATTAGTTGAAAGAGTTTCTTTCAATCTGAGCACAGTCTTCATATGAATATTAGTATGACATAAAGGAATACAGCATGGTATGTTCTGGTGTCCTACAAAAGCAAAAACATCCAGAACTTTCCACTGGAAGGCTTCATAATGGAGGTAAGCAGTAATAATTCTAAAGCATTTTAAAGCTGGTTAAATTGTCTGTAACAGCAAATTTTTATAGTAATCTTTTTTTTCCACCTTGAGAGGGCAAGGTAGTCTAGCTGTGTTTCAAAATCTCTTACTGTATTAACAAGGGAGAATCATTTGCTGTTATAACAAGTAGCAAAAAGGTACAAACATTTATATGGTAGTGTGGAGTGGGTTCTTTTCTATCAGGCAGTTCCAACACACTGAGAGGCATACCCTGTTCCTTATTTTGACTGTTGTACGTCATACTTAGAAACTGTTAAGTTTTAGAATCTTTAAAAAAGAACTTACGAGGTCGATAGGTCTAAAGCATGTTTTGTCTGTTTGTACAATCAGAACCCTTAAGAAAAATTTTAAAGTTTTAAGAACTCGGCTGGGTGGGGTGGCTCACACCTGTAATCCCAGCACTTTGGGAGGCCAAGGTGGGTGGATCACCTGAGGTCAAGAGTTAGAGACCAGCCTGGCCAACATGGTGAAACCACGTCTCTGCTAAAAATACAAAAATTAGCCAGGCATGGTGGTGGGCGCCTGTAATCCCAGCTATTCAAGAGGCTGAGGCAGGAGAATCACTTGGACCCAGGAGGCAGAGGTTGCAGTGAGCCGAGATTGCACCACTCCACTCCAGCCTGGGTGACAGAGCAAGATTCCGTCTCAGCATCAATAGTAAGGAAACATTTTTTGTATACAAGCACTTGTGTATATAGTGGAATATTAAACGATTTTAAAAATATTTTCTTAATTATTAAGAATATAGTCAATGTACTTTGACTAATGCAATGAATAACACAAGAGTCCAATGTAGCTTCATAGGCTGAAATGATGGAAGAGATGGAAAAGAGTACATTAACCATAAATAAACATAAAATCATGAACTTAGGTTCAAAAAATCAACTCTGGATACCCATGATAGAGAACACAGCATTTTATGGGAAGAGACCCCAAGTTTATAATTAGCTGTAAGCTCACCGTAAAGCAAGGTGGTAAAATGTTAGTCCCAAATGCTTAAACTAAATTGTATTAAGTAGGGAGGAGAGAGTTTTATAGTACACTTGACTACTGTTGCCAGAACTTTAGTTTGTTTTGTTTTGTTTTGTTTTGTTTTGTTTTGTTTAGACAGGGTCTTGCTTTGTCACCCAGGCTGGAGTGCAGTGGCACCATCATGGCTCACTGCATCCTTGACCTCCTGGGATCCGATGATCTTCCTCCTCAGCCTCCCTGAGTGCTGGGATTACAGGTGTGAGAACTTTAGTTTTGTGTTCTATTCTGGGCATCAAATTTTAAGAAAGATGCTAACCAGCTAGGGTGTACTCAGAGGAAGGCACCAAGTGGATGTGGGGACTGAAAACTGACCTGGGAGGATGAATCAGAATAACTGGGCAAAGACATAAGTAAAAGTATAGCTCTTGCTTCTGGGAGAAGAAAGCCTGAGAGATTATTTGATCTGAAATCCTGACTTTCAAGTTGAGGAAGCAGGCTCAGAGAGATGTGTCTTGGGTCACATGAAGAGAGAGGAGCAGACTACAGACTAGTTTCCAAATATGCCAGGCAATGGGATAGCAGGTGCCAAACATGTGATATGCTGTGCAGAAGAGGGGCCAGACCTTTTTTGGCAGCTTAAAAAGGCAGAACCAAGACTAACGTTTGAAAGTTACAGAGATGATTTGGGACAAAAATCGAAGGAACAACTTTCTAGCCATTGTAGCTGCCTAACATTGGAATGGATTGCCTTGAAAAGCAGTGAGTTACCTATCAGTAGCTATGTTCAGGTAAAGGTTGGATAGGATGTTAAGAATGTTGTTGAGTGATTCCTTTCATGCAGGAAATGTTGGACTACATAAGTTAATTACTCTAGCCCCTTTTGATTATTAATAATAGCAAACATTTATTGAGCTTATGGAGCTACCATGTCAAGTGTGGCGTATATATCATCTCTTTGATTCTTATAATATTTGAGGAAGCTGAGGCTCCACAGATTACTTATCTGAGGTCACACAGTATTGGTGAGGTGAGATTCAAATCTGGAGGTAGTTTTGCTAACTTATGTGCTATAGCTGCAGATCTCTAATTCACATAACTATTAGTTAGATCCATTCTTTTGTGATTTGTTCTTTAAGCTTTTGTTCAAGCATTATTTGTTCAAGCATTCTGGAACAGAAGCAGACTCTCAATGAGAGGGCCTAGCTTGCATTAGAGGATCTGCCTTTTTTTTTTTTCTTATTTTTATTTTATAAATAAGGTTTTGGTCTGTCACCCAGGCTGGTCTTGAACTCCTAGACTCAAGCAATCTTCCCACCTTGGCCTCCCAAAGAGCTAGGATTACAAGCATGAGCCACTGCACCCAGCCCTGGTTTCCTATGGGTTTCAGGTATCATTAATTTACCCTTTGAGGCACTTATGCCATCACATTCCCTTGAGAATAAATCCTCTGGAAATGGTTAGCCATTTGTAGTTCCTAAGCCATTTCAATAGTGGTAGAAGTAATATTAAATTACCATTTGTCATTAAGAGACCTTGTGTTCCCAAATCTCCTTACTTTGTATACATTTAAAAAATTTCCTTAGTAGTTATTATAATCCTCTTATGAATATGAAAACTGCATGCCAGATTTTGATTTGTCTTGCCTCCCCCTTAACCTGAGCTATTTTTTAAAAATTAAACTGAGATAATTGTAGATTTACATGCAGTTGTAAGAAATAATACAAAGAGGAGAGCCTATGTATCTTTTACCCAGTTTTTCCCTATGGTAACATCTTGCAAAACTGCAGCACAATATCATAGTCAAGATACTGACAATGATGCTTGCAGTCAGGATGTAGAACATTTCCGTCACCATGATGATCCCTCCTATTGCCTTTTATAGACACCTCTCACCCTCTCATCCTTGACACTTGGCAACTACTAATCCTTTCCCCATTTCTATAATTTAGTCATCTCAAGAATGTCATATAAATTGAATCATACCATTTATAACCTTTTGGGATTTTTTTCACTCCACATAATTTCCTGAAGATTAATGTAGGTTGTTGAGTGTATCAACAGTTTTTTTTTTATTGCTGAGTAGTATTCCATGGTATAACAGTTTGTTTAACCTTTACCTGTTGAAGTACATCTGGATTGCTTCCAGTTTTCAGCTATTATGAATAAAGCTGTTATGAACATTTGTGTAAAGGTTTTTGTGTGAGCATAGGTTTTCATTTCTTTGGGATAAATGCCTAGGAATGTAATGCTAGGTTATGTGGTAGTTTCATGTTTAGATTTGTAAGAAACTGCCAAACTGTTTCCCAGAGTGGCTGTACCATTTTACATTCCCACTGACAATGTGTGAATAATTCAGTTTCTTTGCATCCTTGCCAGCATTTGGTGTTGTCACTATTTTTTATTTTAGCCATCCTGATAGGTGTGTAGTGATATTTCATGGTTTTAAGTTGCCTTTCCTTAATGCTAATGTTATTGAACATCTTTTCATGTACTTATTTGCCATCAGTATATCCTCTTTGGTGAAATGTCTTTGTATGTCTTTTGCCTATTTTCTAATTGGATTGTTTGTGTTTTTATTATTGGATTTTGAAAGAGCCTGGGCTTTATAGATATCAATTTCAGCAATGTGCTATTCATTCCTTGACTCTGCCTTCCTGCCTTCCCAATACCTTATTCACAGTAACCCTCACATCTGACTTCTATGATGTGTTGTAGCCTGAGAAAATCATGATTCCATTCTGAATAGATCTGGAACAAAATACAGGTCATCTAAACTTGCTAGCAATCTTTTCAACACAAGATTCACATGTCATAAAATTTGCCTGTTTAAAGTATACAAATCAGTGGGTTTTAGTATTCATAAAGTTGTACAAACATCACCAGTATGTAATTTCAGAACATTTTTATCACTGCAAAAAAGGAATCTCGTACCCATTAGCAGTCACTCTGCACTCTCCCATTTTCCCATTCCCTCAGCCCCTGGAAACCACTAATCTGCTTTCTTTCTCTATCAAATTGCCTATTGTGGACATTTCATATAAACGGAATTCTGCACTAAGTGGCCTTTTGTGTCTGGCTTTTTTCATTTAGCATAATGTTTTAAAGATTCATCCATACTGCAGCATGTATTAATGTTAGTACTTCATTTTTATGGCAAATAATATTCAATTATATGGATATCCCACATTTTCTTTACTCATTCATCAAGTGATAGACATTTAAGTTGCTTCCACTTTTTGGCTATCATGTATAATGCTGCTATGAACATTTGTGCGCAAGTTTGTGTGGCTATATGTTTTCATTTCTCTTGGGTATATAGGAATGAAATTAATTGCTGGGTTATATGGTAACTCTATATTTAACTGTTTGAGAAACTGCCAAACTGTTTCCCAAAATGGCTGAACCATTTTATATTACCACCAGCAATATGTGAGAGTTCCAGTTTCTTTGCACTCTTAGCAACACTTGTTATTTTTTATTATGTCCATTTGTGTTTTTTACTATGACCATCCTGGTAGGTAAGGAATAGTTCACTGTGTTTTTGATTTGCATTTCTTTAATGATAAATGATGTTGAGCATCTTTACATGTGCTTATTGGCCATTTGTATTTACTTGAAGAAATATCTGTTTCAATCTTTGCCTATTTTTAAATTGCATTATTTGGTTTTTCATTGCTGAGTTTTAAGAGTTCTTTGTATATTCTGGGTGCCAGATGATTATCAGATATCAAATTTGCAAATATTTTCTCTCATTCTGTGGGTTGTGTTTTCACTTTTTTGGTAGTGTCTGCTATGGTCTGAATGTTGATATTTCCCTCAAATTTATATATTGGAAATAATCCCCAATGCTGTAGTATTAAGAGTTGGGGCCTTTAGGCGTGATTAGGTCATGAGGGCTCCACCATCATGAATGGGATTAGTATGCCTATAAAAGAGGCTCAAGGGGCTTGTCTCTGCCCTCCACCCTCTGAGGATGCAGCAACACGGCATGATCCATGAGGAACAGGCCCTCACCAGACACCAAATCTGCTGGTGCCTTGATCTTGGACTTCTAGCTTCCAGAACTGTAAGCAATAAATTATACTGTTTATAAACTACTCAGTCTATGGTATTTTGTTATAGCAGCCTAACACTGATTAAGTCAGTGTCCTCTGAAGCACAAAAGTCTTTACATTTTGAATATGACCATTTTAACTATTTTTTATTTGGTTGCATTTACTTTGGTGTCTAAGCAATATTTTAACCAGTACTTTTTTGCTCATGATTATATCCCTCTCAATGTCTTTTCTAAGTACACCTAATTCATGGCACATACCTAGTCTCTCCCCAGTTCTCCATGCAAATGAGCTTGCCTCCTATTCTCTGAGAAAGTTGAGATTATTTGCCATAAATTCTTCAACTTCCTCTGTCTCAATAAGTTTCCATGTATTTTCACTCTTTTCCCTTTTATACTCTCTTTCTTTTGAATTACGGGAATTTTCCTTTTCAAAATGAATACCTCCACCTGGTCCATTCCATCCCTCTTCTTCTTGGACTTTAATTCAGTGATTGATCTTTTTCTCCCCACTAGCATCAATAATATTTTGTTCTCTACTAATCTTTCTTTTCTGCCTTCATACAATCTCAGGTCTTTGTTGCCCCTTTAAGGAAAAGAACTGAGGGGGAGCTTTGCCCAATTTTATTTTTCCTTTAAGCTACCAACCTCTCTGACTCCTTCCCTTTACTTTTAATCTTGAAAGAGCAGTTTCACTTCGTCTAAAATATTGTAGTAACCCTCTCAGTGGCCTCCAACTCCAAAGTCTCCCCTTGGACTCTTCTTACACACTTTCTATCAGATGAATCTTCCCAAAGTAAAGTTCTTATCACCTAACTCTCCTGCCTAAAAACTTTGATGACTCATTTAATATCGAGTTATCTATAGGACCTCCCAGCCTAATATTCAAAGCCCTTCATAACATGTTCTCTCAACTCTGATAGATCTGAACAACTCATTTTTCCGTGAACACCCCCTTGCCACTAGTTTCCTGCGTAATGCCTTTTCCCCAGAATGCCTGTCTTCCTTCAGTTCTTCCTATGGAAATTCTGTGTAAAATTTAAATGCCTTGAAGTCTCTGTTGATCATCTCTTCCCCTTCCACCAGAGGGCGCTCTCCAATCTTTGAATCCCTATCACATCGTAAACGACTGTGTGGCCCTTACTATTTGACCTCGTATTATAGCTTTTGAAAGTAGATTGTGAATTCTGTGAAGGCAGAGACTTACCTATCTGTGGACCTCTCCAGCAGCCACCCAGAGCTAGTAGAGCTAGTAGGTATTTCTTGAATTGATTTATTGAATTGAGTATTTCTTGAATTATTTTGATTTAAATTGAAAACAAGAACCTGGACACCTACATCTGTGGAGAAAAATCTTGAAAAGATAAAGCAGAAAACATGGGGTAGACAGTGGGAGGTGAAACTGAGAAGGTAATTTATGCTTTAGCTTTACAGCAAATCAGAGCACCTGGAGTTGAAAACCTCATTTTTCTGAATGTCAGTTTTGTTTTTGAAAAACAATCAGTGCATAGCATATTTACTCTTTAATCTCAAAACATTAAGAGTAAAAAAAAAGTGGAACTGGTTGAGTAAAATGATATAAAGTCACCTTATCTGACAAACTGTATCATCTGTTTTGAATGAAGGCCCTAGAATTGTTGTGAAGGATGTCATGTTCATCTCCCAATTATGGAGATAAAAAGTAATGAGTGCAGGAACTTTGTAAACTCTAAAGCACTGCATATAAGTTGACCTTTAAAGTTAAAAATATTTCTTACAAAATGTAGGTCAGTTTATATGCTTATTGACTACTGTTAGCTGGTTGGTAGGTGGTAGCAGTCTCTCAGCTGGCTCTTTAAGGATGGGTGGGTCATGAAATCAATATCATGACCAAAATCAATATATTCTCAAGGATAAACCCAGTCCCAAACTTTTATATTAAACTGTCTAAGTCAACCTGTGTACTAGATCGTACTCAACCTCCATCATATGCATAGTGTTATTAACTCTGTTGAGTGTTCAAATGACACTAAATCGATTAAATATTTACCTGTTTGGGTTGGGTGACTTAAAGTGATTTTGTTTTATTAACTTTCAGGTCTTAATAGGAAAATGATACTCTTCATTATTTTTCCTTCCTTCATTACCCCTTCCTTTTGGGCTTTTTGAATTGATTTCTAAATTGTAAGTTCTTGAAAGCTGAGAAACTGTGCCATATATTTTTGTAAACCCTAGTCCTACCAGGACCTCTTTACCATTATAATTATTCAGTAGTACCAATAGTGATAATCCTTAATATTTATTGAGTGCTTACTAAGGGGTAGACACTATACTAAGTACTGTATATTCATTATTTCGTTTAATTCTCATAGCAACTTTGTGAGTTATTTCAAAGGAAGAAATGGGACTTAAATAATTTGCCCAAGGTCACACATTGCATAGGTGGCTGAGCCAAGATTGGAACCCAGGTGGTCTGACTCCAGAGCCTGTGCTCTTAACCGCTACACTATCTTCTTTAATAAATGTCTATTCTCAGTGATGCTAGTTAGAACCAAGCTGTGTGCATGGCATATGTGCAGTGACATCCTGTCTATGTTTTTATTGTGTAATATACCCATGATACTGTGAGCCCACAGCTGGTGTCCATTAATGATAATGGTGTGGGAATTCAAAAATAATTTCCAGAGCATCTTGAGTACAAGACATAATTTTCATTTTTCAGTGATCTTTAAATTCTGGGACTTAAAAGGGACTTGTTATTTGGTTACCCAAAATAGTTTTCTTCCTTTTCTGAAAGTTGGATTTGAAATGGAGGTAATATAAGACTACAGTGTGCTTTCTGATATTATTTCAGTAGGATTTTTTCACTTTTATTTTTTCTAAGCTCCTCTAAAGGGGGAGGTAGAGGCAATGTGTTTTGTTTTGTTTTGTTTTTTTGAGACAGAGTTCACTCTTGTCGCCCAAGATGGAGTGCAATGACGAGATCTCGGCTCATCACACCCTCCGCATCCCGAGTTCAAGCAATTCTCCTGCCTCAGCCTCCAGAGTACCTGGATTACAGGCATGCGCCACCACGCCCAGCTAATTTTGTATTTTTAGTAGGGACGGGGTTTCTCAATGTTGGTCAGGCTGGTCTTGAACTCCTGACCTCAGCTGATCCACCCACCTCGTCTTCCCAAAGTGCTAGAATTACAGGCATGAGTTTTACTGCACGTAGCCTGTTTCACTACCTTCTTGATGTCATTATATTTGCCAGGTTTCTCTAGATAGCAGATCAGATCCATGACTGACAGACACAGTGGTGGTGGGAGACATGGAAGATCATGCCAGTGACCTTCCTGTTCAGCTCAGGGATGACCTTACCCACAGCCTTGTCAGTGCCAGTAGATGCAAGCATGATGTTCTGGAAAATTCCACAGCCATTGTGCCATAGTTTCCCAGAGGGGCCATCCACAGTCTTCTGGGTGTCCGTGATGGCATGGACTGTGGTCATGAATTCTTCCATGATGCCAGAATTGTCATGGATGACCTTGGCCAGGGGAACTGAGCAATTGGTGGTACAGGAGGCATTACTGACAATCTTGAGGCCGTTTTTGTACTTCTCATGGTTCACACCCATTACAAACATGGGGACGTCGACAGAGGGGGCAGAGATGATGACCTTTTTGGTTCCCCCGTCTAAATGAGTCCCAGCCTTCTTCATGGTAGTGAAGACACCAGTGGACTCCATGATGTAATTAGTGCCAGCATCACCCCATTTGATTTTGGTGGGATCTCTCTCTTGGAAGATGATGATGGCATTTCCATTGATGACAAGTTTCCCATTCTCAGGCTTGATGATGCTGTGGAACTTGCTATGGGTGGAATCATACTAGAACATGTAGACCATGTAGTTGAGGTCAACAAAGGGATCATTGATGGCAACAATATCCACTTTGCCAGAGTTAAAAGCAGCCCTGGTGACCAGGTGACCAGTACAACTAAATTCATTTACCCTGGCCTTCACCTTCACCATGGTGTCCCAGGGGTGCAGCTGGCCCTGCACAAGAAGATGCTGTTGTCAAACGGGAGGAGCAGAAAGCCTAATTTTCAAAATATTTATTTGAAAAATTGTTTTATACATTGGTGGACTTTAGACTGTTTTATATTAAAATACATAAATACATGAATAAATTTATGCTAATAAATTTGACAACTGAAATGACATTTCTTGAGAGACATAAACAACCAAAGCTCACCCAGGAAGAAAAAGATAACTGGAGTAGTCCTATGTCTTTTAAAGAAATTTAATTAATGGTTTAAAATCTCAAAACCAAAAATAAAACTGTATTCCTAGATAGATTTACTTATACGTTGTACTAGTTCTATACAAACTCTTCCTAGCTGGCTTTTTTAAAAAAGAAGCTGACAAACTGAAATCATGTGGAAATGGAAAGAACGTAGAATAGCCAAAACAATTTTGAAAAAGAAAAGGCTGGAGATTTCACTGTCATTGATTTTAAGTTTAAAGCACCAGTAATCAAAATTGTATGGTTTAGGCTTAAGGATAGATATATTCATCAGTGAAACAGAATAGAGAGTCCAGAAATGGACCCACATATATACAGTCAATTGATTTTTTTTAACAAAGGTACCAAGGAAAAATTGGATATCCTTGTGCAATAACCTCAACCTTTATCATACTCCTTATACAAAAAAAATTACAGTAGTCCCTCTGTATCTGGGGGGGATTGGTTCCAGGACCCATTGAGGATACCAAAATCCCTTATATAAATGGTATAGTATTTGCATGTAACCTATGTACATTCTCCCATATACTTTTTTTTTTTTTTTTTTGAGACAGAGTCTCACTCTGTTGCCCAGGCTGGGGTACAGTGGTGCAATCTTAGCTCACTGCAGCCTCTGCCTCCCAGGTTCAAGCAGTTCTCTGCCTCAGCTTCCCGAGTAGCTGGGATTATAGGCACCCACCACCATGCCTGGCTAATTTTTGTATTTTTAGTAGAGACGGGGTTTCACCATGTTGGCCAGGCTGGTTTCGAACTCTTGGTCTCAAGTGATCCGCCTGCCTTGGTCTCCTAAAGTGCTGGGATTACAGGCATGAGCCACAGCGCCCAGCCTGTAGCTACTAACTTTTGAAGTAATACTGATACTTCTTCAGAAAGACCGTGTCTTCTAGTTTTAATATTGGAAGTAACATCTCTGTGGTCCCCATGGTGGATACAGTATTTTGTGTGGTATACATATTCATAATCAACTTACTTGAGAAGGAAATTTGGGACTTAAATTTTTATAAACATGAACTTTTTAAAGTTTATTGCTGCCAAAAATGTTTATTGCAAAGTAAAAAGGCATCACCACACAAGAAAATAAAGTCTTTATTTACATCAGGAAAATAAATGACAAAATCACTGTGAAAGAGTATACAGACTACTATCTAAATATGTTGCAGCAAGGCTGTTCAGATTGTATTTCCTGCACTTGTATCTAACCTACAATTTCTCACATTTCCCACTGACCTCACTATCTGGAAGCCTAGCAGCTTTGTGCATCTCACAAAAGACATGGTCAGGAAGAATGAACTGTCCCTAGCCACTCATGTACCTGTACACTTCATTTGTTCAGCAAGCATGTGCATGCCATCTTTGAAAGAGAAGTATTACGTCCGGTATCAGAAAATGGTGGGGGAAAGTGATTGCTGGCCGTATTTCAGATTTAACACCATATGGGAAATGTTAATGCATCTCGCCATTAGAAAAGACCATGACAAAGGCTGGAAATTTAAAGCAAAGATCCTGCAACATTCATAACCACCCACCCCAGCTTATTTTAATGCAACGAGTAATAATAGTTTTTGAAAAGTTAACATTCTGATTCAAATGTCAAATGTCAAACTTTATGGACTTCCCTGACAGCAGCAGGTAAATTGGACTGGCATAACAAACTGGGATGAGTAGTTACACATTTATGGCCTATATCAGAAGCTCTAAACAATTCAAAGCATAAAGGGTAATGATAATAGTCCAGCCAAAGGGCCAGACTAATAGTGAGAGACCACTGGCCGCCCTTTATTGCTAAAAAGCAGTAATCTTGGTGAAGCTTGGGAGAACCCTACACTTTTCTTTAGGACTGAGGCTGTGAGAGCATCCATGGACATTACAGTTTGTCTACTTTAAGCCCAGACTGAAACCATAATCTCTCCCAAATGCATTGAGACTTGTCCCTGAAATCTGCCCCTAGATTTTGACTGTGAAGGAGTCAGAGTTAAGTAACTATGATATTGAGAAAAGCTGGAATGTCTAGGTTGTGGGAAGTGAGAGAAAAGAGAATATAATGATAAAATTGCATCTGTAAATCACATAAGAGTAGGGAGTCAGGAAGGACATAGGATTTCCCCATTGATGTATCTTTGTGTCAAGAGCTGAAAAATGTAGGAGGGTACTGCCTTACTCTTCTGAGCTAATCAAAAGCAGCAGCAAGTACACAGTGAAATAAGATTTAGTTGTTAAGTGGCAGAGAAGAGTGTTACAGTTTGAAAGTTTATGTTGTATACTAGACATTATGTCTAAGTACTGTGGAGGATAGAGAGACAAATAAGAAACAGTTTCCTCCTGTTCACTGAGCCTATATATTTTTAAGGGATATAAAATGTTTGCACACAGGGGCCTGTCTCAGTTCCTCTCTTAGAGCTCAAGCCCTTAATCCAAGTATTCTCAGATTCAGATGTGAGGAATAAGTTAGTGTGCCAGGGATTTTTTTCCTTTTTCATTATTTTATGTAATTAAGTGGCTTCTCACCTTTTCTTTTTTTAGGCAGTCGTCATAGAATTATCATTTCTGCCCTCTTGTTCCATTATGGAATGAAATTTCTGTTGTCCTAGGTCATCAGTGCCTAAGCCATTTGGGGACTAAAAAAATAAGTGTGCTGTATAGTTGAGGATTTTATTATTTCTGCCCCAAATATTTTGACTTTAATTTTGAAGGGAATATTTCTAAGATGTACCTTTTTAAACAGAGAATGTTTATCTTACTTTAATCTATTGTTGATTCAAGGTCATGTTTAGGAATGTCAGTGTTCTGTGTTGTAGATATATATGGTGCAGGGCATGAAGCTGAATGATTTAATTTGTCACTGTAGAGCTCAGCACTGTCACAGCCCCTTCTCCCCTGGGCCCTTGAACTGCCTTGGTTTTCACGCTTCTGGGTATCCACCTAGTGTGGATACTAAGGAGCATGTCCTTAGGCACTCTTTGCATGCTGTCTTCCCTCGCTGCCTTCAAGGGCTGCTTATGAGCTGGTAACTCTTTGTTGGATTAGGCTGTAGAATGAGTTTCTTTTCTCCCTCTTTTGTAACTGGCTTTCTTATGTGCCAGTGTCTGCTACTTGCAACCTTGCTGCCTACTCTGTCATCATTTCCAACCTCTGCTTCTGCTTCTAATCTCTGTTCTATCTGACAGCTCTCTCCACTTACCTTCTTGTCTTCTCCTTTGTGTCGTACACATTGTCAGCAGATTGGAAGAAGGCTTTTCCTACAAATAGCCAGTGCAGCTCTTTAGCACTTTTGGCTATTTTTGTTGCCAGGTGTTCAGGGACTTGATCTGAAACTTAAATACTATTTTTTAAAGGTGTTTCTGAATTTGAAACCAGGGATTTGTCCAGAAACCTGTCTCTATATAAATGAAGTTTTACTTTACCTTATAAAATATAGTGACCCTAGCTGGGTGCAGTGGCTCACACCTGTAATCCCAGCACTTTGGGAGGCTGAGGCAGGTGGATCACGAGGTCAGGAGATAGAGACCATTCTGGCTAACACGGTGAAACCCCGTCTCTACTAAAAATACAAAAAAAAAATTAGCTGGGCGTGGTGGTGTGCGGCTGTAGTCCCAGCTACTGAGGAGACTGAGGCAGGAGAATCGTTTGAACCCAGGAGGCAGAGGTTGCAATGAGCCAAGATTGTGCCACTGCACTCCAGTCTGGGTAAGAGAGCGAGACTCCATCTCAAAAAAGAAAGAAAGAAATATAGTGACCCATACTAAGAATATCTCTTGTTTTAAATAAGAGTAGAATAATTTAGTTTTTGTATTTATTATCCAGCATATTGGCTTGGTATTCTCAGATGTTTAAGGCCCAGAGAAAATTCTAGTTCTTCTATGAAGGCTTTCTTTACCCTTCTAGAACCTATGCAGACTCTATCATAGCATTTATTCACCTGGCCTTGAAATGTGCATGTTCTGTCCCTTAAAGGCTCTTTGAAATCGAGGAGGGGGTGGGAATCTATTTATATCATCTTTATATTTCCCTCTTTACTACAGCTCTTAAGATAATACCTTGTATATCATAGCTTTCTCCAAAATGTTCTGTTGAGTTGAATAATCCGCTCACTCCCAGGTCCCTTCTGTAGTTTGTGATTGATGCTAGTTGAGGGTTCTTCACACCAAATGTGTCATCTTGCATTTGCTCACATTAAAACTTCTCTGCCAGTTGCACAGGTTCCTAAGTTTTTCCTGTTATTTGTCCTCAAAGATCCTGGCTCTTTGTTGCTTGGGGAAATTTAGTGTCAAACAGAAATAAAGTTACTATATGCTTCCCCTTCCAGAGCCATTTAAAAGATAAAATCTTTAAAAATGCTCTGTTCTTACAGAAAAATGCCTATTTGTTCCTCACACATTTTTGCTTCTGAGCCAGTTCATTCCCCACAATAAAACAGCCCCATTTCTTCTTCTTCTTCTTTTTTTTTTTTTTTTGAGACGGAGTCTCACTCTGTCGCCCAGGCTGGAGTGCAGTGGCGCAATCTCGGCTCACTGCAAGCTCCACCTTCCAGGTTCACGCCATTCTCCTGCCTCAGCCTCCTGAGTAGCTGGGACTACAGGCACCCGCCACCACGCCTGGCTAATTTTTTGTATTTTTAGTAGAGACGGGGTTTCACTGTGTTAGCCAGGATGGTCTCGATCTCCCGACGTTGTGATCTGCCCACCTCGGCCTCCCAAAGCCCATTACTTTTAAAAAGAGCTTTACTGAGATATAATTTACACATCATACAATTTATCTATTTAAAGTACATAATTCAGTGGCTTTAAGCTTATTCACGGAGTTGTACAACCATCACCACAATATAATTTTAGAACATTTCATGACTTCCAAAAGAAACCTCATGCCCCTTAGCAGTCACTCCACAGTTCCCCAGCTTCCGGTCTGAGGCAAACCACAAATCTACTTTCTGTCTCTATAGATTTGCCAATGCTGGACATTTCATATAAACATAATTATACCTACCATGTGTGGTCTTTTGTGACTGGCTTCCTTCACTTGATACTGCTTGATATTTGTTTTTTTGAAATATTCTTGTATTTATAACTTCTCCTCAGAACAGATGTGGTCTTGTAATTCTCATAAGTCCTTCTGTGGCCTGGTTTTATTGGATTTGTGAGATTTGGTTAAGTTGCAGAATATACTGTTACACGTCAAATAACATTGGCTGCTGATGATAATGAAAATGGCCCTGTTTCAGAGCTAAGATTAGGTTATAGATGTATTTCATAAAGCTGATCCAAACTATGGATGTGGTCAAATGAATTGGGATATATAGGACTCCATGGTTTTCACACTGACCCATTTTCTAATGGGTTATTTGAGGCTTTGAGGTTTTTAATTCCTAAGGATCATAAAGCGCTGGAACTGGAAGGGACCCAGCAGTCATGAAGCTTAGTCCCTCTTCTCTAACTCCTATCCCATTTTACAGAATTCAGAATGTTCATTGTTCAAGATCAAATAGTTAATTAATAACAGAACCAATTATAGCAAAATTAGAACTAATGTGTGTCGATTCCTAATCCAAGGTTCTTTACTTCCTTTTGGATTTTGTTGCTGTTGTATCCTGGGTTCTCTAGAAACAAGAGCCTGACTGGAAATTAAGTGAAGCTTTATTTGGTGGTACAATTTCAGAAGAGTAAGAGTGAAGGAAAAGAGATGAGAAGTGAGAAGCTTTGAGAAGCAAAGCAAGGCGATTAGATTACCATGTTAGCAATTGTGTCATGATGATCCTCAAAGAGACACAGCTGGTTATTCAGCAAGTACATATGCTTGACCATGTGCAATATCTCCAGATAGGATAGATAGAACAGTTCAGCCAGGCGTGGTGGCTCACGCCAGTAATCCCAGCACTTTGGGAGGCTGAGGCAGGTGGATCACTTGAGGTCAGGAGTTCAAGACCAGCCTGGCCAACTTGGTGAAACCCCGTCTCTACTAAAAATACAAAAATTAGCCAGGCGTGGTGGCTACTGGGGAGGCTGAGGCAGGAGAATCGCTTGAACCCCGGAGCCAGAGGTGGCAGTGAGCCGAGATCGTGTCACTGCACTCCAGCCTGGGCAACAGAGTGAGAAAAAAAAAAAAAAATAGAACAGTTCATAAGAGCAAAGAGGGAGAGGGAATTTATCTGCCCATCTCCTCTCTGGCTGCTTGTTTCCCATTATCAAAGGTCAGTCATGGAGAGTGAACTCACAGTTCTGAGTGGTGTCATGCTGCCCTTCCATTTGGAAAGCCAGATTCCATGCCCTGGTGAAGGATTTCATCCAAGTTTGGAAGTGGTAGGAGAATCCATAAGCTCTGGGTATATAGTTAATTTGTAGTCAACAGGGAAGATTTCCTCCTCCCTCCTGCAATGTCCCTGGTTGTCCTCAGGGATGATGAGACAATGGTGTGGAGGGAAACTGAGGAGGTGTTTAAGGGTCAATGAGATAATGGTGTGGAGGAGAACCAAGGAGAGGCGTCTGACACACTTGCCAAGAGAGTGCCCTTCCTAGCCTAGGTTTCTGAAGTCATCCTTTATGAGCATGATGACCCCTTAACTAGTGTATTTGAAGGAATTGCTTAAATTGACAGTCATGTTCTTTTTTCTAATGAGACATTTTTTCACACTGCTATGGCTGACACTCTTTAGACTATTGAAACATGTAACTAAAACTGTCATTAGGAAACTTGTTCTCCTGGCCATCTCTCTTTTCTAGAAAAAAGAAAACACCTGGAAAGGCTTTTCAGAATTATAATTGCTTGGTACCTGGGTTTCTGTGTAGGTTGCCCCACATGCAGAGATTTCCTCAGTCAATTCAATTCTTATTCTTCTTTGCAGATGAACTGACTAGCCTATATTGAGATTTCTGCTGCTCTGGCTATTTAGAGTTTATTTTCACTGTATTTGCCCTACTCTCTTTCATTTAAATATTACTTCAGATTTTTTCTATCCTGGTTTGTTTGTATGCTAGTTTTCCTCCTGGGTATCTTTAATTTTTGGGAATCCCCCCACTACCTTGAATTTTAAATGCTTGTTGACTACCTAAATATAAGCTGGAGTATTTGTTCTAGGCCAAGTTGTCAGAAAGAATTTGGACAGTGGACAAAGAAGTAATTAAAGCTTTAAGTTCTTCAGTGAATAACTGCAAATGAAAATGTTAAAGTTACTTGTTTGGAAAGGTTTGAAGATGAGAGAGAATCATATGTTGATTAATGAATAAGGGAGGAGGTTATTTCAATTTGGGGACAAATGGGAAGAAGTACCAGGATAAGGAGGTAAAATGGTGGTTAGAAAATACCTGGTATAGAAAATGAAGAAGATCACGCAAAGAAAAGGAGATGTATAATCATGACATTTATAGAATTAGAGAATCGTCAGTGCTGGAGGAGGCCTTAGAAATAATTTAGTTTAATCCAGTTAATGTATAGGTGAAGAAACTGAGGCTGAAAGAGGTTAAGTGACTTAAGGTCACACAATAGTTAAGATCAGAGGCCAAGATTTGAACTGAGGCCTTTGGATTGCAGATGATTGTGCCACATCTACCTTGTACCACAGAGCACCACAGCTACTTTAAGAATGTTTCATATTTCCTTTCCTGAAGAGTTATTTTTCCTATTTGGTGGCTTTTTCATAGCAATAATTGGTAAAATTTAAAGGACTTGATTTTTAATTTATTTTCAATGTTTTAAAATGCATTGCATAGTAAAGCTTGTAGTGTGTATAGTGACTTTATGTTGATAGTATAGTGTCAGTTACAGGGCTTCAACAAGCAAATGAGATCCTCTTAGTAGCTGAGGATAGTGCTAATCATTTAATAAAAGCACTTTAGTAGTTGCTTTTGTCGTAAAAACATAGACTACTATCTAAACTCAAATCAAGTTATAAAAGACTCCAGTGTTTTTCTGGAGTCCAAATAATTGTTCTTGTGTTTGATGCTTCTACAGTGCTACTACTAGTCTATAAGGTGCCAGAGTCATTAATCCTGGGCCAAGTAAAAAAATAAAATAAGACACAAACAACTTCCACCCCAGCTACCCACCCTAGCTCCTGGTCACAAAGCTTTGTGAGAGAAGCAGGGCTGCATTTCAGATCCTATAGCCAGGTGCCTTTGAGCAGTGCACAAACTGTGCAATCTTAGGAAACAGCTCCACTCTTTTTTTTTTTTTTTTTTTTGAGACAGAGTCTTGCTCTGTCACCCAGGCTGGAGTACAATGGTGCGATCTCAGCTCACTGCAACCTCCATATCCTGGGTTCAAGCTATTCTCCTGCCTCAGCCTCCTGAGTAGCTGGGATTACAGGCGCATGCCACCACGCCCAGGTAATTTTTGTATTTTTAGTAGAGATGGGGTTTCACCATGTTGATCAGGCTGGTTTTGAACTCCTGACCTCGTGATGTGCCCGCCTCGGCCTCCCAAAGTGCTGGGATTACAGGTGTGAGCCACTGCGCCCAGCCAGCTCCACTCTTTTGGAAGCAGATCCTTGTGTACCTTTCATCCTTGTGATTCTGGTATTACCTTTTTGAAAACTGACATATCACTCACAGTTTTATCCCAAAGAGTTTACATATGATTAAAATATGGGTAGAATCTAATTAGAGGATTATTAATATATTCTCCAAAGAATAGAATTAGCTATAATTCTATAGAATTATTATAGCTAGAATAATTCTATTCTTTGGCGGACAACCCCTACGAAAATAGCATTCAGTTGATGATTACAAGCTGTTAAACCATTCTTTGTATTAGATGTTTTTGCATTCACTCAAGAATCAGTTTCTATAATCAAGATGTTATTTGTTGTGGAATTAGTTAATGTGTATTTGAAGAGACTCTAGTAAAATCTGGCGGGTTTGGGACTTTTATGGTTGTAAACAGTTGTTCCAAATGGCTCTGGAGAGCGGACGATTGCAGGGAAGATAATAGGATAGAGGTTGGGATAAAAGCTGCTCCCACACCCTGATGCTTTCTTCCCTCAATGCCTCATTTTCACCTGTGGGCCAATGATTAGGAAAATGAAATAACATTAAAACAACACTGTTTGTCATGTTATTAGTAGCTGTTAATCCTTTACTATAACTGCCAGAGATTTTGTGTTTTAAAAGACATAAGTGATCATATATACATTACATAAAGCAGTTGAACATGAGAAGGCACACAACCATAGATATATTCCATAGGAGTGTTTTTTATAAAATGCACAATTTCAATGCTTTAAAGGTTGGGTGCTTACAGTTTGCTATTTGCTTTCACACATGTGATGACGTTTAATCCTGACTATAATTCTATGAAATGGAAATTATTAATCTCATTTTGTGAATAACTTGTCTTGCTCAGTGCCTCTTCTTTTCATATTCTGAATTCTTTCCTAAACTATCTTATCTGTGCTTACAGCTTCAGTTACCATCTATAAAATTAGTAACTATATCAAATTTATATTTCTCACCCTGAGCTTCAGTTTTTTTATATCTAATTATCTTGTTAGCCTTTCCATTTGGATATCTCAGAATGAACTGCGCTCGTGGACTTCCCTATCAAACCTGGTCCTCTTACAGTGTTTTCTTTATTAATGAATGACATCATCCATCGTCCATCTGATTGTGCAAAACTAGAAACCTAGGTCTTGCCTTAAGCCATCCTTATTCTTGTTTCATATCCAGTATGTCACAGAGTCTTCTCAATTTTGCTTCCTACATAACTCAAATCTGTCTGCTTTTCTCCATCTCCACTGCCACCGCTCCCATCCAAGCTCTCTAGCATCATCTTTTTCTGCTATTCCAGTAAAAATACTAGTATTTGGGCTTTTCACCCACTCATATTCATTCTCCACACAGCAACCAGAACGATCCTTGCAAAACACTAATTTCAAGATGTCACTACCCATCCCACCCTCCTTAAAACTCTAATGAACTTTACTTCAAGAACTTCCCATTGCTCTTAAAATAAAGACTAAATCTTTACCATGACTGGCAAGGACTACTGTGGTTGCTTTCCTTCCATGTTCATCTTTTGCCAGTATCCCCCTAACTCTCTGAGCTTTTTAATGTACCACATTCTCTCCTGCTGCAAACTTTTGCCTTCCCCTTGTTTGAAGTTGTTTTCATGCTCTAAGTTAGTTACCTCCTATTCCATCTGATTTTAGCTTCCTCTGGGAAGCCTTCCCTGACTCCTAATCCACAACAGATCAAGTCTCCCTGCAGTATTATCTCATAATATCATCTACCTCTTCTTTGTAACACTTAGCACAGTTACACTGTTGTAATTATTTGTGTGATATTTTAAAAATAGCATGCATCTCTCTTACCAGACCATGGACTCCCTCATGACAGGGAGTGTGTCTCATTTTATGTCCTGTTACATCCCCATCACCTAGGATACTACCCAGCACATACTAGACCCTCAATATACATTTGTGAATGAATGAACAAATGAATTCAGTATTCTCTAAGGCCCTTTCTGGCTCTAACATTCTATGATTCTATAAGGGACAGAGAAGTATACCACTGGATAAGTATTAAATGGAGTGTAATTGTTCACTGTGTTTAAGAAATGGTCATGGTGTCTTTTGTTGGGACTAAAACTGATATATTAGAGTGGTGCTTCCCAAAATCAGAGTGAAAGGACTTCTGGTCTCTAATATTGTTCCTAGGCACTATCTCAGGGTGTCCTGAGCAATATTTTGATTCTGGAAATGGAAACAAATGTTATGTAAAAAGAAGTGGCTGTGGAAGCAATAGTACCCAACTAGTAACAAGTACACCTTGCACTTGGCTCTTAGATTCGAATACCATTCTCAGGTAAAGGAATGAAGGATCCTTAGAGAAATGGCTGATTCTAGGATGGGGACAGGAAATATACAATATAGGCCTGAAGCATCTTATAGTGCCAGACAGTAAGTGCTCAAAAGAAACACAATGGTTGCGTATGTTAAAGGGACACAGGATCCAACTGAAAGAGCTCCCAATGGTCAATGCCAGAAAAATTTGAGCAACAAAATAAAGTAGTATTGCATTGTAACCCAAAGTATAAAACCAATATACATAAGTCCATACTGATATAAATAAAAGTCTGAATAAATTGGAGAGACTAGAAAAAGCTATAATAATTGGGAGAAAAGACAAATCTCCCATGAAGAAAAATTCAAAATAATATATGTAACTACTTTGTTCTCAAGGAGGTGGAGCACAACTCCTCACTCCTTTAGTATGGGCTGTACATAGTGACTTACTTCCAAAGAATAGAGCACATAAAGAGGAAAAAAAAAAAGAGTTAACTTTACAGTGGAAAATTCTGACAGACATTGCCTTAGCCAGGCAATGAAGATCAGCATTAACAGTGATAAATGTTCATAGTATTACCCTTGATATGATGTGATAAAAATGGCACTTTATCTCTGTAGTTCTTCCTCCCTATAAGTTCTTCCTCCTTATAAAAACCTATAAGCTCAGTTAATCATGAGGAAAACATCAGACAAATCCCCACTGAGAGACATTCTACAAAATACTTGACTAGTACTCCTCGAAACTGTCAAGATCATAAAAAAACAAGGAAAATCTAAAAAACAGTAACGGCCAAGAGGAGCCTAAGGAGACATGACTACAGAATATATTGTGAGATCCTAGAATAGAAAAAGAGCATTAGGTTAGAACTAAGGAAATGTGAATAAAGTATGGATTTTATTTTAAAATAATAATATTGGTTATTGTGACAAATGTGCTGTACTAATGTAAGATGTTAATAATAGGAAAGGAAATGGTATCAGATATATTGGAAGTCTGTACTATGTTTACAACTGTCAATCTTTAAAACTGTAATATCTTTAAAACTGGGCTAATTTTTGTATTTTTAGTAGAGACGGGGTTTTACCATGTTGGCCAGGTTGGTCTTCAACTCCTGGTAAAACCCCGTCTCTACTAAAAATACAAAAATTAGCCCAGTGTGGTCATGGGTGCCTATAATCCCAGCTACTTGGGAGGCTGAGGCAGGAGAATTGCTTGAACCCAGGAGGCAGAGGTTGCAGTGAGCAGAGATTGCATGACTGCACTCCAGCCTGGGTGACAGAGCAAGACTCCATCTCAAAAAAAAAAAAAAAAAAAAAAAAAAAAAAGTGACTGAATGTATACAGTAATTAGGAGGTGAAAGATGAAAAGAGTTTAACAGGGCTCTGGAATTTCAGGACCAGTGAGAAATAGTCAATTTAGGATCTAATTATTTGCTTTGTAGGTTTATGTATTGCCCATTTGGGGTAGATTTAGGAAAATATTTTCTAAATTCAAGAAAAAAAGGCCAGGCTGGGCACGGTGACTCATGCCTGTAATCTCAGCACTTTGGGAGGCTGAGGCAGGCAGATCGCTTGAGGTCAGGAGTTTGAGACCAGCCTGGCCGGCATGGTGAAACCCCGTCTCTACTAAAAATACAAAAATTAGCTGAGTGTGGTGGTGCGCACCTGTAATCCCAGCTACCAGTGTGGTGGAGGCTGGAGAATCACTTAAATCTGTGAGGCAGAGGTTGCAGTGAGCTGAGATTATCCCACTGCACTCCAGCCTGGGCGACAGAGCGAGACTCTGTCTGAAAAAAGAAAAAAAAAAAAGGCCAGTGTGCCTCACACCTGTAATTTGGGAGGCTGAAGCATGAGGATCACTTGAACCCAAGAGTTCAAAACCAGGCTGGACAACATAGCAAGACCATATCTCTACCAAAAAAAAAAAAAAAAAAAAAGGGAGCCAGGCATGGTGGCATGTGCCTGTAGTCCCCAGCTACTCGGGAGGCTGAGGTAGGAGGACAGCTTGAGCTCAGGAGGTTAAGGCTGCAGTGAGCCATGGTCACACCACTGCACTCCAGCCTGGCCGGCAGAGTGAGACTCTGTCTCAAAAGAAAAAAGAAAAAGAAAAATACTCTTTAGTTATCAGATACTCCTCAAGCATAACTTCTCTATCATTTTTTTCTTTCTAGTGTTTTGAATTTTATTACTTGAGCTGAAATATTCTAAAGATGTAACCACTCTCTTTTTTTGCACACTGCTTAAGATGAGAAGAAATCATTTATATGGAAACTAGAATAGCTGATATTCCAGACTAAGGTAATAAGCTTCTGCATTAATAATTCATAGATATAATTTTTGTGAAAGATATGGTTTATATTAATCTTCTGGTGTTCCTAAATTTGATTTTTTTAAAAAGTTTATTCACTAAACTAAAATTTATTGTGGTCATATACAGGGTGATCTAGGGGTCAGGAAGGTTACTTGTACATAGATCCTGCCCACAAGAAGATTATTGTTTAGTGCTGGAGACAAGACATGTTTATAAACAACTAAATCATAAAGTAGAGGGTTATAACTTTCCAATAAAGATGTTGATAAAATACTATCCAAAATCAGTAATGGAAAAGATCATTCCCAATTGGAGAACTCTGGGAAGGTTTCATAGAGGAATTAGTAGGTTGACCTAGACTTGAATAATTTCAGATTCCTCTAAGTCAAGAGTTATATATTATTGATATATGTACTTCCAGCACATAGTAGGTATTAAATAACATTTGTTGACTGACTGAAGGATTTTAAATGCAAATGGAGATGACAGAAAGGACAAGGAAAGATATTCTAGTTCTACCTATTGCTTCTAACAATGTTGTATGAAACAAATATCTATTCTATCTTTTTTTCTTATTGATTCCTCATTTGATAAATGAGTTAATTTGATTATGTCACTTTCCATTTTTACATCTCAACAAATATATTATTTATAAATAAATTGTTTGCAAAGGCTTTTTATAGTGACTTTTTGATGGCTGGAATATGGAATGGAGGAGCAAAGCCAGCCCTTTATTCACTAGGGTTACTCTGTTTTTTAAGGAGCCCACTGTCCAGCTTAAGGTTTATTTGGGTTACTTATACTCTTGTGTGCCTTATTTCTTTAAGCTACTTTGAAGCTTGTGGAAGTATTGGTCAGATGGTGGTACAGATTCCAGGAGAAGTAAAACTCAGTCAAATGAGTGGTCTACTTCTTAACAACTCTGGTTAGAGGTCTGGTTTGGGAGCCAACTCTGGTTAGAGGTCTGGTTTGGGAGCTTAAAACTATGTTTGAAATAAAGATTGCATATCATCTGTGGATTTCAGTTGCATGGGCTATCTCCCTCATTTCTATGGATAACTAAGACATGGCTGGTAGCACATGCCAGCCATTTTTAGCAGGGTTTCCCTGTTGGTTGCACTATTGCAATTTGTTTTTAAATTGACCCAACTTTTAAATCTGTAGGCAACAGCAATAATGCATGCTGCCTTTCCGCCAAGAAGTACAAAGTGGCTTAGCAGTGGATTTCTAGGTATATGATTATATTCAAAATTAGTGTAGATATGAGATCAAAATCATAATGAGGCCGGGCATGGTGGCTCACGCCTATAATTCCAGCACTTTGGGAGGCTGAGGCAGCAGATTACTTGAGGCTAGGAGTTCAAGACCAGCCTGGCCAACATGACGAAACCCTGTCTCTACTAAAAATACAAAAATTAGCCAGGCATGGTAGTGAGCACCTGTAGTCCCAACTGCTTGGGAGGTTGAGGCACAAGAATCGCTTGAACCTGGGAGACGGAGGTTGCCGTGAGACGAGATCACACCACTGCACTCCAGCCTGGGCAACAGAGTGAGACTCTATCTCAAAAAAAACCAAAATAGCTAAATTGGACTTCATCAAAATAAAAAACTTTGTGCTGCAAATGTCACCAAGAAAGTAAAAAGACAACCCACAAAATGGGAGAAAATATTTGCAAATCATGTAACTGATAAGGGACTCATATCCAGAATATATGAAGAACTCTTACAACTCAATAATGAAAAGATAGCCCAATAACAAAAGGGCAAAGGATTTGAATAGACATTTCTCCAAACAAGTTACAAAAATGGCCAATAAGCACATGAAAAGATGTTCCACATCATTAGTCATAGGGAAAATTAAAATCAAAACGACAGTGAGATACCACCTCATACCCATTAGGATGGCTATAATTAAATGGATAGACAAGCCTTGCTTGTGAGGATGTGGAGAAACTAGAACCCTCCTATACTGCTGGTAGGAATAGAAAATGGTATAGCCACTTTGGAAAACAGTTTGGCAGTTCCTCAATAAGTTAAACTCTATGTTTATAGAGTTACCATGTGACCCAGCAATACCACTCCTAAGATGACAACCGAGAGAATTGAAAATAGATGTCCACACAAAAATTTGTTAATGAATGTTCATAGCAGCATTTTTCATAATAGCTTAAGAGTGGAAACAACCCAAATGTCTATACACTGAGAAAAGGATAAACAAAATGTGGTATATCCATGTAATAGAATATGATTTTGCAATAAAAAGAAAGTACTGATACATACTACAACATAGATGAAGCTTGAAAAAGTTATGGTAAAACCCAAAGGGCCACAAGTCGTATGATTCCCTTTTTATAAAATGTCCAGAATAGGCAAACCATTAGAGACAAAAAATAGATTAGTAGTTGCCAGGCGTTGGTAGGGATTAGGAAATGTGTTGGCAGGAATGAGAATTAGCTAATGGATACAGGGTTTCTTTTAGGAGGGACAAAAATATTCTAAAATTAGATTGTTGTAAACATATCAAAAATCACTGAATTGTGCCCTTTAAATGGTGAATTTTATGATAGGTAAAGTATATCTCAATAAATCCATTTTTGAAAAAGAATTGTTTGTCATAGATGTTTGTATTATAAAATTTATTGATCTTTATGGTAGGGAAAGGGTCACCCCACCAACACATAACATTTAAAACTTTCCACAGGCCTAGGAACATTAAGCTAAAGGACAAATCAGACAGCAGGCCAGAGGGCACCCGTGTCTGGCCTAGTAATTGGTCAGAGGAAGTTTAAACAGTTTTTTCTTTTTCCCTCTCCCCTCCTTTCCCCTCCTCTCCCCTCCCCTCTTTTTTGAGACAGTCTTGCTCTGTCGCCCAGGCTGGAGTGCAGTGGCACGATCTCAGCTCACTGCAACCTCTGCCTCCTGGGTTTAAGCAATTCTTCTCCCTCAGCCTCCCACATAGCTGGGATTACAGGCACCCGCCACCATGCCCAATTAATTTTTTTGTATTTTTAGTAAAGACAGGGTTTCACCACGTTGGCCAGAGTGGTTTTGAACTCCTGACTTCAAGTGATCCGCCCGCCTCAGCCTCCTGAAGTGCTAGGATTACAGGCATGAGCCACTGCGCCTGGCCTTAGTTTTTTCATTGACTAACAGTTGAATTATTTCCTAAGAGGACGTCCTCACAGTAAAGATGATACTGGCATGCTAGACCTCTATAGCAAAATCTGAATTAATATCTTCTAAGAATGGTTCCAGTTGGTATTCAGTGTAGAAAAGTTATAGGATAATCTTTTCTTAGGCTATGTGGATGTCTAGTTTTTGATATTTTCAGATTAAGGGAAGTTGAACTTGGCTATCCTTATATAACTTCCAAATGTATTACATTATGTATTGTGGTGTTTCCAAGAATTTGCAAACACTAAAATGTAAAAAGGTTAGGAACTGCTTAGAAAAATTATAGTGACCATTGCTATTCTTGGAAAAGTAATTACACCAACATTGTATTTTAATTCCAGAGCCAAAAAAATGTGTGTCAGAGTCAGCTAGCAAACACCAGGAAAGCGGCTGTGAAGGAAGATTGAAATTTAAATTCATATTAGCCTCTTGAGCCAGTATTTTTGTGCATGGCCCATTGTACTTTTCTATTTGCCTTGAGTTGGCACTGGACATTGAATAAACCTTGAAGACATAAATGAAAATGTGTATGGGTATGGAAATGTGTAAGGATATGGAAGTGTCCTTGGTGCAATAAAGCGCATAATGCATTTTCTGTCATTTGTCATCAAAATTATTTTTTCACTATGTGTGGCTTGTCTACTTCCATTCTTGCTGTGAGGTATTAGCACATTTGTAGCTATTTATTAATTCCCCTTTTTATTTTCTCTTGAGTTCTGTCCTACTTGTTCCTTATTCAGGGTTAAATTTAAAATGTTCACATCTTTTTCTTTGGGGAATATTTAAGAAAGGAAGACTACGACATCACTCCATCTTCTTCAATGAAAGGAGAACTTCATTCATTCATTCAGGAATTATTTGCTGAGTATGTACTCTGTCCAGGGTATTATGCTAGGTGTTGGGTGTTTCTAAATTAATCAAGGAGATGACTGCAGAGCTGATTTCTAAGGTACTGTTTAAAGTAACATTTCAGTGCTGTGCATAATGATAGCAGCAAAGAGACTATACAACTGTAGGTCAGAAGAAACAGAATAATTCCACTGAACTATCTGTGACAGAGTGACAAATGACAACAGATCTTGTTCAAGCCCTGATCATGAGCTGAAGGAATAACTGCATTTCCTATTAGTCAGATAGTGCTTTGACCTGATATTAAAGTCAGCTGTTCTCATATTTAGGATACAACAGCATTGTATTCACTTATCAAAGAGAATGGGTGACAAATACTACATTTCTCCTTTCTGCTCTTCTCCTTCTGCCCCTTCCTTACACTCTGAATGCCCTTTCTAACCACTCCTATCATTTTGTTTCTCCTCCTTCTATATTAGTGTACTGTCTATTGAAGAATAGTCTTTATTACTAGTTTTATTGTCAACTGATATTTCTTAATAAATCATCTGATCTTCCATGTTGAATTTATACGTGCATATACAAGTATGTACATAGGCATAGTAAACTTTTCCACTTTCCCCTGTTTTTGCTTTTTTTAATTGATTCTTGTTGATGTGGGTTGATCAGCCTTTTGGTATGAATCATTTAAGTGTAGTCAAGATACTCCAGAGAGGGGAAGTGAATGTCAGAACTTAACAGCTATTTCTCTTTCGTTAGAAAAGAGACAGCATAACAGGAAAATGAGTCCTTGCCATAAATGCCACGTTCAAAAATCTAAGGTTAAATTGGAAAATATCTAGGACAAATGGTGGAATTTGCTAATTATTTACTTCCTGGACACATCTGACTGGGTAATCCAAGATAGACTGAAATTGACCTAATTGAATTTTGTAAATTATTGAATAAGAATACACTTTACACTGAACTGAACATTTAGTTATTTTTTCCCACTAACTTGTGAGTGTAGGAAGGAGAGTCAGATTAGTTCTAAATGAAATGAAGAAATTTTATTTTTCTCTCCACATCTGAATTATAGTGTGAGTTATGTGTCACAGTTTTATTTATGGGGAACTCAGAGGATGTATAGTCTTTAAAGCAGTCTGGGACAGAAAGCTTAAAAAGGAAATGAACATAGAACATGTCATATTAGGGAAACAAAGGGAATGAGAATTTTTTTTTAAATACTTTAAGTTCTGGGGCACATGTGTAGAACGTGGAGGTTTGTTACATAGGTATACATGTGCCATGGTGGTTTGTTGCACCCATCAACCAGTCATTTACATTAGGTATTTCCCTAATGCTATCTCTCCCCTAGCCCCCCACCCCCTGACAGGCCCCAGTGTGTGACGTTCCCCTCCCTGTGTCCATGTGTTCTCATTGTTCAGCACCCACTTATGAATGAGAACATGCGGTGTTTGATTTTCTGTTCTTGTGTTAGTTTGCTGAGAATGATGGTTTCCAGCTTCATCCATGTCCCTGCAAAGGACATGAACTCATCCTTTTTATGGCTGCACAGTATTCCATGGTGTATATATGCCATATATTGTTTATCCAGTCTATCATTGATGGACATTTGGGTTGGTTCCAAGTCTTTGCTATTGTGAGTAGTGCCTCAATAAACATACATGTGCATGTGACTTTATACTAAAATGATCCTTTGAGTATATACCCAGTAATGGGATTGCTGGGTCAAATTGTATTTCTAGTTCTAGATACTAGAGGAGTCGCCACACTGTCTTCCACAATGGTTGAACTAGTTTACAGTCCCACCAACAGTGTAAAAGTGTTCCTATTTCCCCACATCCTCTCCAGCATCTCTTGTTTCCTGACTTTTTAATGATCGCCATTCTAACTGGCATGAGATGGTATCTCATTGTGGTTTTGATTTGCATTTCTCTAATGACCAGTGATGATGAGCTTTTTTTCATATGTTTGTTGGCCACATAAATGTCTTCTTTTGAGAAGTGTCTGTTCATATCCTTCACCCACTTTTTGATGGGGTTTTTTTTTATTGTAAATTTGTTTAAGTTCTTTGTAGATTCTGGATATTAGCCCTTTGTCAGATGGGTAGATTGCAAAAATATTCTCCCATTCTGTAGGTTGCCTGTTCACTCTGATGATAGTTTCTTTTGTTGTGCAGCAGCTCTTTAGTTTAATTAGATCCCATTTGTCAATTTTAACTTTTGTTGCCATTGTTTTTGGTGTTTTAGTCATGCAGTCTTTGCCCACTCCTATGTCCTGAATGGTATTGCCTAGGTTTTCTTCTAGGGTTTTTATGGTTTTAGGTCTTACATTTAAGTCTTTAATCCATCTTGAATTAATTTTTGTATAAGGTGTAAGGAAGGGATCCAGTTTCAGCTTTCTGCATATGGCTAGCCAGTTTTCCCAACACCATTTATTAAATAGGGAATCTTTTCCCTGTTGCTTGTTTTTGTCAGGTTTGTCAATGATCACATGGTTGTGGACATGTGGTGTTATTTCTGAGGCCTCTGTTCTGTTCCATTGGTCTATATATCTGTTTTGGTACCAGTACCATGCTGTTTTTGTTACTGTAGCCTTGTAGTATAGTTTGAAGTCAGGTAGCGTGATGCCTCCAGCTTTGTTCTTTTTTGTTAGGATTCTCTTGGCAATGCGGGCTCTTTTTTGGTTCCATATGAAAGTTAAAGTAGTTTTTTCCAATTCTGTGAAGCAAGTCAGTGGTAGCTTCATGTGGATAGCATTCATTCTGTAAATTACTTTAGGCAGTATGGCCATTTTCATGATACTGATTCTTCCTATCCATGAGCATGGAATGTTTTTCCATTTGTTTGTGTCCTCTCTTATTTCCTTGAGCAGTGGTTTGTAGTTCTCCTTGAAGAGGTCCTTCATGTCCCTTGTAAGTTGTATTCCTAGATATTTTATTCTCTTTGTAGCAATAGTGAATGGGAGTTCACTCATGATTTGGCTGTCTGTCTGTTATTGGTGTATAGGAATGGTTGTGATTATTGCACATTAATTTTTTATCCTGAGACTTTGCTGAAGTTGCTTATCAGCTTAAGGAGATTTTGGGCTGAGACGATGGGGTTTTCTAAATATACAATCATGTCATCTGCAAATAGGGACAATTTGACTTCCTCTTTTCCTAATTGAATACCCTTTATTTCTTTCTCTTGCCTGATTGCCCTGGCCAGAACTTCCAATACTATGTTGAATAGGAATGGTGAGAGAGGCTATCCTTGTCTTGTGCCGGTTTTCAAAGGGAATGCTTCCAGTTTTTGCCCATGCAGTATTATATTGGCTGTGGGCTTGCCAGAAATAGCACTTATTATTTTGAGATACGTTCCATCAGTAGCTAGTTTATTGAGAGTTTTTAGCATGAAGGCTGTTGAATTTCGTCAAAGGCCTTTTCTGCATCTATTGAGATAATCATGTGCTTTTTGTTATTGGTTCTGTTTATGTGATGGATTACGTTTATTGATTTGCGTATGTTGAACCAGCCTTGCATCCCAGGGATGAAGCTGACTTGATCGTGGTGGATAAGCTTTTTGATGTGCTGCTGGATTCAGTTTGCCAGTATTTTATTGAGGATTTTCGCATTGATGTTCATCAGGGATATTGGCCTAAAATTTTCTTTTTTGGTTGTGTCTCTGCCAGGTTTTGGTATCAGGATGATGCTGGCCTCATAAAATGAGTTAGGGAGGATTTCCTCTTTTTCTATTGTTTGGAATCATTTCAGAAGCAATGGTACCAGCTCTTCTTTGTACCTCTGGTAGAATTCGGGTGTGAATCCATCTGGTCCTGGACTTTTTTTGATTGGTAGGCTATTACTGCCTCAATTTCAGAACTTGTTGTTGGTCTATTCAGGGATTCAACTTCTTCCTGGTTTAGTCTTAGGAGGGTGTATGTGTCCCGGAATTTATCCATTTCTTCTAGATTTTCTAGTTTATTTGCTTAGAGGTGTTTATAGTATTCTCTGATGGTAGTTTGTATTTCTTTGGGATTGGTGGTGATATCCCCTTTATCATTTTTTATTGCATCTATTTGATTCTTCTCTCTTTTCTTCGTTATTAGTCTGGCTAGTAGTCTATCTATGTTGTTGATCTTTTCAGAAAACCAGCTCTTGGATTCATTGATTTTTTTGAGGGGTTTTTCATGTCTCTATCTCCCTCAGTTCTGCTCTGATCTTAGTTATTTCTTGTCTTCTGCTAGCTTTTGAATTTGTTTGCTCTTGCTTCTCTAGTTCTTTTAATTGTGATGGTAGGGTGTTGATTTTAGATCTTTCCTGCTTTCTCTTGTGGGCATCTAGTCCTATAAATTTCCCTCTACACCCTGCTTTAAATGTGTCACAGAGATTCTGGTACGTTGTGTCTTTGTTCTCATTCGTTTCAAAGAACATCTTTATTTCTGCCTTCATTTCATTATGTACCCAGTAGTCATTCAGGAGCAGGTTGTTCAGTTTCCATGTAATTGTGCGATTTTGCATGAGTTTCTTAATCCTGAGTTCTAATTTGATTGCACTGTAGTCTGAGAGACTGTTTGTTATGATTTCTGTTCTTTTGCATTTGCTGAGGAGTGTTTTACTTCCAATTATGTGGTCAATTTTAGAATAAGTGTGATGTGGTGCTGAGCAGAATGTATATTCTGTTGATTTGGGGTGGAGAGTTCTGTAGATGTCTATTATGTGGTCAATTTTAGAATAAGCGCAATGTGGTGCTGAGCAGAATGTATATTCTGTTGATTTGGGGTAGAGAGTTCTGTAGATGTCTCCTTGGTCCAGAGCTGAGTTCAAGTCCTGGATATCCTTGTTAATTTTCTGTCTCGTTGATCTCTCTTGTGTTGACAGTGGGTGTTAAAGTCTCCCAGTATCATTGTGTGGGAGTCTAAGTCTCTTTGTAGGTCTGTAAGAACTTTGCTTTATGAACCTGGGTGCTCCTATATTGGGTACATGTATATTTAGGATAGCTATCTCTTCTTGTTGCATTGATCCCTTTACCCTTATGTAACGCCCTTCTTTGTCACTTTTGGTCTTTGTTGATTTAAAGTCTGTTTTATCAGAAACTAGGATTGCAACCCCTGCTTTTTTTTTTTTTTTTTTTTTTTTTTTTTTTTTTTTTTTTTGCTTTCCATTTCCTTGGTAAATATTCCTCCATCCCTTTATTTTGAGCCTACGTGTGTCTTTGCAGATGAGATGGGTCTCCTGAATACAGCACACTGATGGGTCTTGACTCTTTATCCAATTTGCCAGTCTGTGTGTTTTAATTGGGGCATTTAGCCCATTTACATTTAAGGTTAATATTGTTATGTGTGAATTTGATCCTGTCATTATGATGCTAGCTGGTTATTTTACCTGTTAGTTGATGCAGTTTCTTCATAGTGTGGATAGTCTTTACAATTTGGTATGTTTTTGCAGTGGCTGGTACTGGTTGTTCCTTTCCATGTTTAGTGTTTCCTACAGGAGCTCTTGTAAGGCAGGCCTGGTGGTGACAAAATCTCTCAACATTTGCTTGTCTGTAAAATATTTTATTTCTCCTTTGCTTATGAAGCTTAATTTGGCTGGATATGAAATTCTGGGTTGAAAATTTTTTTCTTTAAGAACATTGAATATTGGCCCCCACTGTCTTCTGACTTGTAGGGTTTCTGTCAAGAGATCTGCTGTTAGTCTGATGGGTTTCCATTTGTGGGTAACCTGACCTTTCTCTCTGGCTTCCCTTAACATTTTTTCCTTCATTTCAACCCTGGTGAATCTGACTATTATGTGTCTTGGGGTTGCTCTTCTCGAGGAGTATCTTTGTGGTGGTCTCTGTATTTCCTGAATTTGAATGTTGGCATGCCTTGTTAGGTTGGGGAAGTTCTTCTGAATAATATCCTGAAGTGTTTTCCAACTTGGTTCCATTCTCCCTGCTACTTTCAGGTACACCAATCAAATGTAGATTTGGTCTTCTCACATAGTCCCATATTTCTTGGGGGCTTTCTTTTCACTCTTATTTCTCTAATCTTGTCTTTTGCTTTATTTCATTGAGTTCATCTTCAATCTCTGATATCCTTTCTTCTGCTTGATCGATTCGGCTATTGATGCTTGTATATGCTTCATGCACTTCTTGTGCTGTGTTTTTCAGCTCCATCAAGTCATTTATGTTCTTCTCTAAAGTAGTTATTCTAGTTAGCAATTCATCTAACATTTTTTCAAGGTTCTTAGCTTCCTTGCATTGGGTTAGAACATGCTCCTTTAGTTCAGAGGAGTTTGTTATTACCCGCCTTCTGAAGCCTCTTCTGTCAGTTCGTCAAACTCATTCTCCATCCAGTTTTCTTCCCTTGCTGGCGAGGAGTTGTGATCCTCTGGAGGAGAAGAGACATTCTGGTTTTTGGAATTTTCAGCCTTTTTGCACTGGTTTCTCCCCATCTTTGTGGATTTGTCTACCTTTGGTCTTTGAAGTCGGTGCCCTTCAGATGGGGTCTCTGAGTGGCCATCCTTTTTGTTGATGTTGCTACTATTCCTTTCTGTCTGTTAGTTCTCCTTCTAACAGCCAGGCCCCTCTTCTGCAGGCCTGCTGGAGTTTGATGGAGGTCCACTCCAGACCCTGTTTGCCTGAGTATTACCAGTGGAGGCTGCAGAACAGCAAAGATTGCTGCCTGTTTTTTCCTCTGGAAGCTTTGTCCCAGAGTGGCACCTGCCAGTTGCCAGCGAGAGCTCTCCTATATGAGATGTCTGTTGGCCCCTACTGGGAGGTGTCTTCCAGTCAGAATACACAGGGGTCAGGGACCCACTTGAGGAGGCAGCCTGTCCCTTATCAGAGCTTGAATGCTGTGCTGGGAGATCTGCTGCTCTCTTAAGAGCTGTCAGGCAAGGACATTTAAGTCTGCTGAAGCTGCACTTGCAGCTGCCCCTTCCCCCGGGTGCTCTGTCCCAGGGAGATGGGGGTTTTATCTGTAAGTCCCTGACTGAGGCTGTTGCCTTTTTTTCAGAGATGCCCTGCCTAGAGAGGCAGTCTGGCCACAGCAGCCTTGCTGAGCTGTGGTGGGCTCCGCCCAGTTCAGACTTACGAGAGGCTTTGTTTACACTGTGAGGGCAAAACCACCTACTCCATCCTTAGCAATGGTGGATGCCCCTCCCCCTACAAAGCTTGAGCATTCTAAGTCGACCTCAGACTGCTGTGCTAGCAGCAAGAATTTCAAGCCAGTGGATCTTAGCTTGCTCGGCTCTATGGGGGTGGGACCTGCCGAGCCAGGCACTGGAGGGAATTTCATGGTCTGCCGGTTGTGAAGACCATGGGAAAAGTGCAATATCTGGGCCGCAGTGCACTGTTCCTCCCGGTACAGTCTCTCAAGGCTGCCCTTGGCTAGGAATGGGAAATCCCCTGACCCCTCGTGCTTCCCGGGTGAGGCAATGCCCCACCCTGCTTCAGCTCGCCCTCTGTGGGCTGCACCCACTGTCCAACCAGTCCCAATGAGATGAACTGGGTACCTCAGTTGGAAATGCAGAAATCACCTGTTTTCTGCATTGATCTTGCTGGGAGCTGCAGACTGGAGCTGTTCCTATTCAGCCATCTTGACAGCCACTGAGAATTGTTATAAAAAAAAAAAAAAAAAAAAGCTCTGGCTAGCCATATGCAGAAAGCTGAAACTGGACCCCTTCCTTACACCTTATACAAAAATTAACCCAAGATGGATTAAAGACTTAAACATAAGACCTAAAACCATAAAATCCTAGAAGAAAACCTAGGCAATACCATTCAGGACATAAGCATGGGCAAAGAGTTCATGACTAAAACACCAAAAGCAATGGCAACAAAAACTAAAATTGACAAATGGGATCTAATTAAACTAAAGAGCTTCTGCACAGCAAAAGAAACTATCATCAGAGTGAACAGTTAACCTACAGAATGGGAGAACATTTTTGCAATCTATCCATCTGACAAAGGGCTAATATCCAGAATCTACAAAGAACTTAAATTTACAATAAAAAAAACCCCATCAAAAAGTGGGTGAAGGATATGAACAGACACTTCTCAAAAGAAGACATTTATGTGGCCAACAAACATATGAAAAAAAGCTCATCATCACTGGTCATTAGAGAAATGCAAATCAAAACCTCAATGAGATAACATCTCACACCAGTTAGAATGGCAATCACTAAAAAGCCAGGAAACAACAGATGCTGGAGAAGATGTGGAGAAATAGGAATGCTTTTGTTGGTGGGAGTGTAAATTAGTTCAACCATTGTGGAAGACAGTGTGGTGATTCCTCAAGGATCTAGAACCAGAAATACCATTTGACCACCAATCCCATTAATAGGTATATAACCAAAGGATTATAAATCATTCTACTATAGACACATGTTGCTGGGCACAGTGGCTCACACCTGTAATCCCAACACTTTAGGAGGCCGAGGCAGGTGGATCATGAGGTCAAGAGATCAAGACCATTTCCTGGTCAACATGGTGAAACCCCAACTCTACTAAAACTATAAAAAAAAAAAAAAGCTGGGTGTGGCGGCATGCACCTGTAGTCCCAGCTACTTGGGAGGCTGAGGCAGGAGAATTGCTCGAACCTGGGAGGCAGAGGTTGCAGTGAGCTGAGATTGCGCCACTGCACTCCAGCCTGGCGACAGAGCAAGACTCCATATCAAAAAAAAAAAAAAAAAGAGAAAAGACACATGTACACGTATGTGTATTGAGGCATTATTCACCATAGCAAAGACTTGGAACCAACTCAAATGCCCATCAATGATAGACTGGATAAAGCAAATGTGGCACATATATACCATGGAATACTAGGCAGCCATAAAAAAGGATGAGTTCATGTCCTTTGCAGGGATATGGATGAAGCTGGAAACCATCATTCTAAGCAAACTATCACAGGAACAGAAAACCAAACACCGTATGTTCTCACTCATAAGTGGGAGGTGAACAATGAGAACACATGAATACAGGGAGGGAAATATCACACACCAGGGCCTGTCGGGGGTTGGGGGAGCTAGGGGAGGGATAGCATTAGGAGAAATACCTAATGTAGTTGACAGGCTGATGGGTAGAGCAAACCACCGTGGCACATGCATACCTATGTAACAAACATGCACATTCTGCACATGTATCCCAGAACTTAAAGTATTAAAAAAAAAACTGTAGTTGTAATGTTGAGTGCTGCCTAACAGTCAGGCAAAATAATGATTGAAAAGTACCTGTTGGATTTAACAACAAGAATTTCATTAGAGTCCTTTACCAGAACCTTTTAGTGACCAAGTAGGGAAGAAGATCCAAAAGAAGTGGCAGAGTCAGGAATATGATCAGGATGCTCACCAGCACTGCTTCTTTACCACTGTACTGAAGGCCGATGCACAAAACAAAAAAGTATAAGGATTAGAAAGAAACAAGTGTCATTACTTACAGATGATATACTATTTTGTATTAGAAAAATCCAAGAGAATCTACAAGCTAGTGAGTTCAAGAATATGTAAAACTCAGTTTGATTTTTGTTCTAAGTGCTTGACACATACGATTTTATTTAATCCTCTTAATAACTATGATCAACTACAATTTTCAGCTCCATTTTATTGATGAGGAAATTGTGGTGCAGAAGGGTTAAGTAACTTGTGCAATCACACAGCCATGCAAATAGCAGTATGAGAATTTGAGCCCAATCGGCTGCAAGGGCCCAGCTGCCGGTGCCTATACTCTCTAAACAACTTCTCTCCTCTATTTTCAAAGACAGAGTCAGAAATAGTAATTAGAAGGGACCCAGGAGGGTTTTTTTTTTTTAATTTGAAGATAAGAGAATGTTGAGCAGGTGCGTGAGGGTGAAGAGGGACTAATTGAAGGAACTTAGTTCTGGAAGAGATTGAAAAAAGAAAAAACTTGAGAGAAGTTCAACCTTGGTCAGGAGAAATGTGCCCTTATCCTCTGACACTAGCTTAAGGGTTGTTATGTCTGAAACAAACCACAGAGTTTGGAGTAGGCATTTCTGGTCTTGTTTTGATCCTGTTGACAAGTGCCCTCTCAGTACATATTATGGGCAATGCTGCGTTAGGATTTGTTCCTTTAATTTTTGTGACATATGACGCAGTTTCTCTGGCCAGAGGCTTCTCTTAGGTCAGCATACATTTCTCACTTAGTTCATCCAAGCAGTGCCTTCAGAGAGAGTTTACTACGAGGAAGATCTGTCAGGAGCACATGTATAACATTTTTTAGTCATTCTAGTTAGTTGGCTTCAGGACAAAATAAAAACCTCCCAGCTGATGAATACAAAGTACCTGATGTCACCTTCTTAAATGCCTCAAAGTAGCATGGGGCTACTCAAGTTTTATGATATATAAACATAAAATATAAAACATAGATTTTTAAAAAATGGGATCAACACTGCTCAGGTGGCAGTTGGTCCAAAGAAAAAATAGTCAGGTACCAACCTCTAATAAGAAACATTTGCATAATGGCACATCCCTGACAGATCCAAAAGGGTCTCCAAATTTTATTACTTCTGTTTTACCCTAGCAACATTAATAAGTACATCATAACAGGCATTTTTTGGCCAAGAAAAATCAAATACTCTTTGGGAGGTAAAACGGATTTTGATGCCTTCAAATGAATGCTGGAGGAATTTGGCAAAAGACATTCTAGCAAATGCCAAAATAGCAGTCATCCAGGATACTGTGTGTTTGACTCACAGCCAGTCAGGCACAGGCAAAGTCTGACGTGTTGCTTCTTTACACCACCAGAGTAACACTTAGGAGAATGTTCTAGATGTGTAAATGTTCAAAACTTGAGCTCAGACCAGACCTAAGTGGTATACAACCTGTTCAAGGTTGATTTAATTGCTAGCAATTGTATATTCCTTAAGGTCTTTATGGCCTTTTGTCAGCATGGCATGGCAAGACAAGAAAAATTTTAAAACCACTGGTTATGTAGAGTGTTTTTTGGGTATGGAACCATATCTTGTGACTTAGCCCCGGAAGAGTCACCTGTGACACCATGATTGCAGGCTCTTTGGGGTTTGGACTGAAGTCTGGAAACTGCTGCATATGCTACATCAGAAATTTTAAATATAGTACCAGGTCTTAAGCAAATATAGAAAGTGAAAACAGCAGAATTCTAACAAGAATTAAGTGTTCTGATAGGCCAGTGGAAATGGGGAGCAAGGAACATTCACTGTTTCAGGGAACCAGCTTTAGGGACTGAGGTATCAAAAAGAAGGGATTGGATATACAAGTGGACAGGTTGGAGAGATCTCTAACCTGGGTAGAGGGAAAATAGTTAGAAGCACCCAGTTGTTAGGTTAGGGCTAGAATGAGCCTCATGTAGAACTCATCGGTGTTTGACTAGGGCTTCTTAACTCTTCTCTTCCCCCCTCAGCTCCCAAGTTTCAGACTGCCCAAAGCCTGGAAAAAGAGCTAAATCTAAAATTAGCTGAAGTTGCTGAGGATGCAACTTGGAGGTTGGGGCACAGACTTAGACAAGCCTTACGTCTTCCTGCTCCAGACAGTGCTAAGTAAGGGGGAAATATTTTCCTAAGATAGATGGGCACATAACCCCATTAACTCCCAAAGGAGTATGAAAGGGAATATGTGCTTATTTCACAATAATCTTTTATTGCAAAATTTACTGATGCAGAAGCAGAAACTAATGCAGGTGGCAAGTGAGAGGAATGTAACTTTGTTTCCCAGCATTTAGAAGTCCGTGAACCCAAGTGTAGACCAAGTGAACCTTTAAAGACAACACATGGGTATTACTTGGTCAGGGTAACAGACCATATAAGTAGGTAGTCAAATAATTCTAACTAGAAAACCTGAAAAAATAAATTGCTGAAAAAGGAGGTTGAATGAACAGTAATCATTCCTGTGTGATTAGTAAACTTTTAAGACCCTGTTATGGTGAATTGTATCACTGTACTTTTCAAGTAGACAACATTCAATTAGACACCTGCCTAAGGAGCATATTTTTCATTGACTTTTGATTATCAAAAATTGAGATCTTTCTCATGCCCAGACTATTGCCAAGGAAACAAGAGTAACAGTTTCCACTCAGCAGCCTGGCTAAATTCCAGAACCCCATGTGACTGGGCAGACTCCTGGAGTCTTTCTGATGACCAATATCAGAGATGCCTTGTCTGTGGCCTATTGTGTTTTCCTGTATAAATGCTTCATGGGAAAATTTATACTCTAGATCAAATAAATAAGAGCGAATCCTAATCACCTTTTATTGAACACTTAATAAATACCAGACAGTATGCCAAGCCTCAAACATAAATGATCTTATTTAATTCTTACGAATCTTAGGGACAAACCGTTTTCACTCATGTTGTAGAGGAAGCTAGCCTAAGAGAGTTCAAACAACTTACCCCAACTCACCCAGTTACTAAGTTTCAGAATCAGAATTTGAACTCAAGGAGTTTGATGTTTATGCCCATGATTTTAATCATTATATTCTACTGCCTTTTCTCTTCCCGTTTTTGAAATTAGCTCAGAACTAAAACCATTTTCGAAATATTAGAATTGTTTACTGGTGTAATTCTCTGTACAAAAATCTTACAAAGCAAGTGTAAACAATGGAATAAATGAAAGCTTCAAGTGAATATACACAATGAAAATTATATATGAAAATATTAAGTTCATTTATGCTATATCAAAAAAGAGACTTGAACAAAAACTATTATTTGGGATATTTATTGAAATGCCTCTTAAAAGAGAATTTGCCTCTTATCAGTTTGAAAAACTTTATTTTTTTTTTAACTTTTAGGTTTGGAGGCACATGTGAAGGTTTTTTACATATGTAAACATGTGTTACAGGGGTTTGTTGTAGATATTATTTCATCACCCAGATATTAAGCCCAGTATCCAATAGTTATCTTTTCTGCTCCTTTCTCTCCTCGCATCCTCCCCCTTCAAGTAGACCCAGTGTCTGTTATTTCCTTCTTGTGTTTATAGGTTCTTATAATTTAGCTATAATTAGCAAAATTATATTTTATCATTTAGCTACCACTTATAAGTAAGAACATGTGGTATTTGGTTTTCTGTAACTGTGTTATTTTTCTAAGAATAATAGCCTCCAGCTCCATCCATGTTCCTGCAAAAGACATGACCTTGTTCTTTTTTATGGCTGCATAGTATTCCATGGTGTATATGTACCATATTTTCTTTATGCAATCTGTCATTGATGGGCATTTAGGTTGATTCCTTGTCTCTGCTGTTGTGAATAATGCTGCAGTAAACATCCACATGCATGTGTCTTTATGGCAAAATGATTTATCTTCCTCTGGGTATATACCCAGTAATGGGATTGCTGGGTCCAATGGTAGCTCTGCTGTTGAGCTCTTTGTAGCGAGGAATTGCCATACTGCTTTCCACAATGGTTGAACTAATTTACACTCCCACCAACAGTGTATAAGTGTTCCCTTTTCTCCACAACCTCACAAGTATCTGTTATATTTTGACTTTTTAATAATAGCCTTTCTGACTGGTGTGAGATGGTATCTCCTTGTGGTTCTGATTTGCATTTCTCTAATGATGAGTGATATTGAGCTTTTTTTCCATATGCTTGTTGGCTGCATGTATGTCTTCTTTTGAGAAGTGTCTGTTTGTGTCCTTTGCCCACTTTTTAATGGGGTTGTTTGTTTTTTCTTGTAAATTTAAGTTCCTTATGGATGCTGGATATTACACCTTTGTCAGATGCATAGTTTGAAAATATTTTCTCCATTCTGTAGGTTGTCTGTTTACTCTGTGGACAGTTTCTTTTGCTGTGTCTGCAGAAGCTCTTCAGTTTAATTAGATCCCACTTGTCAATTTTTGCTTTCATAGCAATTGCTTTTGGCATCTTTGTCATGAAATCTTTGCTTGTTCCTATGTCCAGGATGGTATTGCCTAGGTTGTCTTCCAGGGTTTTCATAGTTTTGGGTTTTACAGTTAAGTCTTTATCCATCTTGAGTTGATTTTTGTATATAATGTAAGGAAGGGGTCCAGTTTCTATCTTCTGCATATGGATAGACAGTTTTCCCACCACCATTTATTGAATAGGGAGTCTTTTTCCCCGTTGCTTGTTTTTGTCAGCTTTGTTGAAGATCAGATGGTCATAGATGTGCAGCCTTATTCCTGGGCTCTCTATTCTGTTCCATTGGTCTATGTGCCTGTTTTAGTACCAGTACTATGCTGTTTTGGGTACTGTAGACTTGCAGGAATTATTTTCTACCCTGCTTGAATTTTAAAATAGCTCTCAAGGGACCTGATCCATAAAGATTTGCATCTATAATCTATAGAGTTGGAGCAGAATAATCATTTGATAAAAATGAAAGATGTCCCCATTTTTAGTTTCTCTAACGTTCAAGTAATCTTAAAGTTAAGGCAGATGTAAGGATAAGATGATTGGGGAATATCATGAAAATAGCCACCAAATACTGGACTACGTGAAATAGGACCAAAAGGGGTTAACATTGCCATGGACTGAACATGTTTGTACCCTGCAAAATTCATATGTTGAAACCTAATCCCCAGTGTGATGGTATTAGAAGATGGGGCCTTCGGGAGGTGGTTAGGTCATGAGGATAGAGTACTCATGATTGGGATTAATGACCTTATAAGGGGTTGAAGATACCAGATTTCTCCCCTTCCACCATGTAAGGACATATTAAGAAGGCACCATCTATGAACCAAGAAGAGGGCCCTTACCAGACACCATGAATGGCTGGCACCTTAATCTTAGATTCTCAGCCTCCAGAACTATGAGAAATAAATTTCTGTTGTTTATAAGCCACCCAGGTTATGGTATTTTGTTACAGAAGCCCAAATGGACTAAGACAAACATTAATTTTGTTTTTATATTTTCATAGAGAAATGATGGGATAACTGTAATATCCAGTTGTGTGTGGCTTTTTTTTCTCCCCTGTGGAAGAGGGGCCCTGGGCAGAACTTTATATTCTTGCACTTTTCAAGGACTTCAACCTTCATCTACACCACTATTCTAATTATTTTTATCACCCAAGCAGGTAGCTGAGTGTGCAGCACCCATCCATCCAGGCAGGTGGGAGCCCAAAGCACTCCTCACTAGGGTTGTAGAGCATGTGAGTATCTAGTCACTTGGCCAGAGCTTTTGACTAGGAGACCCAGTCAGACTGACTGACACTCCTCCTGCATCACTTTAGGGCTTCTTTTTTTTTTTCTTTTTCTGGTCTCTTTTGGAAAACCTGCTTCGGCAAATTCTTGTTGTTTTAATAGAGAATAGATTTCTTCTGCCTATTTAGTTCAGACCATTATTCTCTCTCCTATCTTTTTCAGACTTTGCACTCTTAAGTTTCTCTCATCCAGCACTTCCCTCTTCTTCCTTTCCACGTAACTTCAAGTGTGAGGGTGACAGAAAGACTGCAGATTTTGTGGAGACAGAGTCAAACCATGCCAAACTTCCATCTTCCTCCTCCTTCACCTTCTCCTTTTTGGGGATTGTAATGGGATCCATGGTATCACTGAGCTTTGCTACAAGGTGGAGTTGCCATTGATTATAGTGTTTAACTAGGGAGACTCAGAAAGGGAAACATACTTGCTTTTTCCTAGCATAGGGTTTTGTTTCCATTAAGCTTGAGAATGAATGAAGTTTACAGGAAGCTAGAAGTTTCACTGAGTCAATCCCTGTTCGCTTTATTCATCCAGGGCTTTGAAGTCATTAACACATAAAGTAGTGCTGAATTATAAATCTTGTCAGTAACACTAAGTATTTTCAGTTGTACATTATACTGTTGCTCAAGGAGAAGTAAATACAAAAATAAACAAACAGTAGAGGGCAGAATCAGGATTTATAAATGGAGTGGCTTTGTGATTCTGCTCTTCATAATCTGACTCTGGGTATGGGATTTGGATACGTAAATCTTATTAGAGCACCAATTTCCCCTCCTTCCCTCACCCCTCACCCCAGTTCAACAAAAATTAATTTTGTAAAAAAAAAAAATCAGTGTTGTAATGATCACACATGTTCATTCCCATTTAGTCTGCCTAAAGTTATGCCAGGAATTCTGTTCCAGGAAGTACAGATTTACAACATCAGCTGTCAACTTTTTTGTTTCCCATGTTCCAGTCTCTTTGAGAGCATCAGGCTACCAAGGCAGAGAATTTGTGATTTGTTTGTTCACTTATTCTTTAATTACCAGAAACATTGGAGGCTAGAGTACAAAAATGAATAAAACATAGTCCATACTCAAAAAATATATAATTCAAAGAGGCTTTTCATTCATAAGTTCTTTCAGTGTTTACTGATGATGTTCTTCAGGTGTTCTCACTTGCAGAATGCTGTGGCCATGCATCAGAATCACCTGAGACGTTACTAAAAATTAGCATTGCGTATGCTCCACCCCAGACCTACTGAATCGGAATCTCTAAGCATCTGTTCTGTTTTAAAGCCTGATAGGTAATTTTAATGTTATTGCTAGAGTGTTGAGAAACAAATTTACTGTGGAAAGTACAGTGATTGAATATGTCTGCACCTCAATCCTATATAGCCTTGTGTTTTAGTTACCATGTCAGCATATGTCAGCCTGTGTCTCCACCTCAATCCTGTATAAGCTTGTATTTTAGTTACCATATTTTCTCTGTACTGTTCCCTGTTATGTTCTGTTTACTAATCCTAGCCACTAGAATACCTATAGGTTTAATAGCTTTAACACTGAAATTATCCTGGGGCAGGTAAAATAAAGTTGCTGCTAAACACCAGAGTTAGTTTATTGGTTCAGACATCACCCATTCTGGTTCCTATTGCTGCTTTCTTATTGTGACTGCAAGGTCGAAATCCTGCACAGCTATTTGTGGTTCTGGTTTTTTTTTTTCCTTGAAGCAAAAGGATGCAGCAGTGTTATCCGAAGGGCTTTAAACAGTGAACCAAATGTAAGTTAAATATGGTGGCAGGAGCCATTCCATAAAGGTTACAAACTTGTTTTAGGAGTGAAGTGGGGACTTTTTTGGCTTGGTGCCAAAATGGAACTGGCATTGTTTTTTCAATTCAGCCTGCCTGGTATTTCTATCATAGCTTTGCTAGTTGATCAGTTTCCTCTCACTATGGCCTCTTATTCATTCCTTCATTTGGCAAATATTTGTTGAATACCTACTTATGTCAGGCACTGTTAAAGCAGTGGATGTAGTGGTAAATAAAATAGAAATGGTTTAGTCTATTTCTTTGAGCCTTCCTCAGAGAAAATGTCACTTCTTTGTCAATGTCTTTACAGCCTTTATCCTGAGACCAGGAGAGAAAAATTACCTAAATATCCAGTCTAGTTTAAAGCTTAAACTGATCCAGTAATTCAGACAGTCCCTTGGGGTAGTGTCATAAATGATGGCCATAGGTGTCTCCTGGTCTCAGGGGCAAGGTCCCTCATCCACTTTAGTGCTGCTTGTTCTGCTGTCATTTAGGGCTGAAATATGTGGCTGTAGGCTGCTTGCTCAGAACCCAGTAGCACTCTGGCTACCTGGGCCTCCCCCTGACTTCTGGTTGCACCCCCCTGAGCCTCTGGTGTGTCTGCCATCCAGTTCATCCTCTTATAATCTCTCAGTATCTGTGCCTTATGGGAACTATGGGGGCTCAGGAAACCTGAACCTCAGACACTTCTCTACCAGACCTGCTACAACGCTGAGTCACTGTTTCTGTGCACCATGTTGTGGTGGAGGCTGCCTGAGAGTTGATCTTCTCTAGACTCCCAAACATGAAGAAGGAGTGGGCACTTGGCCTTTGATTTTATCCTCACTTATTTAACAAACTGATTTATCTCCAGGCTGAGGAAATCAGTGTTGCTTTGCTGCACTTCCATCTCGCATAGTCTGGAAGTCTGGAAGGACTTTTTCCTACATTATATCCTTCTCTTGCCATAGACCTAGCATGGCAGTTATAGTTGGATGGAATATCTCCTCTACACTCCCTTTTGTATGGGCATGTTGGTTGATATAGAAAAGGGAGAAAAAGTATTTTGGAAAAGTCTTTAAGATGACTTTTCGCTTATAAACTACTGTTTTCCTGCATGTCATAGATTATATTTTTCTCTGCTTGTTCATTCTCCCTTCCTTTTCCGTGTGATATGCAACACCTCCTATGAGAGGAGTACACATCCTTGCCCCATTGATGTTAGGCTTAAATGTGTGACTTTCTTTGGCCAGTGACGTGTGAACAGATATGATATAGACCACATCTGGGCAGAAGTTTTGAAAGTCAGCACAGGGCCGGGCGCGGTGGCTCATGCCTGTAATCCCAGCACTTTGGGAGGCCGAGGAGGGCAGATCATGAGGTCAGGAGATAGAGACCATTCTGGCTAACACAGTGAAACCCTGTCCCTACTAAAAATATGAAAAATTAGCTGGTTGTGTTGGCACGCACGTGTAGTCCCAGCTACTCGGGAGGCTGAGGCAAGAGAATCGCTCAGGAGGCAGAGGTTGCAGTGAGCTGAGATGGCACCACTGCACTCCAGCCCGGGCAACAGAGCGAGACTCTGTCTCGGAAAAAAAAAAAAAAACAAAAAAAAAAACTAGAAAAGAAAGTCAGCACAGGTTTCCACCAGCCCTCTTTATTCCTTCTGCCGTGAAAGTGGCATGACCAAAATCAGGGCTGTTGCTTCTGCAAGGGTCGCAGAATAAGAGTCATGTAACAGAAACCAAGCTGCCCCTGACCTGAATCCAAACTGCACTGTAGTGAGAAAATTTTGTCCTTATAAACATGAAGATTTGGGGTTGTTACTGCAGCAAAGCTGACTTAATTCTTTCCAAATATTCCATGTTACATAACAAGAGGAACTAAATATGGAAAATATTCTAACCTCTAGTTTTTTTGGGTTTTTTTTGTTTTTGTTGTTGTTGTGTTTGTTTTTTGCTCTGGAGAAAGAAGTGACCATCGTTATGGAAATAAATGCTATGCATACAGCATATCCAGGTGAAAATTAGTAATTAAAGGATAGAAAGTCTTATTTTAAGATTGTGACATTGTTATAGGGACGTAATATAGAGAAGAAGGTACTAACCCTATTCAGTGGTGGGTTAATTCTGGGTTGTGATCCCAGGGTCATTGTCCACAGTTTGTGAACAACCATGGGATCCTTTCTGTCTTTATTTGTGTGGATGCAAGCGATATAGCTCAGATTCCAACAAACACCACAGATTCTTCTTGCTATTTTTTATTGCATTGTATTTTAGGAATTTGTAAACATGTAAGATTTATTTAGTGGTGAATACACCTGTTTATTTACTTACGCCAGAGGCAAGCAAAAGAACTGGTAGACAATGAAGAAAGAACTGTTGATCCCACAGTGATCATTTTAGCTAATCTGTGCACACATGGTAATCACCATGAGCAGAATAAATTTTGGAAAAAGAAAAATATAGTAGCTTTTTCCTTTAGAAATGCTTAGGATTCCTCTGGATTTGAGTGGTTGGAATTTCCCTGCTGATATATTTCTGGTTTGTATATAGAACTGCCCACCATTTTCTGTTTGAGAAAAATCATTTCATCATGCTCAAACCTTGGGTTTGCTAAGAAAAAATAATAGTCCTAACTTCGGATACTTTATTGTGATAGACAGGGCTTGCAACTGAATCTGATAACAGATTCGTAGTTCAGTTCTCTTGAGTAAATAAATAATAAGCTGTGAAGAAAAGCAACAATGTAGGGCCAAATCACTTTTAAAGTAATTGTTCATGTGCTATAAATGTGGAAAGGGAAAAAAACTAGATAGAACATGAGAAATACAGTAATAGTTAATCTAGTGTATTTTAATACAGTCAAATGCTATTTTAAATCGTAGAATAGGTATGACAGAAGAGGGTAATGAGTGGAACTTTTTGCTTAAGACAAAACATACTGAATGAAATTTGTTTCTATCAAGAAAGAGAGAGGCCAGATGTGGGGGTTCATGCCTGCAATCCCAGCACTTTGGGAGGCCAAGGCGGGTGGATCACTTGAGGTCAGCAGTTTGAGACCAGCCTGGCCAACATGGCGAAACCCTGTCTCTACCAAAAATACAAAAACAATGAGCCAGGCTTGGTGGTACATGCCTGTAGTCCCAGCTACTCAGGAGGCTGAGACACGAGAATCACTTGAACCCAGGAGGCAGATGTTGCAGAGAGCTGAGATGGTGCCACTGCACTCTAGCCTGGGTGACAGAGTGAGACTCTGCCCCACCCTGCCCCACCAAAAAAAGGAATTAAGGAGGGTGGAAGGAAATTAGGCTGACCATAATTGCCAGAGCCTGTATAAGTAAAGTGAATGAGAAAAGGTGTGATTTTCCTGGATCAGGTTTCAGAACTTATCCTGTTTAACAAAGAAAATCATATGTTGCTGATTCCCAGAAAGGCGGTAAGTGAGCAGCCACCAAGCCTGGCTCTCAAGAGTGGTAGGCTCCTCACCTGTCATTCAGTGGGCATCCATATCTGTTGGCTTTCTGTATACTATTCATATTTAATACTCCCTATTTTCTTAACACTCCCAGCTCTAATTCTTCCACAGATCCTACTGTACCAAATTTTATTCCAAAGTCAACAGCATTTCACATTTATACTTAGAATACTAATTAAATTATGAGTTACCATTTAATGCATAGAGTACCCTAATAACCTGAAAAATGAAGACTTGCTTCTGATGTTGACTTACTCAGTTGTTCCTATACTTTGGCAGACTGCATAGATGTATAAGATATTAGATATAATACATATAATTACATATATTTGTGTGTGTGTATATATATGTGTGTGTGTACATTCTCCCATGCATCTCTTTTGTTTGCTAGAATATCCTTCTTATCAATATCTAACTTCCTTTAATGTCCATTTAAATGGCATTTCCTCTATGAAGCCTCCATTCACTCTCTCTTAACCCCTAGCTAGACGTTACCTCTTCCCATGTCTACATTCCAATAGCATTTAATTATTTTTTTCATAGGGAGTTTTAATGATATTTTGTTCTATATTATAGTTATTTGTATATATTTGTATCCCCCCTAATAATGGTGATGGTGGTAGCAGCTACCATATGTTGAGAACTTTCTGTTGGCCAGCCACTGGATTAAACTCTATTCCTCACAATACCACTGTGAGTTAAGTATTACTACCCCACTTCTACAAATGAGGAAGTTGAGGCTGAAAGAGCTTGAGCTAGGTGGGCCAAATTCATACAGCTAGTTTGGTAAAGTTGAGATTTAAAAGCAAATCTGTTACTCTCCAGATCTCATACCTATAAACCATTCCCCTATTACTCACTTATGAATTGAGTGAGGATGTAGGTTGAGGGCAAATGGAGGAAACTCACTTTTACTGAATGTATAATCTGTGCCTGACACTTGACTAAGAGCTTTCAGGTATTTTATCACATGAAGTAGATGTTTTTATTTACATTTTATGGATGAGAAAACCCATGCTTACTATAAACAAAGATAAAAATAACAGACTTTGAGAAGATATTCGTATTTTATTTTACTGGCAAAGAATTCAGAGCCAGAATATGTTTTTAAAATTCCACAAATCAATTTTTAAAAAATGAACCAATTCCCCAATTTAAGAAATGATCAAAAGAAATGAACAGGAAGTTTACTTAAGGGTAACCTGTAATAGGAAAAAACGTATGAAATGATAACTTTATTAGCAATTAGGGAAATATAAGTTAAAAGATGAGATACCATTTCAAACCTGTAATGTTGGCAAAAATTAAAATGCCTGACATGTAGTTTTGCTAAATGAGAATGCACCTAAAATGCACAATGCTAGGTACAAAAGAAAATGATATGCCACTCTGGAGAACACTCTGGTGTTGTGAAGGTTATCATACCCTGTGACTCAGCAATTCCACTTCTTAATATATATCTTAAAGAAATTCTCCCAGGAGACATGTTTAGTGCCAATATTATGAGGGGGATGGACAAATTGTGATATTTTCATACAGTCGAAAATCATAAAAAAAAAAATCATAGGGAGTTAAAACAAATGATCTGCCACACATCTGGTGTTTATTTTCTGTACTTTTCTCTATGATTAAAATATTAATAATGTAAAACAAAAGATGAAAGAAACCTAGATTCCAACTGTACATTGTAACACTTAACAAATGTTTATTGAATTAAAATTTCATTTATGTTCACAATGGTAATAGCAGTCACAATTTACTGAGTGCTTATTTATTGCTAGGTGCTACATATACTTCATATCCTTCACATCCAACAACCTTGCAAGGCAGGTCTTGTTAGGCCAGCCACTAGATATGGAAAACGAGACCTAGGAAGGTAAAGAAAGGTTATCTTCTTTCTTGATATCATGCTGATTCTCAGAAATTCACAAAGTACTGCCCTTGTGTCCTGAAAGCATTAATGTTCCATAATTTATAATCAGTTAATAACCTGAGCTTTAAAATGATCCATTTTAATATAGTAAAAAGTGACATTCAAATACTGTAAATTTTATATTACTGAAGACTTTAGTGTTTGCCAATTCTTGTAATTTTGTTTTTAGACTACTGGAGGATCACTGGTGGGAATGTGTATGGACTGCAAACAAGTCCAATTTACTTTAAAAGAGGCTTTAAAAATACACTCTACAGTTTTTAAGTCTAGACGTTTAAGTTGAGAGGAGCTTATTTCTTTAAAAGAAATAAATGAAAAGGTTTTGTACTAAAACAGGCTCTTTCCCACAAAGAAAGTTCCGTATTATTAAGCTCAAGGTGCTTTGTAATGTTCTGCCTATTGCCACCTCCCTGTTTTCTGTCCACAGCCCCTTGGCTTACTTGTCTGGCCTCTGAGCCTTTGTACATGTCATTTCCTCTGAGTAAAATGTTATTTCAACATTATAGCTTAGGACTCCTATGTCAGGTTATAACTCTCACTGCCTCATTTGCAAGCAATTCCTGTAACAACCTCCAGATGGGGAGATACTGGGGGACCTGGGGAAATTGAGGGGAAATGGGAGTGTCTTCAGGTATCATCTAGATGGTAACTACATTTCAGGGGCAAGAACGTCTCTTGTAGACCCCTGACCTCAACCCAGGAGTGTACATAACTGGTGTGGCCCAAAGACTGGGGCTTTTTGTGTCCCCTTGCCCCTATTTTTGCATAAATACATATCTAACAGATAAGCTACTGGACCTCTGAGCTCCTCTCACTCCTCTCCCCAACATTTCTTCTCCTTCAAATTTGCCCCATTGCTTTTTTCCAAATCACCATGTTCTTAACCTCCAGGGTCATTTTTCTGATCTACCTGAAGCCATTCTGTAACAAATGCATATAACCCAAAACTTTGTAACATTAATCTGATAGTTACTTGACTATATGAAAAACGGTATGCAGCTGTGGAAATAGTGCTAGACTACTCAGATGGTCTAGAGTCAGGGCTGGCTCTTCCATTTCACATGTGTCCCTGAGCAAGTCTCTTTCTTCCTCTCCATTAGAAGGAAAGTAAGCTCACTGGAATCCTGGAACCAGCCTATCCTGGCCCACAAAATACGATTGTTAAATTTTTGGCAATCTCATGAGCTTTTTTTCTTTTAAAATTATTCAAGTGTAAGAATATTCATGATTACCTGCCCTCTTTTTTTTTTTTTTTTTTTTTTTCTGGTGGAGTGGGGACAGAGTCTTGCTCTGTTGCCCAGGCTGGAGTACAGTGGTGCAATCTCAGCTCACTGCAACCTCTGCCTCCGAGGTTCAAGTGATTCTCCTGTCTCAGCCTCCCGAGTAGCTGAGATTACAGGTACATGCCACCACGCCCAACTAATTTTCGTATGTTTTTTTTTTTTAGTAGAGATGGTGTTTCACCATGTTGGCCAGGCTGGTCTCAAACTCCTGGCCTCAAGTGATCCCCCAATCTCATCCTGCCAAAGTGCTGGATTACACGCATGAGCAACTGCACCCAGCCGCCTGCCCTCTTTTGTATTATATTAAAATATACATAACATAAACTTTATAGTTTTAGCTATTTTTAAAGTACATACACATGGTCATGAAGCCATCACTATTATCCATTTTCAGAGCTTTTTAATCATCCCAAACAGAAACTATTACTCCCTCCTCACAGACCCAAGTAACCACTCTTCTACTTTCTGTCCCTATGAATTTACTGAGTGTACCTCATGTAAGTAGATATTATTCATTATTTTTCCTTTTGTGTCTGGCTTATTTCACTTAGCATAATGTTTTCAAGGTTCGTCTATCTTGTAGCATGTACCAGAATTTTATTCCTTTTAAGGCTAAATACTATTCCATTGTATTTACATACTACATTTTGTGTATTTGTTGATGGATATTTGGGTTGTTTCCACCTTTTGGCTATTGTGAAGAATGCTTCTCTGAATAGTGGTGTACAAATACCTGTTTGAATCTTGGTTTTCAATTCTTTTGAATATATACCGAGAAGTGGAATTGCTGGATTGTATGGTAATTCCATGTTTAATTTTTGAGGAGCGACCATAACATTTTACATAGCAGCTGTATCATTTTACATATATAAGAGTTCTAGTTTCTCCACATCTTCAGCAACATTTGTTATTCTTTCTCTTTTTTTAGTAATAGCCATCCTAGTAGATGCAAAGTAGTACTTTATTGTGGTTTTGATTTGCATTTCCCTAATGATTGGTAATGTTGATCATCTTTTCATGTGCTCACTGGCTGGCAATTTGTATATCTTCTTTGGGAAAATGTTCAAGCCCTTTGCCTATTTTTAAAATAAAATTGTTTGGCCTTTTGGGTTATTGAGTTGTAGGTGTTCCTTATATGTTATATATATTAATCCCTTATCAGCTATATGCATTGCAAATATTTCCTCCCATGCTGAGTTAGTTACCTTTTATGAGCTGGTTTTAAGGCACAGAAATTATTAAAAATTAAACTATATGAACTAAAAACTTACATATATATGTATATTTGAGACAGGGTCTTGCCCAGGCTGGTGTGCAGTGTTGCAATCTCAGCTCACTGCAACATCTGCCTCCCAGGCTCAGGCAATCCTCCCATCTCAGCCTCCCGAGTAGATGGGACCACAGATGCACACCATCACACCTGGCTAATTTTTGTATTTTTTTGTAGAGACTGGGTTTAGCCATGTTGCTCAGGCTGGTCTCAAACTCTTGGACTCAAATGAGCTGCCTTGGCCTCCTAAAGTGCTGGGATTATAGGTGTGAGCCACTGCACCAGGCCAAGTTATATTAAAAACAAAATAAATACACAAAGCTAATCATTTTATGGTTATCTATTCTCTTGAGATATTTGTATCTATTATATCTAAATGATGGAAATCTTATGTAATGGTGTACCACTGCATTTTTTCGCCAACTCTGAGTTCAGTGATTTCATGTTGATAGCTTGAAATTACCTGTGATAGAAGTACTTACACCACTGAAATCAACAAACACTACAAATCAGGGCTTGATTTATTGTTTTGTTGATTGTCTAGACTCAAGAAAGTGATGAAGAAAATGTTAATAATTCATTCTCTATAGCTATTACTTGTGAATAGCACAAAAGATTGAGAAATATTCTTCCAGTATGGGAAAATTATTCATTGATTTAGCAAAGAAGTCACTCATATGATTAATAAATTAATAAAGCTCCAACGTACAGTTTTTTGCTTTACTTTTGTCTTAGTTGTTAAAAAATATACTAATTCATACATTCATGGTGACCCACATTTGAGGAGCTAGTTTTTAAAAATTTACAAACACACTACTGAGTAAGCATCCTAGGAGCAGGAACTCTGTCTTGTTCATCACTGTAAATCTGGCACCTAGAAAAGTGCCTAGCTGTTGAACAAATGAAGATATATAACTTCTCAGTGTCTCAATTTCTCATCTGTAAATTGAGGACAACAGACCTATGCTGCTACAATACTGGGGTGAGGGAAGAGCAAACGTGATAACAAAGCTGAAACCACTTTATGAACAAGCAGCATTAAGCAGATGTAAAGTGGTCTTATTAAGATATATTATGAAATGGTGAGCCAAGATCGCACCACTGCACTCCAACCTGGGCAACAGAGCAAAACCCTGTCTCAGAAAAAGAAAAAAAAAAGATATGATATGATATCATACCATATACTGAATGTATTTACCTCATATGTTGGTTGGTTAAAGGACTCTAATAGAGATAAGGATTCGTATATAGATAATTTGTTTCATTCAAAGAAAACATATATTTATTTTATTTCTTTATAAATAAATATTTTGCAGTCTCATTTGCCTGGTTCAGTGCTAGGTGTTCTGGAAAATATTACAGAAATAGATTTCTTGCACTCAAAAGATGCATATCTGCTCATAATGATAACAAATACAACATTTAGAGAACAGAAAAATTAAGTGGGAAATGTTTGGTATTAGACACCGTGCCAAGGATTTTAGTGCTTGTTCTTTTTTTTCTTTCTTTCTTTTTTCTTTTCTTTTCTTTTCCTTTTTTTTTTTTTTTTTTTTTTTTGAGACAGACTCTTGCTCTCATTGCCCAGGCTGGAATGCAATGGGTCAATCTCAGCTCACTGCAACCTCCGCTTCCCGGGTTCAGGCGATTGTCCTGCCTCAGCCTCCCAAGTAGCTGGGATTACAGGTGCCCACCACCACACCCAGCAAATTTTTTGTATTTTTAGTAGAGATGGGGTTTCACCATGTTGGCCAGGCTGGTCTCGAACTCCGGATCTGAGGTGATCCACCAGCCTCGGCCTTGCAAAGTGTTGAGGTTACAGGTGTGAGGCACCGTGCCTGGCCCTTTCTTTTTTTTTTTTTAACAGGATGCCAAAGATATTTTGACTAGCCTTTCTGATTATTAAAAACCCTTCTTTGATATTATTTTCCAGGGCATCTTGGATGATGGTGTTAGATCATCATCAGTAAGCATTTAATAGATAGTCACTGTATGTACTAGCTGTGCTAATAAAAATATAAACTCTAGGATTTACAAAATTGGGTGAAATATGGTCTGCAGAAAACAGGCAATCATAAATGCATTAGAAATATATGCCCACATCAGCCAGGCATGATGGCTCACATCTGTAATCCCAGAACTTTTGGAGGCCGAAGTGGGTGGATCACCGAGGTCAGGAGTTCAAGACCAGTCTGGCTAACATGGCAAAACTCCGTCTCTACTAAAAATACAAAAATTAGCCGGATGTAGTGGTGTATGCCTATAGTCCCAGCTACTTGGGAGGCTAGGGCAGGAGAATCGCTTGAACCCAGGAGGCAGAGGTTTCAGTGAACTGAGATCAGCCACTGCACTCCAGCCTGGGTGACAGAGTGAGACTCTATCTAAAAAAAAAAGAAAAGAAAAGAAATGTATACCCACATCGACTGTTAGCCATCTCTCTCCCTCTTAGCTATTTTAATATGCCAAAAATTATTTCTCTGGAAATAAACTGCCTAGGTCAGTAAGACCAAAACATGGAGGACAAGGAGACAGTGCTGGCTTGGGATTTACAGGGCAAAAGTCTCTATTTGACCAGATGATAAAGAAGAATGGAAAAAGAAAGGATTAGGGCCATGGAAGCCAGGGCTTTCTCCTCCTGCCCTGTACACTTTGTCTCACTCCTTGAGTCAGACTAGAATTCTTAGGGGTGCAGCCACAGACCTGTGCCTGTGGACTGAGAATTAAACAAGTGAATAGATTGAGAACTTAGTGACAGGACATTTTTAATGATTATGCCCCCAAAGTGATACTTTTTTTCAGTGTTCTATTTGCAAAGGCCCCTATCAGATTTCCTTGCTGAGAATTAATTACTCACATGCCCAAACTTAATCAAATTTTTCTCATCACTTTATGCAGACAGCCATTAAGAGTAGCTCGACACTTTACTAAAGGAGTTACCCCTCCCTTTTTAGAATACCTAAATCCCACTGAGGCATGAAACAAACAGATTGGTGTATACTGCTTAACTGTTCCTTTGAGGAAGAATGATAGTTTATGTTTATGTATTCCATTTATATTAACTTTCGTCAAAAGTGCTTTTTGAAGTTTATTTGCATTAAGTCACAGTCTAATCCCTTGATCTAAACCATATTAAATACTTTGATGCCAGCCTGTGCTTTGAACAAATATTTCAAGTAGATAACATTAACTTAAATAATCCTGCTGCCTAACATATTCTCAGATAAAATATTGATTTAAATGCTAATATAGATGTGCAGAGTTCCATTTTCTCTTTCCTTATAAGCAAAAAAGGATAAACATTTAGCCTTTCCTAGGCAGTGGGACTTAGGCTAATATAAAAAATTAGCTCTTGTGCAGTGGGACTGCAGCAGGGTTTGAAAGCCATGTTTGATCAGGTGCGGTGGCTCACACTTGTAATCCCAGCACTTTGGGAGGATGAGGCGGGCGGATCACGAGGTTAGGAGATCGAGACCATCCTGGCTAACATGGTGAAACCCTGTTTCTACTAAAAATACAAAAAAAAATTTAGCTGGGCATGGTGGCGGGCGCCTGTAGTCTCAGCTACTTGGGAGGCTGAGTCAGGAGAATGGCGTGAACCCGGGAGACGGAGCTTGCAGTGAGCCGAGATCGCACCATGCACTCCAGGCTGGGCCACAGAGCCAGTCTCAAAAAAAAAAAAAAAAGAAATATTTGGGGATTAATGCTATTAGATCAATGACTTGCCCAAAATCAGCTCAATACATGGCAACTGATTTATCAGTGTACACAGTGTACTGTGTTTAAAATCCATAGTGACTAATGTACTAAATAAATAGTTAAATGTAATCACAATAATAAAAAATAAAATTTGAAAGGCCTTAACCGTTTACAAAATACTGGCAGATACATGATCTCATTTGATCTCAAAAATTCTATCAGAGGTCGGGTGCCATGGTACATGGTTTTTGTTTTTTTTTTTCTGAGACAGAGTCTCGCTTTTTCACCCAGGCCAGACTGCAGTGGCGCTATCTTGGCTCACTACAACCTCCACCTCCCGGGTTCACACCATTCTCCTGCCTCAGCCTCCCCAGTAGCTGAGACTACAGGCGCCCACCACCAGGCCCGGCTAATTTTTTGTATTTTTAGTAGAGACGGGGTTTCACCGTGTTAGCCAGGATGGTCTTGATCTCCTGACCTCGTGATCTGCCTGCCTCAGCCTCCCAAAGTGCTAGGATTACAGGTGTGAGCCACCGCACCCGGCCAGTTCATGCTTTTAATCTCAGCACTTTGGGAGGCTGAGGTGGGCAGATCACTTGAGCCCAGGAGTTCAAGACAAGCCTGCAACATGGTAAAAACCTGTTTCTACAAAAAATTAGCCCAGTGTGGTGGCAAGCACCTGTAGTCCTAGCTACTCGGGAGGCTTATCACTGCATTCCAACCTGCAAAACCGAGTGAGACCCTGTCTCAAAAAAAAAAAAATTATGTGAACTACAACAGTTATTATTATTATCTCTTATTATCCAAGGCCACTCTATTTATAAAATTGTAGTAGCTAGACTCGAACCCAAGTCTTCATTTTTTTTTTGTTTTGTTTTTGAGATGGAGTCTCACTATTTTGCCCAGGTTGGAGTGCAGTGGTGTAATCTCGGCTCACTGCAGCCTCCACCTCCCGGGTTCAAGCAATTCTCCTGCCTTGGCCTCCCAAGTAGCTGGGACTACATGTGCATGCCAACATGCCTGGCTAATTTTTTGTATTTTTAGTAGAGACAGGGTTTCGCATGTTGGCCAGGCTGGTCTTGAACTGCTAACCTCAGGTGATCCACCTGCCTCGGCCTCCCAAAGTGCTGGGATTACAGTTGTGAACCACTGCGCCCAACCTCCAAGTCTTCATTTGCCAGAAATGGTAGTTTCCACAATGCCATTGCTGCATCCCTATGGCCTGTTTCAGGGTATAATGAAGAAATACATTATTCGTATATATAAATATTAACTACCTTATAAGGACTCTGATGGTTTCTTAGTAAAACACTTCAGTGGTATAATTCCCACTAGATTGCTCAGTTCTCTTGGTCAAATATTATGGGTAGTTTTGGTAGGTTTTTTCTTTTCTGACCAGATCTGCCACATTTTGTCAGCATTCTGGGTTTGCAGATGTTGCTGTTTAATTAGATTGCTCTGTAGAGGATGAGAGAACCAGGAGGTTCATTTGCATAACTGATAAGTGGCTGGGTTTTGAAGCAAGAGATAATGCTTCTTTGGGTCCTATGAACTGGTGGGAAGGCAAGGTGTTAGTCTTTTTCTGTTGGAGATTATCTGTAAACCGGGAACTTCTCCACATCTAGGCACTCCCTGTATCTGAATATTGTATTCTGAACCTTACTCTGTACTCTAGCAAGATGATAAATGTAATGCAGATATAAATCAACCTTTCATTTACTTAAAATAATAATTCTGCAGTAAAGGAAAAAACGACAGCTACTCTGATCCTTGAATACTGGGCAAAGGCAAGCCATCTATCTGTAAGTGCATAGTCCTTCAGTATGACGTAACCTTTCTCATTTAATGAACATTTTCCCCTAGTAACTCTTTGTGCTGGCAAACCATGAAAGAAAGCATGTGGACTTGGCAGCCCAACCCTGAAGTTTTTGTCTCAAAAATTATTGCAATTTCTGTACTAAGGGTCCAAAGGACATTTGTTTGGACACAGACTTTTCTGAAATTAAAAAGAATGACCTTATTTCACTTAGTGAAATGAGTTGTACTCTTAAATAGAGTCCATTTTGAATAGTTTTTCTTAGAGCAACACTGTCAAAAAAGAAGATATATTTTATATTCTTCTCATTATTAGAAGAAAATGCACTATTAAAATACCTTCAGGGCCAGGCACGGTTGCCCACACCTATAATTCCAGCACTTTGGGAGGCCAAGACAGAAGAGTTACTTGAGACCAGGAGTTTGAGACCCATCTGGGCAACATAATGAGACCCCAGCTCTGTAAAAACCAAAAGGTAAAAATGTAGCCAGGCATGGTGGTGCTTGCCTGTAGTCCTAGCTACTCAAGAAGCTGAGGCAGGAGGATCACTTGAGCCCAGGAATTCAAGGCTGCAGTGAGTTATGATCACACTGTTATACTCCAGCCTAGGCAACAGAGTGAGACCCTGTCTTGAAAAAAAAAAAAAAGTTTCAGTAAGGCTTGCTTGGGTCTCATGGTACCATTTAAAAATTCCTAGTCCTAAGTGGTGATTTGGCACAAGGTTAGGCATAGTTTTTTTCTTTTCTTTTGGGGTGAAAAACAGGGATCACATATGATTGAAGATAGTACTATGGTTTTTACTGATATTTAATAAACCATACCCACCTTAATTTCCTCTTGTGCTTTCATCCCTAGGAAACCTATAGTTTTAAAAGTTAACTAAGTTTATAATTGACATAACATGTAATCAGCAACTTACACATGCCTGATGTGCTCGTTTAGTTAATGCTCATATAGCTTTCAGGGTATCTCAGATACTGTTAAATTATTTAATCCTCCTAACAACTCTTGAGGTAGGTATTCTTTTTTTTTCTTTTTTCTTTTTTTTGAGACGAAGTCTCGCTCTTGTCACCCAGGCTGGAGTGCATTGGCGCAATCTTGGCTCAAGGCAACCTCCATCTCCTGGGTTCAAGCGATTCTCCTGCGTCAGCCTCCTGAGTAGCTGGGATTACAGGCGCCTGCCACCACACCCGGCTAATTTTTGTATTTTTAGTAGAGATGGGATTTCACCATGTTGGCCAGGCTGGTCTCGAACTCCTGACCTCAGGCAATCTTCCCGCCTCGGCCTCCCAAAATGTTGGGATTACAGGCGTGAGCTACCACACCCAGCCGAGGTAGATATTCTTATTATACCCATTTTAATGGGATATAGAGAGGTTAAGTACCTAGTCTGACATCTCATAGCTAAAAAGTAGGGGGCTGAGACTTGAACCCAGAAAGTTTGGCCCGAGTCCTTACACTTAACCTCTCTACTATACTACTTTTGTTTGGATGAATACCAGCCTTAGATAAGCTTGCACAGAAAGACTCCTTTCCTCAGACTGCTTTTCCCCCCATCACAGCTGCAGTCTTCTGTGACCTAGACCCCCTCTCATGCCAGTCTCTGTCCTCACCTTGTTCCAGTTAGGCTAATGTTGAACAAATGATGACAGGATTGGTTCAACCAGCCCTGATGAGTGTCTCTCTTGAAAGTATCTCCAGAGATCGAGATCAGCCTGGCTAACACACGGTGAAACCCCATCTCTACTAAAAATACAAAAAATTAGCCGGGCGTGGTGGCAGGCACCTGTAGTCCCAGCTACTCAGGAGGCTGAGGCAGGAGAATGGTGTGAACCCAGGGGGTGGAGCTTGCAGTGAGCTGAGATCGCAGCACTGCACTCCAGCCTGGGCAACAGAGTGAGACTCTGTCTCAAAAAAAAAAAAAAAAAGAAGGTGTCTCCAGATACTTGCATCACTCCTCCTCATCATCATCTATTTCCTTTCATTCCTCTAACTTTCCTTATAGGGCCTCCCCAATGGAAGTAAGAAAATGTCGAGGGTAACTGAAACTTAATATGAAATTAATGTCATAGCTGGGAAAGAAGTCCTCATTCAACCACCAAAATTAGAGAATGAACCATAGGAGAGATTGTTCTTTACAACCAAGCTGGAATTCAGAACATATTTTTCAAAGGAAACATTTTTATATTAATAGTTTGTATTACTTTCAGAATAGTATAGGCCTACACTTTATTCGTTGACTCATTCAATCATTTGTTCAGCAACTTTTTAGAACACCATGTGCAAGATATTATACCAATCTCTAGGGATAAAAATCACCACCATGGTTAAGTCCATGATTTGACCTAATCATTATTAATATCATTGAATCAGTGAGAAAATGCTCATGAATTTCTAAGTACCTAAGTTACTGAAGAACTTTGGAAATATATCTTTTTTGTAACTTAGGGACTTAACCTCAAACTCCTGGGCTCAAGTGAGCCTCTCAGCTTAGCCTCCCATGTAGCTGAGATGACGGGGGCATGCCACCACGCCCAGCTAATTTTTTCAAAATGTTTTTGTAAAGATAGGATCTTGCTATGTTGCCCAAGCTGGTCTTAAACTCCTCGCCTCAAGCAGTCATCCTGCCTCAGCTTCTCAAAGTACTGGGACAAAATAATTGACTTTCAGAAATCAATGTGTGCTTTTCATAATGAGAATCTACTTTTTAAGATACAATAGGCGGGGCGCAATGGCTCACACCTGTAATCCCAGCACTTTGGGAGGCCAAGGAGGGCGGATCACCTGAGGTCAGGAGTTCGAGACCAGCCTGACCAACATGGTGAAACCCCACCATTACTAAAAATACAAAATTAGCTGGGCATGGTGGCGCATGCCTGTAATCCCAGCTACTTGGGAGGCTGAGGCAGGAGAATCCCTTGAACCGGGGAAGCAGAGGTTGCAGTGAGCCGAGATTGTGCCATTGCACTCCAGCCTGGGCAACAAGAGCGAAACTCCATCTCAAAAAAAAAAAAAAAAAAAAAACCCAATAACTTGCCAGTAACCAATAATGTTTTAGGTGAACCCAAAAGATTATGTTAAACCCAGATTATACTTATGTACCCTGCAAGTGTACCCCCTGTTAATTGAGATTGGTGCATAACATTAGTAGTCATATCCTGTAATTTTGTGCCACCCACAACACTTCTCAATACCGTATCTGTTCAGTGAAGATGTTTGGGAAGTTAGTGACCGGTTTTGAAAGAGGCATACCAAAATTTGTTATGTTTTTCTTTCATCTATGAATAGAACAGTTACCCTTATTTAATTTGGTAGGGGAACTTTATCATTTAATGCCGTATTCTACTATAGACTTGAAATGGCTAAATACACTTAAGTTCTAAGAAAGCTTCTTACTAAATGTGATTAGGTATATGGTTTTGCAAAGCCTAGATGTGTCAAAAGAATATCTGCAGAGTGTTTAGAAAAGTTTAGAGTCTCTGTGATAGTCAGGAAGACTTTGGAAGTGTCATTTATTCAGTGGTGCACTTACAGTCAGCCCTCTCTATCCGCAGTCCATTTCACTTGTCTTTGGGATATCTTTGCTTGAGAAACAAAATGTGAACAAGCAGTCACCCTTTTAGGAATCTAGGATTTCTTAGGGAGATTTATTAAGTCAATATTTGTCAGTATCTGCTGAATCCTTAAAATGAAGGTCTTTAGAAATTTGCACATAGCAGTGAAAGTGAACAGATGGTGAGTTCAGGAAGGAAAAAGAAGAGTCAAGCAGTAAAGACAGATGGACACCAACAAATATGAATTGAATAGCCCATTTGTTCCCTCTTTAGCTGTTGCACTTGAAACCTCTGATTTCTGATCCCACCAAAAGTCTAGTGAAAAATGCTCCTCGATGTCTCGCTGGCATTTTTCTCAAGCCCCATCCTTTTTGACCTCTGGGTAGCATTTTCTGTTGTGACCTCCTACACCCTCTTGAGCCTCTTTCTTGCTTTGTGACAGTCTGCTGATTCTCAGATTACTGCTCTGATGATTCCTTCTTTGATGGCGTCATCAGGGTCTTTTTCTTATCCTAAATGCAAGTATTCCCTAAGGTTCTGCCCTTTACCCTTCTCTTTCCTCCTCCTTTGCTATCTCCCTTGATGATCTCATCCACTTTCATGGCATCAGCTCATTTGTATGCATAATAGTCTCACATCTATAGCTTCAGCAATCCAGACCTCTCCTCAGGGCTTCAGTCGCACATTTCCAACAGCCTGTCAGGTGGCTTCACTAACACTTCATTGTGTCCAGAACCACACATCATCTGTCCGACCTTCTTCTATTTCTCTCCTGGGCACCTGTTCTTGAATGACATCAGCATTCTCCAAGTCACCTTTGACTCTTCCCTCTTAGTGATCCCCACAACAGTTAGTTGCCTGGACCTGTTGATTTATATCCTAAACATCTGTTGGCTCTGTCTCTCAATTCCCATTGCTACAAACTTCACTACTACCGTATTAATTTCTCCAGAGAGCAGTTCTTATCGTCTTCAGTTCTCTACTTAAAACTTTTAAGGATGTAAAGTATTAGGAAGGAAGAAAGGGAGGGAGAGAGGAAGAAAAGAAGGAAGGGAAATTAAAAGAAAAAGAAAAGAAGCCTACTTAGCTGGGCATCCAAGGCCCTAACCTTCTTTCCTTCTTTCCTTAATCCACCAAGCAGAAGCAACAAGACCCCACTGCCACTAGCCAAATGTTCTGTCTCTTCTAAATTATCTGTACCTCTTTTCCACCTGCATTCCAGTTATTAGTGTTCATATTTTATCTCTAGTATTAGAGATCATGGACTCTTCTCATCTTGTTCACCCTAGTTCTCTCATCGTGCCCAGTGCTATGCTTTACACATAGTAGGTACCCACTGAAGCATTTTTTTTTTAACGTTGAGTAATGAAGTTTGAACAACTTCTGCCCACAGTTAGGGCTCTTTTGCCCAGCATAAAAGCTATATGGAAGAGTTCCCTGTTGTATTCATGTTTGTTTAACTTCCTTTCTGTTTTCTGTGCTTCAAGTAATCCATTCCATTGTCAAGAATATCATTTGTAGGTCTGGTTTAGAGAAGAGGTTCTTGAGGCCAGGCATGGTAGCTCACGCCTATAATCCCAGCACTTTGGGAGGCCAAGGCAGCTGGATCACTTGAGGTCAGGAGTTTGATACCAGCCTGGCCAACATGGTGAAACCCTGTCTCTACTAAAAATACAAAAATTAGCCAGTTATTAATTAGCCAGCTACTCAGGAGGCCGAAGCAGGAAAATGGCTTGAACTCAGGAGATGGAGGTTGCAGTGAGCTGAGATCGTGCCACTGCACTCCAGCTTGGGTGATAGAGCAAGACTCTGTCTAAAAAAAAAAAAAAAAGAAAAGGAAAAAAGATTGAGAAGAGATTCTTGGAAGGCTTCATCTCTGAGGTTAGTCATCACTGTAATCCTAGAGAGCTTCTGGTAACTGATTGTTTCTGGGTAATTCACTGTATTCCATAACCACTTGGGTTTTCTGCTGTGTGTAAAGTGGAGACAGAAGGCAACTTGCTTTCCTCTTGAGTATTTCTGGTAATTCATTGCCAAGCCATCCATGGCAGAAAGTTCCCTCAGCAGAATAGATGCAGCCATTCCAGAGATGGAATCTGTCCTCAACAATAGCCTGATCAATCTTAGTGGATAATTCCCTTATAAATAGAAATGATTCTTTATGGCCAGCATAATGCAGAAATTGGATAATAAAAATGTTTAAACCCCTTTGAAGGTCAGGGTATGATGTTAGGGAAGAGTAGCCTCTGTGCTCTGTCTAATATACTCAGGTTCCAAAAAGATGCAGTAGAGATCCACAGTGTTTACTCCTGGGCAGAATTCTTATTTGAATTTCTGTCTCCATTCTTACTTTTATAAGCTGAGTTGGACAGCCAAACAGGGAACTTTAAGGGTAATAAATATTACCTTTTCCCCTTAAGCCTGGGACCTGGAGCAAGCTCTTAGCAGCCTGTTCTCTGGGCCTTTCCTCTTAGTACCTAGAAGTACACAGCACCCCAAAGCCCCCAGGAAACCTATGCCTCAAAAAAACTCCATAAAAGTGGATTTTTTTTTCAAACACAGTCTCACTCTGTCACTTAGGCTAGAGTGCAGTGGCACAATCACGGCTCACCGCAGCCTCGACTTCCCAGGCTCAAGCAATTCTCCCACCTCAGCCAGCTGAGTAGCTGGGACTACAGGTGTGTGCCACCATGCCTAGCTAATTTTTTGTATTTTGTAGAGGCAGAGTCTCTCCATGTTGCCCATGCTGGTCTCACACTCCTGGGATCAAGCAATCATCCTGCCTCAGCCTCCCAAAGTGCTGGGATTAGAGGCATGAGCCACTGCACCCAGCCACATGTTACTTTAAAAATGTACAGAAAGACAAATGTCTTTTGCATCTTTAAGATTTCTTTTTCACTCCTACAAAGGTTCCCCCCAGCCATGTTTAGTGATAACTGCATTGAGCAAGTCTTATTACCTCTCTGACTCATTATCAGTCATATGAGCTACTGTGACCCAACCCTTAGAAAGCTGGGCAAAGAAGAGATAGTGTGAGCTGAGGCAATAAATTAGTGATTTGTTCATCCATTCTTTATTCATTTCCTTATTTTTATTTGTTCAACATTTATTATTTACTACTTGGTAGGAACTAAGATAAGATGATGGGACAGACATGGTTCCTGTCGTCGGGAAGCTAATTTTTTGTTATTGTTGTTTTTTGTTTTTGAGACGGAGTCTCCTCTGTCACCCAGGCTGGAGTGCAGTGGTGCAATCTCGGCTCACTGCAAGCTCCGCCTCCCGGGTTCATGCCATTCTCCTGCCTCAGCCTCCCCAGTAGCTGGGACTACAGGCGCCTGCCACCACACCTGGCATATTTTTCGGATTTTTAGTAGAGACAGGGTTTCACCGTGTTAGCCAGGATGGTGTCGATCTTCTGACCTGGTGATCTGCCTGCCTCAGCCTCCCAAAGTGCTGGGATTACAGGTGTGAGCCACTGCGCCTGGCCTGGGAAGCTAATTTTTAATGGAGGAACTCTACAAGTTTAATGCTGTGATTCTTAACTTATTTTAGGTCAGAGAATCCTTTGAAAATCTGATGCAAGTATTAGCTTCCACAATGAAAATACATTTACACAAAATTTTACATACAAAAATCTTTGGTGCACCACATGTTAAAAAAGCCTGTGGCCGGGCGCGGTGGTTCATGCCTGTAATCCCAGCACTTTGAGATGCTGAGGCAGGCAGATCACTTGAGGTCAGGAGTTCAAGACCAGCCTGGCCATCATGAGGAAACCACATCTCTACTAAAAATACAAAAAAAATAGCCAGGTGTGATGGCTCACAACTATAGTCCCAGCTACTTGGGAGGCTGAGGCACAAGAATCTCTTGAACCCAGGAGGCAGAGATTGCAGTGAGCTGAGATGGTGCCACTATACTCCAGCCTGGGCAACAGAGCAAGACTCTGTCTCAAAAAAATAATAAAATAAAGCCTTCTACATGAAATAAAGGCTTCTAGAAATAAAGCCTTACAGGCTCATGCCTGTAATCCCAGCACTTCAGAAAAATGAGGCAGGAGTGTCACCTGAGTCCAGGAGTTTGAGACCAGCCTGGGCAACATAGGGAGACCTCATCTCTACAAAAAAAAAAAAAAAAAAAAAAAATTGCCGATTGTCCCCACCTACTCAGTAGGCTGAAGTGAGAGAATCACTAGAGCCCAGGATGTTAAGGCTGCAGTGAGCCATGATCATCCCACTGCACTCTAGCCACAACAACAGAGCAAGACCCCATCTCTTTAAAAAAAATTAGCAGCCAGGCGCAGTGGCTCACGCCTGTGATCCCAGTACTTTGGGAGGCCAAGGCGGGTGGATCACCTGAGGTCGGGAATTCCAGACCAGCCTGACCAACATGGAGAAACCCCGTCTCTACTGAAAATACAAAATTAGCCGGGGTGGTGGCACATGCCTATAATCCCAGCTACTTGGGAGGCTGAGGCAGGAGAATCACTTGAACCCGGGAGATGGAGGTTGCGGTGAGCCAAGATCACGCCATTGCACTCCAGCCTGGGCAACAAGAGCGAAACTCTGTCTCAAAAAAAAAAAAAAAAAAAAAAAAATTAGTTAATTAATTAAAAAAATTAGATTTTAAAAATTCAAAAAATTAAAAGATAAAAATATCTGGCCTTGTAGATACTAGGAAAATGCAAAGTATGTTAGGATGTTAATGTCCATTTTGATCAGCAGACAGAGAACTTGAGGGATTAAAAACATTGTTCTCAAAACAGTCAAGTTTGTCAAATGTGTACATTAACTCCAAATGAAATTCTAGGCCCTCACAGTATCATTAAAAGCAGAGGTTTATATATATGTAGGCATACCTTGGAGATATTGCAGAATCAGTTCCAGACCACCGCAATAAAGTGGATAGTGCAATAAAGCAAGTCACAGATTTTTTGGTTTCCCAGTGCATATAAAAGTTATGTTTCACTATACTGTAGTCTGTCAAGTGTGTAATAGCATTATGGCTGGAAAAAAACATTTATATATTTTAATTTAAAAATGCTTTGTTGCTAAAAAAAAAAATGGTAACAATTACCTGAGCCTTCAGCAAGTTAAAATCTTTTGGCTGGTGGAAGGTCCTGCCTTGATGTTGACAGCTGCTGACTGGTCAGGGTGGTGGCTGCTGAAGGTGGCTGTGACAATTTCTTATAATAAGATAAGATAACCATGAAGTTTGGCACATCAGTGGACTCTTCCTTTTATGAAAGATTTCTCTGTAGCATGCAATGCTGTTTAACTGCATTTTACCCACAGTAGAACTTCTTTCAAAATTGGAGTCAATCTTCTCCAATCCTGCCACTGCTTTATCAACTAAGTTTATGGGATATTCTAAATCCTTTGTTGTCATTTCAACAATGTTCACAGCATCTTCACCAGGAGTAGTTTCCATCTCAAGAAACCACTTTCTCTGCTCATCCATAAGATCTTGAGATTGCGGCAATTCAGTCACATCTTCAGGTTCAACTTCTAATTCTAGTTTTCTTGCTATCTCTACCACATCTGCAGTTACTTCCTCCACTGACAGCTTGAAATCAAGGGTTGGAATCAACTTTTTCCAAACTCCTGTTAATGTTGATAATTTGACTTCTCCCCATGAGCCACAGATGTTCTTAATGGCATCTAGAATGATGGCATTCAGTTCTTCAATTTACTTTGCCTAGATCCATCAGAGGAATCACTATTCATGCAGCTATAGTCTTATGAAATGTATTTCTTAAAATAACACTTGAAAGTGCAAATTACTCCTTGATCCATGGGCTACCAACTGGATGTTAGCAAGCATGAAAACAACATTAATCTCCTGTACATCTCCATCAGATCTCTTTGGTAATCAGGTAGAGTGTCAGTGAGCAGTAATATTTTGAAAGGATTTTTTTTTCTTTTTGAGCAGCAGGTCTCAACAATGAACTGAAAATATTCTGTAAACCATGCTGTAAACAGATGTACTGTCACCCATGCTTTGTTGTTTCATTTATAGAGCACAGGCACAATATATTTAGCATAATTCTTAAAGATCCTGGGATTTTTAGAATGGTAAATGAGCATTGGGCCTCAGTTTAAAGTCACCAGCTGCATTATCCTTTAATCTGAGTCAGCCTGTCCTTTGAAGCTTTGAAGCCAGACGTTGACTTTACTCCATCTATGAAAGTCCTAGATGGCATCTTCTTCCAGTGGAAGGCTGTTTAATCTACATTGAAAATCTGTTGTAGCCACCTTCATAAGTGATCTCAGGTAGATCTTCTGGGTAACTTGCTGCAGCTTCTGTATCAGCACTTACTACTTCATCTTGCACTTTTATGTTATGGAGATGGTGATATGGTTTGAATGTGTGTCCCTGCCCAGATCTCATGTTGAAAGATAATCCCCAGTGCTGGAGGTAGGGCCTGGTGGGAAGTGATTGGATCTGGTGGGGGTGGCTTCTCATGAATGGTTTAGCATCATCCCCCTAGTGCTGTTCTTGGGATAAGAGTTATCATGAGATCTGGTTGTTTAAAAGTGTGTAGCACCTTCCCCTCACTCTTTTCCTCGTGCTCCGGCCATGTGAGATGCCTTGCTTCCCCTTTGCCTTCCACCATGATTGTAAGTTTCCTGAGGCCTCCCAAGAAATAGAAGCCGCTGTATTTCCTTTATAGCCTGCAGAACTGAGTCAATTAAACCTCTTTTCTTTGTAAATTACCCACTCTCAGATATTTCTTTTTTCTTTTTTTTTTTTTTTTTTTTTTGAGATGGAGTTTCACTCTTTTTGCCCAGGCTGGAGTGCAATGGCGTGATCTCGGCTCACTGCAGCCTCCACCTACCGGGTTCAAGTGATTCTCCTGCCTCAGCATCCCGAGTAGCTGGGATTACAGGCACATGCCACCATGCCCGGCTGATTTTGTAGAGACGGGGTTTCACCATGTTGGCCAGGCTGGTCTCGAACTCCTGACTTCAGATGATCTGCCTGCCTTGGCCTCGCAAAGTGCTGGATTACAGGCATGAGCCACCACACCCAGCCTCAGGTATTTCTTTATAGCAGTATGAGAGTGGACTTAATACAGATGGCTTCTTTCCTTAAACCTCATGAACCAACCTCTGCCAGCTTCAAACTTGTCTTGTGCAGCTTTCTTATCTCTCTCAGCCTTCACAGAATTGAGAGGTAAGGCCTTGCTCTGGATTTGGCTTTGATTAAAGGGAATGCTGTGTCTTGTGTGATCTTCTATCCAGACCACTAAAACTTTCTGCATATCAGCCTGAAGACTGTTTTACTTTCCTGTTATTCATGTGATCACTGGAGTAGCACTTTAAATTTCCTTCAAGAACTCTTCCTTTGCATTTACAAATTTGGCTATTTGGCTCAAGAAGCCTAGCTTTCAGTCTATCTCAGCTTTCAACCTGCTTTTCTCACTAAGCATAATCATTTTTAGCTTTTGATTTAAAGTTAAAGACATGTGACTTTTCCTCTTACTTGAACACTTACAGGCCATTGAAAGGTTATTAATTGGCTAATTTCAATATTGTTGTGTCTCAGGGTATAGGGAGGCCCAAAGAGAGGGACTGAGTTGGGGGAACAGCTGGTTGATGGAGCTGTGAGGACACATAAAACATTTGTTAAGTTTGCCATCTTCTATGGGCATGGCTTATGGTGCCCCAAAGCAAGTATAGTAGTAACATTAAGGATCACAGATCACTGTAAGAAAAAATAATATTAATGGAAAACTTTGAAATATTGCAAGATTTAACAAAGTGTGACACAGAGACATGAAGTGTGCATGTGCTATTGGAAAAATGGTGCTAGTAGACTTGCTGGATGCCAGGTTGCCACAAACCTTCAATTTATTAAAACAAAAACAAAAACAAAAACATAGTATCTGTGAGTCACAATAAAGTGAAGCACAATAAAATGAGGTATGCTTGTACTGATATGTACACACATAGGTATACATACATGTTAAATAAAAACTATGGCATTTTCTCTGGAAGTTTGATTTAACATTCATTTGAAGTACCTTGGCTCACTGGTGTGGGTGTGTTACTAAATTTCTTGTAAGGACACATTCCTCTTGGAGAGAATGCTGGTTTGAAAAATAAATATGAGAGCTATTGGTCCAAATTGCTATTATAGATTAAAAATCAAATTGTTTTACAGAAAATTTTTAGTCAAACCATGCTGCCAAAATAGGGGGTGAAACAATTCATAATGCTGGGTTCCTAATAATTTATTCATTTAACATCAGCAAATATTTGTTGAGTGTCTACAGCTTGCTGGACACCATTCTAGGCCCCTTTCTTCTTCAGTGAACAAAAGAGACAAAAATTCATGTCCTCATAAATTCTAGCAGTGATCCAGGGGTGGAGAATAAGCAATGAATAATAAACATAAAAAAATTAGTAAATGATATATGGTATATTAGAAAGTGATAAGTGCTGTAGAATACGAAAACATAGAGTAGGGTAAGGAAAATGGGGACTGCTAGAGTTGGATGGGTGGTTGTAATATCAAGTATACGTATCAAATACGGTAGTCAGTGTGGGCCTTGTTGAAGTGAGATTGAACACTTGAAGGAAGTAAAATAATCATTTCTGGCAGAGGAATCATAGCCAAGGGCATAAATAAGATTATAGCTGTAGAGTGTGACAAATAGCAAGGAGGCTATTGTGTTTGGAGTAAAGTAGGATGATGAAGGGAGTAATAGGAGGTGAGGCCAGAAAGTTATAGGGACATTTTTAGGACTCTGGGTTTTACTCTTGAGTGAAATAGGGAACCATCGCAGGGTTTTAACAACCTACATCTGAGTGTTTTGTGATCATTGGAATGTTAAGAGGAGTGATTGAAAGTGACTTACATTTTTAAAAGCACTACCCTGACTGCTATGTTGATGACAGACTGATTAAGGGGCAAGGGTAGAGGCAGGGAGACTAGCTGGGTGCAATCTAGGCCCAAGACGATGGTGGTGGCTTGGACCAGGGTGATTGATAGTGGTGGAGGTGGTAAGATGTGGTTAGATTCTGAATACATTTTGAAGGTAGAACTGATAGGATTTTCTGACAGATTAGATAGATGTGTAGTATGAAAGAGAGAGTAAAGACTCCAGGATGATTCCAGGGTTTTTTATCTGAGCAACTAGAAGGATGGAGTTGCCATCAACTGAAATGGGGTAGGCTGTGGGTGGACCCCATTTGGAACAAAAGATCAAGAGTTCAGTCTTCTGCTGTGGTATGACTTGGGAATTCTTTCCTTGTATCCTGGGACTGAGCACATAAGTAAAGTGAGGATAATAGGAGGTAGGTCTCTCATTGTTAGAAAAGGGAGTTACAAGTATGGAAAGGGGGGAGACTAGAATTAAGGGAGGAGACCACCCCTCATATTGTCTTATGCCCAGTTTCTGCCTCCAGAGAAAGAAGAAGTAAAAACTAAAAGGCAGAAATGAAATCCACAGGCAGACAGCCCCGCGCCGCACCCTGGGCCTGGTAGTTAAAGATCGACCCCTGACCTAATAGGTTATGTTATCTATAGATTCCAGACATTGTATGGAAAAGCACTGTGAAAATCCCTGTCCTGTTCTGTTCCATTCCAATTACCAGTGCATGCAGCCCCCAGTCACATACCCCCTGCTTGCTCAATTGATCATGAGCCTCTCACGCGGACCCCCTTAGAGTTGTAAGCCCTTAAAAGGGACAAGAATTACTCACTCAGGGAGATTGGTTTTTGGAGATGTGAGTCCGCCGATGCTCACAGCTGAGTAAAGCCCTTTCCTTTCACAACTCGGTGTCTGAGGGGTTCTTGTCTGCAGCTCATCCTGCTACAGAATGAACCCTTTGAAATTGGAATAGAATTAGAGATATTAGTGTAAACCCATGGTTTTTAACATTGAGATACAGAAATGGATATAAATATACACCCTCAAACATACTTTCTTAACTTCATTACTGAGAAGGCCTGTGACGAATGAGCCTCCAATAACAATGATCACACAACACCCAGATGTAAGTTTTTAAATGCCACTCTCCACTAAAAAAATCAGGTGCCTTTGAGAACTAGCTGATTCTGGGCCAGGGCAGAGAAAGGGTAAGATGGGCCTGGGACATCTTATTGTGCTAGAAAGTTGAAAAGTGCTCAAGTAATGATGACATGTCAAAAGGACAGGAAACAACTTGAAGGGGCTCACTGTGGCCAAACCGAGGAGTCTTTTGGCATCAAAATAAAGAATGAACTGGGTGCGGTGGCTCGCACTTTGGGAGGCTGAGGCAGGTGGATCACTTGAGGCCAGGAGTTTGAGATCAGCCTAGCCAACATGGTGAAACCCCGTGTCTACTAAAATTACAAAAATTATCCGGGTGCTAATTAGCCAGCTACTCAGGAGGCTGAGGCAGGAGGATCCCTTGAGCTCAGGGGTTCAAGACAACATTTTGAAACCCCATTTTTACAAAAAATACAAAAAAATTAGCTGGGCGTGGTGGCATGTGCCTGTAGTCCCAGCTACTTGGGGGGCTGCGGCAGGAGGATCACTTGAGTGTGGGAAGCGGAGGCTGCAGTGAGCTGTGTTCATGCCACTGGACTCCAGCCTGAATGACAAAGTGATTTTTGTCTCAAAAAAAAAAAAAACAATAAAATTGGATCTTTATCTTATGCCATACACAAAAATAAACTCAAAATGGATTAAAGATTTAAACATAAGACCTGAAACCATAAAAATCCTAGAAGAAAATATAGGGGGAAAGCTCCATGACATTAGTCTTGGCAATACTTTTTTTAATATGACACTAAAAACACAGGCAACAAAAGCAAAAACAAGTAGGGCTACATCAAATTAAAAAGTTTCTGCACAGCAGAGGGAACCATCAACAAAATGAAAAAGTGTCCCACAGAATGGGAGAAAATATTTATAGTCCATATGTCTATCTGATAAGGGATTAAATCCAAAATATATGAGACTCATACAACTCAATAACAGAAAAACAAATAACATGATTTAAAAATGGGCATAGGAGCTGAATAGACATTTCTCCAAGGAAGATATAAAAATGGTCAACAAGTATATGAAAAGGTGTTCAACATCACTGATCATTAGGGAAATACAAATCAAAACCACAATGAGCTAGCACTTCAAACACGTTAGAATGGCTATTATAAGAAAGACAAAAGATAACAAGTATTGGTGAGAATACTTGTTATCGGTGAGAAAAGGGAACCCTTGTACACTCTTAATGGGAATGTAAATTAGTATAGCCATTTTGAGGCTGGGCATGGTGGCTCGCACCTATAGTTCCAGCTACTGGGGTGGCTGAGGTGGGAGGATTGCTTGAGCCCAGGAGGTTGAGGCTGCACTGAGCTGTGTTCACACCACTTCACTCCAGCCTGGGCAACAGAGTGAGACCCTATCTCCAAATACTAAAAAAGTATAGCCATTTTGAAAATCAGTATGGAGGTTCCTCAAAAATTTTAAAATAGAACTACCACAGGGTACAGTGGATCACACCTGTAATCCCAGCACTTTGGGAGGCCAAGGTGGGTGGATCACCTGAGATCAGGAGTTCAAGAACAGCTTGGCCAACATGGCAAAACCCCGTCTCTACTAAAAATACAAAAATTAGCTGGGTGTGGTGGCACTTGCCTATAATCCCAGCTACTCTGGAGGCTGAAGCATGAGAATCGCTTGAACCCGGGAGGCAGAGGTTGCGGTGAGCCGAGATTGTGACACTGCACTCCAGCCTGGGGGATACAGCGAGACTCTGTCTCAAGAAAAAAAAAAAAAAATAGAACTACCATGTGATCCAGCAATCCCACTTCTGGGCATATATCCAAAGGAAATGAGTTGAAGAGATGTCTGCACTCTCATGTTCATTGCAGCGTTATTCACAATAGCCAAGAAATGGAAACAATCTTTTAAGTGTTCATTCACAAAAGAATGGACAAAGAAATTGTGGTAGGGTGAGGTGCAGTGGCTCACACCTGTAATCTCAGCATTTTGGGAGACTGAGCAGGAGGATCACTTGAGCTCAGGAATTCAAGACCACCCTGGGCAATATAGTAAGACCCTGTCTCTACAAAAAAATAAAAAATAGCTGGGCATGGTGCATGCCTATAGTCCTAGCTACTAGGGAAGCTGAGGCAGAAGCATGGCTTGAGCCCAAGGAGTTTGGGGCTGCAATGAGCACTCCAGCCAGGGTGGCAGAGCAGAGTGAAATGCTGTCTCCAAAAAAACAAAAACAAAGAAATCATGGCACATATATATATATATATATATATATATATATATATATGCATGGCATATATATATATATATATATATACATACACACACACAAATATAAAATGGTATATCATGTATGTGTGTATCTGTATATCACACATATATCTGTGATATAGATATTCCATTGTATATGTGTGTGTGTATTCACATATATAGATACACACACATGTGTATACAATGAAATACTACCCAGCCTGTAAAAAGGAGGAAGTCTTGCCATTTGTGACAACATGAATGCAACTGGAGGGCATTATTCTGAGTGAAATAAGTCAGAGACAAATACTGCATGATCTCACATATGTGGAATCTAAGAAAGTCAAACGCATAAAAAGAGTAAAAAAGTAGTTACCAGGAGTCAGGTGTGGGGGTAGGGAAATGGGAAGATGTTGGTAAGAGGGAACAAACTTGCAGTCATAAGTAAATTGTGGAGACCGAATATACAGCATGGTGACTATAATAATAATGAATTGCATACTAGGAAAAAAGTTTTTAAATGGGTGTAGAGTTTTGATTTTGCTAGATGAAGAGTTCTGGAGATTGGTCGCACAACAGTGTGAATGTACTTGACACAACTGAACTGCACACTTATAATTAAAGGCTGAGTGCGGTGGCTCACACCTGTAATCCTAGCACTTTGGGAGGCCAAGGCAGGCAGATCACCTGAGGTCAGGAGTTCGAGACCAGCCTGGCCAATATGTCAAAGCCTTGTCTCTACTAAAATTATAAAAATTAGCCAGGCGTGGTGGCACACACCTGTAATCCCAGCTACTCAGGAAGCTGAGGCAGGAGAATCACTTGAACCTGGGAGGTGGAGGTTGCAGTGAGCCGAGATCACACCACCACACTCCAGCCTGGGCAATAGATGGAGACTCCGTCTGAAAAAAAAATAAAAATGAAAGCAACTTGTGAAGAGAGAAAAAACAGTGTTAACAGCTGAGGAATGAAATTATCGTCTGTTTGTTTCCTATCCCTAGCATTTGATGATTACAGCTTATTTTCTTTTTCCAGAAGTTTTGGTGCTTGCTTGCCAGCAGGTTGTTCCCAGAGATTGTCTGTGTTCTAGAAAGTGACGTCATTTTGCATGGTAGAGAGCAGCTGGATAGAAATAGGCCTGCCTATCTCACGGCAGGGCGGAGTCTTGGAATGCGGAGTCTTTCATTCAAATCATACTGAACTTCCTGATGTGAAATCAGCCATCATCTCACAAGCTTATCTCATCAATTTCCTGGTAGAAGCAGCTGTGCTGCCAGGGATAGAATCCTCTGGCCAGCCATTATTAGATCTGAAAAAGCACCCCTTGTTTTCCCTTTAGTGCTCAAGCCTTAGTGTCTGCCAGTTTGAATGGCAGTGGAGTTTAGGGATTTGTATGTACTTAAACTGAATAAGGTAGAGAGCCTAATGGTCATGACAGAATTGACAGACACCCTCTCTGTGGAGTGTTGGATCACATATGCATTGCCTCTGATCAGTCTGCTTGCTTGAAACTAATGTCAAAGACAATGTCTAGTGTTGCCTCTTACCTTTAATAGGAAACTAGAAATAGAACCCTTGGTCACCTGTGCAGAGATTTGCCATCAGAGAACTTCATCTGTCCTTTAATACTTTTGCTGTGTCCTGGAAATGATTTCTTTACTTGTCTTCCAGGATATGTCACTCATTCCTACCAACTAATAATAAGCATATCTAAATCTTGTAGACCACTTTGCAATTTACAAAGTTATGTATCTATTATCTCATTTAATCTTGATAGCAGAACTAAAAGGCGATAGTCTTATCCCCATTTTGTGGAGAAGGAATCATAGCTTCAGATCATATACCACCTGTAAGCAGCTATGATCGTTATATCCCTGATGACAATACCTTAGTTCCACATTGAACCAGTTGAAGATGTTAATTATATTATCTAACAAAGTCTCTTTAGTGTGATGTAGGAAATACCTCACACAAAGGACCATTTTACTATATATAATATAACATCATGTTGTATACCTTAAATATATATAATAACTTTTTTTAAGACAGGAAAAAGAGGCCTTTAAGAGGCCTACTGGAAGTAGACCGGAGATCTCAATGTCATGAACATTGAAGAACATATATTTTTGTTGTCATTATGGTTTTATTGTGGTTGTTTGGAAACAACACAAGTCATATGGACTGAAACTGTTAATTGTTTCTTGTGGCGTGCATGATCATTCTGATTTTTCTATAAAGAGTAGAGATAGATAGACGTGTTTCCTTTTCATCATTTGCAAGCATTGTCTAGATTATGGGGAGGCAACTGCCACTGTTAGATTTCAATAATATAAAAAGAATAGAAATCAGGCCCAGGGGAAAAATCCACTCACTTTGGTAGTAGAACTACATCAAGAAAGCTCAGGGGCAAGGAGACAACAGGCAAGGAGACAGTTTCTCCTATGGAGACAGACTAGGTTCTATCAGCAATTCTGGTATCCTGTGTCATTGCCAGCAGGCACCCTGAAGGGAATGAGATGAACCACAAGAGAATGTGTTGGTAAGAATATATCCTTTGCAACCTTACTGCAGAATGGGGAATTTCTTTTGAGCTTGATCCGTTTTTGTTCCCTAGAGTCAAAAATATGTTTTCTTGAGGAATCTCAAGAGTAGAATCTTTGGGTGTGGATTGGGGAGAGGAGTGCGCAGAGAACAGGACAACAATGAAGGCTGGTTTTAGAGAGGTAGAGCAAAGATGCCGTAAACAAGCATAGTAGTTAGAGTATTGTGAGATGAAATTTGGGAGTTACCCTTCAGGCCTTTATCATCATAAGAGTCATTTTCTTTCTGGTGCTAGCAGCATTCTTCTGTTAAGGTAGGTCCCCTGTGTCTGTCTTCTTGAAAGTGGGAGTTCAAACTTTCTCTCTTTTCTTTCTTCTCATCATGACTAGAGTATACCTGAGCAGATATTTGTGTTTGTACATTCTAGTTCAGTGATATTCATGTTTTAATCATTGGAAAGCTTTAAAGAAATATCAGTGCATGTATCATTTTTTTAAAAGCCCCCCACATGATTCTAATATATAGCCAAGGTTGACACTGTTCAAGAGCAGTGTTTATCAAACTTTAATGTGAAAATGAATCATCTGGGGATCTCGTTAAAAGATGGTTTCTGCTTTCAGTAGATCCAGGATAGAGCCTAAAATTCTGCATTTTCAACATGCAGAACACTTTGAGCAGCAAATTCCAGAACAATGGCTCTCAAACTGGTATACAAAAAAAAAAAAAAAAAAAAATCAGCTGAGGAGCTTAAAAAAAAAAAAAAGGCAATCCCCACTCAGATCAATTCAGTAAGAATCTATAGGAGAGAAACTGAGGGTTTGAACATCAGCTAGATGGTGAAATTGAACTTTATAGCACTCATCACCTCACAGAAATATCAATGTAAACAACTATCCATGCATGAAAATACCTTCACAAGAACTAGGGAAATCAGATGAGGGAGTACAGCAATGAGGTATCATGTAGAAATAAGAAAAGATACATTGAAGAGGGCAGGAAAGACAGTTTTACGTTACCCTCGTCACACTTCCCCAAACCTCAGACAGCACAGCATGGAGAAAGATACCCTCTGTGTGAGGGAAGGAGAGTGAGTACCGGACGTTGCCTCATTCCTCAACACTGGGCCTGTCCCAGTAAAACCCATCACTGGGTAGGCCCCATGGTCCCTGACTCCAGGCCTGTACCTACAGACTAGGCTTCCAAGTCCACCACAGTGCCAAGCTAGATCCTGCAGCCCCAGGCTCCAGGCCTGCTCAGTGGACCCTGCCTCCAGGCCAGCCCCTGCAGACCTAGTCTGCAGGCCCACCCCAGGTTCCAGAACAGCCCAGAGGCAGGTCAGCCCACACAACCCCAGGCTTTAAGCCTGCCCCAGTGCCACGGCAGAAGCCTAGGCCTCAGGCACCAAGCCATCACCTTCAGACACGGGCTCCAGGCCAGGCTGATCCTCGTGACCCCACCCTGTAGGGGAGCCTCTGCAGCCCTACACTCCAGCAGCTCTGGGGTTCAGCCCTGTTCTAGCAGATCCAGGGTCCAGGCTCATCCCAGTAGACCCCAGCACTGGGCTGGAACCCATGGACACAGGCTCTAGGAACATCCATGTGGACCAAGGTTCCAAGCTGGCTCTCACGGCTCCAGGACCTACATTAGCCCTCAAAAACCTAGCCTCCAGACCTAACCTCCAGGCATATCCCCATGGACCCAGTCTTCAGGCCAGTCCCCAGGATTCCAGGTACCATGCCAGTACCCATGATCCCAGGCTCCAGACCAGCCCCTACAGATCCAAGCTTCATTCCTGCCCTAATACCAGGCTGGCCCCAGGCTCCAGGCCAGTCCCCATAGACCCAACCTCCAGTGGACCCAGAATCCAAACCTGCTTCAGCAGACCCATGGTCCAGACCCACTCCTGTAGACACCAGTGCCAGGACAGTCTCCATGAACCATGTCTCCAGGACCACTCCTGGTGACCCATGCTCCAGGCCAGCTCCTGTGGACCTAGGACCCAGCCTGCCCCCACAAACTCAGGCTCCAGGCACACCCCAGCACCAGGCCATCCTCTTTGAAATCAGGCTTCAGCCCTTTGTAGCTGCAGGGTCTTCATCCATGGATTTAACCAATCATGGATCACAAATGTAGTTAAGCCTACATTGGTTACATCTGTACTAAACATGTACAGACTTTTTTTCTTGTCATTATTCCCTAAACAATACAGCATAACAGCTATTTACATAGCATTTACTTTGTATTAGGTACTACTAGTAATCTAGATATTTAAAATGTGTGGGAGGATATGCATATGTTGTTATATGCAAATACTATATTGTTTTATATAAGGGACTTGAGCATCTGTGGATTTTGGTATTCTCAAAGGGTCCTGGAACCAATTCCCCACAGATGCTGAGGGATGACTATATTCAAAGTGCTAAAGGAGAAAACAAGAATACCTGGAAGCTGTCCTTCAGAAATGAAGGAGAGAGAAAGGCTTTCTCAGATAAGCAAAAGCTGAGGGAGTTCATCACCACCAAACTTGTCTTATGAAAACGGCTGAACGGAGTTCTTCAAGCTGAAAGAAGAGGATGCTAATTAGTAAACATTAAAACATACAAACTCACTGGTAAAAGTAAGTACACAGTCAAATTCAGAATAATATTGTAATGGCGGTGTGTAAGTTACTTATATCTTTAGCATGAAGGTTAGGCAAAACTATTTAAAAATGCTAAGCGCAGGGTGCAGTGGCTCACGCCTTTAATCCTAGCACTTTGGAAGGCTGAGGTTGGTAGATCACTTGAGGTCAGGAGTTCGAGACCAGCCTGGCCAACATGGTAAAACCCCATCTCTACCAAAAAATAAAAAAATTAGCTGGGTGTGGTGGCATGTGCCTGTAGTACCAGCTACGCAGGAGGCTGAGGTAGGAGAATCAGTTGAACCTGGGAGGCCAGTATTGCACCATTGAACTCCAGGCTGGGCAACAGAATGAGACCTTCTCTCAGAAAAGTAAAATAAAAATAATAATAGCTATAATAATTGATTAATGAATACACAATATAAAAAGATGTAAATGTTGATAGTAAAAGCATAATATGAGGGGCAGGTAGAGTAAAAGTATTGAGTTTTTTTACGCATTCAAAGTTGTTACCAGTTTAAAATGGCCTGTTATAACTATAAGATGTTCTGTGTAAGCCTCATGGTAACCACAAAACAAAAGCCTATAGTAGATTCACAAAAAATAAAAAGTAAGGAATCAAAGCCTAACACTAGAGAAAATAAATCACAAAGGAAGATAGCAAGAGAAGAAGGAAAAAAGGATCCACAAAACAATCAGAAAACAACTAACAAAATGGCAATAGTAAGTCCCTACCTATCAATAATTACTTTGAATGTAAATGGATTAAATTCTCTAATCAGAAGGCATGGAATGGTTGAATTAATTTAAAAAACAAGACCCAACTATATGCTTCCTACAAGACACTCATTTCACCATTAAGGACACACATAGATTGAAAGTAAAAGGACGGCAAAACATATTCCATGCAAATAGAAATCAAAAGAAAGCAGGGGTAACTATTCTTATGTCAGATAAAATAGACTTTAAGTCAAAAGCTGTAAAATGAGACAAGGTCATTATATAAAGATAAGGAGGTCAGTTCATCAAGAGACTATAACAATTATACATATAGATGCACCAACACTGGAGCACCTAAGTATATTAAACAAATATTAAAGGACTTGAAGGGAGAGATAGATCGCAACACAATAATAGTAGGGGACTTTGATACCCAACTTTAAGCAATGGACATTTCATCCAGACAAAAAAAATCAATAAGGAAGCATTGGACTTAAACTGTACTTTACATCGAATGGACCTAACAGACATATACAGAACATTGCATCCAGCAGCAACATCATATACATTCTTCTCTAGCACACATGGAACATTCTCCAGGGTAAATAATATATTAGGGCCAGATGCAGTGGCTCACGCCTGTAATTCCAGCACTTTGGGAGGCCAAGGCGGGCGGATCACGAGGTCAAGAGATTGAGACCAACCTGGCCAACAAGGTGAAACCTTGTCTCTACTAAAAATACAAAAAAATTAGCCGGGCATGGTGGCACGCACCTGTAGTCCCAGCTACTCGGGAGGCTGAGGCAGGAGAATTGCTTGAACCTGGGAGTTCCAGGTTGCAGTGAGCCGAGATCGTGCCACTGCATTCCAGCCTGGCAACAGAATGAGACTCCATCCCAAAAACAAAACAAAACAAAAAAACTATTATGTTAGAGCACAAAACAAGTCTAAATAAATTTAAATGAGTTTAAGAAGATTGAAATCATATCAAATATCTTTTCTGCCCACCAAAGTATGAAACTAGAAGTTAAGAACTGGAGGAATTTTAGAAAATTTCCAAATATATGGAAATTAAACAACATGCTTCTAAACAACAAATAGGTCAAGAAGTTAAAAGGGAACTTTTAAAATATCTTGAGACAAAAATAGAATACAAAATACCAAAACTTATGGAATGCACCAAAAGCAGTGCTAAGGGGTGAGTTTGTAGCAATAAACATCTACATCAAAAAAAGAAAAAGTGCCCATTGTCTCATGCCTGTAATCCCAGTGCTTTGGGAGGCTGAGACAGGAGGACCACTTGAGCCTGAGTTTGAGGTTACAACGAGCAATGACCATGCCATTGTACTCCAGCCTGGGCAGAGGAATACCCCATCTCTAAAAATAAAATAAGAATTGGAGACTGATTTGAGTAATAATAAAACTCCAGTCCAGCCGGGTGCAGCGGCTCACACCTGTAATCCCAGCGTTTTGGGCGGCCAAGGCAGGTGGGTCACCTGAGATCAGGAGTTCGAGACCAGTCTGGCCAATGTGGTGAAACCCTGTCTCTACTAAAAATACAAAAATTAGCTGGGCATAGTAGCATGCACCTGTAGTCCCAGCTACTCAGGAGGCTGAGGCAGGAGAATTGTTTGAACCCAGAGGCAGAGGTTGCAGTGAGCTGATATCGCACCACGGCTCTCCAGCCTGGGCAACAGAGCAAGACTCCATCTCAAAAAAATAAAAATAAATATAAAACTCCAGTCCCTTGCAAAAAAAAAAAAAAAGAATTTACAACCTTCTCATCAGTAAATATTTGGACATATTCAGGAATGCCCAACCACCAACCAATACTTTACATTTTTGCTATAGAGACAATTCTCAAGTCTAAAACTCCACGTCAGATTAAAACAAAACAAAAACAAACTCAGAACAATCTCCAACTGGAAGTTTGATTAAAGAACAAATTTCATTTCTGCTGTGAGACTCATTAGTGGAGAATATTTGTAGTCTCTATTTCTAAAGCCAACTTTATTATTTTCAAAGCCAGAATTATAGTAGAAAGCAAATATTCCTAGTAGTATTTTTTTAATAGAAGATACCTTATCGTCAAATAACTTATAGTTTAAAGAGTTTCTGTTTCTCTCATACTTCATCTTGCTGGGAGCTATCAGCATTCAGGGTTTGGATTTTTTCTGACACATGGTTTTCTTCTGGAAACCTACTAATTAGTAAAAGGATGCAGGGCTAGGACACTGCGCTGTGTTAGAGATTTTATTATTGAGCCATCTCCAAAGAATGTTGGACCAAGATTCGAGTTTAGCAGAGCTAATACGTAAATGGAGTTGAGAAAACAGGAGAATGGAGAACACATCAGTGCCCTGTTTGAAAATATCAATCCCTTACCTGGTAGGCCTGATGATTTTTAATAGAGACGAGATTGTGGATTTTTTGTGGCAAGAACTGTCTAGTTTAATGTTCAAGAATTATCAGCACCAAAGACAGATCAAAAGGTCAATATTTGTCCTCCCTGTAAATGCCTTGTCCTGGGAGGGTGTTAATATGCCCAATTTGGCAATGAATTTATGGATTTTTATAATGAATATCCATATTTCAAACCCAGGCAGGTGCTCTGGAGCAGTACTGTCTGAGGGCACAGAATGCAGCAGCAGCAGTAGCAGCAGCAGCAAAGACCTGTCCCAGGCATTCAGGGCTCATGTGTATGGATGCACCGATGCTGTGGGAGCTGCGTACATCAAAGCCACTGCAGTCCCCATCACAGAGCCTCACAGAAAAAAGGATTGTTCTGCAGCTTTCCTTTCCCATCAGAGTTCCACTCCATAATCTAATGCCCTTTAGCTGGAGAGGATCTGGGAGAAAGGGAGCTGAATGTGCAAAGCAAAGAACAATTTAAGTACAGTGCTCAAAAATAATTGGCAGCTTCGGGTAAAATACAGTTCTACAATGATAAAAATCACAGCATCTTAACTCTGGCAGAGACCTGTACAGGTCATACAGTCCATCTTCCCTTGCCTGTTTTCAAAACTTAAACCATTCTAATTGGATAAGAACTAATTTTTCATTTTAGGACTTGCAGAAAGAAAATTACAGAGCTCTCTTTGAAATCTGTTCTGATATATAGTACCTCTTTCACTGTAAGTTCATTTTTAAGTTAACCCAAATCCATCATGTTCCAGTTAAAATTGGTTTTTGTTTGTTCAGTCATCTATAGAGATGTATAATGACTAGTCGGTATCCCTTATGTAAAAGTCATTGAAGATCAGCCATAGTTAAATTACCACTTCAACTGTCTTTTCAGTGGCTAAAATCTATCAAGTTCCTTAAACAGTTTTTCTATGGCCAGTTTTTTTAGTCTCTTACCTGTTATTATTATCTTCTCTTCATTTTCCATGGCAATCTTTGGCTGTAAAGCTTAAACAGGACCCAGTGCTGTAGAAATATCTGATGAGTACTTAGTACAGTGAAAAACTCACCTCGTGTTCCTAAATACTTGTAGTTTTTGCTTTGCACACTAATGTGAGACCAAAAATTACCATGCTAGCTGACTCTATATGATCTTAATAATCAATGAGAAAATTTGTGATACATAAATGTGTGTCAAAACATTTGAAACTCTATTTCTATTGGTTATAAATGTATAGAGAAATGAAAAAACATAGTAAAACTAATGTTAGTAAGCTGTAATTTAAAACATTATAAATAATGAGAAAAGAAATTTTATTTATAGGCATACCTCAGAGATATTGCAGGTTTGATTCCAGACTATTGCAAAAAGCAAATATCACAAAAAAGCAAAGTCAGACAAATATTTTGGTTTCCCAGTGCATATAAAACTTATGTTTCTGCTGAGACCGTGTCCACCCTGCGAGCACAGAGCCTTGCCCTCGCCTCTCTGCCACCCGTCCACACCCGCCGCCAGCTCACCATGGATGATGATATCACCATGCTTGTCGTCGACAATGGCTCTGGCATGTGCAAGGCCAGCTTTGCAGGTGACGATGCCCACCCCGGGCCATCTTCCCCTTCATTGTGGGGCGCCCCAGACACCAGGGCGTGACGGTGGGCATGGGTCAGAAGGACTCCTATGTGGGCAACGAGGTCCAGAGCAAGAGAGGCATCCTGACCCTGAAGTACCCCATCAAGCAGGACATTGTCACCACCTGGGACGACATGGAGAAGATCTGGCACCACACCTTCTACAACGAGCTGTGTGTGGCTGCCAAGGAGCACCCCATGCTGCTGACCAAGGTCCCCCTGAGCCCCAAGGCCAACCACAAGAAGATGACCCAGATCATGTTGGAGATCTTCGACAGGCCAGCCATGTACGTGGCCATCCAGGCCGTGCTGTCCCTGTACACCTCTGGCCTACCACTGACATCGTGATGGACTACGATGACGGGGTCACCCACACTGTGCCCATCTATGAAGAGTATGCCCTCCCCCATGCCATCCTGCGTGTGTGCCTGGCTGGTCAGGACCTGACTGACTACCTCATGAAGGTCCTCACCTAGCACAGCTACATCTTCACCGCCACAGCCAAGCGGGAAATTGTGCATGACATCAAGGAGAAGCTGTGCTATGTCACCCTGGACTTCGAGCAGGAGATGGCCATGGTGGCCTCCAGCTCCTCCCTGGAGATAGCTACAAGCTGCCCGACGGCCAGGTCATCATCATCGGCAAAAGCAGTTCTGCTGCCCTGAGGCGCTCTTCCAGCCTTCCTTCCTGGGCATGGAATCCCGCGGCATCCATGAAACTACCTTCAACTCCATCATGAAGTGTGATGTGGACATCCTCAAAGACCCGTATGCCAACACAGTGCTATCTGGCGGCACCACCAGGTACCCTGGCATCGCCGATAGGATGCAGAAGATCACCACCCTGGCGCCCAGCACAATGAAGATCAAGATCACTGCTCCTCCCAAGCGCAAGTACTCCGTGTGGATCGGCAGCTCCATCCTGGCCTGGCTGTCCACCGTCCAGCAGATGTGGATCAGCAAGCAGGAATATGATGAGTCAGGCACCTCCATCATCCACCGCAGATGCTTCTAGGCGGACTGTGACTTAGTTGCGTTACACCCTTTCTTGACAAAACCTAACTTGCGCAGAAAACAAGATGAGATTGGCATGACTTTGTTTTTTTTATTTTGTTTTGTTTTGTTTGGCTCGACTCAGGATTTAAAAACTGGAATGGTGAAGGTGACAGCAGTTGGTTGGAGTGAGCATCCCCCAGAGTTCTACAGTGTGGCCAGGGACTTTCATTGTACATTGTTCTTTTTTTAATAGTCATTCCAAATATCGTGAGATGTGTTGTTACAGGAAGTACCTTGCCCTCCTACAAGCTACCCCACTTCTCTCTAAGGAGAATGGCCCAGTCCTCTCCCGTGTCCACACAGGGGAGGTGATAGCATTGCTTTCATGTAAATTATGTAATACAACTTTTTTTAATCTTTGCCTTAATACTTCTTTATTTTGTTTTATTTTGAATGATCAGCTTTCATGGCCCCACTTTTTTGTCCCCCAACTTGAGATGTATGAAGGCTTTTTGTCTCCCTGGGAGTTGGGAGTGGGTGGAGGTAGCCAGGGCATACCTGTACACTGACTTGAGACCAGTTGAATAAAAGTGCATGCCTTATAAAAAAAACACTTATGTTTCCACTATACTGTAGTCTATTCATTGTGCAGTAGCATATGTCTAAAAAAACAATGCACATACCTTCCTTAAAAAACACTTCGTTGCTAAAAAAAAAAAAAAGTGCTAATGACCATCTGAGCCTTCAGTGAGTAGTAATCTTTTTGCTGCAAAAGGGTCTTGCCTCAATTCTGGAGACCTTGCTCTGTATTAGGTTTTGGCTTAAGGGAATGTTGTGGCTAGTTTGATCTTCTGTCCAGGGGTCCTCAACCCCCAGGCCACAGACCAGGCCACACAGCAGGAGGTGAGTGGTGGGGGGGCAAGAGAAGCTTCATCTGTATTTACAGCCGCTCCCCATCACTTGTATTACCACCTGAGTTCCACCTCCTGTCAGATCAGCAGCAGCATTAGATTCTCATAGGAGCATGAACCCCATTGTGAACTGTGCACATGAGGGATCTGGATTGCATGCTCCTTATGAGAATCTAGTTCTTGATGATCTGTCACTGTCTCCCATGACCCCCAGATGGGACTATATAATTGCAGGAAAACAAGCAGCTCAGGGCTCCCACTGATTCTACATTATGGTGAATTTATAATTATTTCATTATATATTACAATGTAATAATAGGTTGGGCATGGTGGTTCACACCTGTAATCCCAGCATGTTGGGAGGCCGAGGCAGGTGGGATCACTTAAGGTCAGGAGTTTGAGACTAGCCTTGCCAGCATGGTGAAACCCCATCTCTACTAAAAATACAAAAATTAGCCAGGCGTGGTGATGCATGCCTATAGTCCCAGCTACTTGGGAGGCTGAGGCAGGAGAATCACTTGAACCCAGGAGGCTGAGGTTACAGTGAGCCAAGATCACACCACTCTAGCTTGGGTGACAGAGCAAGACTCCGTCTCAAAAAAACAAAAAAAGTAATAATAGAAATAAAGTGCCCAATAACTGTAATGTGCTGGAATCATCCCGAAACCCCCTGCAACCTGGTCCGTGGAAAAATTGTCTTCCACAAAACTGGTCCCTGGTGCCAAAAAGGTTGAGGACCGCTGTTCTATCTAGACCATTAAAACTTTCTCCATATCAGCAAGAAGGCTCTTTCACTTTACCATTCATGTGTTCACTGGAGTAGCACTTTGAATATCCATCAAGATCTTTTTCTTTGCATTCACAACTTGGCTAACTGGCACAAGATGCCTAGTTTTTGGCCTTTCAACATGTTTTTCTCATTAAGCTTAATCATTTCTAGGTTTTGATTTAAAGTTAGAGACATGTGACTCTTCCTTTCACTTGAACACTTAGAGGCCGTAGTAGGGTTATTAATTGGCTTAATTTCCTCATATTGTGGTGTCTGGGGGAATAGGAAAGCCTGAAGAGAGGGAGGGAAATGGAGGAATACCCTGTCAGTGGAGCAGTTAGGACACACACATTTATTGGTTATGTTCACTGTCTTCTATGTGTGTGGTTCATGGCACCTCAAAACAATTGCAATAGTAACATCAAAGATCACTGATCACAGATTAACATAACATATAATAATGAAAAAGTTTGAAATATTGCAAGAATTAACAAAATGCAACAGAGACACAAAATGAGCACATGCTGTTGGAAAAATGGTGCTGAAAGACTTGCTCAATGCAGGCTTGCTACAAATCTTGAATTTATTTAAAAAAAAAACAAAAACCCCACAATATCTACAAAGCACAATGAAGTGAAGCACAATAAAACCAGGTATGTCCGTATTTATAAAAAAAAAAAATCCCAAGTACTTTAACAGTACTTGCCTCCTTTTTGTCATATAGTTTATGATACTGAGAAAACATCTTTTCTGTGCCTTGGTGAATTGTCATCATACTCCCTTCTAAGTTTGGATGAGCTTCCAATATTTTACACTTTGTGCTTTCAGTGTCATGAAATATCTGCAAGAGTTTCTTTAATGTGAAGTTTTTGCCAGCATCACTTCCTCTGGGACATCTTCATACGTTTCGTCACAACCACTTTCCTCATTTACATTGATTAGTTTGCCTTCACTAAGTTCCTCTGGTGCATATCTAGAGTCCCTTAAATAGCAGCAATGTCAATAATCTCACAGTTAGCTATTTCTTCTATAACCCTATTTACATTCCTGTTACCACTTTTTGTTACTTTGCTGCATTTTCATCTTCGTTAGCCAGTTCCCTCTTTCAGTTATCATTTTTGGGTTTCATCATTGGAAGACAAGGAGGCAACCCCACCGCACACTTTGTTGTTTGTGCATTAACTGAATAACAGATGCACAGTGACTAGTCACCGACAGACTGTGAAAGAAGTGACGTGATTTGTCACTGATCGTGATACACATCTGTTATTTATGTTGTGAACTGAAGAGCTAGCAATCAAGTTTGTACTTCATGTAATTACTCACAGTTAATAAACCATGGCAACTGAAATTTCAACCCTGTTGTTTGGGGACTGACATTCTTTCATCTAAGAACCATGCAAAGTGAGGACAACCTCAGTCAATTCCTGCATTCCTTCAGGCCCACTGCTAATTTTCTGATTCCTGGTCAGTTATCTACTCTGACATTCAGATCTTTTTCTGGTATATATGCCTTACTAACTTCATCTTAGTGAAGTTTCTCTTTCTCCTCCAGGGGCAATACCTTTGATCTTTCCTCTCTGACATTTATGCTCTTGGCTTCTGACCATTCCTTCAATCTCTAAGTTTGTTTGAAATACTGATTTGCCCCGCTAGCTTGTGATCGTTTGCAAATTAAATAGACATTTCTCCATTCATTAATGTGAATACTTATCCGCACAGAATGTCAATTCCTGAATACCAGCACAGGTTCACCCAGCCAGCTCATCCTTATCCTTTGGTCATATGGTCCAGTCAGTTGTGTAAGGGACTCTGTAAAGGTCCTGGGTGGGGCCTCAGAATCTATATATTTAAATGTTCTCCATATTATAGCCAAGTTTGATTTATAATATAAACCATGCTTTCCTGGTTCTTAGTAATCTTACTATAGACTACTAGAAGTTTAGATCTGACAAATATACTAGAGATTGTCTTGTCAAACCTACTCATTTTATAAGTGAGAGAACTAAGGTCCAGAGTTGCCAGATGACTTGCCCATGGCTTCCCAGTTACAAGCAGAGTAGGAACTAGAACTGATGGTTCCAAACGCCCAATCTTTTTTTTTTTTTTTTTTTTTTTTGAGACGGAGTCTCGCTCTGTTGCCCAGGCTGAAATGCAGTGGTCCGATCTCGGCTCACTGCAAGCTCCGCCTCCCAGGTTCACGCCATTCTTCTGCCTCAGCCTCCCAAGTAGCTGGGACTACAGGCACCTGCCACCACACCAGGCTAATTTTTTTGTATTTTTAATAGAGATGGGGTTTCACCATGTTAGCCGGGATGGTCTTGATCTCCTGACCTCGTGATCTGCCTGCCTTGGCCTCCCAAAGTGCTGAAATTACAGGCGTGAGCCACCGTGCCCGGCCTTGTTTTTTTTTTTTTCTAGACAGAGTTGTTCTGTCGCCCAGTTTGGGGTGCAGTGGCGCGATCTCGGCTCACTGCAACCTCCACCTCCCAGGTTCAAGCGATTCTCCCACCTCAGCCTCCCGAGTAGCTGGGATTACAGGTGTATGCCACCATGCCTGGCTAATTTTTATATTTTTGGTAGAGACAGGATTTCACCATGTTGGCCAGGCTAGTCTTGAACTCCTGACCTCAAGTGATCCACCCACCTCGGCCTCCCAAGGCGTTGGGATTACAGGCGTGAGCCACTGCGCCCACCCCAAACTCCCAGTCTTTCAACCTAATTTCCATCCTGTGGGATACAATCAAAGTCGTTCATCATCATCTTTTTCAAACTCTCCTGTGGTGATTTTCTTTTTCTGTGTGAATCTGTGCAATAATATCTGAAGAGAGATGCTCAAGTAAGTTTCTCTGTAGTGAATGGGAAAGCAGTTGTGACAAGGATTGTTGAGGTAGTAGGAGCTATGGAGGCCTGGAGCAGCTCTGGAGGCCTTAATCCAGTCCTGCTCCAGTGCTTACCCTCTGCCTGCTCTGTGCCTGCCCACTGGTGCCTAAGCTGCTGTCCACTGGGGGCTTAGGTATCTGTTTGACTTGTGCACACAGTGCTTGTTTCCGGAGGCAGTGTATAGAGGAGAAGATGGGGATGCGGGTTTGGGTAGGGGTTGAATATACTATTCTGTAAAGCTTTTTCTATTTGCATAAGATATTCTCACAACTGAAGACTCTGGCCTTCAGGTTTGCTGACAGAGTGAAATGAGTCTGCCTGTAATTCTGAGAGACGCACTAAGGAGTAGAGCATCATCCCTTTGATATGTTGTGTAAGTTCATGAAAAATGAATGGGGAATGTTGAATAGTATGTATAATAGCAACGTTAATGCTTACATACCCATTCTGGCTTGAAGAAAAACAAAAACAGAATTTTGCTACTTCCTAATCTCCCTGAGTTCACCTGTCACAGGCAACAGCAGTGTTTGAAATGCTAATGTGTCTTGTAGCCATTTTAAAGACTGAAGAGCTGCATAGTTCAGGGAAACTGAGATCAAGGGACTTCTTTATAAATTGTCCTTACATTTTCTCTAGCACTTGCTGCCTGGGACCCTGGCCTCTCACTAGGCCCCTGAAGATGAAAGAGCATTTCACAGTGACATGACATTTTAGAGCCAGAGGTGGAGACGGTGGATGGGGGGAGGACCTTAGTACTCTCCTGCTTCAATTCTGATTCCAAAATTTTTGTTTTCTCTGCTGAGACCCCAAGTGGTCAACGAACTTAGCTACAGTTGCACAGTTTGTTTAGGGCTAGATTTAGACTAGAGCTCAGGTTTCCTGATTCCCAGGTAAATGTGGTTTTGGCTGTATCATATTGTGCATAAAAGCATTGTCAGACTTCTTAAATGAAATACAAAATCCTGGGTGATTTGGCAGTTGTGAATCTTGCTGGCGATAACAGACTTTTGGAGGAGACAGGACTGTATTTTTATAGCTGAGGAAACCAGATCAAGGAAACTAGTGTAAATAATGGTCCAAGGGCTGAAAAAAAATCCTCACAGCCTCCCCATTATAACTTTTCAACTTAGGGTGCCAGAAAAGTCTCCATTAATGATTTAAGTTAAGGTTTACACTGAAGGCTGGGACAAAAATGTATATAAAGCACCTAGTTTGCTTATGTATAGATACATTAGATCTCAGAGTAAAGAGAAGGGAAAGAGTATCTTTAAAAATTAGAAGATTGGGGCCAGGCATGGTGGCTGACACCTGTAATCCCAACACTTTGGGAGGCTGAGGCTGGTGGATCACTTGAGGTCAGGAGTTTGAGACCAGTCTGACCAACACAGTGAAACCCTATCTCTACTAAAAATACAAAAATTAGCCAGATGTGATGGCACATGCCTGTAATCCCAGCTACTTAGGAGGCTGAGGCAGGAGAATCACTTGACCCCGGGAAGTGGAGGTTGCAGTGAGCCAAGATCACACCACTGTACTCCAGCCTGGGTGACAGAGTGAGATTCCATCTCAAAAAAAGATTGGAAAAAAGATACCTGGGGAAATTTAGTTTGCAAGTGACTACCTAGTTTTTTCTTTCCAACTGAAGGTTCACATTAGCATCAATAAATATTTTACAGCAAGTCTCATACCCTGATTTAAAAAAGATACCTTCTGTTCTTTGGAAACCATATCAGAGGTCTATTTTAGGTAATTATTTTCATTTTCTATCTTTAGAAAAAAAACTTTAAAAATACAGTTTATAAAGACCCAATGTGTTCTTTAAAAACTTCTTGGTAGGACTGCTAAAGTTCCATTTCTCCCCTAATGAAGTATAAAAATTGAATTCTTAATGCAGATGAAAGTGCCCTATTCTGGGGGAAAAATGCCACAAAGGACACTTCTTAGTAAGGAAGTGAGCACCAAGATTTAAGGCAGGAAAGGATAAGCTAACTCTACTGTTTTGTACAAATGCAGTTGAGTTTATGATCAGGACTGCCTTTATCTGTATAGCTGCTAACCCTCAAGCGTTAAAGTGAAAAAAAACACCAGCTGCCAGGCTTTGGGTTTTACAAAAAGAAGACCTGGACAACAAGAATCCTTTTACTGGATTGATTCCATTGATGTTTTGTCCTTGATGTCAAGAAGCACCTTGCTAGTAAAGGACTGCCTTTTAAAGTTCTTCTGATATCAGACAATGCCCCTGGCAACCCAGAACCCCATGAGTTCAACACCAAAGACATCGAAGTGGTCTACTTGCCCCGAAACACAACATCTCTAATTCAGCCTCTAGGTCAGGGAATCATAAGGACCTTTAAGGCTCATTTCACACAGAACTGTATGGAAGGATGTCAACCCTATGGACGAGAACCCCAATAGAGAGAACATCATGAAAGTCTGGAAGGATTACAGCATTGGAGATGCCATCATTATAGAAAAAGTCATGAGAGCCATCAAGCTCCAAGTAATAAATTCCTGCTGGAGAAAACTGTATCCAGGTGTTGTACGTGACTTCACAGGATTTATGACAGAGCTAATCAAATAAATCATGAAAGAGATTGTAGATATGGCAGAAAAGTGGGGGAGAGGGTAGAGGTTTAAAGGTTTAAAACATGGATCTTGGAGAACTGCAAGAGTTAACAGACACCACACCTGAGAATTTCACAGAAGACAACTCGATGGAGATGAGTGCTTCTGAATCAGTGCTAAACAATGAGGAAGAAGATGTAGAAGAAGCAGTGCCAGAAAGCAAATTGACATGAGACCATCTAGCAGAAGGTTTCTAATTATTCAAGAATGCTTTTGACTTCTTTTATGATGTGGATCCTTCTATGATATGGGCACTGAAACTAAAGCAAAAGGTGGAAGAAGAATTGGTACCATATAGAAACATTTTTAGAGAAATGAAAAAGCAAAAAAATCAAAAATTACAATGTATTTCCATAAAGTTACACCAAGTGTGTTGGCTTCTCCTGCCTCTCCTTCCACCTCCTCTACCTCTTCCATCTCTGCTACTCCCAAGACAGTAAGACCAACCCCTTTTCCTCCTCCTCTTCAGCCTACTCAACATGAAGACAAGGATAAAGACCTTTATGATAATCCATTTACACTAAATGAATAGTAAATATATTTCCTCTTCCTTGTGGTTTTCTTAATAATTTTTTTTTCTCTAATTTATTGTAAGAATACAGGATGTCACACATACAACATACAAAATATGTGTTAAGGTGAGGTGGTTCACGCCTGTAATCCCAGCACTTTGGGAAGCCAATGTGGATGGATCACTTGAGGCCAGGAGGTTGAGACCAGCCTGGCCAACATGGTGAAACCCCAGCTACTTGGGAGGCTGAGGCATGAAGATCACTTGAACCCGGGAGACAGAGGCTGCAGTGAGTGACGATCACATCACTGCACTCCAGCCTGGGCAACAGAGTGAAATTCTGTCTCAAAATGTGTATGTGTGTGTGTTTGTGTGTCTGTGTTAAATTGACTATGTTATCAGTAAGCCTTCTGGTCCACAGTAAGCTGTTAGTAGTTAAGTTTTAGAGGAGTCACAATTTTATAGGTAGATTTTTTACTGTACCTGGTGGGAGGGGGTCAGTACCCTAACTCCTGCATTGTTCAAGGGTCAATTGTATAATGAATACACAAAAATGAGCAGCACCCACAACCCACTGTGTCTGGCCAAAATAAGCCCAGCTTTAACTTTACTGAAATATTCTCCTTCATTAAATAACATGTATTTTCGGTCTCCTAGGCTACCTCCAACTGGGACCAGCTTTAAGATAAAAAAAATCAGATTTCAGATGTGTGGTTTGGGTATTTAAATTTTCAGTGATACTCAGTTTCATATCTTTCAATTGAGGGAAAATTGTCAAGAGACAAGAATGGTGTCAAGAGTAGAAAGATCTAGCACCACAAGCCAGGGAGTATTGAAAGAGAACCAAGGGCCAGCTTCTCATTAAAATCAGAGGCAAGAAAGCATCTAAAGATCAAATGACTTAAATGGTAGCAGAAAAGACTTTAGGAGGTAAATAAGGAAATGTTTGTTTGAAGGCTTAATGGAGGATATTGTGTTAGAAATGCTGAGTTATTTTCCCTAGTACTAACTTTCTAATAGCAATGATGTTAAGGATATCTCCCCACACCCCACCAGCATTCTCAGTTACTGAAGGACTTCTGCAGGAGTGGGACAGTCCCCTATTAGAAAAGCTGGCATAGTTGAGGTTCTACCTATATTTAAGCAGAGGTAGATTTTATTAGAGAAGCACTCAAGTGTAGCTTTTGATTTTTTTGGAAGCATACTTTATAGGGCCTGAATACCTTATTAAAAGCAACATAATACTACATTAAACGAGTAAACAAGCATCTAGGGAAATCACACTTACAATCAATTAGATTTATAGACTAGTATTTCGAAGCAAAAACAGGAGGAATTCAAATGGAACATCTAGGATTCTGAGCAGCACATTGGTCTTGGAATTCAACTACAATCTAATATGTCTTGGTTCCTTTACCTTAAATACTCTGTTCTCCAATTAGAGTTGGTTTTGTTCTTCAAGTCTTTATTTTCACAGCATCGCCCGACTTCTATGTTGCTTCTTCTTTAATTTTTTTTAAGTAAGAAACATTCTGCTTTATCTCATTATTTAACCATTCAGGGACACTTCCCAGGCTTTTCTATCATTTGTGAAGAACAGTGGGTAAAAGTAAAGCACAATCATTCTGGAAATTCTTTATGAAACAGAAAATATATAAAAATATTCAGAGTATCTCCACTAATGCCTGATGACAATTCATTTGGACTTTTGAACTGGAGAGAAAGAAATCATCCAATAGTTTTGTGTATTGCTATCTATGTTTCTTTTTGGTCAGTAATGTATGTGTTATTTCCAAATGGCCTTCCTCCATGACCCTCATCCAATTCATGAGGAATAACATATTTTGAATCTCAGAAAAGACTGCCACTTTTAAGCCTTATAAGACCGAGTTCAAGTCCCAGTCCCTTGCCTCAACAATGGACTCTAGTGGCCTTTCCTTGCATCTGAATAACCATGGATCAATATCTGCCTATAAGAGTGTGGAGGTATAGGAGGTGGACGAACATGCTGTGGGAAGCAAATTGAACCCTTTTTTTTTTTTTTTGAGACAGAGTTTCACTCTTATAGCCCAGGCTGGAGTGCAATGGCGTGATCTCCGCTCACTGTAATCTCCACCTCCCAGGTTCAAGCAGTTCTGCCTCAGCCTCCTGAGTAGCTGGGATACAGGCACCTGCCATGACGCTTGGCTAATTTTGTATTTTTTTGGTAGAGATGGGGTTTTGCCATGTTGGCCAGGCTGGTCTTGAACTGCTGGCCTCAGGTGATCAGCCCGCCTCGGCCTCCCAAAGTGCTGAGATTAAAGACATGAGCCACTGTGCCCAGCCACAAATTGAACCCTTTCTATAAGCATTTTCTACATTGCCAAAAATAGTGTTGTCCTCAAAAGTACAAGCTTACTTACTGGAGATTTAGGAGACAGTATTTTGCCAGTAGAATTCCATCTTCCTTTAAGCAAACTTAACATGCAAAAATCTATATTTATCCAACAGAGTAAAGGCTAAAGAACTTTTTGTTTTAAAAGAAAACTTGGCCGGGTGTGGTGGTTCATGTCTGTCATCCCAGCACTTTGGGAAGCCGAGGTGGGTGGATCACCTGAGGTCAGGAGTTCGAGACCAGCCTGGCCAAAATGGTGAAACCCTGTCTCTACTAAAAATACAAAAACTAGCTGGATGTGGTGGTGGGTACCTGTAATCCCAGCTACTTGGGAGGCTGAGGCAGGAGAATCACTTGAACCCGGGAGGTGAAGGTTGCAGTGAGCCAATATTGCGCCACTGCACTCCAGCCTGGGTGAATCTTTTTGATTACAAAAACACATGGAGACTCAGAAAATCATGTTAACCAAATGTACGTCTTAATCATTATAAAGTGAACATCACCTCGATCATGAAATAGAACATTGCCACCTACTCTAGAAGCCCTGCCCAGGTACCCCAACTCAATCGCAGTCCCTTCTTTCCCTGATTAGTAACCATTATTATGATGTTTACATTCTCACCAGCAATGTATGAGAGTTCTAGTACCTGCACAAATGCTTGCCAACACTTGGTAGGGTCAGTCTTTTTCACTTTAGCCATTCCAGTAGCTGTATCTCTTTTGTGTTTGTAATGGTATGTATTTGTGGTGGTATCTCATTTGTATTTTGCTAATGACTAATGATATTGAGCTGCTTCTCATCTGCTTATTTGCCAGCTGTTAGGAAGATTTTTAAAAGGAAGGAAGTGAGAGAGAAGGCAACTCAACGGCCAAACAGGTTTATTTACAAGAATAAGCCTGCAAGCGGTCCCGGTCAGGAATCTGGCTGAGACCCTGATTTATTTTTTTATAATAAAGTTTCTATAGGGAGGTTTTTATAATAAAGTTTTTATAATAAAGTTTCTATGGGGAGGGGTTGGGGATATGCTGGCAGGTTGAAACTGTAGGGGGCAGGGGAAGGATGTGGTAAAGGCCAGTCAGTCTTTGTTGTAGTCAGGGTTGTTACTGTCTGTTAAAGGTATGGGCGAGGTTGACCTTTGCTGACCAGATAAACTCCCTAGCAACAGTTAGTACTCCAAAATCGCAGGGGACTAGATATCCTCACTGTAGAAGAGGGAGGCCTATTTCTCTTCCTGCAAGAAAATGCTGTTTCTTTACAAATAAATCTAGATTGGTAAAAGAAGGAATATCCAAACAGAAAAATTGCAGAACGCCTGCCCAAACAACCTGCTGACTTTTTCAGTTATTTCCTCCATTGGGCACTCCCTTTAATTGGTCCTTTCATTGTCATCTGCTTAATATTAATGTTTTTACCCTGCTTGATGAAATTTTTTTCAAAAGTTTATTTTAGAAAGAGTAACCTCAGTTGCTCAGACCACCATAACGGAACACATCAAGGAGGCATTCCTGCTATAGCAACAATGAATGACCTCATCACCAGAGGAAGGCCACCTCCCCCATGCACCACCCCCAGTGAGCAGGAAGTAGTCAAAGAGAACCTACATCCCTATTCCTAAATGATAATAATACAAAGAGGTGGGAATGTGAGAATTAACAATAGTGATGCCATTTTTCCACCTTGGTGACTGTGTTTCCTACCTTAGTGACAGTGTTTCCAAAAACAAAGCAAAGGTCAACCTCACCCATACCTTAACAGAGAGTAACAACCCTGACCACAACAAAGCCTGGCCCTTACCACATCCTTCCCCAGCCCCCTGCAGTTCCAACCTGCTAGCACTTCCCCAACCCCTCCCCTATAGAAACTTTAGTATGAGGCTGGGCACAGTGGCTCACACCTGTAATCCCAGCGCTTTGGGAGGCTGAGGCAGCTGTATAGCCTGAGGTCAGGAGTTCAAGACCAGACTGGCTAACATGGTGAAACCCTGTTTCTACTAAAAATGCAAAAAAAATTAGCTGGGTGTGGTGGCATGCACCTGTAATCCCAGCTACTCAAGAGGCTGAGGCAGGAGAATCACTTGAACCCAGGAGGCGGAGATTGCAGTGAGCTGAAATCACGCTACTGCACTCCAGCCTGGCAACAGAGCAAGATTCTGTCTCAAAAGAAAAAAAAAAAAAAGTTGGTCATGGTAGTACATGCCTGTAATCCCAGCTACTTGGGAGACTGAGGCAGGAGAATCACTTGAACCTGGAAGGCAGAGGTTGCAGTGAGCCGAGATCGCACCATTGCACTCCAGCTTGGGCGACAAGAGCAAAACTCCGTCTCAAAAATAAAAAAAAGAAACTTTAGTATAAAAACGTCAGCTTGTAAGCAATCAGGGTCTCAGCCAGATTCCTGACTGGGATGCCTCACAGGCTTATTCTTGTAAATAAACCTGTTTGGCCATTGAGTTGCCTTCTCTCTCACTTTCTTCCTTTTAAAACTCTTCCTAACACCATCCATATATATCTTTGTTAAAGTGTCTGTTCAAATCTTTTGCCTTTTTAAAAAAATTGCGTTGCTTGTTTTTTTATGGAATGTTGAGGGTTCTTTTTATTCTACATGCAAGTCCTTCATCAGATAAATGCTTTGCAAAGATTTTCTCCTAGTTCTTGGCATGTCATGTCGTTCTCTCAACAGTTTCTTTTGAAAAGCAGTTTTAAATTTTGATAAAGACTAATATATCCATTTATTTTATGAGTAGACATTTATTTGTTTTTTATGGGTTGTGTTTTTGGTGTTATATTTAAGAAGTATTTGCCTAATCCAAGGTTACAAATGTTTTCTTCTATAAATTTTATTGTTTTATGTTGTACATTTTGGTCTATGATCCACTTTAAGTTTTTTTTTTTTTAATATATGGAACAAGGTATGAATTGAAGTCTCCCTCTCCCTTTTTTTTTTTTTAGCACATAGATATCCCGCTGTTCCAGCACCACTTCTTTAAAAGGCTTTCCTTTCTCTGCTGAATTCCCTTTTACACCTTGTTGAAAATGAACATGTGTGGGTCTATTTATAGGCTCTTTATTCTGTTCTGTTGATCTATTTGTCTTTCTTTGTGTCAGTACCACACTGTCTTGGTTATTGTAGCTTTATAATATCTTGAATCTAGATCATATTAGTCCTCCAAATTTGTTCTTCTTTTGCAAACTTGTTTTGCATATTCTAGATCCTTTTATTGCCACATGAATTTTAGAATTCATTTGCTAGTTTCTACAAAAAAAGCCTCCTGGGATTTTAATTGAGATTGCATTGACTCTATAGACCAATTTGGGGAGAATGGACATGTTAACAATTTTGAATCTTGAAACCTATAAACATGATATATCCCTCTGTTTAGGTTTTCTTTCATTTCTCTCAGCAACGTCTTATTGTTTTCCTTGAGTTGTTAGAGTTTTAAATATTTGCTAATCACTTGTGTGTAAAGTGGTGTCTCATTGTGGTTTCACTGCTGACGACCAGTGAAATCCAGCATCTTTCAAGTGTTTATTGGCCCTTCAGGTTTCCTCTTCTCTATTGCTTTTATATTGGCCCGGCATTTTATTTGCCAAGAATATCTCTGCTGGGTGATCTTATGGTCTCTTATGTTTCGTCTATTTTGTGTTTGTTTGTTTTATTGATAGTGGAGATGTTTCTCTTTTTTGGCTCTTGAATTCTGAAATAGTAATTTAGATATTGAGGCAAATACCTCTTTACATCTTTCATTCCTTGTTAGTTTTATCTCTCCTACTTTCTGCCAATAGGAAGCTCTGGTATTCCCTGGCATATTCTAGCTTAGATGACTTTTGAGAACTCTGATTTGAGAGCAAAGCATGAGGTCACCTCACTTGTCAATGTCCCTTGGGCGATGCCTAGTTTATCTTTTTGCTAAGCTAATCTGCTCTCATTCCTCATGGTTCACTGCTCTGGACATTCTGCGATTCTGTTCCAGCTGAGCACATTAGAAGAGAGAGACAATTCCGCATCACTGGGCAGAGCTTAGGTAGCCTGGGGTTCTCACCTTTGAGCCAACAGGCAACTTGGCAAATTGCTCAACAACTCTGGGAGATGATTGTCAGAAGCCACAAGAGCCCCAGTCAGTGTTCTGTGAACCTGCTTTGAACAATTAAAAGGATCTGCATGTAACAAATTCTTGAAAAATTTTTGTTTCATTTTTATTAAAAAGGAAGCCTTTGATTTCTGTTGGCTACAAAGTAGGCTTCCTGTGATGTCTAAGTCAGAGAGCTACATGAATCTGGTTGTATCTTTCAGAATATTGTTTATGCATATTAGAATTTGTGAATAGTTATTTTGCTTTTCAACACTTTAAACATTTGTCAAATACCTATGGTGTGCCAAGCACTGTGTCAGGAACCAGAATCACCAAAATGGATAAGGCACCGCCCTCTCTTAGAAAAGCTTACAGAAGCCAGAGTATAGGTAGGAGTTAACTAACTCCAATGCTTTCTCAAAGAAAGAAAAGGGAAGGTAGATGCGGGAATGGGACCATCCTAAGGCATAAAAAGCAAGCAGCCTTAACCTATAGAAACTTGTCCAGGAAGAGTATAAGTAGAGAATTAAATGAGCACCTGCAGCACATAATTTCTGGACAACTGGATAGGAGTCCAAAAAGGGAAAGACACTAAAAGATATTGGCATTCAGAAATTTCTGTAATCCCAAATCCTTGCTCAAGCTGTTCACCTCCTAGATTGCTTTCCATGACCCTTTTCATTTGGCAAACTCTCATTCACCCTTAAGGAGTCACCTGAGATTTTTATTCTCATGGGAAAGTTTTCTTCCTTGCCTCTCACTTTCACTAGAGGACCATCTTGTGTGCTTTCATAGCACCCTACTGCTGATTCCAACTGTTCCACTTAGCACTCTGCATTGAAAGTGCCTCTTTGTCTCCACCCAGTAGAGTAACTTCAAGATCAAGCTGATCCCTTTTGGAGTAACCTCAAAAAAAAAAAAAAGTTAATTTGATATGTTCAATGGGATCCTAACATACTGAAACAGTGGGCTAAAATCAACAAGAAGAAATTTACTAGGCCTAAATCCTGCATCTAGTTCCAGCAGTTAAACTGTACAAGTAGAAGATTGAGGAGGCCTGACTTAGTAGGAGAATGTTTGAAATGGCATTCTAGATATCCGCAAATTGGATATAAGCCAATGGTATATAAGTTTCTCTAAAACCAAATAGAGGTTTGGGTTGTATTAAGGAAAATATAGCATTTAGATTAAGATTTAATAGCTGTATTATAATGCTGCAGTATATTTGGAGTATCATGCTCAATATGATCTTCTGACTTAAAGAACATTAGTGACCAGGAGCAGTGGTTCACACCTGTAATCCCAACACTTTGGGAGGCCAAGGCAGGTGGATCATCTGGGGTCAGGAGTTCGAGACCAGCCTGACCAACATGGTGAAACCCCGTCTCTGCTAAAAATACAAAAACTAGCTGGGTGTGGTGGTGGGCACCTGTAATCCCAGCTACTCAGGAGGCTGAACCAGGAGAATCGCTTGAACCTGGGAGGCGGAGGTTCCAGTGAGCGGAGATATCGTGCCATTGCACTCCAGCCTGTGAGATAGAGCAAGACTCTGTCTCAAAAAAAAAAAAAAACATTAGCATTAGCAAACAAGAAAGTAACTAGGATATTAACCAAAATCGGCCAGGTGCGGTGGCTCACGCCTGTAATCCCAGCACTTTGGGAGGCCGAGGCAGGCGGATCATGAGGTCAGGAGATCGAGACCATCCTGGCTAACATGGTGAAACCCCGTCTCTACTAAAAATACAAAAAATTAGCCAGGCGTGGTGGCGGGCGTCTGTAGTCCCAGCTACTCGGGAGGCTGAGGCAGGAGAATGGCGTGAACCCGGGAGGCAGTGCTTGCAGTGAGCCGAGATCGCGCCACTGCACTCCAGCCTGGAGGACAGAGCGAGACTCCGTCTCAAAAAAAAAACAAGAAAAACAAGAAAAGGATATTAACTAAAATCTAGAAAGAAGTCATATGATGATCCAGTCATAAGAATTAGATATTCGGCCTGGGGAAGGGAAGACTTGGAAGACATGGGATAGGATAGTATCAAATATCTGAAAAGCAATCATGTAGAAGCCTGGGTGGAGTTGATCTCTTATCCTTCGGAAAGCAGAGCTAGGGTCAGTGGGTAGAAGTTGCACACTAGAAGTTACCTAGGAGACCTTACTTATTATTAAGAACTTGCCACAAAACTCTTCAAAGGTGAATGGGACTACCTGTATGAGGTGGTGAGCTCTCTGTCATGCACGTGGAGGCTAGAAAACCATAGCCCTGAGATTAGGACTGTACAGTTGTATAGGTTAGTTATTGTACAAGGGCACCCGGCCAAGGGGGCAACTGGGGCTGAAATCCAGCCAGTGCTGCAGTAACTACATCATGTATCCTGGCATTGGTTACCCAGAGGAAGAGGTACCTTTTTATAGTTCACCCAAAGATGCCCCAGATCTACTAGATATAGAAAGGTTTTCTTATCAGGTGAGAGATCAGATTAGTAACCGCTAACCCCCTGCCACATCTTATTGTCCATTAGTCTATGGTCACAGCTATATTTAATTAAAACTCAATAAAGTAAGGTGAAGAAAATCCAAGCAAACAAATTCCATTTAACCCAAAGGAGAATAACTTATATATGCTTTTTAATATATTGATGCATTTAAAGGCCTCCCTAACCCCATCCCACATGATGTTGTGTGATGTGCTGCAGGAGGGGATAAGAGAGAGATGGAGTTGGTTGGTCTTCCATGCTCTATGAACTCTCTTAATAACAAGGTGTGAGCTCTGCTACATCTGAGGCATATTCAGTGCCTGTTGTATCTTTCTTTGGAGGTTAAGCACCATTAAAATATTTTCTACTGAAAATCTTTATATATATATATATTTATATATAAGTATATAAATATATAAAAATATATATTTTTTTAATAGAGATGAGGTCTTGCTATGTTGGCCAGGATGGTCTCAAACTCCTGACCTCAGGCAAAGAGCTGGGATTATAGGCATGAGCCACCATGCCTGGACTGAAAAATCCTTATATTTAAATGTGAAGTTTTAAACCCTGTCTCTACTAAAAATACAAAAAATTAGCCAGGCGTGGTGGCGGGCGCCTGTAATCCCAGCTACTCGGGAGGCTGAGGCAGGAGAATCGCTTGAACCCGGGAGATGGAGGTTGCAGTGAGCTGAGGTTGCACCATTGCACTCCAGCCTGGGCAACAAGAGTGAAACTCAAAAAAAGAAGAAAAAACGAAGTTTTAAAAACAGTATATAAAATTATGCATATAATGTCATTTCAACCCTATTGCATAGAAACTCTTTTTTTTTTTTTTTTAGATGCAACCTCCACCTCCTGGGTTCAAGTGATTCTCCTGCATCAGCCTCCTGAGTAGCTGGGATTACAGATGCGTGCCACCATGCCTGGCTAACTTTTGTATTTTTAGTAGAGATGGGGTTTCGCCATCTTGATCAGGCTGGTCTTGAACTCCTGACCTCGTGATCCGCCCTCTTGGCCTCCCAAAGTGCTGGTGAGCCACCGCACCAGGCAGAAATTTTTTTGAACAAAAGAAAAAATAGTAGCAGATGTACTCTCTGAGGGACAGGTTTATGGATAGTATTATTTTTATAACAGAAAACAAATATTTTAAAATGATCTTCTCTTCACCTTGAAAATTTTTTATTTTTTGTTTTTTTGGTTTTTGTTTTTTGTTTTTTGTTTTTTTGTGAGGTGGAGTCATACTCTGTCACCAGGCTGGAGTGCAGTGGCATGCTCTCAGCTCACTGCAACCTCCACCTCCCGGGTTCAAGTGATTCTCCTGCCTCAGCCTGATGAGTAGCTGGGTTTACAGTCCTGCCACCATGCCCAGCAATGTTTTGTTTTGTTTTGTTTTGTTTTGTTTTAGTAGAGACAAGGTTTCACCATGTTGGCCAGGTGATTCGCCTTCCTCGCCCTCCCAAAGCATTGGGATTACAGGTGTGAACCACCACACCTGGCAAGAATTCAAATTTCTAAAGGGCCTGAATTTTTTCCTCCCACCTTGTCATCAGCTTACTCACCAATGAAATTTTCATCTTTTACATTCTCATTTCTTTTATCATATTACTATAATATGCTACCCAAACAGAGTGCAATTAAATTCTGCTGGAGAAAAAGACGTCTCATTTACCTAAGAAATGCTCTTGGAAATGAACTTCAGAAATAGATGGGGTATGGCAGGTACGGTGGCTCACGCCTGTAATCCCAGCACTTTGGGAGGCCAAGGCATATCACTCGAGGGCAGGACTTTGAGATCAGCCTGGCCAACATGGCGAAACCCTGCCTCTACTAAAAGTACAAAAGAATTAGCCAAGTGTGGTGTCTGTCACACACCTGTAATCCCAGCTCCTCAGGAGGCTGAGGCAGGAGGTGGAGGTTGCAGTGAGCCAAGATCATACCACTGCACTCCAGCCTGGGTGACAGAGCGAGACTGTCTCAACAACGACAACAGCAACAAAGAAATAATGGGGTAAAATGCTACATCCAAGAAGAGTATGTTACCCTAGATACCATATATGTTGAAGCGAGAGAGGGCATAAACTAAAAAACATTTGATGCAGTGCTTTCAACTTCTAAGCCTTTTCTGCCTCCAATCCAAAGAATGCTGGGAGAGGAACATTTCAAAGACAAAGAATAGAAGTGCAGAGCAGTTAACAAGAGTAAATTGTCAAGAAATGCTGGCAGTAGCTAGGCCATGAGTGTCAGGCCAGCAGCCTGGGTTGTCTTCTGATGTTTCTGAGAATAGAGATTTATCTTAAAAGAAACTTCCACCTGGTTCTAGTTTTAATTTTAGAACTCCATCTAGTTCATCAATCACATTACAATATAGTAGTTGAAGAAAATTAAGCACAAAATCCAGTTCCCACTTTTTCTTCTATCCTCCCTTTTGTGATTTGCATTTTGTCAAATGCAGTTTGTGTCTCAGCCAGAACACTCTCATGGCTGACTTTCTGTGTGGCCAGTTGGCAGGTTTCATAATGAGAGGCAGGGTGCTGAGAGAAGAGGATGCTTATACCAGAACACAGAAGAAATAAAATTCCGTAACTCCAATAAAAGTACATTTATAACCAGTATAGTTCTTACCTCCAGAAAATCTTAGGATAGAGGAATAGTATCATTCATCTCTTCTTAACAAGGAAACTATCCAGTTAACTAGTATAGGCCCTCAAAGGCGTATGTTCTGTCTGGCAAGTCTTATGGATTTGGTTATAGGAAATGTACAGTCCTCTCAGGGCTGTTATTTATTGGCTAAGATGTTTAAAAGGAGTCCTTTATAAGAACTTCCAGTCTTTTTGAGTGTATGTGACAATTTTTGGGAATCAAAAGATTGCAATATTTATATATAGAAATTCCACCAATTTATATGAAGAAGTTCCACCCATGGGAGAGGGACCATATCTCTCTTATTCATTATTATATGCTCAGAAGCACACATAGAACTGGGCATGGTAGGTGTTGAGTAAATATCTGTTAAATAAATGACCGAATGAATGAATGAATGTGCATGGCTGTAAAATTCTCAATGATTGAAGAATAAAGATGGCTGGACCATAGTGGCTCATGCCTGTAATCCCAGCAAAACTTTGGGAGGCTGAGGTGGGAGGATCGCTTGAGCCCAGGAGTGTGAGACAAGGCTGGGCCACATAGTAAGACCCCATCCCTACAAAAAATTTAAAAATTACATGGATGTGGTGGTGTACGCCTGTAGTCCCAGCTACTCAGGAGATTGAGGCAGGAGTTGAGCCCAGGAGTTGGAGGCTGCAGTGAGCCATGATTGTGCCACTGCATTCCAGCCTGGATGACAGAGCAAGATCCTGTCTCCAAAAAAAAAAAAAAAGAATGAAGGCAATTTAAACCTCATTTTGGGATGCCAGTAACAAACTATTTTCTTACCTCTAAATCAGTATTAAGGCCTCTAGATATAATCAGTCTACATTCACCCATAGTCCTGTCCAACTCTAGGAAACATAGTCTATGAATTAGGCAGAAATTCAGAATAAAATAACAACATAGGATTTTTGTGAAAATAAAGATTTTTTTCAGTGTCTTTCCGTTACTAACTTTAAAATTCTAGGTATTTTTTTCCCTAAGCAATGTGAGAATAAATGATTGTGAAATGATAGTGTCCTTAGCAAAAGCAGTCATTTTGCAATGAAGGAAAAGCTTGTTAAACATAGGAATGTGTTTTTCCCTCAAATTACAGAAAGAAAAACAATTTCCTTTAGACTAGCCAATAAAACACCCGGCATATATTCCATACACGTTCATACATAGTAGAATAAAGTAGATAGATACAAGGCATTCTATTTAAACCACCTTTAGGAAAGCTGCAAGCACCTTATGTACAATTAATGACTGTCATCTTTCCAGCTTGGAAAAAAGAAACACACAGAATAGGAGTCAGGAGAACAAAAGAAATATATTTCACTTTTCATTTCAGAGGTAGCTTGAAAAAAATGAAATTCCCAGGAAATTCTTCTGAGAAAAAGGGTCAATTATTTTGCTCTTCAACTTCTCACATCTTGGTACGAATAGGAATGCTCTGCAGGACAGCATACATCTACCTCAGCTTTTCAATTGAAGCTAAAGATAGGAAATACTCCATTGGCAAGGAATACAACCAATTTTGAATTCTTCTTAAAAATATCACCTAGGCCTTCTATTTAAAAGGATTATGACATGATGTGGGGGATTTGCGTCAAGTAATTGGGGGCGGTTGGGGTACAGATGAGATAAAGATAAGATTAGTTGTGAGTTTATCATTGTTGAAGCTGGATGATAAGTATGTGGGAGTTCATACACTTTTGTGTATGTTTAAAATATTCCATGAAAAAACTAAAAATGATGATTTCCTAAAATGGAAAAAAATCTTCCTTTTTTTTTTTTTCAGATCAGTGTGGTAAATAGGAAATGCATTGTTCTCACTCATAAGTGGGAGTTGAACAATGAAAACACATGGACACAGGGAGGGGAACATCACACACCAGGGCCTGTCGAGGGGTTGGGGGCAAGGGGAGGGAGAGCATTAGGACAAATACCTAATACATGTGGGGCTTAAAATCTAGATGATGGGTTGATAGGTGCAGCAAACCATCATGACACATGTATACCTATATAACCTGCACATTCTGCACATGTATTCCAGAACTTAAAGTAAAATTTAAAAAAAAATTTAAAGATATTACTCAGACCAAAAAAAAATAGGAAATGCATGAAATATAGAATCAGAAGCCCATTATATACAGGTCTCAATCTTAAAATGTACTAACAGTGCAGCCTCGTGTTAGTTACCACAGGTCTTTAAACCTCAGTTTCAACATTTGAAAAATGGAAATAATGCCAAACTTTACCTTATAGGATGTTATGCAGATAAATGAATTAATATTTCTGAAAGTGGTCTGGGTGCGGTGGCTCATGCCTATAAGCCTAGCACTTTGGGAGGTCGAGGTGGGCAGATCATGAGATCAGGAGTTTGAGACCAGCCTGGCCAGTATGGTGAAACCCTGTCTCTACTAAAAATACAAAAATTAGCCAGGCGTGGTGGCACATGCCTATAGTCCCAGCTACTCCGGAGGCTGAGGCAGAAGTATTGCTTGAACCCGGGAGGTGGAGGTTGTAGTGAGGTGAGATCGTGCCACTGTACTCCAGCCTGGGCGACAGAGCGAGGCTCCATCCCAAACATATATATATATATATGTTTATATATTTATGTGTATATATATATGATTATATATGTTTATATATTTCTGAAAGTGCTGTATAATCTGTAAAATGACACAAAACTGTAAATCCAAATAATTTTTAATTGAACTATGCATCTATCCAAAGTTATTTGTGCTTTATTTTCCAAATTTACATTTAATTAAACCAGCTCCAGCCAGAAGCAAGTCCATGTCTTTCTAAATCTATAGCATCAGAATGAAACTGAAATATCTTCCTTTTCTTTCTCTCTGCTTCTGTTTCTCTGTTTCTGGGATGCTCCTATAGGCAACTCCTAACTGTTCTTCCTGCCCCTCTGTAAACTTTCTGCAACCTACTGCTGGAAAAATCATCCTAGAACACCACTTGGATCATGTGACTCCCTTGCTCAGAAACATTTCTGAATCACCATTGCCCAAGGAATTAAATCTAATTTACTTAACCTACCCTTCAAAGTCTCCAGTGCTTGGTCTCTAACCTGCCTTTCCAGCTACCTCACAACCATTCATGTTCTAAACCTTTGGCTCTGAGCAAAAGGCTTTCTTTCTGGTGTTTTTGTTCCCCATTTCTCCTCTTGGAATCCAGTACTACTTTTCTCCCTGTCTAGATTCTATCAATCCCTAAAAATCAGCCTCATCCCTCCTTCTCTTCTATGGAGTCTTCCTAAACCCTTCCAGACCATGTAATCTCTCCCTTTTCTTAGTCTTAAATATGATTGGTTTGGCAATTAATCATGTATTCCTTTGTAATATTATGTTTATTCTTGTTTTAAGCAGTTAATTATCCCTATTGTTACTTTTTTCCTATCCTGCCCAGTTAGATGGTAAACTTTGTTTGTTTGTTTTGTTTTTTTAGAGACAGGGTCTCACTCTGTCTCCCAGGCTGGACTGCAACGGCATGAGATCTCCTCTCACTGCAACCTTCGCCTCCTGGGTTCAAGTGATTCTCCCACCTCAGCCTCCCAAGTAGCTGGGACTACAGGCATGCACCACCACGCCCCGGCTAACTTTTGTATTTTTATTAGAGATGCGGTTTCACCACGTTGGTCAGGCTGGTCTCGAACTCCTGACAAGTGATCTGCCCACCTCAGCCTCCCAAAGTGCTGGGGTGACAGGCGTAAGTCACCGCACCCAGCCCAGATGATAAACTCTTAAAAGGCAAGAATTGTGACTTTTATATCTTCCTGCCTCAAGGTCCAGTGCTTTGCATGCAGCAGGCACTTTCATTAACATTTGTGGAAAAATATTACCTAAACTGAGCTGGGATTATATAGTTCCTGATAGCCATACTTAGCATATTAATACTACCCTCATATGTGCTTCTTTGGATCTTAAAAAATGACTTTTTAGGCCGGGTGCGGTGGCTCACGCCTGTAATCCCAGCACTTTGGGAGGCCAAGGTGGGCGGATCACCTGAGGTCAGGAGTTCGAGACCAGCCTGACAACATGGAGAAACCTCGTCTCTACTAAAAGTACAAAATTAGCTGGGTGTGGTGGTGCATGCCTGTAATCCCAGCTACTTGGGAGGCTGAGGCAGGAGAATCGCTTGAACCTGGGAGGCAGAGGTTGTGGTGAGCGGAGATTGTGCCATTGCACACCAGCCTGGGCAACAAGAGTGAAACTCTGTCTCAAAAAAAAAAAAAAAAAAAAAAGACTTTTTAAAAGATTAATTTTGCATGGCATCTTTTAGAGGGTGGCATGGTGGGAAATTAGGTGCAGTCTTACTTGTTACACATACCTGGATTCAAATCCCAACCTAGACACATTAGCTATGTGAAATCCTGGTAATTTACTTGACCTCTTTATTTCTTAGCTTCTTCAATCATAAACTAGAAATACAGTAATAAGACTTGCTTTGCAAAGTTAGGCGCAGTGTATGTACAGTCCCTGACACGTCATCAGTAAAAGGCAGATATCATCCTAGTGCACATCAGATGGTTTTGACAGGTCATCAAAGTGAATGATCATAGTTGTTTTTAACTCTCAGGAGATAGAATGCAGTAAATATAGAGAAGAATCAGGAAAAGTCTCTGCCCGTTCCTTCAAGCCCTGCCTCTGTACTCTGTATTTGCTTTTGTGCATCTTTCATTAATAAGGGTTATAAGCTAAATATCGCTGGAATCCCTGTCAATTTAAAAAGTACTGAGTCCCCAGGCCATGCTCTATCCTTTTCCATACTAGGTGAGTTCCCTCAGTATACTTTTTTGGAGACTTCCCTTCAATCCAAACCATAGCTCAGTCATATCCTCTTTCTTTGCTTGCCCTTTATTTCACAGCAACCCTAATTATACTTAGTTCTCCTGCAGTCTTTTGCCTACAGTCATGGTAAGTTTGCCAACTCCGAGTCTTCTGAACTGTGGGCTATAAGTCATTGTGTTTTCATTTATTTAGTAATCCAAGGTTGCCTCTTCTAGACAAGACCCAAAGCAATGGTATGGAAGGACTTCAGTCATAAATCACAATGTTGTCAATACTTGAGAATATAAGACTAGGCAGAATGCAAGGTCACAAGAAAATTGTCATCATCTGGAATTGGCTTTTAGGTAATATCTTTTCTCCATTGAGGGCAGGATTCTGAATATGTGCATGCTTACACATAAGAAAAAGCATTAACATGTGAAAGAGGCCAAAATCTAATATGCCAAAATTAAAAAAAAGCCTTGTTACATCAGGATTCTGTCATTATGAGCACTCATTTTTCTTTTTCTTTTCTTTTGTTTTTTTTTTTGTTTGTTTGTTTGTTTGTTTGAAACAGGGTCTCACTCTGTTGCCCAGGCTGGAGTGCAGTGGCACAATCATGGCTCAAAGGGCTGGGATTACAGGCATGACCCACTGTGCCTGGCCTCACTTATTTCAATATTTAATGCTATGTTGTTTTCATGCTTGAAAAAAGAAAAAAAGTTCAGGAAAATAGCCACAAAAGGATTAGTTATCACAGAAATGAACACGGAAAAAGGCATCACTGAATTATTATATTTATAAGGACTTTTGATTGAGTCTGACCCACTAGTGTGCCATTTCTTAAATCCCTTGTGATTGGTCTTTTTAAAGTTGATCTATACCCAGTGAATCATCACCTTAATCTATGATTATAACAAAAGTTGCATTCACAAATGCTTTTATTTTATTTTATTTTATTTTATTTTCTAGTGATATTCTTTTTATTATTATTATTATACTTTAAGTTTTAGGGTACATGTGCACAATGTGCAGGTTTGTTATATATGTATACATGTGCCATGTTGGTGTGCTGCACCCATTAACTCGTCATTTAGCATTAGGTATATCACCTAATGCTATCCCTCCGCCCTCCCCTAACCCCACAACAGTCCCTGGTGTGTGATGTTCCCCTTCCTGTGTCCATGTGTTCTCATTGTTCAATTCCCACCTGTGAGTGAGAACGTCTGGTGTTTGGTTTTTTGTCCTTGCAATAGTTTGCTGAGAATGATGGTTTCCAGCTTCATCCATGTCCCTACAAAGTGCATGAACTCATCATTTTTATGGCTGCATAGTATTTCATGGTGTATATGTGCCAAATGTTCTTAATCCAGTCTATCATTGTTGGACATTTGGGTTGGTTCCAAGTCTTTGCTATTGTGAATAATGCCGCAATAAACATACGTGTGCATGTGTCTTTATAGCAGCATGATTTATAATCCTTTGGGAATATACCCAGTAATGGGATGGCTGGGTCAAATGGTATTTCTAGTTCTAGATCCCTGAGGAATTGCCACACTGTCTTCCACAATGGTTGAACTAGTTTACAGTCCCACCAACAGTGTAAAAGTGTTCCTATTTCTCCACATCCTCTCCAGCACCTGTTGTTTCCTGACTTTTTAATGATAGCCATTCTAACTGGCATGAGATGGTATCTCATTGTGGTTTTGATTTGCATTTCTCTGATGGCCAGTGATGATGAGCATTTTTTCATGTGTTTTTTAGCTGCATAAATGTCTTCTTTTGAGAAGTGTCTGTTCATATCCTTTGCCCACTTTTTGATGGGGTTGTTTGTTTTATTCTTGTAAATTTGTTTGAGTTCATTGTAGATTCTGGATATTAGCCCTTTGTCAGATGAGTAGGTTGCAAAACTTTTCTCCCATTCTGTAGGTTGCCTGTTCACTCTGATGGTGGTTTCTTTTGCTGTGCAGAAGCTCTTTAGTTTAATTAGATCCCATTTGTCAATTTTGGCTTTTGTTGCCATTGCTTTTGGTGTTTTAGACATGAAGTCCTTGCCCATGCCTATATCCTGAATGGTATTGCCTACGTTTTCTTCTAGGGTTTTTATGGTTTTAGGTCTAACATGTAAGTCTTTAATCCATCTTGAATTAATTTTTCTATAAGGTGTAAGGAAGCGATCCAGTTTCAGCTTTCTGCATATGGCTAGCCAGTTTTCCCACCACCATCTATTAAATAGGGAATCCTTTCCCCATTGCTTGTTTTTCTCAGGTTTGTCAAAGATCAGACAGTTGTAGATATGCGGCATTATTTCTGAGGGCTCTGTTCTGTTCCATTGGTCTATATCTCTGTTTTGATACCAGTACCATGCTGATTTTGTTACTGTAGCCTTGTAGTATAGTTTGAAGTCAGGTAGTGTGATGCCTCCAGCTTTGTTCTTTTGGCTTAGGATTGACTTGGCAATGCGGGCTCTGTTTTGGTTCCATATGAACTTTAAAGTAGTTTTTTCCAATTCTGTGAAGAAAGTCATTGGTAGCTTGATGGGGATGGCATTGAATCCATAAATTACCTTGGGCAGTATGGCCATTTTCACGATACTGATTCTTCCTACCCATGAGCATGGAATGTTCTTCCATTTGTTTGTGTCCTCTTTTATTTCATTGAACAGTGGTTTGTAGTTCTCCTTGAAGAGGTCCTTCACGTCCCTTGTAAGTTGGATTCCTAGGTATTTTATTCTCTTTGAAGCAATTGTGAATGGGAGTTCACTCATGATTTGGCTCTCTGTTTGTCTGTTATTGGTGTTTAAGAATGCTTGTGATTTTTGCACATTGATTTTGTATCCTGAGACTTTGCTGAAGTTGCTTATCAGCTTAAGGAGATTTTGGGCTGAGATGGTGGGGTTTTGTAGATATACAATCATGTCATCTGCAAACAGGGACAATTTGACTTCCTCTTTTCCTAATTGAATGCCCTTTATTTCCTTCTCCTGCCTGATTGCCCTGGCCAGAACTTCCAACACTATGTTGAATAGGAGTGGTAAGAGAGGGCATCCCTGTCTTATGCCAGTTTTCAAAGGGAATGCTTCCAGTTTTTGTCCATTCAGTATGATATTGGCTGTGGGTTTGTCATAGATAGCTCTTATTATTTTGAGATACATCCCATCAATACCTAATTTATTGAGAGTTTTTAGCATGAAGGGTTGTTGAATTTTGTCAAAGGCCTTTTCTGCATCTATTGAGATAATCATGTGGTTTTTGTCTTTGGTTCTGTTTATATGCTGGATTACGTTTATTGATTTTCATATGTTGAACCAGCCTTGCATCCCAGGGATGAAGCCCACTTGATCATGGTGGATAAGCTTTTTGATGTGATGCTGGATTCGGTTTGCCAGTATTTTACTGAGGATTTTTGCATCAATATTCATCAAGATTATTGGTCTAAAATTCTCTTTTTTTGTTGTGTCTCCGCCAGGCTTTGGTATCAGGATGATGCTGACCTCATAAAATGAGTTAGGGAGGATTCCCTCTTTTTCTATTGATTGGAATTGTTTCAGAAGGAATGGTACCAGTTCCTCCTTGTACCTCTGGTAGAATTCGGCTGCAAATCCATCTGGTCCTGGACTTTTTTTGGTTGGTAAGCTATTAATTATTGCCTCAATTTCAGCTCCTGTTATTGGTCTATTCAGAGATTCAACTTCTTCCTGGTTTAGTCTTGGGAGAGTGTATGTGTCGAGGAATTTCTCCATTTCTTCTAGATTTTCTAGTTTATTTGCGTAGAGGTGTTTATAGTATTCTGTGATGGTAGTTTGTATTTCTGTGAGATCGGTGGTGATATCCCCTTTGTCATTTTTTATTGCATCTATTTGATTCTTCTCTCTTTTCTTCTTTATTAGTCTTGCTAGCAGTCTATCAATTTTGTTGATCTTTTCAAAAAACCAGCTCCTGGATTCATTGATTTTTTGAAGGATTTTTTTGTGTCTCTATTTCCTTCAGTTCTGCTCTGATCTTAGTTATTTCTTGCCTTCTGCTAGCTTTTGAATATGTTTGCTCTTGCTTTTCTAGTTCTTTTAATTGTGATGTTAGGGTGTCAATTTTAGATCTTTCCTGCTTTCTCTTCACAAATGCTTTTAAAGCCACAGTTCTATGTAGTTTAGGTTTTTTTCAAATACAAGATTAGACTTCAATTTGTCTACTTTTGCTACTCAGCTTTAAGCCATAAAATGGGACTCAGATTTTAAATTACATTTGTTTTTCTACTGCTCATTATTGCTGAGCTATTTCTTATTTATCTTTTACTGATTGCGAAACAGACCTAAGGAGAACTGTTGGTTTTCATTATATGGATCTCATTTTTAAAAAATAATCATTTTAGACCAGGCACGGTGGCTCACGCCTGTAATCCCAGCACTTTGGGAGGCTGAGGCAGGCGGATCACCTGAGGTCGGGAGCTTGAGACGAACCTGACCAACATGGAGAAACCCTGTCTCTACTGAAAACACAAAATTAGGCCAGGCACTGTGGCTCACGCCTGTAATCCCAGCACTTTGGGAGGCCGAGGCGGGCAGATCATGAGGTCGGGAGATCGAGACCATCCTGACGGATACAGTGAAACCCCGTCTCTACTAAATATACAAAAAATTAGCCAGGTGTGGTGGCAGGCACCTGTAGTCCCAGCTACTCGGGAGGCTGAGGCAGGAGAACGGCATGAACCCGGGAGGCAGAGCTTGCAGTGAGCCAAGATCGCGCCACTGCACTGCAGCCTGGGTGACAGAGTGAGACTTAAATAAACAAAAAATAAATTAGCCGGGTGTGGTGGTGGGCGCCTGTAGTCCCAGCTACTTGGGAGGCTGAGGCAGGAGAATGGCATGAACCCTAGAGGCGGAGTTTGCAGTGAGCCGAGATTGTGCCACTGCACTCCAGCCTGGGCGACAGAGCGAGACTCCGTCTCAAAAAAACAAAACAAAACAAAATTAGCTGGGCATGGTGGCGCATGTCTGTAATCCCAGCTACTTGGGAGGCTGAGGCAGGAGAATTGCTTGAACCCAGGAGGTGGAGGTTGCGTTGAGCCGAGATCGCACCATTGCACTCCATCCTGGGCAACAAGAGCGAAACTCCGTCTCAAAAAATTATCATCATCATCATCATTTTACTGAGAAAATTTAGCGTGTGGATGCAAATAACTTGCCCTTTCAGTAGTATCAATGAGCAATAGGCCCGTTAAAAGGGAAAAGAAATATTGACCAAATTCACTCATTGAATTTGCTAGTCTTTTAACAAGCAAAAATGTCTAGGAAAAAAAAATCTCAGATGTCAGTAATCTTAACACAAAAAATATTGTCAGTGGAGTCCTCTTTGAATCCAAAAGGTAGGCATGTTTCTAAATCATATATTCACAGAGTGATGGAGTATTAGCCCTGGAAGGGACTTTGGTAATCATCTGGTCTAGGGATGTAAAGTAGTTGGTGTCCCAGCTAGAGTCAGAGTTCTTGTGTCTCATCTCCCAGTCAGTTCATTGTGCTCACCTGACTTCTATAGTTGCAGCTATTAAAATCTAAATCAGCTATTAAAATATTCATATCGACTATTAAAATCTAAATTATGATTATTTTCAGGCGCATAATGTCAGCTTTGCTAACACTACCTCAGATCCATTTGATTTCTTGGGAACTACCAGGACTGTATTTGGTTTATTTTTAAAGCCAAGCAGCTTTATAAACCTTAAAATATTTCGTCTTCGAAACCTAAAAGGCTCTTTATTTAGTCCATGATGAATATTTGAGTAGTGTTAAATTTATCATTCTGGCAGTACTCACATTGTACTTGTCATTAATTGTGACTCATCAAAGAATGTTTTGATGTTGAGTCCTTGGCTAACAGATGGCTCTGTTTAGAGGAATTGAGGCAGTGAGCTATGAGGTCCAAGGAGAGAGACTTCTTAAATAATTATTCACTAGAGGTTGTTTGAATTTGTAAGAAAGCACAGTAATCTGTGGGGGAGGGAAGTTTAGTCTTTGTGTTAAGGCTTGAGAAGGCTTTTTTTCAGCTCCCTTCAGAGGATGCATAAGAGAGTTGATGTCAGTGTTGTTTGTATGCCAGGTGTGGGCTGGAATGACACAAATGGCCAGCAGAGATGCACACAGTTGAATACTTGTTTGTTTCTGTTTCTAAGGAGTCTGTCACCACCTTTGTGACATAGCCATAGAGACCACCACACGGGAAAGAACAGGAGCTCAAGCAATAGGAGTACTAATAAGAACTTGAGTATAGAATGTAAAGCAATGAATCTTCCTTTTAAAAAGCATTTACCAGCTGGGCAGGGTGGCTCACGCCTGTAACCCCAGAACTTTGAGAGGCCAAGGTCTCCCAGCGGAGGTGAGCAGATTGCTTGAGTCCAGGAATTCGAGACCAACTTGGACAACATGGCAAAACCCTGTCTCGAAAAAAATTACAAAAAAATAGCCAGACATGGTGACACACACCTGTAGTCCCAGTTACTCAGGAGGCTGAGGTGGGCAGATCACCTGAGCCCCAGAGGTAGAGGCTGCAATGAGCCACGATCGTGATTGTGATGTTGCCACTGCGCTCCTGGGCGACAGAGTGAGACCTTGTTTCAAAAACAAAAAAACAAAAAAACAAAAATTTACTTCAGAGGCTACAGAACCATCTCCCCCTTCTTTCTCTTCTGTCTTTTGCCTTTTTCATTTTTTTTTCTTTCTAGATTGTTTTTTCTTATATTTTCAGTCCATCAATGGTACTCTAAGGCATGGTCCTCAAAGGCATGAGCAGCTCTCAGTACATTATTCAGCACCTGTGTGCTGACCACTGTGTTAGCCATGAAACTACATGGGCAGCTTATCTTATATTCTGGGTCCTAGTGTATGCACAAATGAGTCATTATTTGGAATGACATTTAGTGCTTCTTTAATTAAGAAAAGGGGAGTATACACTGTATCATAAATAAGACCAAGAAAAACCTGAAAGACAAAATTCAGATTCTCTTAGATATATTCAAAAAAATAATAGGTTACACACACTTGACCTTTCTGAGCCTCAGGTTGTTCATTTGCAAAATAGGTTAATGATATATACCTTGTGGAGTTATGTGAAAATGACATAAGCATAGTGTCTCGCCCACAGTAAAGACTCAGTAAGTGGTCTGTGTGTTAAGGAGGAAGAGTAAATTAAGTAAGTATGCAAGGATACTGACTTGCTTGCTAGCAACAAGGAAACACAGGAAAAATGATTAAGAATAAAAGCAGACTGGTAGTTGAATTAATAATCAATGAAAGAGGCTCTTTTAAAAGACTGTCAAGAGCACAACATTCAAAATAAAAGTGATAATGCTTTCACTGCACATTACTGGAGTGTTACTTTAGTTTGGGGCTGCATGGCTTAAAAGCACTGAGAAAAACTAAATCAGGTAATACAAATGTCTGAATACCTTCTGAGAGGCTAATACAGAACAGTGGAGAGAACCAAAGATTAGAAATTGAAAGCCTGGGCTTGAGCCCCTGGCTCAACATTTTCTAGCCACCTAACTAACTAGAAATTATCAGAGGCTGGGCTTAATGGCTCACACCCATAATCCCAGCACTTTGGGAGACCAAAAGCAGGTGGATCACTTGAGGTCAGGAGTTTGATACCAGCCTGGCCAACATGGTGAAATCCTGTCTCTACTAAAAATACAAAAAATTAGTCAGGCATGGTGGTGGGCACCTGTAATCCCAGTTACTTGGGAGGCTAAGGCAGGAGAATTGTTTGAACTTGGGAGGTAGAGGTTGCAGGGAGCCAAGATCTCACCACTGTACTCCAGCCTGGGTGACAGAGCCAGACTCCAACTCAAAAAGAAAAAAAAAGAAAGAAAGAAATTATCACAAATATTTTAATAGGTGACACATGACCTCACTCAGTTCTCACATCTGTAAACAAGGTTAAGAATAATTTTTAAATTTCTGAGGATTTTTGTGAATATGTACTTTGCAAATTATAAAACGTTATATAAATCAGTTTTTTAAAGGGATGATAGGGGAAGATACTCCCTTTAAAAAGGCTGACTTAACTACCTGTGGATATTATCTATAAAAGAATAAATAAAAGGTAGATGATGGTAAATCTTCATTTTCATAGATGATAGAATTGGAAGAAATGGGATTGCAGTACAGTCAACTTTGTAGAGACAAAAGAGAAAAGGCCCAATCATTAAGTTGTCTAACCAATGGCCAGCTATCAATGAACATCAGTAATCCCCTCCTTGCTTTACTTCTTCTGAAATTCATGAACTCATCATTTCCAGCCTTTCTGGATGGACACACGTACATATGAGCAGCTTTAACAAGTAAAATGATTTAAAATTCATTTTGTTTAATGCCTTGGAGTGTTGCAAAGTTGATTAAGAAACACTAATATAGGCAATTACATTTTAGAGATGCTTTAGTTAACCCGTGACCCAAGAGCAGGGTCATAGACTGAATGACTTTTTGAGATTTCTCCATTCAATCTATTTTTCTTAATTGAGCAGGTGTTTCTAATTAAGATGTTGAACACTAGAGCAAAAAAAAAGTCGTCTCACATCATGTGTATTTTAATCAATTTGATTTTATTTATTTATTTTTATATCTTCCCTCAAAGTAGTTGAATTTAAAAGAACTAAATGAGGAAGAAAATTCCAATTATTTCCCTTCTGAAGAGCTGTTTGTATGAGAGCTGATTTAGTACCTTCAATACTTGAGGAGACTTAGGGAAAAAAAGCTGTGTCTGGATTAAAACATTAAAAATAGAAACATAATTCCAAGATTAAGTTCCTTGACTTACTTGACATTTGAAGTAATTTCCGCAAAGTAATTTCTTTTGTAAAGGTTTATAAATTTATGAGAGAAAATACCTTATCCTGCCTAAAGATTATTGTGTCAATTAAGAATAAACAAGATTAGAGAAAACCAAGCATTAGGCTGGAAATGGATCTACTCTAAGTGTGATAGAATCATATTCAAATTATTAGTCGAAATAGTGAGTATGAGCCTTCCCTTTTTATCCAGGGCTTGAATAAGTACAGCTATGAGTGATTTTATAAGTGGTCCTTGTTTGCATGTACTAGTTACTTAGCCTTATGTTTTTGTCTTACCTGTGGTAAACTTCCACCAAAAAACCAGAACCCCAAATGGATCCTCAGTTATCATCTGAAACTCTGAAAACATTTTGGTTCTCTTGTATAGCCAAGGACCATGCCCTAAAAAAAAAAAAATCTCTGAAGTGGGTGCCTTTTACTTGATTATAACCAGAATAGAGACAGTTCATTGGAAAACATGGAACATATAGAAGAATAATTTGTTCTTTTATTGGAGGCTAATGTTCTTCACTCAGAGGTTGATTGCTTATGAAATGTATTAAGAAATTGTGTGCTTAACAAAAACAAACTTATTCAGGTTTGATGGTTTGCTGATCTACACACACACACACAAAATGGCCCTTTTCACAAAGCAGTTGGCTTTCATCAACTTCTCCATAATGCCATACATGCATACAAATCACACTTTCAGTTATTCACTGTAGAAATCTCATCAATAAGAAATCCCTTGTGATAACTGGGCCTTCATTGGCTTTCTTTTATTGGCCAAATGCTGAGTATTTTTGGCTTGAGATGATAACTTTATTTTAAGCCTGAGAGAGCAGGTGACTTGCCCTTGGTCTAATGATACTAAGCAGCTGCCACAGCCTGTTTCACATCCACTGGAGAAGACTGTTCCCTGGAGAGGGAGCACATAACTGTGCATGTCTCTTTCAAGATGTCTCTTTGGGTACCATGTTGGGAAGTGACTTTCCAAGGGTGAGGAGTGCCCTGTGTTTAGCTTTTTGGTTACATCCCTGTGCACAAAGGAGAGACCGTGTTAAAGAGTTGAGACTTTGAGAAAATTCTTGTTACTTCATATGCATTTACAGTGTACCTAAGGCTGAGGACAAATTTTATTTTAGCAAGATACATCAAAGGCAAATAAATTTACTCACATAAACAGTAAAATGACATTTTTTTCTCCTGTGTTCCACAATCAAAAGGAGCTTGATTTGCAATGGGAGCATGTAGGAACAGGAGGCATACTCCCTTTAGATAATAATTATTATAATAGCTTCCATTTTCTGATTATTTACTATGTAAAATGCTCAGCATATCATCTAGCACATACAAGAAATAGCTGTTAAACGAAGAGTGCTAGGTGCTGTACTAAGCACTGTAGCACTTTATATCACTTATCTCATGTAAGGTAGATTTCATCTGAGGCTTTGCAGGATGATAGGGACAGTCTTATTAAAGGGCATGGATTGCTCCCTCTGATCCCCTGTTAAACAAGGGTATTTCATCAGGCCAAGAGAAGGTGGATGTGGCAAGCGCCAAGCTCTGTAGAAAGAGATGCTATGGAAATGCTAAGTAAAATGTCATACTTGTTGTTCAGATATGGCAAACCAGGATGAGTCAACCCCTTTCCCCTCGCACACATTATCACCTACACATTTTGGGATGGTGTTGGGTGAGAGTCATCTTTATGCCTGCCCTTCACTATTACTCATCTTACTTTGGCCACCCAGCTCTCACTTTGTCCTGTCACTCATCCCCTACATTTGAAGTAGGGAAGCATATACAGGCACTGAATAATTTGGGGTCTGTAAATATAACCTTTGAGTCACTATCACATGGTGCCTTTGTGGGCCAGGACAGTACCCAGTGCAGTGATGAGCTTGCCCATCTGCTTTGGGTCTCAGCCCTCCAGCAGGCCTTCGTCTCCTGGGTAAGCAAACAGGCAGAAGCATCTCTGGCCCAGAAGAACGTCCTGAATCACAGTCTGTGCAGTTCTGTGCCAGCCCCCAGGGAAAGCGTGAGAGCAGAAGAGATGAGAAATGCACAAACTGAATAGCCCTTTCCTGATGATATTTAATTGAATCTGGGCATCGACAGGGCTTGGCCAGGTAGCTTGCTTTCCCTCACGTGCAGCTCAGCTCTGGCAGATTTCTCTTGTAATGATCATTCTACCCAGGTAGCACAGAACTTTTTCATAGAATGAGGACTTGGGTAAGGATCAAGAAACCTGGGAACCAGTTTAAACTGTGCCATAAACTTCAGGCAGTCATTTAACATCTGTGAGTTATTTTTTCTTCATTTATAAAGTAGGAAGAATACCCATCCTACTGGTCTCCATGAATTTTGTGTCTAAGGCTGTAAAGTCACATCATAGCTGAGAATACCTTTTGAAGGTTATTTTTATTACTAGAGTCTTAACTATTAACACAATTAAGTGCAAATAATACCACCCATGGAGGTAACAGATGACAAGTACCTTGTGGAAACCTGTTATCACTCTCTGTTGGCACAGGAGTGTAAATTATAGCTAAGGTGTGAGGTTTTTATTGTTGTGAGGGAAGTGGTTGTGAGGGATAGCTGTGGTAAAGATCAAAGAAGGATCTACCATAGTTCTCCTAGTTCTGCAACAAGGCTTAGTGAGCGATATGGTCTGACTGTAAAGAACAATGTCTACAATGTAGGCCATAACAGTAGTGATTCTTCATTTATGTTTTCCTGTTGCTATCTGACCAAGCCTTCTTCTCATTGCTGATTTTCTTTTGGTTGTGGAGTAGGAGTGATGCTTGCTTCCTAATTCTGCTCCCTCTCCCACCCATCTCCACCACCAAGGATTGAGCCATGCTTGAGGGATGGGGATGCTACCAGAGAAAATCCCAGAAAGCAGCCAGCAAGGACTTTGTGATGCAATGGTCCTGTCCTTCCTCCATGTTTTACCTTGCAGAATCTGTGCAGTTTTGCTCCCCTGGGAAAGCCCTGAGAACTCTTTAGCAGATACCAAGACTATGCTGCTAAGTCCTTCTGACTGAATTCCTTCACTGGACATTGGGGTAGAGGGGAAGTCCCTGTGCTGTGCTCTTGGATTTCATAGCCCCTGGGGCAGCTCAAGGCTCCTATCACATCTAAAGCGGAATTACCAGTAGAGAAAAAGTCATTCTTAGGACCACAGGACAAAGCCTTAGTGGAACTGCTCGAGGTCTAGCCCCTGGCTTCTGGGGTTCTTCAGCAGTGGATGGCAGAGGCTATCTTCCTAATTTAGATAATTTCTCAGGACCAGATTAGCCTCTTTCTCAGCTGCACTTTTTTTCTCAATTCTGCTTTCTGCTGACTTACAGTTTTCCTCAAGGAGCCAAACAAATAATTTTTCATCTGCATCTGCCTCTTCTCCCATTCACTTCCCTTCCTGGGTGGATTATTCCAGAGTTCCAGCAAAGCTGCCTTCAGCAGCCTCTGACAAAAGCTGCGTGCTGACCGCATGGCTGCATACTGGCCACACATGCCCCTTTGAACATCCCAATTGAAGAGGACACAGCTCAGAAGCTGCAGGCTCGCTTTCTTTTCATATGTTTTCTTGGGAAATCTCAAGAAAGTGCAGTGTTCATTCCTGGAAGCGAGTCTGCAGTGCTGAAGCCTTGGTCACCCAAGCGTTCCCTCTGCATGATGGCCGTGCTCCCAGACTATCCAAAATGCAGCAGCGCATGGAAAGAGACTGGCTGCTGAGGTGTTATTGGTTTGCAATACCCTGATAAGGAGATTTCATTCCCTTCTTGCTGGCAGAGTTATATAGAGTAATTACATAAGTACTGCTGTGACACTGGGCGGAATCTCATTAAAAACTGTATAAAGAACAATTGGGTTGTGCTAGAGAATATTCATTTTATTTCAGTTGAGTATAATCCCTGTAATAGAACATTAGCCTGAGCATAAATACTGGTGTTGCTCCAGCTCCCTGATAGAATGTATTTGGGATGTATATTTAGTGCAGCATTTGCTTATGTGGGGCATGACAGAAAATCATTATGAGGCAGGTCCAGATTTTCCCACCTGGTGAGGAAGTTGCTCGCTGTGCTGAGCAGATCGTTGTTTGTTTTTTACCCCTCCTAGGAGAGCTACTTGTTCAGCTTGGATGGGACAGTCTATGGCAGTTTGACCACATGGCAACTCTGAAACACACACACACACACACACACACACACACACACACACACAGACACACACACACACACACAACACACACACACACACACATGCACATACAGACTCGGGCCCAAAAAAATGTGTCCCCTTAGCAGGTTTAGCCTTCCACCCAAGATGTAAGAGAGGCCTGGTCAGGGGAGAATTTGTCTTGTGTTGTTGTTCGTTCATTTTCAGAAAAGTAGCAGGCAAGTCCTTGTTTAATGTAAGGTTGTTTTTGGTTGATGGCATGTGAATTGTCCCTTCAGCCTTGCTGAGCATCACTCATCACAACAAACAAGAGCTATCCTAAGTAGTTTGCTAATACAGCAGTTTAAGGCTCAAAAGCATTAAAGGACAATAACATCTAATACAGTTATACCACTGTACTGTGCATGACTTACTTTCACACATATTATCTGGTGTGTGGGGAATTCAGTAATCCATTCTTAATTATCCAGAGCATAATCTGTTTGGTATTTGAAGTCTAAGAGCACTATGAATTATTTTCTTTATAAAATATTTTTCATTATAGTTCTAGTGTTCTATAGCATTATAGGGCAACTACAATCAACAGCAATTTATTATATATTTTCTTTTCTTTTTTTTTTTTTTGAGATGGAGTCTCACCCTGTGGCCCAGGCTGGAGTGCAGTGGCGCGATCTTGGCTCACTGCAAGTGCCGCCTCCTGGGTTCACACCATTCTCCTGCCTCAGCCTCCCGAGTAGCTGGGACTACAGGTGCCCGCCACCATGCCCGGGTAATTTTTTTTGTATTTTCAGTACAGACAGGGTTTCACCGTATTAGCCAGGATGGTCTCGATCTCCTGACCTTCTGATCTGCCCACCTTGGCCTCCCAAAGTGCTGGGATTATAGGTGTGAGCCACCACGCCTGGCACTATTTATTGTATATTTTCTAATGGTAGAAGAACAGATTTTTATGTTCTCAAAACAGAGAAATGATAAATGTTTCAGGTGATGCATATGCTAATTACCTGATTTGATCATTTCCTCTGTAGATCTTCTGACTGGCCCACCTGAATTTTGTTATCTGGTCTCACACCGCATTTCGAGGGAAGAAACCAAGATTAATCATCCTCCATTGATATAAGGGGCATTATATTGAAGACTATATATCCCTGTTGTTAAAAGTCAGTGTCACTTTGCCTGTAATCAAAGTACCAAAATGATGGCAGGGGAAGCATTCAACTGTTAAACAGCCAGCCTCTCCGGTTATTAAAATAGCACTGAGCAAGGCAGCTGGAGTAAACCATTTTAGAATCTGGGGTTTGCTGTCGCTGGTAAGGATGTCCCAGCTGTGCCTTATTGTCAAAATTCTCTTCATCATCTCAGGATGCCAGGTCCCAAGCTGAGCTCACTCTGGGGACTCAGATCCATTGAATGGGAACGCTTGGCCTCTGCCCACATTATTTAGGAGCTGCAGGTGAAACTGAGGTTAAGAGAGGCTCAGTCGGTGTCTCTCTTAATGCATCCCTGCCCACAGGAATGGGTGTGAATGCAAATGTATTTCCAAGTATGCCTGAGGTAGCTGAAGAGAGACTATAGAATCATCATCCCCAAGGACTTGTCATCAGCTTTCAGTCTATCGTAGTTTAAGCATGGCTGTTTGTCTATGTGAATGCGTGTTTTAAAGCATGAAACCAATTTTCCTCCCCAGACAATGGCCTGCTCCCTTTTTATTGAGGAAAATAGGATTGAATTTAGGATCTCATTAAAGGAGGCATATGTCCCTCCTTGGTCACACCCTACTCCTTCGTTCACCTATCCACCTTCCCGGTTGTACAGAAGCACATCTAATACACATGGCCTCTAGGGCAGAGATCTGAATGGGTTTCTTCAGAGGCTGCACCATTCCACCAGTACCTCAGCTAGGAGGGCTGAGACCACTGAGCAGTGGGCCTGAATTTGTAACCAGAGCCTGCCCAGATGCAGTGTAGGACAACCTCTAGCCTTCCTGCATACCAAGAAGGAAGAAGGAAGCAGTTCAAGAAACTGAGGCATAATTGTGATGACCAATGCAAGTTCCAGAGCTCCTGGCTGCCTGACACGTGTGCCCTTCCCAAGCCTTGGAATCTCCATGCAGCATGCAAATGTCTTCTTCTTTCATCCTTTTTTTTTTAAGTTAGCAGAACTCCCTGAAGTGCACTTACTCTCCAAATATGTATGCAGCACGACTTGAGAGATCACTTCTGTCTGTAATGGATGCCTTGTGTCCAGGGTATTTTCCTGGATATTGTGTTATTCAATTTAGGACTCCTAATGCATGATTAATGTGTGTTTAAACAATCATTGCCTAATTGGACTGCTTCACCTGTAAGACACTGGGGAGTACACAAAGCCAACTTACAAAAAACACCATTGGCTATGTGGAATGATGCAACAACTCTAGTGTCGTACAAGGAATGAACATTTTGAGGCTGATATGGTGCCCATCTCATCCTGTAGTTGCTACCAAGCAGGACTTTCAGAGACTGGCTTCTAGGACCATTTGTTTAATTCAGTGTTTTTTTGAGCATCTATCAGCAAGACTCCATGAGTTCCAGAAAGGGGAATTGGATGTAGGTTCTACCTGAAGGGAGCTCACAGTTTAGTAGGAAGTAGAATATGTTTGTGAATAATTATATCACTGGGTGGAAAGTTATGAGGGCCCTAAGACAGATTTTTAAAAGGGATGGAAAGCCCATCCCATTGTGAAGGGGAACCCATGTGGACAGTGAGCATAGATGGTAGTGGATGGGACTGAGGGGAAGGGAAGGAGTAAGAAGCTCACAGTTACTGCTAGGGATGTCAGGGAACCTTGCAGGGGCTTTGCAGGGCCTTTCCCAGTCATCCACACAGGCCACCAAAGTGGTAAGTTTGGGTGCCTGAGGTGTCCCCATTGGTGACCCTTGCTGAGCTCTTTCCCTGCAGGCTTTGCCTACTAACCATGGAGCCCTGAAGCCTGCTTAGTGCTTCTTTTGGCCTGTATGTCTGTGAAGCAGAAGTGTCCCATGAAGAGGTCCCCAAATTCTAGATTCTTACTCACAAAAATATGATTTGAACTTAATGAGCTGTGGACAGATGGCAAATAGGAAAGAGAAACTAAGGTGGTTGACTCTGAACATTTTGGTCATTTTCATTTTCATCTCATTTGCAACCCATCAAGGTTCTTAGAAGATTTGCATGTGACTCATCACAGAATCTGAACCCTCAAAGTGGGTCATGCCTGAAAAATGGATGAGGAGTTTTCTTCTGACAGATGTTAGTTAGGGGACAGTACAGGCCTGTCCTTTTCGGAGAATTCTTAGAACTGGTTGCATATAAATAGAACCTGAAAAATGGGAACTTGGCTTTAAGGTATCTTATATAGAGTGAGGGAGTATTGGTATGTGTGTGTATTTATACATACTTTGGAAAAAAATATGCCCTCCTTATGGAAACTGTTTTATAAGTTAGGCTTGTAATTGCTACATGATTCAACCACCAAATTACCGAAATGTTCCCCACAAGGAGGATTTGACATTTAATAGAAATTTTAATATAATGGAATGAACATGTCAAAAATCCAAACAGATTTTTAATTCTTTAACTTATTCAAATTTGAATTTAGAAGAAAGGATGGTTTCAGGTAGGTTTTTTTCTTCCCCCATGCTTACAAGTAATGGTGGGTGGCAGAAATGTACACTGAAGAGGACTCCAGACTTCTACCACTATATCCTAACAGTTTCCCAGGCAGCAGCCATATATTAGAGTACAATACACTTTCAATCCCTTTTATCCTGTCAACTTGGTTATTTTTTGTTATTTTGGAAAATGCCATATGGCACAATGATTATATATTCAGGTTCTATAATTAAACTGCTTGGGTTCAATTCCCAGCTCAGTCACTTACTAAGCAAGTTTGCCTGCTTTCTCTGTACTTTGATTTTCCCTTTTTTAAGTGGGCGGGATTGTGGTACCTACCTCATAAGGTTGTTGTGATGATTAAAGAATACATGCACAGTGCTTAACACAGTACCTGACACAGAGTTAGCACTCAGCCAACATCAGCTTTCTTTATCCTTCTCTCCCTACCCCTCTTATTCAGGATCTACACCTGTGGGAGAATAAGCCCAAGGATAGTTATTAAAAATTGCCAGCTTGGCTACTCGTTAGCTTTTACTAACATCTGGGATAAAAGGTTTAAGTACTGGAGGGGTTTGAAATGTAGTAGGGTTTGAGTTATCAGTTAATCTTCCTGTATCCCAGCTGCCTCTGCTTCAGCAATAAGGGAGATTGAATTTATGAAAACTAAAGCTTTCCCAGGCCTCTACACACTCTGTCTGATATAAAGTGCACCTGTGCTGTCTCCCTGGGTGTGGCATTCCTCCCTGCCTTTCTGATTGTCCTCACCTCGGTCCATGATGCAACCATTCATCCCCTTGCCCTCTCCGTCTTTCTTTCTTTCTTCATTCTTCTTTTTGTTTCTCATGTCTTTCCATTCCTTGCAACCTCCTTAAAACCAGGGATTATAAAAACCATCATTTTGAAATTAAATTTAAAATTTCAAATGGATTTTCTTTTGTAAATTGCTTTTTATAAAGCCATACCCAAACACTATAGGAAGATAGTTTTAACTGTCAACTTTTGCCAAACTCAAAGTTATCAGCATGAAATTGAGAGGTGATAGCTTTTAAATATATGGAGTTTGGAAAACAGAATAAATGGAAATTGTATAGCCATGCACAGCTTTTTGTAATCTACCAAGAAGTCTATTTCCTAGCTAATATTCTTCACATATACTCTCACACTCAAGGTAAATATCTAGCAGCCACCGCTGTGTAATGCTGGCTAAAAGTGAAGCATCCAAAACATTTATGCCAGGAAATTTAGATTTTAAAGGATATTATACAATGAAACAGAAGTTGCTTAAGCACTAGTATTCATTAAATTCTATTCAAGTGATAACTTTAAAAGTAGACATTTCTGTAGGTTCCTTTTTCTTTTGAACCAGTTCACCTCAAATTGACAAGGTGTACGGGAATTTAAAAGCTTGTACTTTTCCAGCTTATGAGTAAACTGAGAGAAGTAGTTTAATGCTAGAAATGGTGTTACCTGGTGTTCTAAAGACTGAAGTTGCCTACCAGACTTCCAAAGTATCTACTTTAACTAACACTAGTAAATAAATTAACCAGGTCATCATTCAGAATGTGTCTGTCTTTTAGAATGAGCTTGAAGTGTTTGAGGAGCACAGAGGAGGCCATGTGACCACCATGTAGGGAGCAGGGGGACAGAAGAGAGCAAAGTGAAAGTGGAGACCCCCTTCCATCCTGGGAACCCACTGCCCCATCTAGCAGAACTCTTTCATTAAACTTCTTCCCTCAACGACCCAGATCCCAAACCTTCTCTCCTGAACACAAGACAACCCAATCCTCTACTTCCTTTCCCTCCCCTAAGACTCCCAGACATATCCTTCATGTTTTCTAATGCATTTTACATTATTATGTTAGAGATACCCCAGAGGCTGTGTGTTGTAGTGGAAAGAGAATGAACAGTAGCTCTAAGGCTGAATTTTCTCATCTGAAAAATAAAATTAGAAATAATGTGTGTAAATAAAGTACATGGCACATAGTTAGTGCTCAGACTCTGCCAGCCTGAACGATATCCCTTTCCAGCCTATGTTATTTCCTCGTGTACATGCGTATATAAACAGGAGAAAACTATTAACTTATAAGTATTTACAGTCATGCTATACACGCACACACATACACACTGAGGAAGAAGAATCCTGTAGTTGCATGGCTAACCATGCTGCCTTTGCTGTGATAAGCAGAGAAATAGATACAGCTGCAGATTTAGAACAGTCAAGAGCTTTGCCTTTAAAAGAAGAGAGAGATAAGAGAGCAAAGGACCTGGATAGGACTGGAAGAGGGAAGCCAAGAGGAGGAGAGATTTGGGTGCTGTCAGAGGAAGTGAGACTTTGGGGAATTTTTTTTTTTTTTTGAGACAGAGTCTCGCTCTGTTGCCCAGGCTGGAGTGCAGTGGTGCAATCTCGGCTCACTACAGCCTCCGCCTCCCGGGTTTAAGCAGTTCTGTGTCTCAGCCTCCCAAGTAGCTGGGATTACAGGCACATGCCACCATGCCCAGCTAATTCTTGTATTTTTAGTAGAGACAGGGTTTCACCGTCTTGGCCAGGCTGGTCTTGAACTCCTGACCTCGTGATCCACCTGCCTTGGCCTCCCAAAGTGCTGGGATTACAGGTGAGCCACCACCTGGGGAAGACATTTTTAAAAGATCTGGGGGGCAGGGGGCAGAGTTTTGCTTTCTATGGTGCAATGTGCCCTCCCGTCCATATGCCTAAGAAATCTTCACAAAGGTTATATTACACTTCAGTACATTTACAGTGGGATGCATGCAGTTGTGTGTCCAAGAAGTTCCATGTGGTGTTTTTGTATGAGTGTCCTATGTTGGCATAGGATGAGGGCTTGGCAATCATATAACAGGCTCAGGTACCCAGGACCTACTTCATTCATAATGATATTCCACTGTAACAAGTAAAAGTAATTTCATATTTTAAAAAAGATTGAAATGTCCTCAGTAGTAATTTAAATCAGTTCTCCTCTGCCTACAACTGACCGTGACTTTGGCTTTTGTTTAGTATTCTTTCTAGTTCTTTGGGTTCAGGAAAATTTTTTATTTAAAAAAAATGACATTTTTAATGAAGGGAGTCTTTACTTCCTATAATGACCAAGCACTTCCTATTGAACCAACTCTCCCACAGATAAGTGTAAATGTTGAATAAAATATAAAAAGCAACCACCTAATGCCACTGGAGCATAATAAAAAGTAGGCAGGGTAGTGTAGGGTCTACCCTTGGAAGAAGGAAATGGCAGTGGGTAAGTTTCCCATTTTTTAATGGCTTTTAGATTAAGGAGATGTCCTATCTGGTGTCATATAAACTCATAGAAACCTGCCGGGCGCTATGGCACATGCCTGTAATCCCAGCACTTTGGAAGGCTAAGGTGGGCAGATCACGTGAACTCAGGAGGAGACCAGCCTGGGCAGCATGGTGAAACCCCCCCTCTATCAAAAAAAAAAAAAATAAATAAATAAACTTATAGAAACCCACAGTTTCTATCAAACCCACAGAGGCCACAGCTTGGGATAGCCACAGCAGCTGGAAAATGAGGAGGAAAATTCCAGAAAGGAGAGAGGCAAATGGGAAGCCCCAAATTCTGTGCATAAATCCTGCCCAAATATCTGACTGACCCTTTAACTATGTATGCGTGGGACAGACTCCAAGGAACCCAGCCGGTAGCGGGTGCCTGTAGTCCCAGCTACTTGGGAGGCTGAGGCAGGAGAATCGCTTGAACCCAGGAGGTGAAAGTTGCAGTGAGCCAAGATCATGCTACTGCACTCCAGCCTGGGCAACACAGTGAGACTCCATCTCGAAAAAAAAAATTAGCTGGTCGTGGCGGCTCACACCTGTAATCTCAGCTACTCAGGAAGCTGAGGCAAGAGAATCACTTGAACCCGGGAGTTCGGGAGGTGGAGGTTGCAGTGAGCAGAGATTGCGCCACTGCACTCCAGCCTGGGCAACAAGAGTGAAAACTCCGTCTCAAAAACAAAAGAAGTGGGTCCTTTTAAGTGGTGATGGGATTTGTAAGGGCTCTGCCCTCCTGAATGGCTTAATGCGTTAATAGATTAAAGGGTTAATGGATTAATGGGTTATCATGGGAATGGAACTGGTGGCTTTCTTAGAAGAGGAAGACAGATCTGAGCCGAGCACATTAGCCCACTCTGCCCCATGATCATGTGATGCCCTGTGGCACTTCAGGACTCTATAGAGTTCCCACCAGCAAGAAGGCTCTTGCCAGATGCAGTGCCTTAACCTTGGACTTCTCAGCCTCCATAATTGTAAGAAATAAATTTCCTTTCTTTATAAATTACCCAGTTTCAGATATTCTGTTATAAGCAACAGAAAAGGACTAAGGCAGTGGCCGATGGGATATGGTACTGAAAAGATAAGTAAATGACCAATCATGGAGAGCCCCAAGTGCAAAATAACAAAGTCTGCTTTGCTCTAAGTAGAAAGAGGGGTCACAATGGCCAGATTTGGTAAGGAAAGACTTCATGGACAGTGTGGAACTTTTGCCCTGAAGGAGAGGTTGTATTCATTTTCTAGGGCTGCCATAGCAATCACAAACTGGCTTGAAACAACAAATTTATTCTGTCATAGTTCTGGAAACTAGAAGTTTGAAATCAAGGTGTCAGCAGAGACATTCTCCCTCTGGAGACTCTAGGGAAGAATTCTTCCTTGCTTCTTCCCAGCTGCTAGTGGTTGCTGGCAATCCTTGCCATTCCTTGCTTGTTACTACATCATTCTGACCTCTGCCTCTGTCTTCCCTCTGTGTGTGTCTATGTCTCTTCATGGTCTTCTTATAAGGAACCAATAACTGGATTTAGGTCTACCCTAATCCAGTATGGCCTCATCTTAACTAATTACATCTGCAAAGACTTTATTTCCAAATAAGGTCACATTCTAAGGTTCTGTGTGAACATGAATTTTGGGGGACACTATTCTACCCAGTACAGAGGTGAGTTAAAAGTATCATGAAATATCCAAGGTCTTACAGTTCTGGGCCTACTTAATCCTTAATATTAAAGTACTCTCTTACGGCCAGGAGCAATGGCTCTCGCCTGTAATCCCAACACTTTAGGAGACCAAGGCAGGAGGATCACTTGAGTCTAGGAGTTTGAGACCAGTCTGGGCAACATGGCAAAACCCTGTCTCTTTTTTCTTTTCTTTTTTTTTGAGATACAGTTTCACTGTTGTTGCCCAGGCTGGAGTGCAATGGCACAATCTCGGCTAACTGCAACCTCCACTTCCTGGGTTCAAGCAATTCTGTCTTCCTCAGCCTCCCGAGTAGCTGGGATTACAGGTGTGCGCCACCACACCCAGCTAATTTTGTATTTTTGGTAGAGACAGGGTTTCTTCATGTTGGTCAGGCTGGTCTTGAACTCCCGACCTCAGGTGATTTGCCCACCTCGGCCTCCCAAAGTGCTGGGATTACAGGAGTGAGCCACCGTGCCCAGCCGGCAAAACCCCATCTCTACAAAAAATACAATAATTAGCTGGGCCTGGTGGCACACGCCTAAAGTCCCAGTTACTTGGGGGGCTGAGATAGGAGGCTCTCTTGAGCCCGGGAGGTGGAGATTGCAGTGAGCCAAGGTGGTACCACTGCACTGCAGCCTGGGTGACAGAGCAAGACTCTGTCTCAAAAAAGAAATATTCTCTTTTATGGAACATTAGTATTCATGACAGTATATTATGTGTTATGATTAATACCTAATTATTCATGACTCATTTATATTTTGACTCTTATGTGTTGTCATTGATAGTAACAAGAATTTCATTTCACTGTAAACATTTAAAATTAAGATATCACTAAATACTAATCCCAGCCTTCTCCCTGTCTTTTGCTGTCTTCCATTGTTCCAGATGAGTAAGGTTAAATGCATTTTTTGGGAGAAGAGGGTTATAAAACCCTCCACAAAATCTGTTTTCTAAAGCAAAGCCATTCCATTAAGCAGACCTAAGTTTGGATTGTCAAAGTCCCATAGACTCTGAAAAGCAAGCTGTTAAAACTATAATGAGTTTCGGTGTTGCTGCATTTGGAAATGCTTGCAGCTCAGCAGCAGTCCTTGTACTAGACTGCTCTAGGAGAGGGAGGGGGCAGATGTCTGAGGGACTCTTGTCTTTGAGGCCATCATTTCAGACATTAGTTGAAATTCCATATTCTTGACCTTCATACATTCTTTAATTATGAATTCCTAGCAGTCATAATTTGTAAAAAGCATATGGACAACTCCCCTAATGACAGATCAGAGATGATTAACTTAAAATATTTAATTCAACTCAGAAGAACCAAAGATGAAATATCTTCTTCCTTCCTCTCCCTCTACCCCTATACCAGCAAGCCTGGCTTTTTCTAACAATATCCTTAAGTTAGAGAAAATGCAAATGAAGCTTTGGGGATTCAACTTAAAATGAAAACATTTTGCAGCTGTCATGGCTAATTTGACAATAAATATGAGCATCAGTAATTCTCTTAATATATTTCTTGAATAAGAATCTTAGAGGTAAGAAAATATTGCCTCCAAAGGCTCCTGCTGATGGACTACGTCTTCAGATGTATTTCATGTCTGGAATTGACCCACTTTCTTATGAAAATGATCACCAGTATACAACTCAAAGTTAGTGTTTAGGTGCAGCTGAGCTCACAGGAGCAACGCCCCCCCGCCCTTAGTTTTCTGTGCAGAATTAGTTTCAGTTCTGCTGGCCAGTCTGAAAAAAGCACTTAGAATGGTATTTGCTAGACATAATTTACTACTTTTATTTTTGCAGCTTTTATGCTGTCAAGATTTATTTTTTAAGTGCCCACCATATTTCAAGAAGTGGGCATACCAGAAGGAGTAAGACAAAGTCCCTATTCCACCCACCCAGCTCTCCATGATAACTTACAGATAATTACAACATATTGAGAAGCAGATACAACATATTGACAGGGTTATGTCCAGAATGCTATGGAAGCTCAGAAAAGAGCATCTAAAACTTGCTTTAAAGAAATGTACAAGTAGCCAGGCATGGTGGCACACACCCACCTGTAGTGCTAGCTACTCAAGAGGCTGGGTGGCAGGATCACATAAGCCCAGGAGTTTGTGGCTGCAGTAAGCTATGATCAGTCACTACACCCCAACGTGGGCAACACAGCGATCCTCCCACCTCAGCCTCCTGGGTAGCTGGGACTACAGGCACACGTTACCACACCTGGCTAATTTTTTGTATTTTTTGTAGAGATGGGGTTTCACCATGTTGCTCAGGCTGGTCTCCAACTGCTGGGCTCAAGCAATCCGCTTCTTGGCCTCCCAAAGTGCTGAGATTACAGGTGTAAGCCACTCTGCCTGGCCCAAACATGATTTCTATGCTTTGATAATTGACTTCAACCTTGGTACCTACAAGAAGATAATGTATTCTAACAAACATTTTTTTAAAACATAGGGTTTGCCAAAACAGTGTGCTCTAAAAAGAAATCAATGCAATGGCTGATCTAAGAAATCTTAATTATTTCCTTAATTAATTCAGTAGTCAGAGCCCTGAAAATATTAATGACCCATTCACCAAAGTCATTGTGATAATACTCGATTTAAAGATAGCTTTTCAACCTGTTCTCCCAGCCTCCTTGCTAATTATCCTCCATTCCTAATTCTCATTCACGCCCCTCTTCAAATTGGTCACTTAAATACTATTTATTCTGCCACCTAAATATTGATTTAATTTTTATCCTCACTGCCCTTATCTTATTGCCTATTATAGCTCACCTGTATTGTTACAGTGATTTCCCGACTAGTTCTTAGCATGGTATACACAGCCCTTCACCATGTGGCATTTGTTTACCTCTCCATATTGATCTGCAACCGACGTCCTTGTACCAAGGCAGTTATTTGAAATTCCTAGAACATGCTCTAGACATGATGGTCTCACTCCCACCAAACTACCCCTGTACCTTGTACATACCTCTCTTATAACAGCTATCATCCCATTGTAATTTGGGAGATAATCTCCCCTTCCCAAAAATAAGGTTCACTTTCTAATTAATGGATAGTCAAGGGAATCATTCTATCATTTCTCATCTCTAGAGTCTCCCTGGGCGGGAAGAATGGGCACAAGAAATAGGGCCCCATTACTTTCTTGGAGTGCAGGGATGACTTGAATGCACTGAGGAGGCTGCCCCAGAAACTGTTCATTGACTGCATCTTGCACAGTCTGATGCCACGCACTTTTTAAAGCATCTTTTGTCGTTGTTGTTGTTTGTTTTGAGACAGAGTTTTGCCCTGTCGCCCAGGCTCCGGAGTGCAGTGGCTCCATCTGGGTTCACCGCAACCTCTGCCTCCCAGGTTCAAGTGATTGTCTCTCCGCAGCCCCACAGGTGGCTGGGATTACAGGCACCCGCTACCAAGCCTGGCTAATTTTTGTATTTTTAGTAGACACAGGGTTTCACCCTGTTGGCCAGGCTGGTCCCAAACTCCTGACCTAAGGTGATCCGCCTGCCTTGCCTCCCAAAGCGCTGGGAGCACATGAGCCACCGCGCCTGGTGCTTTTCTAAGCATCTCTGACAAATGAAAAAGAGCACCCCAGCCTGGCACAGTGGCTCACACCTGTAATCCCAGCACTTTGGGAGGCTGAGGTAAGTGGATCACTTGCGCCCAGGAGTTTGAGACCAGCCTAGGCAACATGCTGAAAACCCGTCTCTACAAAAAAACAAACCAACATTAGCTGGGCCTGTTGGCACATACCTGTAGTCACAGCTACCCAGGGGGCTGAGGTAGGAGGATCAATTGAGCTCAGGAGTTCAAGGCTACAGGGAGCCATGATTGTGCCACGACACTCCAGCCTGGGTGACAGAGTGAGAACCTATCTCAAAAAGATAAAAATAAATATATACATTAATTAATAAAAAAGAGCACCCCAGAGAACAACTATAAGACACTCTACCTGGGGAGAAAAACCCACAGAGCCAAATGAACTTGTCAATGGTGCATCTTTTTACTGAGGCAGCAGCTTTTCTTGTCTTGAACTGATGACTTCTTTTGGCACATGCATGTCATGCTGAAGATTAGGGAGATCTGGAGTGTGGAAAGGAAGAACAAGATTAATAACAGCCTTTGGGGAATATAGAGAGGTTGTATATAACCTTTCATGTTATCCCTGGCACCTGCCTCATCAGCTCCCCCATCTGGGGGATTTGGGATTGGTTATCCACTGATATTTAATCTCCAGGATATAGAAATTCAGAAATGTTCTGATCAAAAAATAAATCTATTGGCTGGGCACAGTGGCTCACACACCTGTAATCCTAGCACTTTGGGAGGCCGAGGCAGGCGGATCACCTGAGGTCAGGGGTTCGAGACCTGCCAGGCCAACATGGGGAAACTCCATCTCTACTAAAAATACAAAAAAAAAAAAAATTAGCCGGATGTGGTGGTGCATGCTTGTAATCCCAGCTACTCGGGAGGCTGAGGTTGGAGAATTCCTTCAACCTAGGAGGCGGAGGTTGCACTGAGTCAAGATCGTGCCACTGCACTCCAGCCTGGGTGACAGGGTGAGACTCTGTCTCCAAAAATAAATTAATTAATCTATTAAGGATGAGCATGGTGTCATTAAGAAAAAAAAATCTAAAAAGAAATCTGGCTTTAAATGCTGCTCATTTTTTGCTTCATAATCTTCAAATATTGTTGGCTAAGTTACTGGTTTCTGTTAAATTTTGAGGCTTTCCCTCTTTGTGTACCTTCTTGGAGAAGCCCAGCCTCTATACTGTTTTCAACAGGAGTGGTGTTCTGGTTGAAGCAGGCCAATAGTGCCCAGGTCTAAGGAATCCAAAGAGTTCAGAAAAGAATTCAAGCAATGGGCTGTATATATGTGCATAGCTACCAATTTATAAATATAGTCAGAGGACTATAAAGGCAACCCAAAGCTGCATAGAAGGATGGAGCTGTAGGTTGCTTCTGCAGCAGCTATATGAGAAAATCAAAAAATAAGAGTCTAGCGTTTGGAAAGAATGTGAGCTTTGGAGCAAGGCAGCGTGGATTTGAGTCCCATATACTAGTTGTGTTGTCTTAGGCATGTCATTTAACCTCACTGAGCCTTTGTTTCTCTTTATAAAATGGGGTTAATAGAAACTTTCCTTGTGAGATTGTTGTTAGCATTAGAGATAATGTTTGTAGAATGCTTTGCACATGGTAGGCTTTTTTTTTTTTTTTTTTTTGAGACGGAGTCTCGCTCTTTCGCCCAGGCCAGATTGCCAGTGGCGCGATCTCGGCTCACTGCAAGCTCTGCCTTCTGGGTTGACACCATTCTCCTGCCTCAGCCTCCCGAGTAGCTGGGACTACAAGCGCCCGCCACCGCACCCGGCTAATTTTTTGTGTTTTTAGTAGAGACAGAGTTTCACCGTGTTAGCCAGGATGGCCTCCCAAAGTGCTGGGATTACAGGTATGAGCCACCGCTCCCAGCCTGCACATGGTAGGCTCTTAAGAAATGGTAGTTATGATTTGGGGTTTCTGTCAAGAGTGGTGTGATGGAGGCTAATACTCCACCCAGGTCCCCACTAGGGGTCCTGTTGGCAGTGGTCAACATTCAGTTACCGCTTGAGACAAGCTTATAAAAGACTTGGCTATCTTGGCTAAACTTGAAACAACTCTAAAGGGCCCCTCTGGCTCCAGATCTCCCCATGGTCCAACCAAGTCAACACTAGGCCCACGTGGCAGCTCAGCTTCTCCCTCTGCTCACTCCAGCTTTCTCCCCCTCTTTTCCATGGATGTTGTTCCCAGGAGCACTTTTTTTTTTTTTTTTTTTGAGACAGTGTCTCACTCTGTCACCCAGGCTGGAGTGCAGAGTGCAGTGGCGCGATCTTGGCTCACTGCAACCTCAGCCTCCCAAGTTCAAGCGATTCTCCTGCCTCAGCCTCCCTAGTAGCTGGAATTACAGGCACGTACCATCACGCCCAGCTAATTTCTTTATTTTTAGTAGAGACAGGGTTTTGCCATGTTAGCCAGGCTGGTCTTGAACTCCCGGCTTCAAGTGATCCACCTCCCAAAGTGCTGGGATTACAGGCATGAGCCTCCACGCCTGGCCGAAGAGCACTTCTTAATAAACATCCTTCATGCTAAACTCTGTCCCGGAGTTTATTTTCTAAGGAATCTGACCTGTGACAAATGATAAGGCTGGCAGCCAATTCTATGTTATCATTTATCACCCATTGATCTGAAGCCCAATGATCCTATGCCATTTTGTCTAGGTGTCAGGATGTATTTTAGAAAGACAGGCAAAGCATCAGAAAAACTGTAAAGAGAAAAATCTTAGAAATGTAACACTTTCCTATAGAAAGGCATTTGATAATTTCCAAAAGTTAAAAACATCCTAAATCCTGCTCCACATGACCCCAAGAGCATGGCAGTATTTTTTAGCATCAATTTCCTAAAAATAACTTGGCTATGAGGTTCACATCAATATAATTAAGCAAATGTAATTATTAGTTTTTTCCAGCATTGAGCTTTTAATTCCCTTTCCAATGGCAAGGACCCAGTTAGCGATCTTCCTGGAAGCAAAGCCATTTTACTTGCCTTTACTGTGTTGGTTGTATAAGAAGTTACTTTAGAACCGGGCTGTACTGTCGGCATCTTTCTGGAGTTGAGGCTGGGACCCCCTTGTCTCAGTCAGCTTCTTCCCCTTCCCTCCCTTCCCAAGTACAGCCTATGTAGTTAGAATCAGCAAACTAGATAAAAGGCAGAACCCAGCAGACCGATTCTGAAGTGAATGTCTAGAGTTAAGCTAGACTCTGATTTGGACAGGGATACCATCTCCAGGAATACCCTTACCCCAGTTTGATCCTCTGTTCTTTCCTACACTGATCTCACTGGGTATTAGGAGTTGAAGACTCAGGAAGGAGGAGCTCATCAGGTAATTAGCCTGGTCATAGTCATTTAGTAATTAATCAACAAATACTTCTTGGCCGGGCGTGGTGGCTCATGGCTGTAATCCCAGCACATTGGGAGGCCAAGGCAGAAGGACCCCTTGAGCCCAGGAGTTCAAGACCAGCCTGGGCAACATAGGGAGACCCCCCTCTTCAGAAACTTTAAAAATTAACTGGGTGTGGTGGCGCATGCCTGTGATTCCAGCTATTCTGAGGCTGAGGTAGGAGGATCGCTTGAGCCCAGGAGGTCAAGGCTACAGTGAGCGGTGATTGTGCCACTGTACTCCAGCCTGAGCCTCAGCAACAGAGCAAGACCCTGTCTCAAAACAGAAACAAAAACCCACAAATACTTCTTGAGGATCATGTACAGGGCACTGGGCTGTGAACCATGAATGCAAACACTGGACACCATGCTTCTGTCTCTCCCAGTAATGGAGAGGAGAGTGGAATTAAACATGGGAAGGTTAGCATTAGGACAGCTAAGCAGTACAGGCAGTGCATATCATGAGATCAGAGAAAAGATGGCTTTTCCCAAGTCACTTTTTCAGGTATGTCTAAACCGCGTGTCTCTGCAGCCTTGAGATAGCTCAGGTAGTGCCTTGCTCAGATTAGACCCTCAGTAGATACACACTGAATTGAGTGTTTTTCCCAATGGTTTTCCATCCACTTTTTGGCCTTCAAATAACACAATATTCAGTTGGCAGCAGATGTTAAGATTTTTTTCAGCAGTAATATCCCAACCAATGTGCAGAGGCACAGAAGATGACAGGGATGCGCCAGAGGCCTCAGGGAGCCGCTGGGCTCAAGGTTCCTGCCTCCCCTCCACTCACCCCTACTCTTCTTGACCAAAAACTGAAGAAGGAGCAGTCACACACTTCCAGAAAACTTGCCTCCTCTGTTTGCTCTCTCTATCACACTGCAAAGCCTGGACCATGGTTCTTCCTGATGCTCTGGGGACCTGGTCATTCCCACCCTACCCCCAGTGCACATTAAGACATACATTTCCAAGCCCAAGAATTATTTATTTGTTTATTACTTATTTGAGACAGAGTTTCACTCTTGCCGCCCGGGCTGGAGTTGCAATGGCACGATCTCGGCTCACTGCAACCTCTGCCTCTCGGGTTCAAGCAGCTCTCCTGCCTCAGCCTCCCAAGTAGCTGGGATTACAAGCACCCGCCACCACACCCGGCTAATTTGTTTTTGTATTTTTAGTAGAGATGGGGTTTCACCATTTTGGCCAGGCTAGTCTCAAACTCCTGACCTCAGATAATCTGCTCTCCTTGTCCCCCGAAAGGGCTGGGATTACAGGCGGGAGCCACCACGCCTGGCCCCAAGAATTATTTATAGACCAAAAGACATCTGTTGCTGCTCAGCCACTGAAATACCACATGTGGGAGAACCTTCAGGAAACTAACAAGTTGAGGGACCCAATGGTACTTGTCTGAAAGCACATCCGCAGCTTCTGCCTCAGCCACGTTTCAGAGGCTCTGCCTCTGGTTAAGTGAGATGAGGTTGCAAGGGACACTTTATCAGCCCCTTTCCATCTCTGTCAGTTCCTATCCCTTCTTTATCTGGACAGTTGAAGAGTTCTCAATCTTATACACAAGATCATACAAATAAATCTTTATTCCCCACCCTCACCCCAGCCAGACTGTCACGCCTAAAGCCCTCGCATATAGAAATCCAGCAGTCCCGCTGCTGCCTGGGTTATAGTTTAGGAAATAGTGGGCCTGGGAAGGACAGAGGCTGGTATTAGCCTGAGGATCCACTCTGAGAAGATCTTGCAACGATCCTCATTTTATGAGGCTGGAGGCGGGCATTAGATGATCTAATGGGACTTTTCCATCGCTCACAGTGGAATGTAAAATGACCAGACTCTAGCAGGATAATAGTTTCACATAATGGTGTTCACTGTGTCAGGCCTGCTAGAGGCAGTTTCTAAAATTGAATGGATTCTGTTTAGTTACTCTTTCCATTTACTTTGAGCAATGGCCCTGAGTTTTTTAGATTAATTACACTAGCAATAAACATCTACCTGTTAAAGCTACCCGATTATCCTTTTTAAAGAAAAAAAAACTGTTTTAAATCCTTGTTTAGAAGATGGACCTGGGATGTTATTACTTTGATTGACTAATAACAGAATCAGAGGATTTTGAGCACATAAGAGGACATGAGATTATTTGCAGATAGAGAAACTGAGGCACAGAAAGGGAAAATGACCTGCCCAAGAGATCACAGTCAGAATGTGCCTTTTCTTACTCCCATCGCTTCCCTCCTGCCCCAAACTCCCTGCCAAAGTTGAACATGGAGGACTTGCCTCCTTGGCATGGAACTACATGCTCAGAGCATATTTCCTATACCCACCCCAACCCTCCATGGAGGGGCAGCTGGATCCTCTCTCAGGAAAAGGAGAGAAAGGAGAAGGCTGGTCTTGACAGCCAAGACAGAATTCTGACTAAGGAGCCTCAAGGAGCGTAGATGTAGGGAGGAGACAGCAGGATGAGGTACTGGGGCACCTTCCAGCCCCGCCTCCTAGACAAGAGAGCCCAAAGGCCAGGATAGGACATGTTCTGGAACAGACTCCCTGTCACTGACAGCAGATCTGGGGTGAGAAGGGGAGTTCTTTCCCCGGATTGAGTTTGATGATAACTGCTGGCTTTATTTTCTGATGATCTAGTTCATAGCAAAAGTGCAGTGAGTTTTGAGCTAGTTAGCCATTGAAAATAAATGGTAATTGGGGACTCGAACTTGCAAGCCAGAGTTGGGTAGCTGCCCACTGTCATGAAAGGCAGAATTTAAAAACCTGGTAGGAAGAAGCAGTGTTTCTCTGTAATATTTAACTCACAGTCTAATGCTCTGAAGTTGGTACTCTTGTTATATGAAAACGTGGAAGGTTAATGAAAGTGGGGTTTGTGCTAACAGAGTTGGATTGTGACAGAGGTCAAATATCTGCTTCTCTTTCCCTTATCCCTGTAATCTTGGCTTCAAGAGCTACAAGACCATCAGATGCCAGTAATCCCCAGACCAGCAACAGCAGCATCACCTGGGAACTTGTTAGAAATGCCAATTCCCAGGCCCCACAGCAGACCTATGAACTAGAAACTTTAGGGGCGGGGCCCAGCAATCTGTATTTTAACAAGCCCTCCAGGTGATTCTGAGGTGGACTCAGGTGTGAGAACCAATGGTCCGGAGTATGGTATGCTTCCTAATTTGCTGTTTATTAAGGAAAGTCAGCCTTCTGAGTGAGCTAGCTGTCTGCCTCCTATCTTGCCTCCTTCTCCTCTTCTCCTCCACCAGTGGGACAACCACTATTGGAAGATTCGGGGTTTGTCCTGCTGCTTTCCTAGGCCTCGGTATTTGTACAGGAAACTGTCTCTCCACCCATCTGTCTGGCTCTGGGCCCCAGCTGTCTCACTCCTCTCCTGGGACTCTCACTATTGTTGTTCCAGTGAGGTTGTTTCTACTCAGTGCTGGGAAGGGAGGCATAAACGTGGCTTTTGTTCCTCTAGTGGGACCACAGATCAAGGCAGACCATGGAACTCTTCTTCAGAGTTCTGTTTGCTGTGACAAGGGGCTTTCAAGGGAGGCCCTGGCTGTCCTTCTCAGGAGAAGCAGTGAAAATGACTTGTCTGGTCCTGGGATAGGATGCCAGCAGCTGTGTGTGACTGGGCATGCTCTGGGGAAGTTGGGGCTTCAGTCAGAGAGCTGTGGGCCCTACTTGCCCATCCCTCTCTCATTTATCTGTCAATATCCTGTTGTGCAGTGCCCTGGGGAATCCCAGGGGGAAGAGTCTAATGCTACAGGTAGCTCCCATAGGTTTAACTACAGAGGGAACCTGTTCTGTTTTTTGAGAGAGATCAGGACGCTGAGTTAATTTCTTGAAATATATTTTGCCAAATGCTTTTTTTCTTTTTATTCTAATTAAAGCCAAGGCATTAAAAGGTATAGTGTCTATTGGAATTGTGTCATATCTTATTCCCCTTATTCAGCTCCTCCTTTCTAGGGAGCATGTCAGGAGCCTGTCACAGAAGCTCTGCCTTTGTCTCTGTGGCACTGATTAGAGGCTGCCAGGCTTCTGAGGGGATTTGGTTTGATTACATATATTTGAAATTTTCTACTCTTCTGATCAGGAAAAAAATAGCCTTGGGTAAGAAGAAGACGCAGATTTGTACTTTAAGAGCCACTTTGGGCATATTTCCAAAATGGTAGCCACTCCCAGATCTTGGGGACACTACAAGGTGGACATGTAGCCAAGATCCATTCATGCATTCTTGTCCAGGGAGGACAGGCTTCTGTTCCTTGAGTGCATTGACTCATTGCTGAGGCCTTGTGCATTCAAGTCCATCCATCCTGGAGGAAGAAGAGGTCTCAAGAGGCTGAGGAAGTTGGCACGAAAACTCACAGGGTTTTTATGTATATTTTGTGTCTTGATTTTAGCCCCACAGTCATCCTTAGATGTAAGATTAACTCTGTTTTAGAGATAAGGAAGCTGAAGCTTGAGTACATTAAGGGATGGGTCTGAGATCACAAGCTGAGAAGTGGCAGACCAGGGCCTTGACTCTAAGTCTACTTAGTGCTCGTTCTCAAAGCCTTTGCCTTCCCAGAGCTCCTCCCCTTTCTGCTCCCTGTGCCTCAACTTCTAAGGAACATAAGTAACCTGATAGGAGAGTTGAAAAGGAAACTGCACCCAGACTGCACTCAGGACTCAAAGATCCTGACCTGTTTGCTAATGAAATGTGTCTACCTCAGGATCCATCACATATGTTGGCACTGGCCAGTAAACAATTTTTTTGTGAAGAGGAGGGAAATAATCAAAGAGTTATGAGGACCAGTGAGTTTATCATATTTCTCCTGACCCTGGCCATCCAGGATACTCCCTAAAACCCCAGAAATTCCCAGATTTTGCCAAACATGCATTTGTCTTTTGCAAAAAAAAAAAGAAAAAAGCAGCAATAAAATGAGTTGTCAAACTGTCCTTAGGGTTGGAGCAAGGGGAAGTCGATCTTTCCCCAAATTCTAGATTTTCTTTACAAGTTATTTGAAGCAGCGTTGTATGAGAAGTGCAGCTGTATTAGAGAATGTGTGTGTGTGTTGGGAGTGGGGATCGGGGGGTATAAGTGTGAGAGAGAAAGAGAAGAGAGAGAGAGAGACAGAGAATAGAGAAAGAGAATATGAGCTTCACAAATACAAAGCAATGAGTTTTTTCCTAACAAGCCTGGCTGAGTTTCCAGTAGTTCTGCAGCTGTGACATGACTAGTCCACTGAGATATTCAGCACTGGTTGGAAAAATACAACTAAAATTTATTCAATCAATAGCAAGATGCAGTGATGCTTTTAAGAGTCACCTTACTTGTAAAAGTGGCTTCTCCAAAGATAAGAAAGATGAACGAGTTGTCTGCTTTTCTTCAGACCTGGCTCTGTTTTTCTTTTTCTTTCCAGACACTTCACAGGGTACAAAGATTTCATATAGAAATGAGACACCTTGTCTCTTGAAGCATCACCACTGATATCTCAATAAGACTGGCCCTCTTGTTAGCCTTGCTCTTACAAGCTGTACAACAGCAGGTTTGAAGTTCTGCTCAGAGGGTCTTAATTGCCCTTGTTGAGTCTGCTTTGGGCCATCTGTGCTGACAGAACACTTAGTCCTCCCTCCCATGACATTTCCTTGCGCACGGTGACCTCCATGTTCCAGACTGAATGTGATTTCCCCACCCCACGTGCACATCCTGCGTGTCACACCATGTGGCGATGAGCAAAGCCAGTTCTCTGACCCAAGTGAGGACTGCCAACAGGGCTCCCTGCAGCACTGCACCTGGCATCTGAACCTAGAGATATCTGTGTGGCTTCATGAAAATCACCCCAGCTCTCAATTTGCATGTAGAAGGGAGTTGTTGGGGCAAAGAAGTTGCTGTATTTAAGGATTTGGTGAGAACAGTGGCTAAGAAGCACTGATCCTTTCTCCTTCTGAGCTCTGATTTCCCTCCACTTTGGGGCCTCACCACTCCTCCAGGAGCCACATGGTTACGTGGCCCCACAGCAGCCTCCTGGCATTGTAGTCTAGATACCAGAGCCTGCTTGGGCCCTGTTCTTCCCAGCCTGATGGCTGAGTTCTGAGAGTAGGAAACAGAAGGGAGTACCTGGGTAGGGGTGAGCTATGGCCCTGCCACATTTGTGGTGACCTGCTACTCAAGAGAGTATTGCTTGCAGATGGACGTCTCTGCATTTCCCCCTGGAATGAGCTTTCTTAATCTTCTCCCAGAGTGAGCTGGCTGCTCTTCTAGCTGCAGCCTCAGCAGTTCCTGGACAGATTTCATTGGTTTACGACTAAGCAGGAAAAGTGAGCTCCTGGGCCAAGAGCTCAGCAGGGGTTCCCTCCCTTCAAAGAAAGTGTAAAGAAGGTGCTGAAGTTAGGGAATCTGAGGTTCTGCTGTTAGCACTTGTGCCCCACACCCTCCCTCTGCCTCAGAAAGCTGGGCTGGGTGTAGCATGTGACCATAGAGGCAGGGACTGCACCCCAGAAATTAATTCACACTTTTCTGCTCAGCTCACTAATGCCATGGCCCTGAGAAGATGACCTACTGTGGCTGTTCCTCTGTAACATTAAAGTGCTTTTACACAGCATCTGCTCTGGAACCTGGCAGACATCGGCATGCCACTCATGCCCTCACACCACTAAAAGGCATGGAAGGAAAGCAAGGAAGTCTTTGGCCTACAAGAAATTTAAATATATATAGTTAAGCTAGAATGCAGGCTAAGATGCCATCCCATCCCTGGTGCCTGTTTCTTCCCCGGCAGGCCTCCAAGGACAACTCGTTCAACTGTTGCCCTTCCTCCAGGGTGCCTAGTATCAGTGTGGCTTTCTTCCACCTCTGGACTCTTGTACTTTGGGCTACGGGTGCCCACTTTCTGTAATCCCTCCATTTTACCTCTGCCTTCTCTAAGGGCCCGTGAAACCAAGGCCAGCTACCCTTTAACAGATTGTGAACCAAGGTCATAGCATGTAGCCAGGAGGAAGTTGGAATCACTCTTACCCTCTGCTAGACTCTACTTCGTTTGCACTTGCTTGTGAGGTGCTTGTGTGCCTCACAAGTAAGCAGGATTGAATAAAGTGGAGCCTAATGAGTGGAGCTTTCTGCATCTTGGCTTCTCTCATCAGGATGCTGCATGCCAGAGAGCCTGGGATTAACCTCATCCATGATGGGTTAAAATAAAGCTCCTCTCCTGCCCATGGATATCGATGATGAGACAGAAAATGCAATTAACCTTAAATAGTTTAGGTCACTGGCCCAAGCTTGCTTACTGCTTGCTACCTCAGTCCCTTCCCTAAAGAATAGGCAAACCATAGAGAACCAGAACCAGGCGTTCCAGGGAGGAGCAAAAATAGGAATTATCCCACCCTCAGAGCTGCACAGTGATTCCAAGAGGCTCATGAATCATTCTGTGCACCATATAGAGAGAATAAATGGGTTGTACCTATATGCACTAGTATTTTCAAATATGTATAGGCACTGTTGTGGTTCATAAAATATAAATTTATTTTTTAAACGAGTGCTTAATAAGTTATTTTGATCCAATAATGTCTTTGGGAAGAGAATAACCTCAGAAGTAGCTGCAGGGTGAGGATTTGGGTGCTCTGCCTCAGCTCACTTGTCCTGAAGATAAATGTCCTCAGGCTTGGAGCTCTGACTTTGTGACTAAACAGTAATCACCTGTCAGCGCAAGTGCCTGTTTCTCCGGTATAATCAATGGCACAACATTCAACGCACAGTTTAGCCACAGTGCCAGGGCACCTGCAGGCAAAGGGAAGGGAAGACGGCTTTGCCATCTCATCAAAAGAAAAGACTGACTGTCACAGAATATTCCAGAAACCCCTGGACTTAGGACTGGGAGACCATGGAGAGGGTATCCCAGGACGCAGCTGGCATCAGGAAGTGCAAGGGGATCCACAAGCCCAGGAAGTTGTAAAATTCCTAAAATCTTGCCCCTGCCGTTGGCTTGTAGGGAGCCCATCATGATGGTTCAGCTGCATGTGATTTCACCCAGTGCTGCCTCAGGCCACTCCACCAGCCACAGGTGTGAGTGCCTCAAAGGAAGGGCTTTGTCGCAACCCTCTGTGAAAGGTGCCTCTGCGCAGAGCTCTAAGTTGATTCTACCTTTGCATACCTACTGGGGATTTAAATTTCATGGAATTCTATGTCTACCTCTTTCCTCATTCCCCTCACCCCCACCCCAGCCTTGGAGAAAGAGCAAAGGAAGATGCTTCTCTTCATTAGTCTATGCAAGAGCCCTGCAGCTCAAAACAATGCATCTAACACTGGTAACTGGTAAATGGGAACTTGAGGGAACTATGTCTTCACGGCGGGGGAGCAGGGGGATTCACCAGGTGCTGAAAAGTAACCAGAAAAAGGTCTTTTTTATGTAGCTGTAGGGAATGGGTAGTGGGATATATCCTTATTTCCTAACTACTCCAAGAGAAAAGCCATGCTTCCTTTTTCTTCCTGTGAAGTGGAAGAAATCTGAAGTTGGATCTACCAAGTTCAGGGTTCTTACCAGCTAAGAGCCTTACAAGTGCATCTGAACTCGCAGCCCATGAGAATGAGTTGTTTTATGAAAGGCAGGATTCTTATTAAAAGTCTGTATGATTTCCATCACAGAAGCATGTTTTCCCTATAGCTATCTCTGTCCCATTGCTAATCTGGTTGTTGTATGTATGGAAGCAAACTTCTTCAGCCCGTAAAACTCACATCATACTGTAGTAGTGTTTGTGAAAAACATTTTTTCATTAAAAAAAAAAAAGCACCAGCTGATCACAATGTAAAAGCCAGCTTGGTGCAAAGTAAAATTTGTAGAGAAAAGCAATGAAAATATGCTACTGTCTCTCACTGTTCCATTTCAGTTGCTCTGAGAGAGATAATAGTATAGGATATGCTGCATGGGATAGAGTGGAACATGTTTCCTCTGCTCCCAGAGAACCTGAAATACCTCTTTAAGCTCTTCTCACTCTCTTGGCATCAGTGAAGAAGTAGTTAATAGGCCCTGCACAAAGAAAGTTCTGACGGAGTCCTTTGAAAGACCTGGTTTGTGGCCCACCACCCAGAAGTCCCAGTGTGATTCATAACGAGTCTCTGTCCTGAGAGTCACTCTTTCCTGTAGGGGACCAAAGACAGGAGGAATAGGGCCTGCGAGTTCAGGCTTATGTTGTGAGAGGGAGTATGAGGCTAGCAGAAGTGATACCAGTGGGCTGGGGGAGGTCCCCAAACGCCAGTGAGACCTCCACCCCACCTGGTGTCCAGGCTCTTGACACCATTGAGAAGATAAGAATTCTTTCAAGAAATTCAAGGAAGAGTCAGAAAATAGTAAAAGAACAGAGATTTATTGAGATTTATTGCAAAGGGCAAAGTACACATTCAAGAAAAGGGAGCGTAGGCATACTTGAGAGAGTCATTCAGTGGGGTTTGGGGTTTCTGTCTTTATGGGTTTCTTTAACCAAGGGGTGGAATATTCAAGAAAATTCTTGGGAAAAGGTAGAGATTTCTCATAACTGCAGTGGCACCTATTTTTACAGCAAATATGGGTGGTCTTGGAACAGTCCTGGCGCTGGTAGGTGTGTGATCTAGTATGTTAACGAGTTTATAGTGAGGTCCTAGGAGAAACCTAGGTCAAATCCAGCCACACATTGGGTTCAGTGGGTCTTAGCTAGCTTGGTCTATGCCCTGTTTTTCAGGGTCTTATCAGCCCATAGCCTCTAGTCATGTGAAACTGCTGTCTGGAATTTTTATTCTCCTGTGACCACCCTGTATTATTCCTGTCTCAGAAGAGGAGGGGTGTTGCCCACATGTTGCCTCCTTCTGTAGTTGAGCTGTCTACTCACCTATTCTTCCAGCTCCTGCAAGGACAAACTTCTTAACATAACTGCCGCGAGATCAGCATCCTGCCCTAGTTCTCCTTGGATAGTATGTGGTGAGTTAGCAGAAGGGGAAGAGGTGAGGTGTAAACCTTTTGTGAAGGTCTTTAAAATATGCTCATTCTTGGGGCAGGGCCAGGCCCTTCTGTAATTACCCATGGCCTTGGGCCTTGGCACAGGAGAGATCTTTGGATCTTATCTTACAACCTCAATTTCTGAGACAAACGTGATAACCACTACACTACAGAAATTCCTCATACAACCTCAATTTGTATGCAAAATTAGACATAGACCCGCCAGAGATGATCATCTGAACTGAGCTGCAGAGACCACTGGGGACAGGCCAGCGATGGATGCTGTGCAGGCTCCAGATGTTTTGACAGGTTCCTGCAAGTCATTCTCCTCCCACTTCACCCTTGGCATCCAGGCAGGTCTCTGAAGTAGAAGGTTATGGGTTATAAACGGCCTAGCTTTTCACCATTTTGTGAAATCTTTTAGCAAACCTTTTCCCTTCTATTCATTCAGTAATTTATTCAACAAATAATTATTGAGGACCTGCCTGCCATGCATCAGGCCCTGTGCTAAGTTCTGGGGGAAGGATTCTGACCTCATGAAAATTACAGTCTAGAAAGGAAGCAGATAGTAAATAGATAACTAAACAAATCAACAAGATAATTACAGATTGGTATAAGTGCTATGAAGGACATAAATGGCAAAATGAGATGGAAAGTAACTGGGAAGGGCTGTACTATAGGGAAAGGCCTCTCTGAAGAGGGGACATTTGAGCTGAGTCCTCAAAAAATAGGAGTGGCTGCAGAGAGCTGCAGGAAGAACATTCCCGGCAGAGGGAATGCAAAGACAGTGGCAGAAAAGCCTTGGGGAGTTCAGAACGGAAAGGCCATGGCTGAAGTGTAGTGAGGAAAATGATTTTGGGTGAGTGCAGAGAGAAGCCAGGCTGTATAGGGCCTGGGACGCCATGATCAGAGTTTTCATTTTATTCTGAGAGCAACAAGAATTAAGAGAAGTGAGTAACATAAAGATCATTGTATGTTCACTGCCACATTGTTTGTAATAGCAAATTAGAAACAAATGTCATCAATATGGAACTGGGTAAATAATTTTAGATTCATTGCAGTGACATGCAGCAGTTAAAAACTGTGAGGCATATCTATATATATTGCCATAGAAGGATTTGCAGGATACCCTAAGTGGGAGAAAAGAGCTTAAAAATATGTTACAAAATGTATTTTTAAAAGAGGAGATGTATATGTATGTAGGTTTGCCTGTGTATAAAACATCACATAAAGGATATACAAGAGGGCTGGGCATGGTGGCTCACACCTTTAATCCTAGCACTTTGGGAGGCCGAGGCAGGCAGATCACCTAAGGTCAGAAGTTAGAGACCAGCCTGACCAACATGGTGAAACCCCGTGTCTACTAAAAATACAAAAATTAGCTGGACGTGGTGGCACATGCCTGTAATCCCAGCTACTTGGGAGGCTGAGACAGGAGAATCGTGTGAACCCAGGTGGTGGAGGTTGCAGTGAGCCAAGACTGCGCTATTGCACTCCAGCCTGGGAGACAGAACGAGACTCCATCTCAAAAAAAAAAAAAAAAAAAGGATATACAAGAAGCTGATAACAGTTGCTTCTAGGGAGAGGAACTGGGGCACAGGGTGGCCAGGGTGGAAGGGAGACTTACTGTTCATAGTATATCCTTTTGTTTGTTTAAATATCCTACAATGTGCCTGATCACTTATTCAGCAAGAAAGAGATGATGTCTAAATTGTGGACACCCTCATTGCTGTGCGGAGAATGGACTGAAAGGGCAAGAGCAAAGGCAGAAGATCAGTTAGAAGGCTCTGGCAGTGGTCCTGTTGAGGGATGGTGGTGGCTTGACCTATGGTGTTGGTAACAGAGAGGAAGAGAAGTGAATGGATTCAAGATTTACTTTAGAGGCTCAGTCAGCTGGGCCTGGTGTAATTATTGCTGTATTCCACACTGACATTCCCTACACCCACAGTTTAAGAAAGCTCTCTGTGCATTTGAGATGGGAACTGGGCTTACCTGACTCTACCCTGACTTCTCTGACATCTTTGTGGTGGGAAGGGTTCTTGGGCTCCTTCCAGGTGCTAAAAGCCTCTGGATTCCAGACAGTGAGTGATGTATCACAATGTGGAGGACATAGTTATGGACATTCACCCCTTTCATAGACACATGCAACAGTTACAAACAACTTTTAATGGCTATAAAAAAAAAAAAAGTTACACTGAAGAAACCCACTCATTTCTCAATGGAGTTTTCTTTCTTTGCAGAGAGATGCCAAAGGCCAGTACCTGTTTGACCTTCTTTGCCACCATCTGAACCTACTTGAGAAAGACTATTTTGGTATCCGCTTTGTAGACCCAGATAAGCAGCGGGTAAGTCAATATTCAAAGCACAAAAGGAGGACAGGGCTAGTCAATAAGACTGAGGTCTTGAACTGTCATTCATATTCAAAGTCAAGCTTCAGGAATCAGGGACCAACCAGACCCTGCAGTTGGATGTCGTCTCTTCAGATCATAGCATTAGACCTGGAAGGCACCTTGGCTAGAGCTCACCTGGAGAAGCTTGTCATTTTACAGTTGCTGAAATGGCAGGCTAGGGAGCTTAAATGATTTGCACAAAGTTGGAGGCAGAGCAGCTGGGCTGGAGTTGTGGTCTCGGAGCCCAAGTCACAGGGTGAGCCTCTCCTGCCCACTTTCTAGTAAGCAGGCTGAAGCACATTGTACTGGTTAGGAAAGGCCTCACCAAAGGTGCCATACCAACCCAATCTAGGCAGTACAGACAGAGCCAAACCAGCGCGGGCCTTTCAGCACCTTGCAGATCTTGCAGTTCTTGCTCTGCTCTACACAGCATAGGCAGCTCTGCAGACACAGGGCATTCTGATAGCCAAGGGTGCTGATATTCCAGACAGATTCAGGAACAAGTCCATCATCTCAGGCCCCTGCCTATTTCTCCAGCTTCATCTCCCCAACCTGCTGTGGTCCCGCCAGACAGTAATACTTTTGCCCTCCAGATACATCATACCTTCTTTCTTTACAGAGCCTTCACCTATAGAGTTCCCCTGCCTAGAATCTTCTCCTTTTCCTTACCGCTCCACACTCCACACCCTTCTTCCAGCTAACTCCTTTTCACACTTAAGGTCTCAGCTTAGACTTTTACTTCCTCTGGGAAATCTCCCCTAACCCCACTCTGTATTAGGGATCCTCCTATGGGCCCCCATGTGCCCTCTGCTACCCTGTTATAGCACTTATTACATCATTCTGTGATTACCTGTGTTCCCTGCAAAAATGTAAGTTCCATGAGGGCCTGGACTTTGTCTCATTCATCACTATCTCCCATTTAACTAGCACAGGCCTACAATGTAGTTGGTGTTCAATAAATATTTTCTGAAGAAATGAATGCATGAGTGAGTTAATGGCTTATAGTGTTGTATTTCTTACGTCCATTTGCCCAGCCTCCCAGCTTGCAGACACCTGCAGTTTCTATAACTTCCCTTCATCTACCCTTTGCTCTTTGTGGAGATGTACTCTCTGGCATCCCCACCAAAGTAGAGAGGTAATGATGGTGTTTCTTTGTTTGGTCCAAACTTTTATCCTTAAAAAGGAAGGCTGGCTGTGTGCACTGGCTCATGCCTGTAATCCCAGCACTTTGGGAGGCTAAGGCAGGCGGATTGTTTCAGCCCAGGAGTTCATGACCAGCCTGGGCAACATGGCAAAACCCCGTCTCCACTAAAAATACAAAAATTCGCGGAAATGGTGGCATGTGCCTGTAGTCCCAGCTACTTGGGAGGCTGAGACATGAGAATCACTCGAACCCGGGAGGTGGAGGTTGCAGTGAGCCAAGATCACACCACTGCACTCCAGCCTGGGAGACAGAGCAAGACTCTTGTCTTTAAAAAAAAAAAAAAAAAAGGAGGGCCAGTTACTCCAAGATCTCTTCATCCCCTAGAGTGGTGGTATATGAAGAAAAAAAGGCGAATTGTATCCTGTTCATTGGTTTTTTAGTTAGGTCAGAATGTGCTTGAGGAGAGTAAGAGAATATGTGGATGTGGTGAAGGTTAAAATGAGAAGGAACTAGAGAGAGATAAGAACATGGGAAAGAGGAGAAGTAAACATTTATGGAGTTCCTACTGCTTGCCAGGCTCTGCGCTGCACACAAACCTAATTCTTCCAGCTGATGTATACTGCTCACTGAGTCGTGCCAGGCACTAAGCTAAGAGCTTCACGTATGTTATTCCATCTCATCCTTAACAAAATGAGATGAGTATCCCTAATGATAATATCTGTTATCCAGATGAGTAAATAAAGTCTCAGACAAGTTAAGTAACTTGCCCCAGGTCAGTGGCAAAGCCAGCCTCGAGCTCAGACCTGTTTGACTCCAGGGCCAGTGTGGTTTCTGAGATTCCATGCTGAATGTATAACTGATAGCCTCTGAAAGTTGTGTAATTCTGTGCCTTGCGGGAGGGGTTAAGGAGAGCAGAGAGGCTTGAGACAGTAACTGAGGGTTGTAGGGAAATGGGGACCTGTAGAGAGTTGTCCTTAGTCCACTGATTCATGGTAGGGATGGAGGAGCTGAGCTCCCCTGCTCCCTCAGGGTGTAAGGGCCTAAAATAAACCTCTTTCCCTGGGTCTCAAGACAGTCTGAACCCAGCACTTACATCCATCCGATGTCAGTCCTTGCTCTGCAGGAGCCTCCATGCATCTGCAAGCTCTCCTGGTCTCTCCTGGAGGAGCTGCCCTTACTTTCCTTCCCCAGGATGCCTGACTCGGGCCCAGGGCCTCCACCTTCTCTTGGCCTCTGCTTTGTACCCTTTCAAGCCCCTAGAGTCTGAAGATTGTGCCACATTGGCCCATTCACTCAGATAGGGGAGGAAACCCTCCTCTCTGAATCTTCTTTTCCTCTTCTTTTAATCCCTCCTCCCTAAGCCCATGTTGTCTGTTTGCTAGTGAATCTGGGACCGATTTGGTCAGGCATTTGCAAAAAGCCACTCTGGCCATCACCATATTCTTGGGTTCCTCTCAAGATTTCTCTGCCAGACTCCAAATCCCATGGATCAGCTGTGACAGCTCTTCAGTCCCTTCTCACCCCTTGCTACTATCCTCCAGCCTCAGTCCTTTCTTGAGCTCTCACTACAATAAAACTAAAATCTTCTTTCTAGCTATTGTCAAGGGGAATAGGCTTTTGTCATTCAGCTTTATCTGCCCTCTGCTGATAATGCATCTCACAGTCATTAATTTCTACCTTCCTTTGTTTATTTCTTTTAATCTATCAGTCTAATGTCTGGGGGTGTTGCTGTTCTGTGTACTGAATCCCTGGCACTGGCTATGTTCTCCTCACTGTCCACAATTCCAGTGTGCTCTGAACAGATAGGCCTCCTCCGTCTTCACAGGCATACCCTGGAACCCCAGTTGTTTCTGAGCAATTTCATCTCTTGCCTTTGCCTCCCTGTGAAGCTGAGCCGCGGTGGGCCGTGTAATGTGAGAAGGGCCTCTTAACCACATTGAGTGGCTATAATGAGTTGCCAGCCTCGTGGGAACTCAGATCAGCAGAAGCAGGAGAGCAGAATGTCAGTCCAGATTATCCATGTGGAGCTGACAGAAGAACTGGCTCTTAGTGGGTCCATTAACTGCATGACCCATGGCCCAGCCCAGAAGGTGATCACTGGGAATCAAGGGAGGCCAGGATGCTGACTGCAGCGCCCTGGCTGCTCTCCTGCCAGAGGGAGGACTCTGCCAAGACATTACACTAAATTGAAGTAGCCAGAAAAGAAGGAAGTATGGGCCCAGTCCCTTTGCCATTCAGCAGCTACCTATTGAACACTGTGCTAGGCACTGGTGATACAGTGGTAAACGAGACTGACAGTTCTGGGCCTTCATGGAGCTTACATCTGGCAATGTTAAGCTACCTCTGGATAATCAAACTCCAATTAATAGCAGTCCTACCTAATCTTGATTAGCAAAAAGCAACAAACATCAATAATAAAATTTATAAAGGACCCATGTAGAATTAAGGAACACATATAGAATGGTTTCATTGCTTCCCCCAGACGTTAAGTACCATGGGAAAATGTATTCTGCCTCTATGTCCTGCCTCCTTGAAAAATCCAAGGGGAAGAAGGTACTATCCTACACGTTGGTTGTGGTTAGTTATCATTTGAGATTTAGATTTTAAAACATCACTGGATGCCAAGGAATCCTGAGTATGTGTTTTCTAACACAAGGGTTGGCAATTTATGTTACTCAAAGAAAGATGGAATATATACCAGCCATCCCTGACTTAGGAAATTTCCACTTCTCACTACTTTCTAGAGTTGCTACCAAAATCTTCTATTCCCACTCCCCTGCCAAAAAAAGAAGAAAAAAAAAGCTGGTGCATAACAGAAACACACACCACCCATTAAAGTCAGTATTTCCCGACTCAACCCAGGTGGGGCTCTGTCCCCGCCACACATACATGCAGTCGCTTGTGCCTTAATCGCATGCCAAAAACATGGCTCAGAATTTTGGCACCCTGCTTTAGAAGACAGCATTTCCAGGGAAGCCCATAAATGGCATCTGAAGCTGGAACTATTCCCCCCTTCACAGCTGGCTCCATGGGAGCTCATTTCAGAAAATCATATCACTCTTTACTCACCAAACTTATCTTTCATAAGCTTTTGGGCTGCTTTCACCCTAGGCTACAATCTGTCTAGTTTTTTAAGTTGGAGAAAACAAGTTATATTTTACAGCCCTTCTCATTAGGGTTTTCATGTTCTGTGTTCTCTGTTTCAGCATTGGCTGGAATTTACAAAGTCTGTGGTGAAACAATTGAGATGTAAGTATTCTCCATGAAAAGACTCAAGCCACACCCCTGGGGAGGGTGGGACGAAACCTCCCACTTATCTCAAGTTTTGATCTACATATATAATTTCCCACTGTTCTGAGTATAAGTTGGCCCTAAATATATGAGGGTTCTCTTCTGCTGCTTCATGCTAGTGGGCAGAAGAGCCCTGTCCTCTTCTGGGTGAGAGTCTTCCCTGATGAGCACCTCTTTTTCTCTGCAGCCCAGCCTCCATTCACCATGTGCTTCCGTGTGAAGTTTTATCCTGCAGACCCTGCTGCTCTGAAAGAAGAAATAACCAGGTGAGGTGAACATGCTTCCCGCAGCCATTAGGACCTGTTGGAGAGCATAGGAAAGGGGGATGGTGACCTCTTAGAGCCTCTCATTTGGAAGCGCCTAACTCTTAGAGGCAAGGAACTCTTCCTAAATATAATGACTTCTGTATTTCATTTCCACATGCTTTCTTCGCGTACCCCTCAGTGCAGTCGCAACAGAGTGGACTTCTTTCCTTCAAGAAGTGTGAATACTACCTCTTGAACTGGTCACTCTCAAAGGGCTCTGGAGTAACTAATCAGAAGCGTCTTTTCTTTTACCTATGATGTTGCCACTGTGGACATTTTTGGAGAGAGCTATGTTGCTGCTTATTTCGGAGGTTGCAAATAGATTCAAGTGGTCTAATGGATATACTTGGAAAATGCCAAAGGCATAACACTGAAAGATAAGCTGGGAGATACTGAAGATTTAAAATCAAAATGGATAAACTCTGTGGTGCTGTTGGATCAGGTTCGTGATAAACTATTGTGGGGATCATGTTCTGTGGCAGGCCGACAGCTGCGTGGAATGCATCCTGTCTCATCCAGCGCCACTTGAGGATGAAAAGAACCTCTGTGCCCACAGCCATCCTAAAAGAGGGTCAGTGAGTGAGAGCTTCAAAGCTTCCCCAGGATTTTGTGTATCTGAGCGAAATTTACTGTGAAAGTCTCACCTCAGAGATTCAAGAACTCTACAACATGGATCCCTAATTTTTATATTAGAAAGACCTAATTTTGACATAAGCAAAACCTTGATGTTACTTTGTAGAAGGCAGGACCATAGGTAAGGATGTGATGCCAGGGAATCCTAGAGCTGAGGAAGAGATAGGACTGTCAGCTCTAACCCCTTCCCTAAGACCGTGGAGACAGCAAAGGTGGGAATGAGGATATTGCCAGCCATATAGACGGGTTATCCTGTAAGGCTTTGAGATCCACTCCTAGATCCTTAACTGCTTGGGAAAATTCCAAAGACAGAAAAGGAGGAGGGAAGAAGGAGGAAAGAATATGGAATTCTTTTCTTTTTTGAGACAGAGTTTCGCTCTTGTTGCCCAGGCTGGAGTGCAGTGGCGCGATCTCAGCTCACTGCAACCTCCACCTTCTGGTTTCAAGCGATTCTCCTGCCTCAGCCTCCTGACTAACTGGGATTACGGGCGCCTGCCACCACGGCTGGCTAATTTTTGTATTTTTAGTAGAGACGGGGTTTCACCATGTTAACCAGGCTGGTCTCGAACTCCTGAGCTCGTGACCCGCCTGCCTCAGCCTCCCAAAGTGCTGGGATTACAGGCATGAGCCACCGTGCCCGGCCAGAATTATTTTCATTTCCTGATCTAAAGAGCATGCCAGGTGAAAGGAGCAAAAATTTCTCTAAGAGAGGAAATCAGGAAATGGGGAGAGGAGGGGGCCAAGAAGCAGGCATTATCAGTACAAAGGCAACAAGGAAGTGGGACAGGGGAGAAAAGTGGCTTCTTCGGCATGGGCCCTTCACATGGGAGTTGAGGGAGATCCTCTTCAGGAAGGCTTGTTTCCTGCAGATGCATAGGGCAGCGTGTACCCACCTACTTTGAAGCACTGAAGACAGTGAAGAGTGTAGCTAGAACCAAATCTCATGTCTCTTACTAGGCATAGAAGCCCCAGGCTCTGCTCATCTATGTGGAAGTGGAGGTGGCTCTTGCTTTGCTTCAGAAAACCAAATCCATCCAAATCATAGACACCCTAAGGCTTTAGGTAGGTGAGTAAGGGTAGAACCACTATGTTTAAAATTTCAGGCCAGGTGTGGTGGCTCACGCCTGTAATCCCAGAACTTTGGGAGGCTGAGGCGGGCGGATCACCTGAAGTCAGGAGTTCGAGACCAGTCTCGCCAACTTGGTGAAGCCCCATCTCTACTAAAAATACAAAAATTAGCCGGGCCATCACGCCTGTAATCCCAGCTACTCGGGAGGCTGAGGCAGGAGAATCACTTGAACCCGTGAGGTGGAGGTTGCAGTAAGCCAAGATTGCGGCATTACACTCCAGCCTGAGTGACACAGTGAGACTCTGTCTCAAAAAAAAATTTTTTTCAAGAGTTTTGTTAAAATACCACTAGCCTGCCCCACTCATGATCTCCAGAGTGTTTGCCTTAGCTCTGAACTTCTGTCTGTCTCTGCTAAAAGAGGTACTGGTGCCAGGGCAGACCCCAAAGTTGGTACTCCTGTCTACATATCGGAGCAAACCTAACACGTCTTTGTTGTCCACCTCACTGGACCAACAGTGGGGATGAGAGGGAGCAGCCAGTGAGAGCACCACAGACACATGGCTTTCCAATTTGATTAAAGGACTGGAAATGTATGGTTATCTTGGCCCTTAGGAAGAGCTCTTAATAATACAATTTTCCGCCAGGCGTGGTGGCTCACGCCTGTCATCCCAGCACTTTGGGAGGGTGAGGTGGGTGGATCATCTGAGGTCAGGAGTTTGAGACCAGCCTGACCAACATGGTGAAACCCCGTCTCTACTAAAAAGACAAAATATTAGCCGGGTGTGGTGGTGCACACCTTTAATCCCTGCTTCTCGGGAGGCTGAGACAGGAGAATCGCTTGAACCCAGGAGGCAGAGGTTGCAGTGAGCCAAGATCACGCCATTGCACTCCAGCCTGGGCAACAAGGGTGAAACTCTGTCTCAAAAAAAAAAAAAAAATACAATTTTGTAAATCCAGTGTCACTATCTTACATGAATGGACAGACCTTCCTACCCAAGAAGCAGCATAGACCTGGGAGCTCAGATCTTACTTATGTTACTTGTTGGCTGTATACAGCCAAATAAGATACTTAACTTGGAAATAAGATACTTAACCTCTCTAACCTTAGATTACTCATTTATAAAATGGGGATAGTGATATCTACCTCATAGAATTGTCGGGAAGATTAACCACTATCCCGGCCTCTTACACTTCTTAATACACCCACAGTGAGCCTTGCACTGAGCAAAGTCTCAATATTTCGTTGCCAGATTCATTACACAGTCCGTAGGCCCCAGGGGCTCTGCATCATGCACAAGTACAGTTAGTACTGGCTTTTCTTCCTTGTTTATGTGAAAGGTACTTCTTTTCTAATAATCTCCACTCCTCCTCTGTCCCCTTTCCCCACCAGCTAGAATCCTAAAACTTAAGCAGCTAACTTCTGTTTCCTGAGAGAGAAAGCTATCCCAGGTAGTCATCCAAGTCCTGGTAAGCACAGCATTAGGACCATGGCCAGGCCTCTCACCAAGTCAGCAGACTTCAAGGACACTGGCAAGAGAAGGAGCTCCTCTCGGTCTGCATGCATTTGTGCTAACCATCTTGGGCAATTTTCCCCTCTCTCTCAACCTCACCAGCGTTCTTTACCTAGTATGCAGTTTTCCAGCATTGTCAGGAGTGTGAACCACCGGTGCCTGGGCCTGCTTTGCAGTCTTTGTGCCTCCCCCTCCCTGGGGCATTCTGTGAGCCTGTGGAATTAGCTGCATTTTTCTCCTCATTCACATCCCTACTGATCTTAAGAGAGGAGATACCGGGCCCAGCCTCACTCAACATCCGTAATTCATCCCTGGCTTAGAGCCCTCCATCCCACCTTGCTGCCAAACTAATTTAGCTGTCAGTGTGTTTTTTCCAGGCAATATTGGTCCTAAATTTCACTGCTGTCTCAGCCATTCCCATAAAGCCAGGCTGAGAGAAGGGGGTGAAGTAGGGAGTACAGAACTTGCTTCAGTTTATCTCTTGGCTTCTTCCCAGATGATAAATTTAGTTGCCAAATCCTGATTAATTTCTTTTGTCATTTTTAAAGTAATAAACAGATTTTCTTGTCTAGGCTAGAGACAAGGCAAAGAAAATGGGAAATTCAGGTACCAGATTTGGCTTTTAACAGGGATTGCAGGTGTATGAACTCTTTGGAAAGATCAAGTAGGAGAAGGAAACTGACTGCAAATGGGGCCCCGCCGTCCAAGGAAGCAAAATGTCTGACACACAACAGGTGCTCCAAAAAACGTTAACAGGATGAATCAAGACATACATGAACGAACGGAGTCACCAGGCCACTGTGCCTTCAGTGAACATCGCTTGAGCCTAGCTTAGGCTAAGATGGATTGGCAAACTTTTTCTGTAAAGGGCCAAATAGTAAGTATTTTTGGCTTGTCGGGCCATATGGTCTCTGTCGCAACTACTCAATTCTGTCATTGTAGTGTGAAAGCAGCCATAGACGATACATAAATGAATGAGCAAGGCTGTGTTCCAGTAAAATTTTATTCCATTGGAAACTATGGCAGTGGGCTGTAGTTTGCCAACCCCTGGGCTAAGAAATCAGAGAGCTGGCTTCAAATCCCAGGTTGTTCTTTAACTAGCTCTGTGACAAGGCAAGAACAGTATCTCTAAGCACTCAGTCTCTTCATCCATTAAACAAGGATTAAAATGGTAGTCACAGGCTGGGCGCAGTGGCTCACGCCTGTAATCCCAGCACTTTGGGAGGCTGAGGTGGGCGGATCACCTGAGATCAGGAGTTTGAGACCAGCCTGGCCAAAATGGTGAAACCCTGTCTCTACTAAAACTACAAAAAATTGGCCAGGCGTGGTGGCACGTGCCTGTAATCCCTGCTACTCAGGAAGCTGAGGCAGGAGAATCACTTGAACCCGGGAGGTGGAGGTTGTGGTGAGCCGAGATTGCACTACTGCATTCCAGCCTGGCAACAGAGCAAGACTCCATCTCAAAAAAAAAAAAAAAAAAAAAGGTAGTCACCTCATAGAGTTGCTGGGAGGACTGAATGAAACAGGGCACACAGCATGCACTCAGTAAATGTGAGTCTTTATTGTTATTTTGTTTTGTTATTATTTTGCCATCTCCCCCATTGGAATGTAAGCTCCATTAACAGGACTCCAGGTTGTTCCCTACTGCATTCCCAGCACCTGTGACAGTGCCTGGCACATATAGTAAGTGTCAGAACTGGATGGATGGATGATGGATGGATGATGGATAGATGGATAAGCTAGGCACAGGATGTTTAGGCTCTGTAGAAGAATATTAAAAGTAAATAAAACATAGTCTCTGACTTCAAGGAGCTTACAGTCTAATATTGGGGAGGAAGACGTACTAAACATAATTATAGTCAGGAAAAAGGAAATAGTAAATAGGGGAAGCCAGTGGCAAAGAATCTATTTGAAGGGAAGGTAAGGCCAAAGGATCTTCTGGAAAAAACTCTCCAGGAGCCTCCAGTGCTTTCCAGAGTTCACAGCCTTAAACTCTGGAAATGCCTGTGGACTCATTTCTACCCTCTGATATCAGAAAGCATTATGCCAAAGCCAATACCCTGGAGAGATGTTCGTGTTACACAAAAGCTCAGGTTTTCCCTGGCATCTTGCAGGCTCTTGCTAATTCTGTCCTGATTCACACTCCAATCAATTTAGGACAACACTAGCATTCAAACAAAAATGGAGGTGAGGTAAAGCCCCTCTGAGGCCAGAAAGAGATCAGCAGAGTTTAAAAAACAAAAAACCAGTTTCCTCAGAAGCAAGCGTGTTCTCCTAAATCCGGTCTAGAGCTCATTTCTCCTTTAGTCTCAGTGAGAATATCTCTCTGATAACAAAGGGTCCTCCTGACTTGGATTAGGACTAACCTGATAACTAAGTGAATTACCATGGGCCGAGTCAGAAGGCCTGGATTCTGATTGCTGTGTTACCTCAGATAAGTCACTCTCCATCTCTGGACTTCTATTTCCTTGGCTATGAAATGTTCTGAGGTTCAGAGATTCAGGAGGGCTGCACTAGGCAGCCCCAGCAGGCTGATCCCTTGCCTGGCAACACACAGTGGCCCTGGAGATAGTGCCTCAGGCAACAAGATAGTCTTCCTTAGGCCCTTGTGTGGCAGGGGAGAACATGCCAGGGTCTCTTGTGAATAGGTCTAAGGATGCTATGAGTCATGTGGAATATATTTCCACCAACAACATTGAGTCACTGGTTATCTTCTTAAATGAACCAAACACAAAGCTCGATGGAAGCCACTGTGGCAGAAAGGGAGGGGGAGCCCTGGTGCAGCTCATTCTCTCTCTTGAAGCTGTCAGTTGATTCTTTCATGAGCTCATCTCCTCTTGCCCTCAACTATGGTTTGTTTCTTTAGGATACTGGTGTATCCTTTTCCCTCTTCCCATCTAGTTTTATGACATTGCCTGAGAATGCCCTGTGGCCTTGCCTTTAACCTCCCTGCAGCTGTTTTATCACCAGAAATCAAAAGGAACCCTGCCCAGCAGTGGAAAGCCTTGTTTCTATTCCAGTTCACCTGAGGCCATTACCTGCCATCAATAATGATGCCTTGGAAAGACAGTGGTTCTCAGTGTGAGCAGGATCATGTTCCCTTGGGTGGGAGGAGAAGGGGAGCAAATCAGAAACTTTAAAGGGGCCTTTTCTTTTCTTTTTTTTTTTTTTTTGAGATGGAGTTTTGCTCTCGTCAGCCAGGCTGAAGTGCAGTGGCACGATCTTGGCGCACTGCCACCTCTGCCTCCTGGGTTCAAGCAATTCTCCTGCCTCAGCCTCTCCCAAGTAATTGGGATTACACGCCGACACCACCATGCCTGGCTAATTTTTTTTTTTTTTTTTTGTATTTTTAGTAGAGATGGGGTTTCACCATGTTGGCCATGGTGGTCTCGAACTCTTGACCTCAGGTGATCCACCCACCTCGACCTCCCAAAGTGCTGGGATTACAGGCGTGAGCCACCGCGCCCGGCCCAAAGGGGCCATTTCAAACCACAGGAGCACCCCCAACACATACAGATTCTGACGGGCTCCCCCTGGAAGATGTTCCCCTCTCTGCCACATTGAGAATCACTGCCCAGAGCCATGTTATCCCTTTGTAATATCTCCTTTAGTCCAATATGTACAGTCCCTGAATTTTGGACACAGACAAGCAGAGAAACATGGAAGACGTGATGCGTGAATCCAGGCCCAGGGAGTGATCAGTGAGTAAGGGGCAAAAGGTTTGCATCCACATCCTGCTGAAGCCTGTGGAAGGTGGGAGTTGGAACAGTGAGAGGCAGAGAAGTGCTCACTCACTCTCTCCCACACACCGTGTGGCATTTCGCTGTGGGAAGCAGAGTGAAGACGAGCTTGATTTGGTAGATCCATCTTAATTATTCACTCTACATGATGTCTTTTTTCCTTTCGTTTTTCTTGGCAAACATTTGGGCAGAGTAGGGTTGGTGGGAGTGAGGGGATGGGTTCTTATTAACTTCCAGGCTAAGACTCACCTTCCCTTTGGTCTGAGGAAGGCAGTCCATCCTGCTGTGGTTAGAAGATGGCTTTTGAATTTTCTTAGGACAGCTTCTTAAATTTTAATCTATACACAAATCACCTGGGGATCTTGTTAAAAGGTGTAGGTGGAAGTGTAGGATGGGCCTATATTCTTTATCTCCAATAAGCTCTCAAGTGATGCTGATACCCCTGATATGTGGGCTACACTTTGAGTAGCAAGCGCTGAGGAGAGAAGATGGCTTGGTTGCTCCCTCATTTCTGTTTGTTAATTGCTTGAATCTTCAAGCCCAAGCCTCTCAGAGTTACCTGCTAGGACCCCTTCCTACCACCTCCTAGAAGTTGCACTGTCAACAGCCCTCTTCCTGTTGAGCATTTTTACATGATCAAGTGGACAAGGAATCCTCTGTTTCATTCTTCAGCCCGAAAACAGAAACAATGGAAACCTCCAACTGTCCAGGGAGGGGTCAATTTCTTTTTGGTTCAGACTGTTCGAATTTAAAGGAATTTTACTACATTTTCATTACTCCCCTAGGGATGCTGGACCATAAAAGTTAAAATAACAAGCGTTTAATTGTCTCAGAGTGTCTATGGGTCAGGAATTCAAGAGCAGCTTAGCTGGGTGGTTCTGGCTCAGGGTCAATCACGAGGTTGCAGTCAGGAGGTTGGCTGGGGCTGCAGTGATCCACAGGCTTGACTGGAGGTGGGGACTTCATTTCCATGATGGGTCATTCAAATGGCTGTTGGCCGAAAGCCTCAGTTCCTTGCTGGCTGTTGGCAAAGGCCCCAGTTCCTCACCACATGGACCTTTCTATAGGACTGCTGAAGCAACCTCAAGAAGAATGAGTGATCCAAGGGCAAGAGAACAAGGAGGAAGCTGCAATGACTTTATGATCTCAGAAGTCAGACACTCACTCATGCTTTATTCTATTGATAGAAGTGAGTCACCAAGTCTAAGCCATACTCAGAGAAGGAATTAAGCTCTACCTCATGAAATTAGGATTATCAAAGAATCTGTGGAAATATTTTTAAATCACCAGAGATGCTCCCTGGCCAAGGAGCCACCATGGTAGGTGACCCACTCAAGGGACTGATGCTCCTCATAATCTTACAGGTCTTCTAAGAAGAGCAATAAAGACCACACTCCTTGTGAAGACATTTCAAAATGGAAAGTCATCAATTCCATTCCACTGTGACAGGGTCCATCCAACTAGTGAAACTGCAAAGCATTTATAGTGCAAGGAGGGCAGAATATCATAGTGATGAAGAGCCAAGTTTAGGGGTCTCACAGTGCTGAAGTTGAATCCTGGCTCTTTCACTTAGTTGTACGTCCATGAGAAAATCACTAAAGCCTCAGCTTCTCTATCTGTAATAATGGGGATAATAACAGTACCTATCTCAAAGTGTCATGTGAGAATTAAATAAGTTATTGCATGTAAAGTGTGTAACACCTGGACTGGCAGATCGTAAGTGCTCAATACATGTCAGCTACTATTTGCTCTTGTTTTTGATATCCTGCTTCCACCTGAGGCAACAGCTTTCTGTATTTAAAGAGGTGCTGGCCCCAGGTTTCTGCTTCATTTGTGTGCTTCTTTCACCAGTGCCTCTTGTTGCAATTTTTTTTTTTTTTTTTTTTTTTTTTTTGAGACAAGGTCTCTCCGATTGCCCAGGCTAGAGTGCAGTAGCACAATCTCGGCTCACTCTTCTTACACTTTATTCCATTTCAAAGGTCTGGTTGACCTCGGTAACTGCAGGCTGTTTCCACATATGGACAGATTCTCTTGGTAAGTTGAGGCTGAACTCTTCCTGGGCTAGTTCCTTCACCCACCATTCTACTTAAGAAGGAACATCAGCTGGCATCCAAGGCGGAGAGAGGCCCAGTTTGCCAGTCTCTGATGGCATAGTTTTCTTTTTCGGCACCAGATCGACTGGGGCTGGCTCCTTCCAAAGCTCAGCACTGTGGGGTGATGCTTTTACCAGGAAACAGCCATTTCTGACTTGAGCTACAGGAGGAAACTGGCATATTTTTAACTGAACCTCAAGTCAGTTCAGGGCAAAGTACCTGAAAGAGTTTCCAGGGAAATGGAGAATGTATTTGTTCTACATTATGTTTTAGGATTTTTTTTTAATGTAGTAAAAGTATCCTGACAAAGATTTTGATAGGCTTACAATACATATTTCTATCTTTAAAGCAATCAAAGAAATCCTTTATAGTTTATTCTCTGTTTTCTCTCCAGGTATTTAGTCTTCCTGCAGATCAAAAGGGATCTCTACCATGGCCGACTCCTCTGTAAAACATCGGATGCTGCCTTGTTAGCAGCTTACATCCTTCAAGGTAATGACTTTTGACAGGATAAGTTTGCTTTTCATGCCAAGTACTGATTACATTATTTTCAGTTAGCACTGATGACTCCTTCTTGAATCTAAACATTATCTAGGCCAGGTGCTGTGGCTCACGCTTGTAGTCCTAGCACTTTGGGAGGCCGAGGTGGGCAGATCACCTGAGGTTAGGAGTTCGAGACCAGACTGGCCAACATGGTGAAACCCCGTCTCTACTAAAAATACGAAAGTTAGCCAGTGTGGTGGCACACACCTGTAGTCCCAGCTACTCGGGAGGCCAAGGTGCAAGAATTGCTTGAACCCAGGAGGTGGCGGTTGCAGTGAGCCGAGATTGCACCACTGCACTCCAGCCTGGGCAACAGACCAAGACTCCATCTCCAAATAAATAAATACATAAACAAACAAACAAACAGTATCTAACTTGAAGCAGAGTTCAAGTTAGAGAGTTTTTTTTGTTTGTTTTGTTTTGTTTTTTTTGAGATGGAGTCTTGCTTTGTGGCCTAGTCTGGAGTGCAGTGGTGCAATCTCGGCTCACTGCAACCTCTGCCCCCCAGGTTCAAGCTATTCTTCTGTCTCAGCCTCCTGAGTAGCTGGGACTGCGGGCGCCCACCACCATGCCCAGCTAATTTTTTTTTTGTATTTTTAGTAGAGATGGAGTTTCACCGTGTTGGCCAGGCTGGTCTCGAACCCCTGACCTCAGGTGATCCACCTGCCTCAGCCTCCCGAAGTGCTGGTATTACAGGTGTGAGCCACCACACCCAGCCAAGTTAGAGGATTTTGCTTGGATTTCCTAGAGCCAGAAAACACTGAACACTCAACCCTAAACTGCGCCTGAGATCTTACTACCAGCCCCTTAAAGTCATTCTGACTCTGTTTTAGGGATTTGTCCTGGGCCCCTGGTTGATAAAGTCCCTGAGACTCTGGAGTGTAATCAGACTTGATTTTTTCCCCATCCTCTCAGGCAAATCTCCAAGATATGAAGCATCTTAGAATTCTAGTATCTATTTCAGAGACCTTTTAGTTCAGTGTGCTCAAAGTTGAAAGTGTTTCCAAGTAACAAGCACATTTCCTAACAGGCTAATAAGTAAGAGTTGAGGCTTACCCAGCTGAGGCCCAGACTGGGTTTTTTTGCAAAACAGTGGGAGAGATATGCACTCTTCACACACGTCCCCTTCTCCTGAGATGCAGAGACACTTAAGTGCCGCTTCCTAGATTCCTCTTAGTCCCTAGGCCTGAAACTGCCATTACTACTGGATCATTTTGGACGACAGCACTAAAATCATGAAGTTTCCCCAAAAGAATTTGAACTCTTAGTTGGAAATCCTGGAAGCAACTTTGTGAAGAGAACCTGGAAACTGCTTGCCAATAAGAAACTAAAGTCCTTCTGGCAATAGAAATACCACGGCTGGCTGCCTGTGTTAAGAATGTAAAATTCAGCCCATTGCCACTTTGACTTCTGAGACTCCTGTTTTTAAAATCACCTACATGGAGAGTCCATGGGGAGATACCCAAAGATGCCCCTTTGAATTTTTTTTTTTTTTTTTTTTTTGAGACAGGATCTGGCTCTGTCCCCTAGGCCAGAGTGCAGTGGTGTGATCTCGGCTCACTGCAACCTCCACCTCCTGGGTTCAAGTGATCCTCCCACCTCAGCCTCCCAAGTAGCTGGAACCACAAGTGTGCACCATCACACCCAACTAAATTTTTAATTTTTTTGTAGAGATGGGGTTTCACCACATTGCCCAGGCTGATCTTGAACTCCTGAGTGCCCCTTTTATTTTTAAAGAGAAAGCCTGGCCTGACCTAAGTCGAGTCTTAAACTCTAGTCTTTTCTACAGTTTTACCCAATCATTCATTTTCCTTCAAAAAAGTACTTGACGTCCAACATTGATGTTTTCCATTTGGAACTTTCTAAATAAAATCAATATAAATGACTCTGGGCCAGGCACAGTGGCTCACAACTGTTATCCCAGCACTTTGGAAGGCCGAGGTGGAAGATCACTTGAGCCCAGGAGTTCGAGACCAGCCTGGGCAACAGAGTGAAACCCCATCTCTACAAAAAATTTAAAAATTAGGCCTGGCACGGTGGCTCACGCCTGTAACCCCAGAACTTTGGGAGGCCGAGACAGGCAGATCATGAGGTCAAGAGATCGAAGCCATCCTGGCCAACATGGTGAAACCCCGTCTCTCCTAAAAATACAAAAATTAGCTGGGCGTGGTGGCACATGCCTGTAGTCCCAGCTACTTGGGAAGCTTCAACCTGGGAGGCGGAGTCTGCAGTGAGCTGAGATCGCGCTACTGCACTCCAGCCTGGTGACAGAGCCAGACTCTGTCTCAAAAAAAAAAAAAAAAGCTAGGCCTGGGGTGTGCACCTGTAGTCTCAGCTATAGGCTGAGGTGGGCGGATCACTTCAGTCCAGGAGGTCGAGGCTACAGTGAGCTATGATCATGCCACTGCACTCCAGCGTGCATGACAGTGAGACCCTGTCTCAAAAGAAAAAAGACTGCAAGGCTCAAGGTCACCCCAGACTTCAGACTTGGGTCTCTTGCTAACAGTAGAAGTTCCCAAGTAATTTGGAAGATACAGTGAGTAGGTTTGTAGTGAAAAAGTACAAGTCCCAAGTACAATATTCAGCCATGGGAGGAGGGCACCTTTTCCTCTTAATATTTCTCCTCCCTCAAGACTTCACATCTGAAGTGGTTGTGGCTCTCACCTGGGAAGGAAAAAGGGCACCCACAGAGTAGCTGGCCCCTCCTCTTTCTTTTGTCCTACCCACCATCCTCCCTGTGGAGAGCTTCACGTGGAAAAAGCTGGATTCTGACCTGGGTGTGGAAAGTACCGTGGGTCTTCTGCCCTCCTAAAGTTTACTGCCCTGAGATCTTACCAGGTTTAGAGATAAACTCTCTCTGAATAGCTGGAGGAGAAAGGCTCACACCTGGCAGGGACTTGAGAAATGAGCCTTAGAACTTGATGCTTCTCGGCCGGGTGCGGTGGCTCACGCCTGTAATCCCAGCACTTTGGGAGGCCAAGGCGGGCGGATCACGAGGTCAGGAGATCGAGACCATCCTGGCTAACACGGTGAAACCCCGTCTCTACTAAAAATACAAAAAATCAGCCGGGCGAGGTGGCAGGCGCCTGTAGTCCCAGCTACGCGGGAGGCTGAGGCAGGAGAATGGCGTGAACCCAGGAGTCGGAGCTTGCAGTGAGCCAAGATCGCACCACTGCACTCCAGCCTGGGCTACAGAGTGAGACTCCGTCTAAAAACAAACAAACAAAAAAAAAGAACTTGATGCTTCTGAACTCAACGATACTTTCTAGTTACAGCCAGGCTTCCCACTCTGTAGGCCTCTCGAAGGAACCTGGCACCTGGTCAGCCCTTAATGAATATTTATTCAAATTTATTAATTTGATTTGATTTGAACTGAGGGTTGAGTTCTGAATTTGGATCGCAGCTCATTCATCAATTTACTGTGTCCCTGCTAACATCCTCAAACTAGGATTTAGACTTATGATCTGGCTGAGGCCCAAGAGGATCTCCCTTTCTGATCAAGCTCACCACTTCCTGTGCTGCCACAAAGACCATTGCTCCCAGACCATCTTCTCATGGCGGAATGGATGAGGACCATAGTGCAGGCCTCTGCTCTTTCATTGTAAATTTACTTGTGGTGACCTCAGAACACAAGGTCAGCTCTCTGTCTCTCTGCATAGACTTGAATGCCAACCCAGTGTGTGCACCTGGAAAAACAAAGGTGGACATGCTCCTGAAGGGCCTGCCCTCTGCCCAGCCCACAGCCGTGCTCAGAATCCACTGTTTCTTATAAATCTGATGTGTATTTTGGCTTTTGCTCTGTGTGCTAATCTCTTGTTGCTTTGTCAATGATGATTTACCTGTCTCCACAATTGTTTTCTTCCACCTTCCTTTTGAAAGCGGAGATTGGGGATTATGACTCAGGGAAACACCCTGAAGGCTACAGCTCCAAGTTCCAGTTTTTCCCTAAACATTCAGAGAAGCTGGAAAGGAAAATTGCTGAGATTCACAAGACGGAACTGAGGTACGTGGCACTTAATCAGGCCCAGAACATTGTGGCTTCTCCACAGCCTGAGCACGCAGGCTCCACGCCGTGTCCTCTGTTCTCGCAGACTGTTTACTGACACAGAGTGATGCTCCCCAGCCTTCCTGACCGCGGATGTACCATTGTCAGTGATACACTGACAGCACAAGTCACAGCCACAAGCCCTGTAGGCTCCCTCTCCAAGAAAAGCGATTTAGCCTGAAGCTTAAAGACAAGGGAGAAGTTGTGTTATAGGGGAAACAGAGAGGGATTGGCCTTTGAAAGGCATCTGCCTCACTATGATATTTAATGAAGATACAGAGGAAAGCATGAACTGGGGAAAAGGAAAAGATAAAGGAAATTGCATAAGATAAAAAAGATGAAAGAAAAAGGCCAGGCGCGGTGGCTTACGGCTGTAATCCCAGCACTTTGGGAGGTCGAGGCAGGTGGATCACGTGAGGCCAGGAGTTCAAGACCAGCCTGGCCAACATGGTGAAAACCCATCTCTACTAAAAATACAAAAATTAGCCAGGCATGATGGCAGGTGCCTGTAATCCCAACTACTCCGGAGGCTGAGGCGGGAGAATCGCTTGAACCCAGGAGGCAGAGGTTGCAGTGAGCTGAGGTTGCGCCATTGCACTCTAGCCTGGGTGACAGAGCGAGACTCCATCTCAAAAAAAAAAAAAAAAAAAGGAGAGGTTGAGTGAGGATGTGAAAAAGGGCAGGCTTCTGCTCTTAGTCTGTGACAGTGTGACAGGTGGCTTCTCAGTGGAGGATGGAGTGCGCAGGGCTGATTCATAAATGCTGAGGGTGCCTTGGGAGCACTCTGGTTCAGAAGTATGTCCTCAGCCCCGCCTGACTCAGGCCCCCCCCATACCCTACCTGGAGTCCCCGACTTTGCACAGAGAGAAGTGGAGGAGACGTGGCTTCAAGTTTGGAGCCTCATCTTTCTCAGCTTCTCTTACTTTGCCCAGAATATGCTGAATACCATAAAACAGCATTAATGCAGCTTTTCACCCACATGAAGTAGGATTTTCTACAAAGCCTGATTTTAAAAAGCAACAATAGGGTGTTTGGGCTCCATTTGGTTACGGCACAGATTCCCCAAACTGACAAACTATGAGGAAAAAGGATATAGAATGCAGTGTTGGCCAAGCGCAGTGGCTCACACCTGTAATCCCAGCACTTTGGGAGGCGGAGGAGGGCAGATCACCTGAGGTCAGAAGTTCGAGACCAGCCTGGGCAACATGGCGAAAACCCTGTCTCTACTAAAAATGAAAGTAAATAAATAAAAAAGCCAGATGTGGTGGCACACGCTTGTATCCCAGCTACTCAGGAGTCTGAGGCATGAGAATTACTTGAACCTGGGAGGTGGAGGTTGCAGTGAGCTGGAATTGCACCACTCCATGCCAGCCTGGGCCACAGAGCGAGACCCTGTCTCAAAAAATTAAAAATAAAAAAAAGTTATGTTGTCATTATAATACATTACAGCTTTAAAAAAATATTTTAAAAGGTTTGTGTATCTACTGTTCCGAGGAAAGACTATGCCTGGCAACAGGGAGCAGAGCTGGATATTTCTAATGCTAATACTAAGCTTCAACTTGTTCCTTCCCCGACCACAGGCCCCCCAGAAACCCTTCACTCAATGATTTTACCAACAAATATAACCCAAAGCCTCCTTAGCCTTTGTAAACAGACCCCTCTGCCCATGCCTTGTGGCAGGAGGGGTTCCTGACCCTCCCAGCGGAATGGCGACACCGAACAAATGGAATCTTAGATGCTTCCCGCCCCTCTCCCTCGGTGTGCCTTCCCAGGTGCAGGACCCCATGGCTCCTCAAGTCACTCTGTTAGGGAATAGCGACCCCTTGTGGTAAAAATCAGAATAAACACGGGCCTGTGGTGTTGGGGGCAGGGGCCTCATGGTTCCTTCAAAGAGATCAGGGATGTGCTGGAACTGCCTGGAGGGCTTTAGGAGACATCAGAATAGTAGGGACAGCCCTCCAGAAACCTAGTTCAAAGCAGGGGATCCCCCAGGAAATGATGCCCGCTTTGAGGACCCTGGAGGTTTGGGCCAACTCCAAGGGTAAATGGAGCCCACAGGGCCCACTCCCCCTGCAGACAGAGGACACTCCCTGGAAAGGGAAGCTGTGCTCTAGCCAGCCCTTTGCTTGCCACACAGATATTTTCCTAACTTACCTTCCCTGTGCCTCAGGTACACTAGTGGATGCAGAAGTCTTTATTCACAGCAATACCCCCTTCCACAGGTACTTTTTCCATAGGTCCTGCCTCGTCTTCATAATGTAAAAATACATCCATGCTTCCTTTATGCAACTGTGATATGGGCTTTTGAGAGCACAGACTGTATACTGTGTTTCTTCATATATTTTCCAGCAAGTAGCACAGAGGCTGGCACATAAAGGTGCTGCCTGACTAATGCCTCTCCAGAGGGACACTAGGGGGAATCTGGCCTGGGGTCAGCTTATCTTCCTGCCTGGCCATATCACCTGAGGCAAATGATAAGCTTAGAAACGAGCAACGTGCAGTCCTGTCCACCAGCCATCAGAGATGTTGACTTCACAAGCTGCCCACCCCTCCTCACTGAAGCCAAACCTGTATCTGTAGAAGTATATCTGCTTTGCAGGGCTCTGGACCCAGGCAAGAGCCTGATGGTTATTCTGCCACTGGGTCTGCAATGAGCCCATCAACACACCTGCTAAAGAGGCAGTGGGAAGGGGTGATGCCAAAGGCCCCTTCAGATGGCCTGGAGCCGGAGCTGATCTCTGCCTTTTTCAGCATCTTTCATTTTCCTGGTCATCACCCTATGGACAGACAGCTGTTGTGGAGCATGGGAGCTCAGCACTGTCTCCTGCCTCTCCTCACCCTAATTTCCTGTGTTTCCTTTTGGCAAAGGAAGAGGGCTGGGTGGCACCAGCAAGCTATATGAGCCCCTTCTTTATATTTCAGTCTAGAACAGATCACATATGAGAAGCCTATGACCTGCTTCCAGCCTACAGATGTATTTTGTTTTACCCCATAGTATTTTAAATTGTGAAATACCACATAAAAATCAGTATCTCTGACTTTTCTTTTAAAATCACAATATCTAGCTAAGCCTTGCATTCTTTTTTTTTTTTTTTTGAGACAGGGTCTCATTCTGTCACTCAGGGTGGAGTGTAGGGCTGTGACCATAGCTCACTGAAACCTCGCACTCCTGGGCTCAAGCAATCCTCCCACCTCCCACCTCAGCCTCCCAAGTAGTGGGCCCTGCATTCTCAGTGATGGGAATCTCAGAGTTAAGATGGTGCTGCCACAGTCCCCACCACTCCCCATTGTTTACACTCAGCCCAAGTAATTCATTATGTAGCCTGCCTCACTCTGAAAACGTTTGAAGACAGTCAGAGACTCTAGCAGGAGTCTCGAAGTTGGTCCTAGAACCAAGCAGGGAGCACACCCTAGACAAACTGAGATGTGTGGCTCATCCTAAGCACATCTTCATAGAGAGTTTACCTCAGGGGAACCTGTGGGAACAAGACACCTTGAAATCATCTCATCTTCTTTATTCCAGTGGTCAAACACCAGCAACATCAGAGCTGAACTTCTTAAGAAAAGCACAGACATTGGAAACATATGGAGTGGATCCTCACCCATGTAAGGTAAGACCCCCTGGTTGGAGACTGCATGACCTTTCCTCCTCTAGAAGGCATCAGGAGCAAGAGCCCCCATGCCTGCGCTCAGAGGCCCCCTTCAACGTTTACATGGCTGGCACTTTCAGTGAGATATCAGAGAAAATGCCTGCTTTGAAAACTCCTCTGGATCACATGCTACATAATTTTGTGGTGCCACATCAATGTCAGAGGAACCGAGGCAAAGTCAATCTAAATAACAAATCCAAAGCTAGGGCCCCGCAATGGGTAATTTGGTAGAAATGAAGAGAGGAGGGATATGGAAGGCCC